>NC_000023.11:7137488-7762488 GCF_000001405.40 Homo sapiens
GTGAGCCGAGATCGCACCACTGCACTCCAGCCTGGGCGACAGTGCGAGATTCTGTCTCAAAAACAAACACACAAACAAACAAAAAACCTCTGTGCTTTCTCAGGCATCTTGTGACAAAGCCATGAGTGTCCTTCAATCTCATGAGCAAACATCAAAGAGACTGTGGTGTGTGCTCCGACACAGTGAGAAAACAGCTGCATGGCTGCTCTTTCTTTCCTGTATCCCACTGCATGGAACAGAGGAACCCATACACGTGAAACCTATTTAGGTTCCTGTGAGTACCTTCTCTTCGAAGGGTGCACAGCATGGCACACCTCTGTCCCCGGCAGCCTCCTCTTCCTGCCTAAGGGTTCCGGCTGTCCACACACACAGGCATTATAGCCAGTACTTCTAACTTGTATCTCAGGCTCTGAACTTCTCACTAAAAAGTTCCATGTACCACTATGGGAGAGGAGTCAGTTCACCAGCTTTCCTGAGGACAACTCTACTCTGCAGGGCTGGGGCTAGCATGAAGGTACTGACCCTATATAGACTGAATACAAACATCTCCCCAAAAAGGTGACGAAGGGGCACAGCATTATTCTTGCCAGAGGCAGCTGACCTGTGTCCAACTGAAGCACTAGGCATAATTTCTAGATTAGAGGAAATACAGGGGACAGAGGAACAAGTAAGGTGGTATCATGTGGAAACAATCAGACAAATCCAGAATGTAGGCTGGTGTCTCGATAACCATCCTAGACTCTTCTGAAAGTCATAGGGGGAAAACCCAGGATGTGTGCTTGCAGGATGGGGTGAGATTTTCACTTTAAAATAGGCTAAAGGGATATTACCAATGGGCACCCAGTTTAAGAAATACTAATCTTAGCCTGACAGAGATTAATCTAGTATTTTTTTTTTTTTTTGAGACAGAATCTAGCTCTACTGCCCAGGCTGGAGTGCAGTGGCGTGATCTCAGCTCACTACAACCTCCGCCTCCCAGGCTCAAGTGATTCTCGTGTCTCAGCCTCCCAAGTAGCTGGGATTACAGGCACGCATCACCATGCCAGACTAATTTTTGTATTTTTAGTAGAGATGGGGTTTCGCCATGTTGGCCGGGGTGGTCTCGAACTCTTGGCCTCAAGCGATCGACTTGCCTCGGCCTCCCAAAGTGCTGGGATGATAGGCGTGAACCACTGTCCCCAGCCCCAGTCTCGTATTTCTCAATGAAACATTAGAGATTTCTAATCTCTACCTGCCAGACATTGCTCAAAAGAGATGTGAAGAGGAGCTACACAGGTGCTCCAGCTATGCAAACCCAAGGGGAAAACAAAGTCTTCCTTCTTGTGTTCTTACACAGGAGAAATGCATGTGTTAGGATTATTATGTTTTCAAATCTCTTCTCACCTCCACACTTCAATGTAATCATTAGCAAGATCTTTTTTAATACAGTCTTTGCTTGATAAAAACAACAACAACAAAAAACGACTCTCTTCTATGCTTTAGTAAAGATGCCTATGGCTTGGCCATTTCTCCTGGTCTGGAATATCCATTTTTCTTCTTGGCTCCTATCTATCCTTGACAGTATGCTACCCCAAATGTGATTTCAGTTCAAAATCCTGCACTGTTGCTAACACATTCTTATTGTGTATATCATTAGCAATTATTCACAGATTTTACCAATCATGTTTTAGATTCCAGCAGGACTCTAAGATCCTTAAAGGAAGAGACTAATTTTGAAGCCTTTGTAACACCCAGCAGAGTATTTTCTAAATAGATTAAGGATGAGTGAATGCATTCCTCTAGAGTTGTGCTGTCCACTCTATATTTTGTGTCTCTATGTTACGTTTTGGCAATTAGTCATTGGGGGCTATTTAAATAACACGAGAAATTCAGGTCCTCAGTTGCATGAGTCACATCTCATGAACCCAGTTTCCAGCTGTGGCTCCCATCGGATGCAGTATAGTTACAGAACATTTCCATCCTGGCAGGAAGATTTGCTGGATACACAGTGCTGGGCTAGAGAGCAGACAGGCGCACAGTGCTCAAGGACCATGTGCTTCTCTTCCATGTGCATGGCAGCTGACACAAGTGGGAGAGGGTTGGTGCTTATTTTGGCTTTTGTCTGAAGGCTCAGATAAGCTTCGATGTGCCAACTATGACCATTTGCTCTTACTTCATAGACACATGGAACAGTCTATTGGGAGTCAAAGAGCAAACTTTGGTTTGCTCCTTGCTCTGTCCTTGAACAGCTATGTCATCTGCAGTGTTTTTTAAATAAGGCACCATCAATCACAAAAGGGCACATCATTCGGCCCAGCTCCCAGAGCTCAGAGAGAGAAGAGTCAAGGGCCCCACCAAGCGCCACAAGCAATGCCATGAAACTGCCTGCCAGGCATGGCTGTGAAGAGGTGACCATCCTCCTCTCATACGCAGGCACCTTGCCACGTGGCCAGCTGCACCAGGGTCCTTAGCTGCTACTCACTGTTGGCATCACAGCAAAGGACACAAGGGAGACAGAGGATAAAGGAGGATCAGGAAAGGTGGTGATCTATCTGCCAGACATTGCTGAAAAGGGATGTGAAGAGAAGCCACATGGATGGCCCAGCTATGAAAAGCCATGGGGAAAAGTCTTCCTTTTTGTGCTCTTACACAGTAGAAATGCATGTGTTAGGATTACTATGTCTTCAAAAAAATGCTCTTTAAGCACCAACAAGGCAATTTTAAACTGCAAATATCTGCAACACAAAATCAAGGTTGCCCCCTTCCACCATTTTAACACTATTGAAGGAAGCTCTTAATATATTAAATGCTGCATTTATTAATCACTAAAATTCCCTTATAGCCGATGGTAGGAGCATTATTTTCAAGCGTAATGTATTCCAGAATAACACTATTGTGCTTTCTACCTACAGACTGCCTATCAATCACTTTTCAAACATCTCATCAGAAGGTCTGACCAGTCGCCTGAGCATCTATATAAGGAGTGCTTTCAGGGGACATTTCTTAGGAGATATCATTTACCTTGCTCCTTTACATTGCTTTAAGTCTCCATCTACTCCTGAAAAATGACAGAAAATAGTATATAAATTATAGCAGTTTAAAAAAAAAGAAATAGAATCAGAGTAAGGAGTGAATAATCGCAAAGATAAAAAGGACCAAATAATCTCTAATATATAGCTTTTCAAGGAGAAAAATAGATTCTGGCTCAAAAAACAAAACAAAACAAAACGATGCACTGCTGTCCCATATTATACAGGCATATCTTATTTTATTGTGCTTCATAGATTGTAGTTTTTACAAATTCAAGGTTTTTGGCAACCCTGCGTCGAGAAAGTCTATCAACACCATTTTCCTAACAGCATGTCTCACGTGACGTGTCTGTGTCACGTTTTGGTAATTCTTGCAATATGTCAAATCGTTTCATTATTACATCTGTTACGTCAATCTGTGATGAGTGATCTTTGATGTTACCATTGTCATTGTTTTAGGGCACCATGAACCGCACCCATATAAGTCAGAGAACTTAAGGGATAAATGTTGTGTGTGTTCTGATTGCTCCATAGACCCCCATCTCTCTTCCTCTCCTCCAGGCCTCCCTAGTCCCTGAATCACACTAATATTGAAATCAGGCTAATTAATAACCCTACAATGGCCTCTAAGAGTTCAAGAGAAAAGAAGAGTCACACATCTCTCACTTTAAATTAAAAGCTAGAAATGGTTAAGCTTAGTGAGGAACACATGTCAGAAGCTGATAGGCTGAAAGCTAGGTCTCTTGCACCCAATTAGCCAAGTTGTGAATGCAAAGGAAAAGTTCTTGAAGGAAATTAAACGTGCTACCCCAGTGAACACGTGAATGATGAGAGTGAAACAGCCTTATTGCTGACATAGAGGAAGTTTTAATGATCTGGGTAGAAGACCAAACCAGCACAACATTCCCTTAAGCCAAAGCCTAACCTAGAGCAAGGCTCTAACTCTCTTCACTTCTATGGGGACTGAGGCATGTGAGAAAGCTGCAGAAGAAAAGTCTGAATCTAGCAGAAGTTCATGAGGTTTAAGGAAAGAATTGCTCCTTGCTCTGTCCTTGAACAGCTCCTTGAAGCAGCAAGTGCTGATGGAGAGGCCGCAGCAAGTTATCCAGGAGAGCTAGCTAAGATCACCGATGAAAGTGGCTACACTAAACAGATTTTCAATGTAGACAAAACAGCCTTCTATTGGAAGAAAATGCCACCCATGACGTTCATAGCTAGAGAGGAGAAGTCAGTGTCTGGCTTGAAAGCTTTAAAGGACAGGCGGACTTTTGTGTTAGTGGCTAATGCAGATGGTGACTTTAACTTGAAGCCAGTGCTCATTTACAATTCTGAAAATCCTAGTGCTCTTAAAAATGATGCTGAATCTTCTCTTCCTGGGCTTTGTAAATGGAACAGCAAAGCTTGGATGACAGCACATCTGTTTACAGCATGGTTTACCGAATATTTTAAGCCCACTATTAAGAATTACTGCTCAAAAACAAATATTTCTTTCAAAATATTTCTGCCCACTGACAACGTACCTGGTCACCCAAGAGCTCTGATGGAGATGTACAAGGAGATTCGTGTTATTTTCAGGCCTGCTAACACGACATCTACTCTGCAGCCCATGGATTGAGGAGTAACTTCAACTTTCAAGTCTTATTACTTAGGATATGCATTTCCTAAGGTTATAGATGCCATAGATAGTGATTCCTCTGATGCATCTAGGCAAAGTAAATGGAAAACCTTCAGGAAAGGATTTAGCATTCCAGATGCCATTCACAACATTCATGATCCATGGGAAAAGATGAAAATATCAATGTTAACAGGAGTTTGTAAGGAGTTGATTCCAATCCTCATGGATGACTTTGAGGGGTTCAAGACTTCAGCAGAGGAAGTAACTGCAGAATGTGATGGAAATACCAAGAGAACTAGAATTAGAAGTGAAGCCTGAAGATTTGACTGAGTTGCTGCAATCTCAGGATGAAACCTGAACTGAATAGACACTGCTTCTTAGGGACGCGAAAAGAAAGTGGTTTCTGGAGATAAAAATCTATTTCTGGTGAAGATGTTGTTGAACATTGTTGAAGTGACAACAAAGGATTCACTATATTAACATAAACTTAGTTGGTAAAGCAGCAGCAGCAGAGTTTGAGAGGACTCCAATTTTTTTTTTTTTTTTTTTTTGAGACAGAGTCTTACTCTGTCGTCCAGGCTGGAGTGCAGTGGTGGGATCTCGGCTCACTGCAACCTCAGCCTCCCGGGTTCAAGTGATTCTCGGGCCTCAGCCTCCTGAGTAGCTGGGACTACATGTGTGCACCATCATGCCTGGCTAATTTTTGTGTGTGTATTTTTGGTAGAGATGGGGTTTTGCCATGTTGGCCAGACTGGTCTCGAACTCCTGACCTCAAGTGATCTGCCTGCCTCTGCCTCCCAAAGTGCTGGGATTATAGGCATGAGCCACCATGCCTCGCCAAAAGAGAATTTTTTTGTAAAAGAAAGAATCAAGTGATGTGGCAAACTTCATTGCTGTTTTATTTTTTAAAATTGCCACAGCCACCCCAACCTTCAGCAACCACTACTCTGGTCAACAGTCAATATCAAGACAACACCTTCCACCAGCAAAAGAATTACAACTCACTGAAGGATGACATGATCCCTAGCACTTTTTTTTTTAAAGCAATAAAATGTATTTAAGGTTATGTACATTTTTTAGACATAATGCTATTGTACACCTAATAGAATACAGTATAGTATAAACCTAACCTTATGTGTACTGGGAAACCAAAAACTTCATGTGACTAATTTTATTGCGATGTTTGCTTTACTGTGATGGTCTGGAACTGAACCCACAATAGTTCTCACACATGCCTGTATCCAGTTTACTTAAAGATTCTAAATAAAACCATATTGCTTTTATTTGAAAGAGAGAGCTAGAAAAAAGAAAAGGATATTTTACACCTGCATGCCTAGAATCTGCTGAATATTTGTGTTGCCAGCTGGACAAAACTCTTATTATTTATCTGCAGAATTTTGCAATTTAAGTTTTACCCCCTTCTCAATTATTCTAGAAACAGAAACAGCTGCAGTGGACAACCAACCACTTACTACAAGAACTTAAGGTTGGCATGGTTCAGGTCAATTAGAAAACAGAACCAAACGGAGCTAAATCTATAATCTGATGCTGTTTCTCCAACATACAATATAGCATCTTACTCTAAATCTCTTCGGACCCTTAATAGGAACACACGTGTCTTGTGCTTTCTATATTCCAGAAGCCTTTTCAGTTTCCAGAAACAACAGATTACTCATTGATCACCCTGTAGTGAAAGGCCAATCATGGCCCCTGAGATAAGGGTTCATCTCTGTCCCAAGCCCTCACACTGGCCTCCACCCTCAGCCATCTCCTTTGCAAACGTGGAAGAGAACCTACATTTCACCTAGCAAGGGTAAAACCCAAGGGTACACTGTCAGCCTCCAGGGAAGACAGGGCAAAGAAAGAATGTGAACCTACCACCAGAGTTGCTTTGACATCCAGAGCAAGACCCATTACAAATGATGGAAGGAGGGGAGATTGTGATTACGATCTCATTCCAACTAGGATCACTGCACGTTCTGGGGTTAAACAATAACCACCTATGGAAGCATGCAGAATGATCCTTCACTTTGCTCCACCTTCCTCAGAAATGTGCCAAAACTCTTAGAAATCCCACTTGGAATGAATGACTTGATAACATCAAGTAGTAAGAACCGACTGAGGCTGAAAAGCTTGTCAGCTGCACTTTTAAACCTCAGACGTATTTCATGGGGTCAAATGACAACATACATAGATTCTTCTGACAATCCACCTAGGGCATGCGCTAATATTACGTAAGAAAAATCTATTTTTGTCATCAGCTATATAGATGTTCTGGTGTCTAAAGAAACAGCCTACATGAAGTTAACAAAGAATGACAGCGCAAAACACACTCACGCTATGTCTGTGGAATTTTGGCCACACAGTGGACATGACTGTCAACTGTCTCAGGCAGCCCACAATCCCATCAGTACTGGGCTTGGTAATCCCCACAGAGACCCTACCTCCATGACCTTTTAGGGTCTCCTGGGCCCCAGACAGTGAGGCAGGCACTTATAGTCTCAAGTGCTATTATTTGGCAAGGAGGAAGCTACGGGAGTGCAAAAAGGCACAGAAGAGGTCTTCATTTTACTAAAGGTGAAGTAGAAGTCACTCATTAAAATCCTGCAATCTGGATTTATAAAGATATGGTATATTATGGTCAACACTGCAAATGTTCTTATTACCCTTCGCAGATCTACCTTATTATTTTACGATATTTAAGAAACTGGAAATAAGCTTATTTTCCTTTGATTTTAAAAGGATTTTAAATAATTCTGTATTAGACTCCAAGAAAACACATTTTACACATACCACATTTTACATACACCAAAACTCCTAATTCTGAATATTCTTAACACCCACCCTCTGCCTGACCCTCCCAGCATAGCCATTATCAACAGACATCTTGGGTTGCTCCACAAAGACCTAGACCCATGCTGTCCAAGCCAGTAGCCACCCACCAAATGAGGCTACAGAGTGCCTGAAATGAGGCTAGTTCAAACTAAGATGTGTTGTATGTATAAAACACACACAGATTTTGAGGACCTAGTATCAAAATTAATGTCAAACACTTCAAAGATTTTCTTATACTGACTTTGTATTAAATAATATTTTTGATACATTAGGTTACATAACATACATCATCCAAATCAATGTCATCTGTATCTTTTTACTTATTAAAAATTGCTCCCCAAAATTTTTACCTGGCTCAATTCTATGAGACAGAACTGCTCTGGACAACAAACTGTCTTCTCTTTTAAAGAAATTGGGACCATCTTTTGTGTTCCTAATTTCAGTTATTTACAAACAGAATAATCTTCCCTGTCCAGCTGCTGAGATACTGTTTAATAATTGTCATCTTCTTATTTCAAAATCATCCCAGTTTTTAACTAATCCCACTCCCCTACTCTCTTTCTCTGAATGGCATTTGAGAGCCAAAATTATTAATATTACCTAAATCATAACTGACTCTTACCTTGGTCATGAGAAACAGAAACCGAAGTGTATTTTTTTTTTTTTTTAAAGGACAACTAACAGCATCGTGCATGTCAAAAGCATGGGAAAGTGTCCTGGCTTTCTTCCTGGTCAACATTTCCTCTAAAATCTCCATTTACTTCCTCATTCTCCTCTGATTAAACAATCTTCTCCTCTAATGTTAACAATCCTCCATGAAACTATTCGTTTTCAATTTTACTTCCCCAAGTATGCAAGTATTGGGGCTACATAGACAAACAGAACTTCCTAGAAAAATGCATTCAAAATTCCCGAAAAACAGACCTATTGTAAAATAACTCATTATAAATTGATAGTATATTGTTATGCAAACAACAGATACACTGAAGTGAGGTGCTAAAGAATGACAGCAGGCATAATCTGGTAGATTAAATTAAAGTGGCACATCTTGGAAAGCTGTGTTTTATATTTACACATTTGGTGAAAGAATGGGATAAACAAAGGTATATTTCCAAGAAAGTTTTGCAAGGCCTTACCACCTCAAAGAAGAGGTAGGGCAGGAAAGGAGGAAATGGGCAGAAAATGAGGGGGGGGAATAAAAAGAAGCAGGGCTTATTTTTCCAAATAGCACTAATTCTTGGTTATCTGACTAGATCAGAGGATTGGGTAACAATGTGAGGTCAATGCTTGTAATGCCATTTAAGTCACATTCATCACTTCAGGGCATGGCTATGTGTGAATCTAGAATCAGAATTAGGCACCAAGCTCATTTAGAAGTTTAATAAATTTAATTTTAATGAGACATCTTGTTTGGTATTAAAATTCATGAGACTCCCAGAACAGGTTCTCTGGACCTTTATTAGAGGATAAGAAATTTATTTGACAATTTAACTTTTTGACCACCGGAGTAGGAAAATTCATGTCTACAAACTATACCTATGTATCCCACAAGCTTTCTGAAATTGAGTCATTTCAAATTTAGTAGCTGCATACACCGTTGGCTCCAATTAGTGACCTCTACGGGGATTTTTTTTTTCCTTTGGAATTCATCAGTTTACACCTCTGTGTTCATAAAATGAAGAGAATGGTTTCTGCATGCCTTTTTAAAAGGAAACACTGCTAGGGAATTACCCAGCAATATGATGAGCAGAAACAAGGTCACATTCACAATTTAAGATGAGCTCAACATCATTTATATTTAGAACTGGATCAATCCAGAATCGTTTCTCAGCTTGGCTTATTAGCTGTGTGACCTTGGGCAAGTAGCTTTACCTCTCTGAGCTGCAGGGTTTTTTTTTTTTTTTTTTTTTTAATTAGTGACATGCAAATACTTCCTCCTAACTTGCAGGGTTTTGAAATGAAGGAATGATATACGTAACCAAGCAGGTCAGCTGTCTACAAAGAGTATGCAGACATGTTTATAGATATATGAAGCCTCCTGGTGATTATGTGTCATAGTGTTAACTGTGTCAAGGCTTTCGGTAGAGCTCAGCATAGTTCTGTCTTGAGTTAAAAACAGGGTTTTATTCTTTGAATTCTACTTGAATTCCTCTTGGCTGGTGAAGTTCACATGTGCTAAGACTGACTACCTTAGTACACTGCCAAGGGTTTCTTAATGCCTCGGATTGATAGAGCAGCTGTTCTCAAACGTTCACGCGCTTAAAATGCAGATTCTGATTGGGCAGGGGTAGGGTGGGGCCCCAGCTTCTACATTTACAAGTAGCCCACAGGTGATGTCCCCGGTGCTGGTCACCCTAGGCAGCCAGGCCACTTGACGGACCTTCTGTGCCTCTACACTGTTGACGGCGCGGGATAATTCCTTATGGTTGCATAGGGCACTCCTGTGCACTGCGGGAAGTTTAACAGTATCACTGGTCTGGACTCCACTAGATGCCAGTGACCCCATCACTCCTCGCCAGCTGTGACAGCCAAAATGTCTCCTGACATCGCCATTGCCAGATGCCCTCAGGGCTGCAAAACCGCCAGGTAGAGAACCGCTACCATGCAGGATGCTACCATCAAAGTGCGCCCACAGCAGCAACCTTGGAGCAGGCAGGCAAGTATCCTCCAGGCTACTTTGCAGACGGGGAAGCTGAGGCTGGGCACCGCTCAAGGTCGCACGCATGCGTAACCGAAAAGAGAGCGCGGAGGTCCCGCCGCGCCTCGCTCTGAGGAGAGGACGCGGAGCCGCGCGCCCGCCCGGTGGACCCCAGGGACTGCTCCCACGTGCTCCGGCCCCACGCGCGGGCCGCCGACCGGAAGCGGGTGCTGGGGCCGCGTAGACGCCGCGGCCACGCGCGCCCGCCAGCCCGGACATGGGCCCGCGGGCGCTCCTGGCCGCCGCCCGACTTCGGGGCCAGCCGGGGGCAGAGCGCGCGGGAGCCCGAGCGTCCCTGCATGAACACCGCCCCGCCGCGGCCCCCAGGCCGTGACGTACCCCGCGCCGACCGTCCCCACGCCCACACAAGACCGCCCTTACTGGAGGCGGCGGCTGCACACTACCCACCCAGAAGAAGTCCGTCCATGTCAAAGATGAGGTGGGTGACGGGCTGCGGGGGCGCCGCCATGGTGGCGCCTTCTGGGTCTGGGTGGGGGCGAGGAGGAAGTGCGCGCGCACCCGCCCGCCCCGCGCACGCGCACTGAGGACCTTCTCGCGCGCCCGGGGTCGCTCTGCGCACGCGCCTTCCGCGGCCCCTCGCCCGGCTCCGAGCCCGCGCGTCCTGGGCTGCCTAGTGGCGCTCCGCGCACGCGCACCTTGGGCTTTCGCCGCAGCTGTAGCTGCAGACCCGGGATGCGGCGCGGGCCGGCGCTGTATGTTTACCCGCATCAATTCCTCCTCACTTCACACCCGGAATCGGGCCAAGCTACTCAGCCAGCGGCCGCGCAGAGCCGAGGCCCTCGTCTGGGGACAAATTCAGTGCTTGAGTTTGGATCAGGGGTGTGAATGAGGAAGGAGGGACAGTACAAGGGGCTGTAGAGTGGGGAAAGGGGATTGAAGATGCTCAGGGTGGTATCACTTCTAGCCATCAGGTTGCAGACAAATGGCCTTGGTCAGGAGGTCCCTGGGTGGGTTCGCCCGAGCCCCCAGTCCCTGGACCGTGGGTGGGTTTTTCTCAGTTTCGCTTGCCCGCCTCCTTGCGGTCCTGGACCGCGACTTGAACCGGCAGCCGCGCATGCGCAGTGTGCGGAGAGGCTGCACAACCTCCGTGCCTGCATCTCTGAGCATCCCAGGCTGGTGCATTGTCCCAGAGCAAAGCCAAGCTGCTCAAGGAGGATGCTGAAATAATACTAACAGTCAACATGTCTTGCTGGTTGTGCCTTCTTAGGTATCATCTGTCTTTTGGGCTGCTCTGAGTTTTCTTTCTTTTTTAACTTTTCAAATGCCACCTAAACAGCTTTCTTTTTTTTTTTTCCCGTTTGCCATCGTCAAAAAAATACTTTTTTGTCCCTGTTTCTATTTCGTGTTCGTTTATGTGGTATATTCACGTTTAAGGAAAAGGATTGGACCTTTTGAGAAGCGGAAATAGGAGAATTTCAAGACTTTAAAAACGTGAGGGTGTGCTGGGCGCAGTGGCCCACACCTGTAATCCCAGTACTTAGGGAGGCAGAAGTGGGAGTTGGGGGAATAGTTTGAGCCCAGAAGTTTAAGAACTGCCTGGGCAATATAGCGAGACCCTGTTCTCCACAAAAGGGGAAAAAGACAAAAAAAAAAAGGTGTAAACATGAGAGTGTATTTCTAGTTTAGTGCAGACATAGTGGACAGGGGCATGCCTGGATTCAGCAAGAATTATTATCTATGATAGACAAAGTGCACCTGTGTCTGTTTCCTCCTGGGTAAAATGGAGGTGATAAAGGAGGTGAGGCAGGCCAAGCCCTTAGTACCAGTGCATAATATATAGTCAATAAAATTATGTGTTCTTAGAGGTGGTACTATAAGAGAGCTTCCCCCATTTAATGCAATCGTGATTTCCCTTTGAGGACACGGGATTTCAGAGAAGGCAATTTATGAGCAAATTAGGTAGGGACTTGCGCCTCAAATACAGTCGTTCGTGGTTTCTGTATTAGTTTACTACAGCTGCCATAGTAATATACCACAGACTAAGTAACCTAAACAGCAGATGTGTATTGTGTCACAGATCTGGAGGCCAGAAGTCCTAGATCAAGATGTCAGCAGTCTTAATTCCTTCTGAGGGCTGTGAGGAAAGGACCTATTCCAGGTCTTTCTCCTCAGCTTGAACCTGCTTTCCTTTCCCTGTATCTTGTCCTATCGTCTTCCCTCTGTGTGTGTCTCTGTGTCCAAATTTTCTCCTTTTATAAGAACACGATTCTTATTGGACTAAGGACCACCCTAATAACTACATTTTAATTTGATTACCTCTGACAAAATCCTGTTTCCAAATAAGGTCACATTCTGAGGTAGCGGGGATGAGGACTCCAACATATATTTTTGGGAACACAATTCCATAATAGATGCATTGCACACACATAGCTGTGGTACCTACAGTAAGTATGACAGTATTTCCCACCTGGAGTCTGTAGAATTCTCCCTCCCAGTTTCCTTCCATTCTCTGGAAACAAATGGATGCACACATGTCAGAGTTACTGTTATTTTTTTGGTATTGTAACCACCTCACATTTCTGTTTAGTCATTAAATTAAAAAAGAGTATTTTTCTTTTTTCTTTCTTCTTTTATGAGACAGAGTCTCACTCTGTCACCCAGGCTGGAGCACGGTGGCGCAATCTCTGCTCACTGCAGCCTCAGCCTCCTGGGTTCAAGTGATTCTCCTGCCTCAGCCTCCCAAGTAGCTGGGATTACAGGCGCCAGCCACCACACCCAGCTAATTTTTGTATTTTTTAGTAGAGATGGGGTTTTACCATGTTGGCCAGGCTGGTCTTGAACTCCTGACCTAGTGATCTGCCCACCTCGGCTTCCCAAAGTGCTGGAATTACAGACGTGAGCCACCGCCCCCGGCCAAAAAAGAGTATTTTTCAAAGGAAAAAAGGCCCCAATGCCATTTTGACGAAATGGCAAAGCCTCACAGCGATTGTGGAAGAGACAGATTGGGAAATCGTAGGTACTTCAGCTCTCCACAGATGTGAAAACATGCTTCACATTATGTTTTTATCAGTCTTATTTTCTACACTTTTCAGTAACATCACTTCTATGCATAAGATGGAAGACTCCTCTTTGCTTAAAAAAAAAAAAACAAACTGAATGGTGAATGCTTCTCTGTCACAAGCTAGATTGGAAAAGAATGAAATTTTGTTCTAGCAATGTGGTTTGTACACATATAACAAGTTAGTTTTTAGCTTTTCATAATTCTCCAACAGCCAAAGATGGGCAGTTTCTATGCTGATGGGGATGCATTTCCTTCCATGAATTACAGTTTACTTTTGTACAGTTGTGTTCTCCCCATGGGACAATAACTTACTTTTCCTGACAATTTTAAGACACAATAGAAATGATCCAGTAAACTACAGTACGATGGCATCAAAAGCACATTATCAATGGGACAAATAAACAGATGCTCTTCTTTCACACAACATGTAAACTTAAACATGCCATTTATTGTGTGTATATATATGCCATCCTGTAGGGAGTCTTAGCTTATTTCAACTTCCTTAGTTTGTTGTCCTGGTTCCTGTGTCTCTGTGCTTTTGTTATCTGTTGTATTTGGTTTCCAGTCTGCTGTATCTGTTTTCTGTGAGCCCACTTTGCCCTGTTATTCTCTTTACTTTTCTAGGGGTACAAATCTTGCCCAGCGTAGATGGAGGGTAACAGGTTGGACTAGGGACCATCTTTCTCAGTGGCTGTACACAGTCTACTTTTCTTGATGATGCTGAGAGACCAGAAAGCTCTGACTTCATCTGATGGGGCCTGAATTTGAGCTCCTCATTGCAGACTTACCTGCCTTCTTCCCCTAGATAGCTGGCTTTGCAACGCTGACTTAGGAAGTCTCTTGCTTCAGAGGCACTGAATATTCTCACCCCTTCCCGCTGCTGCTTTCCTCCAAGCCCAGTGAGCTCTGGAAGGGAGCCTGACATAGATGGCTGAATTCGCCACTCCTGGCTTTGTACTCTCGGACATATCTGGTATTTTTGTGTGGGGAGGGTCATTGTTTTTGAACCCCTTCACCATCAGAGTGCAAACTGGCTCTGAGCGAGAGGTCCAGTTTGCTTCTCTGCAGTGTTGGATAACAGATGTGGTCGGAACTGGCAGTGCCAGCATCCCCTGGGAGCTCACTAGAAATGCAGAATCCCAGCTGCCACCCCCAGACTGACCAACTCAGCATCTGCCTTTCAACCAGGGCATCCAATGGTCTAGACCATTGACCCCCTCCTGGGGTATACCAGCTACTTCATTGTGGGGAGGGGGCTTAGGATTATTATTATTATCGTTATTTTATTTATTCGTTTATTTTTTGAGATGGAGTCTCACTCTTTCGCCCAGGCTGGAGTACAGTGGCACGATCTTGGCTCACTGCAAGCTCCGCCTCTCGGGTTCACGCCGTTCTCCTGCCTCAGCCTCCCAAGTAGCTGGGACTACAGGCACCCGCCACTATGCCTGGCTAGTTTTTTGTATTTTTAGTAGAGACGGGGTTTCACCATGTTAGCCAGGATGGTCTCGATTTCCTGACCTTGCGATCCGCCCCCCTCAGCCTCCCAAAGTGCTGGGATTACAGGCGTGAGCCACCACGCCCGGCCAGGATTATTATTTTAATGTAAAGAAGTAGCAAATGTGTTAAGTTTACCAAGATTTATTTTTATTTTATTTTATTTTATTTTTTGAGACAGGATCTCACTGTGTTGCCCAGGGTGGAGTGCAGTGGCGTGAAGTCGGCTCACTGCAACTCCCCTCCTTCCGGGTTCAAGCGATCCTGTCACCTCAGCCTCCCAGGTAGCTGGGACTACAGGTGCCCACCACCATGCCTAGCTAACTTGTGTATTTTTTAGTGGAGACGGGGTTTCACCATGTTGGCCAGGCTAGTCTCAAACTCCTGACCTCAAGTAATCCGCCCGCCTTGGCCTTCCAAAGTGCTGGAAGTACAGGCAGGAGCCATGGCACCCAGCCCTAACATTTAATATTTGTGTGAACACTGGCGAATGTTCTTGTGTCCTGGTCTTTTCTCCAGGTATCCTTGCAGGGAGGAGGGGAGACATCATTGCTCTCAACCATTTTATTTGATTTCAGCATAATGCAATGTACATATTAAGGTAAAGTGTATTTATGGCTTATATTATTTAATTTTTAAATCAACTGTCAAAAAATGGACAGAGGGATTAAAGACATGCCTATGAAAATAATAAAATGTAGCTTCCAGTTAATAACAAGAAAGTAGAAATTCCAGCATCAGCTTTATAGCCTTCACTAATGATTACAGATCATGTTTCGTAATATCCGTAATGTTAGTGCCTAAGTAGACACACACTATTCTAAAATAGCACATGTGAAGGGAGGATGTGTGCTCCAAAAATGTGGAGAAGTGAAGCATGTGGTCAGACCTTACCATGCATTCGAATTTCCTCTGTCCTGCCAGGATTCTCACTGACTAGACATGACTGGACATCTGAGAGAGGGGCTCAGGCTTCATCACACCCCACCCTTTATCATCTCATTGTTCTGAGATTTAGGGCTCCTGACTCCAAACAGTTCCCTCCTTGCTTGCCCCTCTCTCCCTTTCTCCTTCCCTCCCTTTCTTTCCTCCTTCTCTCTTTCCCTGTCTTCCTTCCTGTCCTCCTCTTCGACTCCTTCCCTCTCTCCTTCCCTCCCTTCCTTTCCTCCTTCTCTCTTTTCCTGTCTTCCTTCCAGTTCTCCTCCTCCACTCTCTCCCTCTCTCATTCCTTCCCTTCCTTTCCTCCTGTCTTCCTCCTGTCCTCCTCCTTGACTCCTTCCCTCTCTCCTTCCCTCCCTTCCTTTCCTCCTCCTTCTCTCTTTCTGTTTTCCTTCCTGTTCTTCTCCTCCACTCTCTCCTTCCTTCCCTTCCTTTCCTCCTTCTCTCTTTTCCTGTCTTCCTTCCTGTCCTCCTCCGTGACTCCCTCACTCTCTGCTTCCTTCTCTTCCTTTCCTCCTTCTCTCTTTTCCTGTCTTCCTTCCTGTCCTCCTCAACTCCCTCCCTCTCTCCTTCCCTCCCTTCCTTTCCTCCTTCTCTCTTTTCCTGTCTTTCTTCCTGTCCTCCTCCTCCTCGACTCCTTCCCTCTCTCCTTCCCTCCCTTCCTTTCCTCCTTCTCTCTTTTTCTGTCTTCCTTCCTGTCCTCCTCCTCAACTCCCTCCCTCTCTGCTTCCTTCCCTTCCTTTCCTCCTTCTCTCTTTTCCTGTCTTCCTTCCTTCCTGTCCTCCTGCTCAACTCCCTCCCTCTCTGCTTCCTTCCCTTCCTTTCTTTCTTCTCTCTTTTCCTGTCTTCCTGTTCTCCTCCTAAACTCCCTCCCCCTCTCCTGCCCTCTCTCCCTCTTTTCCTTTTTTCTTTCCCTCCTGACATTTCCTCTGGCGTAGCTCCCTCTCTCCAGGACCTGTGAGGGGTTTGTGCACCCATAATGGATACAAATGGGGATGTCAGCAACTTGGGCCTTTGCTGTGTCTTGTACCACATTCACAAAGAGGGGTACCCACTGGCCCTGCCTGCTGAAGCCTCTCTCCTTGAATGGAATCACAGCTGGAGCTCACCACGCAGAGAGCTGAATGCCATCTCTAATGTGCGCCTTGCGTCGTCTCTGCTTCTGAATAAACCACATGCCCACCTGCAAGGCTCTGAGTTCCTGTCACATCTTATGCAAGTTGCTTAGTGCACTGGTCACTTCTCCGAAGTGTTTATAAAGGCCACATGCTGAGAGTCTGAGATGAAAGAGTGATTCGTTTATGGTTAAAGTTGGCTCATTGTTTCATAGCAACTGTTGTAATAGCCACCAGCCCTCAAATAATTATGATGTACTTACAACTTTATAAATGATCTGTTACTTCATTGACTCGGCAACTTTGCAAGGTAAACAATGGAATTCTTCTTCTTATAGAAATAAAGAAATGGAGCTTGAGGAAAGTCAGGTAGCTTGCCACAAGTCATATACCTGAAAACGATCAGGGTGGAGAGTTCAACCTCTGTTGGTCTTCCTTCCTCAAAAAGAGCCAAAAGGCAAAAACTATCTATTAATATGTTTCCTATATGTTTTCAAAATTTCTTATGTTGTATGTAAGCAATCAGGACCACAACGTGAATAGATAATATCAAAATCAAACACAGGAGTGAATGTGCAAATAAAGGGAAAAAAAGTATTCTAGAAAACACCAGCAAAAAAAAATAAGGAAAAGGAAGCTTCAAAAAATAAACAAGGAACATTTGTTTTCTTCAATTATGATGTCAGTATGGCATGTCAGCGATAACGTGGTCCAACCAGTCATTTCTAGGATTGAAATTTTTCTCCTTTATTTTACTTGCACCCAACTCCTGTGCTGCTTGGTGCAAGCTAACATCTGGAGGGAACAGAAAGCTGGTTGCACAGCCTCTCCCTTCAGCTTCCCCATGATCACATAAGCCTGGAAAATGTGCTGAATGAGTCCTTGCCTCCTCAATTCACAGCCATGTGTTCACTTGAAACTCTCCCATTTCTGTGGTCAACGATGGTCTTCCCATTTTTTTTTTTAACACAACAGTTCCCAAACTTACTCAACAGGGACCATCACATATGCTCTTTAAAAAGAACATAATATCTCCTTCAAACACACTTTAGAAATACCAGACTACTGTTCAGCATAGGGTCCATTCTGACTTACATTCTGCCTCACCACCAACTTTCTTGAAGCAATCATTCAGTAAGGCTGTGGGATTTTGCCAAGTCAGCGTGACACCAAACACATTGGAAAAGCAGACTAAATTTACAGAGTAAAATTCAGAGAATGAGAATCTTAGGTACCTCAAATAGTTAAGATTTTAAGAATCTTAAAGGGAACAGATTATGTTTATATGTATATATGTATACCATGCATATGTTATATAATCTATATAAATAATATATTGGTGTGCATGATTTTTATAAACTTGAGGAAATGCCTTTATATATAACTTAAATATATTTAGTTTGTATATATTCACAAATGTATATGTTAAATATTATATTACAAACAATGCAACTGCATGGCTTTAAGAAAGTTAAGAAGAAAGGTGATTACAGTAGGTTCTCACTTGTTGGTAGGTTTTTGGAAACTGTGACTTTAAGCAAAGCCACATATAACAAAACCAATTTTTTTCTCATCAACTTTATAACAAAATGATGTTGAATGAAATAACCTGCTATATATCGTTCCTCTTAAAGTTGCAATTTCCGAGAATCAGCCAGGTATGGAGGCTCACGCCTATAATCTCAGCGCTTTGGGAGGCTGAGGCAGGTGGAATGCTTGAGCTCAGGAGTTCAAGACCAGCCTGGGCAACATGGTGAAACCCCATCTCTACAAAAAAAATACAAAAATTAGCTGGGTGTGATGGCATGCACCTGTTGTCCCAGCTACTTGGGGGGACTGAGATGGGAGGATTGCTTAAGCCTGGGAGGTCGAGGCTGCAGTGAGCTCTGATCATGCCACTGCACTCCAGCCTGGGTGTCATAGTGAGAACCTATCTCAAAAAAAAAAAAAATTCTGAGAATCTATTGACATTGTTAAGTGAGGAGTTATTGTATATATGATTTAAATTTATTACATATATACACACATATAGATGCATGCATGTGTGGGTTTTTTTATTTTTGGCTGGCTCTTGCTTCTCTTTGGATGTATGTGTGGTTTTAACAATCTTCAGGTGAAAGGTCTTTATATATAATATATGTGTGTATATATATTTATATATAATTGCACAGGTTTGAGAGTTGTTTAATAGGCTAAGTGAAGTAGGTGGGTCAAACAGGTACAACACATGTATTTTCTTCTCTTGTGGGCACATTTCAATTGAATATGTTTATTGGCTGCTGTTGTATTAGTGCGTAAACAATAACATTTGGAAGCATCTATTTCAAGTCAATTTCCTAGGGCCATTTAAACCACTCTGAAAGAATCTTAGAGGCAATAAATTTCCATGACTCCTTCCTCCTGGTGTAAACTAGGATGCCAGTTAAAGAAAGGTAGTTTACTAGGACTTGGGTTTTGGTTTAATAATAAAGCTATAACTTGAAACATGGAAATGCAGTGGCTGTGATTAAATCTGCTCCTGCAAAATGGGAAGCGAATGATAATTAAAAACCACAAATATGCAAAAATACCTAGAAACTATTCATGATTTTTTGTGTTCCTTCTTTGATCTGCCCCCAACCATGTTCCATGTAACACACATAGGAGGAATTCTGGGGTTTTCCACATGTTTTTGCCCTTTCCTGTGCCATACCCTTTACTTTAATAGACAAGGAGGGGGTCCCCAAACCAGAGATTTGAGAGCACTTTTGGTGTTTTAATGTTTCTAGACTTTATGAAGCTGGCAAATGGCTTGGAGGAGAATATTTGAGCCCACTGAATGTATACAGAGCTCACTGCTATTTGTCTTGTGCAGTAGTGGATGATGCAATAGGGAGACTATAAGCTGGATTCTGGGGCTCCAGGTCTCTTCCTTCTGCATGGCTAAGAGGAGAACCCTTCTGTGAGCACCGTGTTGCTCTCATCCCACTTGCCCAATTTGCATTGAGATGCTTGTTCCTTGATTCAGGGCCCTAATTATCAAGCCTCGATCTTTGCTCATGTGACTGCTGCCTGTCGAGTCTTTGAGAGTAAGTGTTCCCTTGCTCATCTCTGATTGCATGTGCCCTTCTTCTGTGGGACTCCAGGATTTCCCACCAACAGTCTCTCTTATGGGTTCTTTCTGGGTAGAGGCCCAAGTATGAAGACATGCCCAGTGTTAGCTTGAGGGTTCCTGTGCAATGCCACTGATGGTTGGCACAGTTATAGGAATGTCAAACATCAGGTAGGTTCAACTCTGAACAATTTCATTAAGCATCTACGTGGATTCATATACCAAAGTCTGTGCTTTTCATGATCTTAAAGCACAGTAATTTTCATAGCTCGTAAAGTAAAATCTTTTCACTTCTGTCTTCTCAAAATTGCCAAAAAGGATCATCCATTTCTTTTGGCCAGGCACCATGCCCTGGGACATTATATCTAATCAATAAAGGGTTATTGATTAGAGGGGCCTGAGATGTATGCTTCTGCCTGCCTTACTGGTGAGAAAGCTGGTGCCCCAAGTGATTAAGCACTTTTTGGAGGTCATACAGCTAGTGGGTGCTGGAATCAGAATGCCATGTCTGTCTGACTCCAAAGTCCTCCATCCACATATCAAGACAAATTATTCTGGGAAATATTTATTGTAACAGGATACTCATTTGACAGCATCATGAAATGAGATGGAAAAAAATGGCATTCTGTAGGAATTTTCCATGTAGATAACCAGGAACCCTATGGATCTCTGGCCTCACAGCAAGGAGAGAAGTGGGGGCTTATGAAGAGGTTTCTGTGGCATTATAGCCCTGCCTCCTCCCCAGTGGAGTTAGGCTTTCTTTTTTCTTGTTTCCTAAATGAAATAAAAACAAATGACATGGCATGCATCTCTCTTAGCCTCAGTCCAATGTTGAGGCTTCAGCGACACTCCTCAGAGAGGTTGATATTTGATTGTGCATCTCTTGGGGGACCTAGGTGGGTGGCACCTGATCCCTGCCTGATCTGCTCTAGAGACTTCTGATCTCGAGGACTAGGGGGAGTTGATTTAGGTTGCACTTCCAGAGTCCCTCAAACAAATATGCATAACCAGATAACCTTAATGATTTGGACTTTTGCCCCACAAAATCTGCTGGGATGAGGAGGAAACTCCAGCAGAGAGGCGCCACTTGAAAACCAGTTGGAGGAAGAGACAACATCGCCCGCATCTCAGGAGTTGCAAATGGGGGTGATCCAGCTGTCCTGGCTTCCAAGAACTTAAGAAAATGCCCTTCAGCTTTGCCTGAAATCTTCACATGACAGGACCAGTGAGAGAAGAACAAACCTTCTGCTCCTTTTCGCCTTCCTTTCCTGCTACTCTCCAGGTGGAGGGATCAGTAACCACAGCAGGGGGAATGAGGGAGGATGACAATTGAGAAAGCCAGAAGCTTCCCCGTGTGTGCCCTCTGTTTCAGGACCATGAAAAGCATGCCTTAGCTGGGGGTAGGGTGGGGAGAAAGGGAAGTCTTACTCTGGAATTAAAGCTGCAGAGATTTAGCCTTTCATTCGACATTTAACTTTGATCTTGAAAGCATTCAGTGACCAGAAACATCATGTGATGTGCTGGAATTTTGACCACTAGCTGGTATAAGACATTTCTGCAATGAGTAAGTTTTACAGAGACCCTGGGAGACAAAACATGGCCTTTTGGTAAAATCCGAGTCGTATTTATTCATGTTAAAATACTTTTCAGGTTTCAGCATGCCCAAATCCTTAGTTATTATTAAGACTAGAAAATGGGCTAACACTGCTACTTTATATATTATTTGAGTGCCTACTGAGAGCCAGAGGCACACAAAATAATTAGAAATAAGCAATTTTTTATTTATAGAAGCAAAGACTCAGATTAGGCTTTTTTTTTTCTTTCTCCCTTTCCTTTTTCCCTAAATGCTGTAAAAACAAACAACACGAGGAAACTAATAAAAGAGAAACACTGGAGGTTATTTTTCCTGGGGTGTGATTTTCCCCCAAGGTGTGTGGTCAGAAGACTGCCTGCTGTTTCATCAGCGTTGATGGGACACCTCCCTGCTGAGTGGTAGCCCTGCTCATTGCCCAACCCTGTGGTATTGACACAGAGAATGAATTCCTTGGGGCTCTTGGCACTGTGTTGTATGTGTAACTCACGTAACAAACAGGCTGGCAAGGCTTAGGCACATCAGGCTCTCCACAGATCATTAAAAACAAAACCCTTGCTCTTCTCATCCTAAAACCACGTCCTATGTTGTTCATCGAAAAAATAATCATCACTGTTTGTCTGTCCCACCCCACCATTATATAGCCTCCCTCTTCTTCCTCAACACATGCTCCCTTTCCTTGCTGCGCACCATGCAATGCAAAATTCAGTGCCTACAGGAAGTGCTCTCAGTGAACTCCTGATTGTTTTCCAGGTTAGGGAGTCAATAGGTGAATAAGAATTGCAGTTAAGTATTCAGGGCTGGCACCCAAAGCTCCTCCAAAGTGATGAGTTGGTGAAGGAAGTCCAGCTTCCCTCTGAGTGATGTTAAAAATGTGTGGGGCACTGGGGGAGAGGAAGGCCAGGTGGAGAAATACATGCAGTTAAATAACTTTTTTATGATAGATTCGCTGATTACTCAGTGATGACTTTATTGCCAATGATGCTCCAATATAACTGCCCAGGCTGTCAAATGATTATTCACACACGATGAGCGTTCGGCTGGGATACTTGTCCAATGTGATGGTATGAAAAGCTGTTTGAGATCCTTGAAGGAGACGTACAAAGTGTCTTGAGTCTTCCAGTAAAGAGCCCTCTCTGAAAGCCTTGTAAGAACTGGTGAGTTACATTTTTAATATGATTATTATTTTTTCTTCTCTGCTGCTAAGATGTTGGGATACGTGATGACAGAAAATTGCTTACGGGGAATATTTACTTTAGTTGCACTGCTTCAAAGGAAGTCTAAAGGTTTCTATTTATTTCCCTTCCTGGAATAGCCCAAGAGCAGCATGTTAAGAGTTAATTGAATAAGTAGAAGAGCCAAGTCTTTGCTCTGGGAGGCGGAGTTTTAAATTCTCTTCTGTGGGACTGATCAAAGTTTATACATTTTTTATCTGTAGTGTTACATTAAAGAAAATATCTGTAAAACCACCTACAACAATTTATCTAATATGTTTTCATTTGCTCATTTGCCCTGAAACAAGGCTGTCTATAAGGAGAAGAAAGTAATTGCCAAATAGTTTGTCTTTGTGGATTAGAGTGGTAGTTTGAAAACACAAGCTTGGTATAAAGAATACTGGAGTTTAGAGGAAAGAATCCTAAAAGGAAATGAGCAAAGGAAGTGGTGGATTTTGTGCTATAGTTTACACAAAAGAGAAATTAAATCAATTAACCTCATATATGAAAATACTGCACCCACTGCTTCTGAGTTAGATACGATGTCTATGCGGGAGATGTCTTTGCCATCCAATGCATTCCCTGAAAGATTGGCATGATTTTAAGCTTTCAACTTACTGCTTTTCTAAAGGATGAATTTGAGAAGGAATTAACAGTTGTTTCACTCTTTTTCATTTTAAATATACAGATTCAATATCTGTAATGTTAATATGTATGTATCCTAAAGAGTGGAAATACGTATCCTAAAGAGTGGAAAAAGAACATACATGCCTACTTCTAGAGGGGCATACACGTAGATCTCTCAGTTTATCCTCAGGACCATGCATGAAGTCAAATGTTTCTTTTTGTTTTTTCTTTTTTTTGAGATGGAGTCTCGACCTGTCTCCCAGGCTAGAGTGCAGTGGTGCGATCTCAGCTTACCACAACCTCCACCTCCTGGGTTCCAGCAATTCTTCTGCCTCAGCCTCCCGAGTAGCTAGGATTACAGGCATGTGCCACTATGCCTGGCTAATTTTTTTTTTTTTTTTGTATTTTTAGTAGAGATGGGGTTTTGCCATGTTGGCCAGGCTGGTCTCGAACTCCTGACCTCAAGTGGTCTGCCTGCCTAGGCCTCCCAAAGTGTTGGGATTACATGCATGAGCCACTGCATCCGGCTGAAGCCAAATGTTTCTTAACAGGCTATGTTGGTTTTAAGATGTGGTGTTTATTACTGCACTTTTTACAGTATACTTGTGTATGTAAGATCATCTCTATAAAAGAACTAGGTTAACTGAAGAATGGGTATGTAGTTCAGAGATCAGTTAGTGTTTTCTGAAAATTTATATTAATTGCAGAAAATGAACATCCAAAAACAATTTAACTTTTGCAATGCATGCTGTACATAATCTAGTAATTATGAACCAACCAAATGGATGATTTTTTCCCCAAAGAGAGATGCTAAGAAATTCCTTTGATCTCTTTCAAGTAAACTCTCTGTTATCTTATGAGCAATTATAATGAATTAAGATGTCCAGTTCATGCTTACTTTACTTCTTATCAGAGTATCAACATATTTCATGTACACATCAGTTTTGTCTTCTGTGCCAACCCGAGCAGATTGAGTTGGAGGAATGTTAGAAATAATTTTCACTGAAAATAATATCACTAAAAGTGTTAAAATTATTTTACAGAAAGTTTGCTCCATTTCGTGTCATTTACTGTAGGTACTCTTTGTCTCAAGGAACACATGACAATGCTTTACTGAGTACCCTGTGAGTTGGTATCTATAGTGACATTACTATTTGCCAACTGAGAAATTGCCCCATATTCATTTATAATGAGATTATCACATCACAGCTGATATCAGGAGACAGAAATCTAAAAGCTTTCAGTGCATGAAAAAAAGATAATAATGACTCCTCTTTGCATTAAAAACCTAAATAGTAGATGTTGAGCATCCCTTAAAAGCTTGAATAAAATAAGCATTAAGAGTTTATGGCCAAAAGTCCTAAGCCATGCTTTCTAGACCAGGTTCTGTCACCATTGTTTTGTTTCCATCTTGTCTTCTCCTTAAAATTCGAGCCTTGGTTGGAAATTAACCCCTGTCAAACTTGGCCACTGAGTCAACAAGCACTTCCCCAGTGCCCCAGGGACACAGGTAACAGAGGATGTGGCAATGATGAAGCAGAAGTCCAGTCTCACCTCAGGTGTTTTCTGTGAAGGAAAACAAGCAGTATAAATACTGCAAGTACCAATGTCAATAATAATTAAATGCTTATTATGAGAAGGAAGTGCAGGGCAGAGACTTGGCACAGGGCTAATTAGGAGAAGCACCTTCAACTGTGAGGTCTGGGAGAAAGCCCAGGGGGATGGAACAGAGATGGCTTAGGGTCCCGGGTTCCTCTTGGCGGTTCCAAGACTGGGAGATTTTTAGTTTAGAGATAGAGACTGGGACGTTCTCTTTCACAATGAATTTGTCTATCCAGCGATTCCCCACGGAGGCACTGTTGGTACGTGGGGCTGGGTGATTCCTTGCTGTAGGGGCTATCCAGTGCGTGGTAGGATGCAGCAACCCACAATATCTCCAGATGTTGCCAAATGTCTCCTGGTAGGTAAAATCATCCTCCCGGATGACAATCTCTGGCCTGAAATAAGCATTTAAAATGTGTAAGACTGGCCGGGCGCAGTGGCTCACGCCTGTAATCCCAGCACTTTGGGAGGCGGAGGCAGGTGGATCACGAGGTCAGGAGTTTGAGACCAGCTGGGCCAGCATGGTGAAACCCCGTCTATACTAAAAAAAAAAAAAAAAAAAAAAAAATTAGCTGGGCCTGGTGGCGCGCGCCTGTAATCTCGGCTACTCAGGAGGCTGAGGCAGGAGAATTGCTTGAACCCGGGATGCAGACGTTGCAGTGAGCCGAGATCACACCACTGCACTCCAGCCTGGGCGACAGAGCAAGACTCCGTCTCAAAAAAAAAAAAAAAAAAAAATGCATGAGACAGAGCTTACTTAGAGCAGGGTTTTTCAACCTCAGCACTGCAGACATTTGGGGCTGGGTCACTCTCTGGTGGTGGCTGTCCTGTGCACCATAGGGTGCTGAGCATTATCCCTGGGCTCCACCCAGCAGATGCCAGCAGCACCTCCCACCCACTGCTAAGTTATAACATCCAAGCTTGTCTCCAGATATCACCAGATGTTTCTTGGGTTGCAAAACTGTCTCTTGTGTAGAATCACCAAATTGGAAACAGATAAGAACCGGCATCTGGGATCACAGAAGAGGTGTGGAGATCACTGTTTTGAGTCTGTTCTCAGCTCTTTTTCCAGCTGGCCAGGCAGCTCTGTGTTTTTGCTAGAGCTTGTCACAGCTGGTTTGACCTGGGTCATTGGGCAAGCATTCCCTGGGTCTCAACTTGTCACCTCTTCTGCCTATGAGGAAACTCTGGAGCTATCCACATCCAAGTGACTTGGCCAAGGTTCTGTTCAGCATAGGTGGCTTTTCCAGTACCTGACTTCTCAGCCCACAGGACTTTACCACTTCTTTTCAAATCTTGCCTTCAGAAATGTAGGTTTGCAATCCTTTGTCCATAACCAAAAATAGAAAAGAAAAACATTGAAAACCCAGAGTTTTTCTAACATACTTGGCAGTGACACCAGCTCGAACCAACTAACATAAAACTAACATAAAGTGAAAAGTCTTCATTCATCCCACAGATTGTGGGTATTCATTTTGTTTCACTGCAGAACTTTTTTTAGATAGGGTCTCATTCTGTCACCAGGATGAAGTGCAGTGGCTCGATCTCAGCTCACTGCAATCTCTGCCTCCTTGGTTCAAACAATTCTCCCACCTCAGCCTCCCCAGTATCTGGGACTACAGGTGCCCACCATCATGCTCAGCTAATTTTTTTTTGTATTTTTTGGTAGAGACGGGGTTTTACCATGTTGGCCAGGCTGGTCTTAAACTCCTGACCTCAGGTGATCTGCTCACCTCTGCCTCCCAAAGTGCTGGGATTACAGGCGTCAGCTACTGTGCCCAGCCTCACTGCAAAACTGTTAACATGGGTGACCACAGGCTGCTGTCCAAGACTTCGCTTGAGCTATTATATATGACATGAGATATTCACCATTACCTTATAAAACCCAAAACATTCTGCATTCTGACACACACCTTTTCTCAAAAGTTTCCATCTCAAGACTATGGGCCTGAGAATGTAATTGCAAGTGGAAAAGGGTTCATTCTTAACTTCTTGTGACCTTGACCACCCGATGGTGCTGTTGTTTTTTGGTTTATGGTATCATCATGTGCTTCTGTGTGTCCTCGGATGCAGCTTCCATTATGTAAAACCTCCTTCCTTTTCTGTACTCTTTAAGCTTTAGAATAACCTGAGAACACTCAGGAACTGAAATTGAGCCAGAAAAGCTGGGCAGAATAGCTGTGTCATTTGGTTCTGGGCCCACTTGTAAGTAGCTCCCAGCCCCCACTTCCCAGCCAATTACCTAAGATGCAAAGAACCATTTACACGAATCTGGGGGACAGAGTGACCAGACCTGGGGACTCTATGGCTTGCGGCTATTAAACCAAAAGACACTTCTTCATTGTTGAAAGGCTAAATTCCATTAAAAAAAAAAGAAAACAAAAGTACAAGCATGGTGGCTCTCACGCCTGGAATCCCAGCACTTCAGGAGGCTGAGGTGGGTGGATTGCTTGAGTCTAGGAATTCAAGAGTGGCCTGGGCAACATGGCAAAACCCCATCTTTACAAAAAAAAAAAACACACACACACACAAAAAGAAGAGTCAGGTGTGGTGTCACATGCCTGTAGTCCCAGCTACCTGGGAGGCTGAGGTGGGAGGACAGCTTGAGTCTGGCAGGTTGAGGCTGCAGTGAGCACTGATTGTACCATTGCACTCTAGCCTGGGCAACAGAGCAAGACCCTCTCTCAACAATGAAAAATAAACAAACAAAAACAACTACCAAGTCCTTATTTGGTTTGTTAAAAAGAAAGAAAAATTGTTCTTTATTGAAGTATGGGTACATCTGGGACAGAATTTCTCATCCTCTGCACACTAGATATTTGGGGCAGGATAATTCCCTTTTGTGGGATGGACTGTCCTATGCAGTGTGGGGTGTTAGTGGCTTTGCTGGACTGTGATGGCCAATATCTACCTTCCAGCTGTGACAGCCAGAAATGACTCCAGACATTGTCCAACATTCCCTGGAATGCACAATCACCCCTGGTTGAGAACCACTGGTCTAGAAAAAGCATTTTAAAAGGAGTAACAGGCTGGGCATGGTGGCTCACATCTATAGTCACAATGTGTTGGGAGGCCAAGGAGGGCGAGGAGATTGACACCAGGAGTTCGAGGCCAGCCTGGACAACTCTGTTTCTACAAAAAGTAAAAAAATAAAATATCAGCCAGGTGTGGTGGCTCACACCTGTAGTCCCAGCGACTTGGGAGGCTGAAGTAGGAGGATCCCTTGAGCCTAGGAGTTTGAGGTTGCCATGAGCTGTGATCACACCACTGCACTCCAGCTGGGTAACAGAGTGAGATCCTGTCTCTAAAAATAAAATAATAATAAAATAAAAATAGTAATGCAAAGCTTCGACTTAATCAGGATTCTCTGCCTTGATACTATTGACATTTGAGGCCAGATCATTCTCTGTTGTCAGGAACTGTTCTGTCCACACTTAGTAGCATCTCTGGCCTCTGCTCACTGGATGACAATAGCACTGTCCATAAGTTGTAACAACCAAAAATATCTTCAGACATTGCCAATGTCCCCCGGGGGTCAAATTGGGCCCTGGCAAGAACCACTGGTCTAGGCTAGTGCCGTAGTCTACAGAGTCACATTACTTTAACTTTGTGTGGTGCCTCATATTTTACAGAAAGCATTTTCTCTTTCTCTCTGTCGCTGTCTTTTTTTTTTTTTTTTTTTAATTGAGACAGGGTCTTGCTCTGTCATCCAGGCTGTAGTGCAGTGGCGTGATTACGGCTCGCTGCACCCTCAACCTCCCAGGCTCAATCGACCCGCCCATCTCAGCCTTCTAAGTAGCTAGGGCTACAGGTGCATACCACCACACCTGACTAATTTTTGTATTCTTTGTAGAATCGGGGTCTCATCACGTTGCCCAGGCTGATCTTGAACTCCTAGGCTCAAGTGACCCACCTGCCTTGGCCTCCCAAAGTGCTGGGATTACAGGCATAAGCCATCCTGTCTGGCTGCATTATCTTATATTTTGCTTCATTTAATACTTTTCTCTTTCAACCCTGTGAGGTATTTTTGAGTCCCATTTTTGTCGGTGGGAAAACTAACCCCAGCAATCTATACAGTGTGTCACAGAGTTTTGTTTGTACCCTGCCATGTTGCCAGATATCACATGGATGACTGAAGTATGGGGATATGCAAAGCCATTTGTCTTAATTGGCAGACAGGATCATATAAAATAATTTACATGATACTAAGTAGACACCACAGTTAGCAATATGAAATGGATTCCAGGAACTTCCAATTGCAAATTAGCTCATGTAACTGATGAATTACTTAATCTAGGAGGTTATAGCTGCAGGTGCCTAGAGCTTGCAGGTTGCATGACTCAGAAGATTTTTAGTTGGACATGATGGAGACCCAGTGCAACCTTGCTCCAACCTAGAAAGAGATTTTTCAGTTGCATATGTGGGAAGTTCATAGAATCAAAGAGAAAACCACTAACCAGGAACGGTTGTCTTCAAGACCAGCTGAAAATTCTTTGTAAGCCTGTTTGACATGACCCATAGCTACTACCTATGGCTCCAGATAGAAGCCATCACTGTATTTGAAAACACTTGGTTTTACATTCTGGTTAAGTTGTATAGTGTTGGTACTATTTTATGTATATTTGGGATTAGATACTGTAGTCATTATTTATCACTGCAGAGCAAATTACCACAAACTTAAAGACTTAAAACAAATACCCATTGAGGATCTTACAATGACTGTGGGCCAGGAGTCTAGGCATAGCTTAGCAGGGTTCTCTGCTCAGAGTCTCACGAGATTGCCATCAAGGTGCTGTCCAGGTGTTGGCTGTGTTCTCACCCAGAGCGTGGGGTCCTCTTTCAAGCTCAATATCAAGTTGTTGATAAAAAATTTATTTATTTATTTATTTATTTAGAGACAGAGTCTTGCTCTGTCGCCCAGGCTGGAGTGCAGTGGCAGGATTGAGGCTCACTGCAACCTCTGCCTCCCGGGTTCCAGCAACTCTTCTGTCTCAGACTCCCAAGTAGCTGGGACTACAGGCGTGTGCCACCACGCCCAGCTAATTTTTGTATTTTTAGTAGAGATGAGGTTTCGCCATGTTGGTCAGGCTGGTCTCGAACTCCTGACCTCAAGTAATCTGCCTGCCTCGGCCTTCCAAAGTGCTGGGATTACATGTGTGAGCCACCGCGCCCAGCCCAAGTTGTTGATAGAGTTTTGTTCCTTCTTGTAGGATGGAAGCTCTCAGCTTCTAAAGACTACTCTTCATGAGAGGCATCTTACAACAGAGCTGTCTATTTTACCAAGGCCAGCAGGAGAAGGCCTCTTGTGCTTGGATTCTGCTTTCAAGGCCTTGCCCTATTAGGGCAGGCTCACCTAGGATCATTTTTTTGTTTGGTTTTTGTTCTGAGACAAGGTCTTACTCTGTTGCTTGGATCATGGCTCACTGCAACCCCAACCTCCTGCATTCAAGCCATCCTCCTGGCTCAGCCTCCCAAGTAGCTGGGACTACAAGTACTCACCACCATGCCTGGCTAATTTTTTTTTTTTAAGTTTTTGTAGATACAGGGTCTTGCTATGTTGTCCAGACTGGTCTCAAACTCCTGGCCTGAAGTGATCCTCTCATCTCAGCCTCCCAAAATGCTGGGATTACAGGCATGAGCCACCATGCCTGGTCCTCATCTGCCTTTTGATTAGCACAAAGTCAGCTGATTAGGCACCTTAATGACACATACAAACATCCCTTTACTTTTGCCATACTTTATTGATTAGAAGCAAGTCATCATTTCCACCCTCACTCAAGAGAAGGTGTATTGTTGTATTGTACTCACAACAATACAAAGTTGTGAGTACCAGGGGCTGGAAACCCAGAAGGCGATCTTAGAACTCTGCTTCCCACGAGTGCCTTTGTGTGAGTGCACCTGGGAACTGAATTATAATGTAGGGAAAAATGTGTTCTGAGAACCAGATAACCTAATGGCAAACAGATGTCTGGGGGAAACGGATATGTAAGATTGGCTTTGGTTGCCAGTCCTGACTCTAGTTAGCCAATTTCAATGTCATTGATTTATATTTGATGATAATAAAATCATGAAAAATCCCCTACATAATTGAATATTTTATTCTTGTCATGACAAAGTCTCCTGCAATGCATCACAGTAATTTTTTCCAGTTGCTCAGGAATGTGTCTAGGGGCTGTGGCTCCTCTGAAAACAGGATCAGAGGGCATCCCTCATAATGTGTGGGCAGGTTTCTGGGAATGGCTCATGCCTCCCTGCACACAGGGAATCCCATCAAAATTCTTCCTCTGCTGCCCTGGGTGGTGGATGAGCTGTGCCCCTCCTTTCCCTGCACCCAGGCCTTGCAGTGGGATATCATCTCTCAGTGATTGGGAATTCTTCCTCGAGCACCTTCAAGTTGCCTTCCTCTCTGTCCTTACCCAGGATGTTCCTTAGAAGAACAGCACAGATGCCTGGGTCTGGTGCCAGGCTGGCTTGGTTGAATTGCTCACCAACTGGGCAGTGAGGGTCCTCCTTCCACTCACAGTAGGGTTTATTTGTCCAAATTTCATTTTGGGGATGTCATATCATGCTAGTGATATCAGAAGGCTTTATGGTATTAACAAAATAGCTTCAGCTTTGATCATCTCTTTTCTGAATTGTTTTTATTGAGATGAAATTCTTATAAAATTAACCATTGTAAAATATACAATTCTGACATATTGAGTACATTGACCACATTAAACCACCATCTGTCTGGTTCTACAACATTTTCATCACCACCGAAAACAACCCTATACCCTTTAACAGCGATTCCACATTCCTCCCATACCCCCACCCCTGGGAAACCATCAGTCTGCTTTCTGTCTCTATGAATTTGCCTATTTTAGACATTTCATACAAGTAGAATTATACACCCTGTGGCCAGATGAAAACAGGGTCTCTGGGGGCTCAGTGCTCTCCAAGAGGAGGGATCTCTGACCTTTCTTTTCCCATCTGCCCTTTCTCTTCTCTCTTCTTTTACTGAGCATGGTGTTTAAGGTCCATCCATGTTGTAGCATGTATCAGAATTTCATTCCTTTTCATTGCTGAATAATATTCTATTGTGTGGATATACCACATTCGGCTTATCCCTTTGTCTTTCACCTTTTCGCTATTGTGAATAATACTGCTGTGAACATTGATGTACAAATACCTGAGTTCCTATTTTCAGTAATTTTGGGTGTATACCTCACAGTAGGATTTCTGGGTCATATGGTAATTCAACTTTTTAAGGAACCACCATACTGTTATCCACAGCAAGTTTTACTATCTCTTAGTTTTAAAGTCCTCACATTACAGACAATTCTCACCTTTGATTGAACATCCAGCAATTATAGTATCTCCTGCCAGAACTTGTGTTGAGGAGAAAATAGGTTTGGCTTAGGAAGGTGCACTTGGCAAAGCCTCCCTTTACTTATCAGCATTTCTGAGACTCGTTTGTTTGCCCTGCAGCCTGTTGGAAAAGGCAGTGTCAAAAGCAGCTCTGATTAAGTCTAGAAAAACTCATTATAACACATGGGTGGCATGTTTGTTGGTGGGGGGGGCTGGGGGGTGGGTGCGGTTCCCAGAAACGGCACCACAGAGGGTGAGCTGACTTAGTGCTCAAGCATATAAGAGGCAGGCCTTGTAAACAGTGAAGAGAATGGGAATTTACAGAACATATAGGTTTTATTTCTCTATTCCCGAGCAATTTAGTTCTGGGTGCTTTGAGGATACTGATTAAATGGTCATATAAAGCAATCACAGATTATAGGGTCTTGTTGTAGAATAATACAATCTGATGATTGTCACCACCCCAGAAGACAATAGGGCAATAATCACATACTGCAGGTTCCAAGAAATATGATGAGACCTAGAAAAACGTGACTTCTTAAAAATATATACAGGCAGGAGGTAGGAATAGTGATTTACAGCAGTGGGAATGGAGGATCTCACTAGGGTGAAGTGTTCCAGAACTGATGTTGGGGGAGGGGTACGGGGGGTGTCGAACAATATGGTAATTTAATCAAAACATTCAATTGTACAACTGGGTGAATTCAATGCAATGTAAAATGGATCTCAAAAAAGTAAACATGTTTTTCATCAAAATTATTATTTTGAGACAGGGTTTCACTCTGTCACCCAGACTGAATTGCAGTGGTGTGATCTCAGCTCACTGCAGCCTTAAAGTCCTGGGCTCAAGCAGTCCTCCCACCTTAGCCTCCCAAGTAGTTGAGATTTCAGATGTGCCCCACCATGCCCATTTAATTTACATTAAATTAAATTTTAAATTTATATTTTAAAAAATTTAAAAATTTTTTTAATTTTTTGTAGAAATGGGGTCTCACTATGTTGCTCATGCTGGTCTCAACTCCTGGGCTCAAATGTTCCTCCTGCCTCAGCCTCCCAAAGCACTGGGATTATACGTGTGAGCCACTGTACCAGGCATAAATTATTTTTAAAAATAAAATGTCCTAGAGTCGCTGGGAATGTATGGAATTTCTTTAACTATTTAACAAAGGCCTCCAAGAGTCACTGTATTGATAACTCCAATGGATCTAATCAAACACGTAATTAGATGCCACATATATTCCACAAACACCATTGTACTAGGGGATGCTTCATTTCCTATTAATGGCTGGGCAGTCTCTGCCCATCCCCTGGTACAATGGGCCAGTCATGGGATATGCAGGGTCATATGATTGCAAGGTCATGAAATGACTCAGAGGCCTCTGCAAAACCAGGTCCAGAGGAACCCTCCAAATCCATCCTGGAGTGGCTGCAGTTTGTCGCCACCTGTTGGTAGCTCTCTGCTCAAAGCATAAAAATCTATAGGGGCAGTTCGGCCTCCTGGGGCTGGCTGGCTTCCAGAATCCTGGCAGTAATTCCAAGACTCTCTGAGTTGGTGAGCTGAATCTGCTCCTCAGCCTCAACCTGGAGGTAGGGCCAGAAGAAAATAGGATCTATGAGGACTCAGCGTTTTCCAGGAGGGGTCTCTGACTTTTCCATTGCCACCTGCCCTCTCTCAGCTCTCTACCCCCAGCTTCTCCCCAAAAATGTCAACCCCAGTCTTAGCCTGCCCTGGTCTTGGGACAGAAATGGGCAGAGGATGGAACCAATGGCCAATCAGCTTCTGCATATTCAAATTCCAATTATTTGAGGAGCTGTTATCCTTGGGTTTACTGGACTAACTTATATCCAGTGGAAAGAGCCTCTCTTGCAATCCCACGTCCTCACCATCAACAAACACAATTGCACCCAGCCGATAAATGATGAGATTTGGGATTTTATTAGCCATAATAGCATAGAAGTGGCTTGAGTGACTAATTGCGAATTATTTTCCAGCAAAAAGTACTCCTGACGACTGCCCAGACATTAATAGGAAATGAAGCATCACCCGGTACAATAGTGTCTGTGGAATATATGTGGCACTTGTATATTCGATTAGATCCATTGGAGGGATCAGTATAGTGACTCTTAGAGGCCTTCTTGAAATAATTAAAGAAATTCCATACATTCCCAGCTACTCTAGAACCATTTCTTTTCTTTAAATAATATTGATGAAAATCATGTTTACAAGTTTTTTGAGGTTTATTTTACATTGCATTTAATTCACCGAGTTGTACAATTCAATGGTTTTTATTAAATTACCAAGTTGCGCGATCATCACCATAAATGAGTTTGGGAATATTCTCATCACCCAAGTGAGATTCTTCAAGCCCACTGCTGTGAGTCCCTATCCCCACATCCCACCTGAATACATTTTTAGGAAGTCACATTTTTCTGGGCCTCATCATATTTGTTTGAACACAGGTCATGTGAATTTTGGCCTCTGGAGTGTTGATGATCATCAGATTGTATCACTCTGCAGTATGACCCTATAATCAGTAATTGTATTATAGGACTGTAGAAGCAGCATCCTTAAGGGACCCAGAATGAAATTGCTCAGGCATGGGGAAATAACATCCATGTGTTCTGGAAGCCCCCACGCCCCTCACTGTTCGTGATGCCTGCCTGTTTTCCGCTTGAGCACTGTCAGCTTGCCCCTCTTCTGCCATTTAGCCTGGCTTCTCTTCCCACTTCTAATTACAGTCATTTTCTACAAATCGCCTATGGAATTCATTCCTGTACTTAGCCCCTTAAGACTGATTTCTCTTATAGGCAAGTCAACACCTGTCGTTGCTTGTGTATCTCAGGCTGCTGTCATTTGGAGATGTGCATAATTATTTCGAAGACACAGCTAATAGAAAAGAGTAAGGGAAACATACTGAATGTTGGCACATTACACAGTTGTACCAAAAAAAGAGCAAATCACAAAGCTTTAACTTAGACATGGAAGCATGTGGGGTATGCTTGAGTAAGTATTTTTAAAAGAGAGAAGAAATCCAAAGCAGTATAATTTGGGAATATGCAATAAACCACCAGGCCTGGTCCAGACGGTGAATAATGAGTTCTTACCTACAAATAACAAAATTGGTAAGAGGCTTGATCTGTTGGTGATGTGGGACTTGACAAGTGGGATACCTGTTGGAAGTCTTGCCCAGCTAAAAACTTAATATCTGATCAGCTCTTTTCTTTTTTCTCAGTCAGTGTTATTCACTTTGTTTTATTTTATTCTGGGGCACATGTGTAGGATGTGCAGGTTTGTTACATAGGTAAACATGTGCCATGGTGGTTTGCTGCACAGATCAACCCATCACCAAGGTATTAAGCCTGGCATGCATTAGGTCATTTTCCTGGTGCTCTACCCCCAGCCTATCCTCCCCACACAGGCCCCAGTGTGTGTTGTTTCCCTCCCTGTAGGCATGTGTTCTCATTGTTCAACTCCCCCTTATAAATGAGAATATGTGGTGTTTGGTTTTCTGTTCCTGCATTAGTTTGCTGAGGATAATGGCTTCCACTCTCATCCATGTCCCTGCAAAGGACATGATCTCATTCTTTTTTTATGGCTGCATAGTATTCCATCTGGTATATGTACCACATTTTCTTTATCCAGTCTGTCATTGATGGGCATTTAGGTTGATTCCATATCTTTACTATTGTGAATAGTGCTGCAGTGAACATACACGTGCATGTATCTTTATAATAGAGTGATTTATATTCCTTTGGGTATATACCCAATAATGGGATTGCTGGGTCAAATGGTATTTCTGGTTCTAAATCTTTGAGGAATCACCACACTGTCTTCCACAATGATTGAACTAATTTACATTCCGACCAACAGTGTAAAAGTGTTCCTACATCTCCGCAACCTTGCCAGCATCTGTTGTTTCTTGACTTTTTAATAATTGCCATTCTGACTGGCATGAGGTGATATCTCATTGTGGTTTTGATTTGCATTTCTCTAATGATCTGTGATGTTGAGCTTTTTGTCATATGTTTCCTGGCCACATTAATGTCTTCTTTTGACAAATGTGCATTCATGTCCCTTGCTTACTTTTTAATGGGGTTGTGATCAACTCTTTTCTTTTTGGAAACTTTATCCTGCAGATCAAATATTGCTCTGAAATGGACTGTAATGAACAAGGACAGATTGGTTGTTGAAGTGAGAGTGGTAGAATCTTTGGGAGAAAGTGGCCATACAGTTTTAGAATCTATAATGGTAAATGACCAACATAGCTTGGCATGTGCATTGGGGTTTGGGAAAACAGAGTTTAGCATTGTTCAGATAAAAATATAGATATTATCTCCTGGCCAGGGACTCTGAGAAAGAAATGGATCAAGTGCTAGGATGTACTCAAACATGAAATATCTGCACATACAATCACAAAACCATAAAGCATCCAACAGAGAAGGGAAAAAAAGAAGCATTGAAAGAAAGCAATGCGGCCCTATAGGGTTTCTCTTTAATGAACCTAGACTTTGAAAGAGAATATTTGAGAAGTTGGAGAAGGGCTAGAGGAATGGCTTACTTTTCTATATATAATGTTAAGAAGACCAAAATCCCAAAGATACTGATAAGACTGATGAGAAAAAGACTCACTTCATTCCCTCATTTGTAGGTCTACCCTGATTCAATCTCCTCGCCCTTTCACCAGCCAGCATACCTGCTGCATGAAAACTAACCCATCACGCTCACCCTCCATTTAAACTGCATGCAACTTCTGAAACTGTAATAACAGACATATTTACTCACCAAGAATTGGCAGGCGATAACATTTTGCCATATTTTGGGTCGAACCCTAAAGAGTGGTAGTGAGGTTCTTTGAGACAATTGCATGGAAGTGCTCACCTGATTCATTCCAAAGTGCTGACTGACAGCCTCACCTGCATTTTGGGGATTCCTTGTCAGATTGATCTTCTCGTAAGGTGTAAGCCTCTTTTTGCGTTCTTCAGCATCCCAAATTTATCCCTCTCCTGGAATCCCAAACATCACAGTTGCTCCTCTCACATTTACTAGGAAATTTTGCTCTAAAAACTCTGAACAAACAAGCAAACAAACTGACAGGCACCAAATGGGTGTCATCAGATCTGCCTCCCTAACTTGTACTCAGTCCTTAGATGGGCCCTGATTGTAAGCTGCTGTGATGATTCCCCACCTGGCTTCACAAAGCCACCTTCCTTCTCAAAACGTTTGATCTCATCAGGCCCACATCCAAGTCTTCATGTCTACTGACATCTAACTGGCGTTGGCGTCTTCTGGAACTTCTTTTCGAAGGTCAGAATTGATCTTTTCATTGTCAAACCCAGTCAATACCTTTGTGATGATTAACACTTCTAGTTATCCCCTTTGTTTCAGTATCCATGGAGACAGTGTTCATATCACGGTGATGGTGGGGACAATTCCAGAATCAGAAAACCTAGATCCAAATTCTATCTTTTTCACATAGAATCTGAGCTGGTAAAAAAAAAAAAAAAAAAAAAAAAAGCCAGATGCAGTGACTCATGTCTGCAATCCCAGCACTTTGGGAGACTAAGGCAGGAGGATCCCTTGAGCCCAGGAGTTCAAGACTAGCCTAGGAAATGTGGCGAAACCCTGGCTCTACAAAATTTTTTAAAATACAAAAATCAGCCAGACATGGTGGTACGTGCTTGTAGTTCTACTTACTTGGGAGGCTGAAGTAGGAAGATAACCTGAGGCCAGAAGGTTGAGGCTGCAGTGAGCCATGATCATGCCACTGGACTCCAGCCTAGGAGACAGAGTGAGACCTGGTCTCAACAAAACAAAACAAAACAAAACCCCACCTCTGTACATATCAGCTTCTCTACTCCACCTATAAAATGGGAAGGAATAAATGACATGATTACAGGTTATAGTATCTGCAGAATGAAGATAACACCCAGCATATTGTTAGCCCTTAGTACACGATAATGGCAGTGACCTTGTCTGTTTCCTCCAGCATGAGCTACAAATATTTTCCAAACTCAATATGATTAAAATAAATTCTTTAGTGTCTCTTTTCTAGATTGACTGTGCCTTCAGTACTTCCTCGCTCAATCAGTGGGGTCCTCCATTATCCAGTTCATGAGCTAGAACCATTTATTCTCCATGCTCTTATCCACTTAGTCATCTGTTTGGCTGAGTTTCCAAAATACCTCTTGAATTTACCTCCACTCTGTCTCCATCATTACTGCCTTTCAGCCTCATCCTTAGGACTTTAACAATAATACACTATTTGGACATCTGAGCACCACCTCCCTTTTTGTGGTAAAAGTCTGTGATTTTCTTTCCATGTTCCTACCTTGCCTCTCCACTCACCCTCAGCTTCTGTGCTTACCCGGTTCCTTGCTAGTCCCTTAGTTTATCTCCTTTCCATTCAGAATATTCCTTGAACGTGGGTTTTGTATTGGCACTTTGGAACAGTTTCCATTGTTTTCCAATAACTCCCTGATCAGCCTAGCTCTAAAGTCACTCTTCGGTAATTTGGCCAATATCCCATGAATACCAAGATTTCACAGGATCACGGGGGTAAAGACTTTGACAGCCAAGGGTGATATCCATGGTAACAGCCAGTGAGAGGAATGCCTTTTGTGCAAAGTAGAAGAAAGTTGATTAGGAAAGGGGTGGGCTTGGAAAACCGACTAATACTGAGATAGCCGGCATACTCCAGCAGCTGGGTTTTAGAGCAGAGCACACATGGATGTGAAAGATCTGGAAATTGATTTCCTTAGAGCATCCCAACCCTTTACACCCCATCAGCATGTCTTTGTGTATCTCTACAAGTAGGTGTATTAGTCCATTCTCACACTGCTGTGAAGAAATACCCAAGACTGGGTAATTTATAAAGAAAAGAGGTTTAATTGACTCATAGTTCCACATGGCTGGGGAGGCCTCAGGAAACTTACAATCATGGCAGAAGGGGAAGCAACATGTCCTTCACATGACAGCAGGAGACAGAAGAATGAGAACCGAGTGAAGGAGGAAGCCCCTTATAAAACCATCAGATCTTGTGAGAACTTACTCGCTAACACAAGAATAGCATGGGGAAACCACCCCCATGATTCAAGTACCTCCCACCAGGTTACTCCCACAACATGAAGGGATTATGGGAACTATAATTCAAGATGAGATTTGGGTGGGGACACAGCCAAACCATATCAATAGGTGAGCCCCAGTCTGAAGACTAGTGGCTTAGATTATTGTATTTGGCTTGGCACTGGTGTCATTTTCTGCAAACCTCTGTTAGATCTACAGTCTACCCATTTTGCCTCTATGAAAATAATTTTCCCACAGCGTGTATCATTTTTCTTTAAAAACTTACCTCATCATACTGGCAAAACTCTTGCTCCTGGCTCTCTGAGATAATCCAGGATCATCTCCACATCCCCAAACCCTTAATATAATCACATCTACAAACTCCCTTTTGCCATGGAAGGAAACATTCTCAGGATCAGGGTACTAGAATGTGGACACCTTTGGGGGTTGTGATTCTGTCTACCCAACTTGGTTTCCATTGATGTAGTTTGTAAAGATGGACCTTGATCAAAATCTTTTGTGGGTGAGCCATTTATATGTTTAGGAGTTCATTAATAATGCGTAGCATTGTTTGTGAAAATAAAATCATAGTTATATAAATAGTAGTGTTGATTTGTTCATAAACAAGTAATGTGAACATGAACTTTTTCTGTGTCATCATGTCAATTTTATACAACATATAATTTTAATTTAAAATATATATATATTATATATGTATATATATATATTTTTTTTTGGAGTTGGGACAGGGTGTCACTTTGTCACCCAGACTGTCATCCTCTCACTGGCTGTTACCATGGATATCACTCTGTCACCCAGGCATGATCTCAGCTCACTGCAACCTCTGCCTCCTGGGTTCAAGTGATTCTCGTGCCTCAGCTTCCCAAGTAGGTGGAATTACAAGCACATGCCACCACACCCGGCTAATTTTTGTATTTTTTTGGTAGAGACAGGGTTTCACCATGTTGGCCAGGCTGGTCTCGAACTCCTGACCTCAAGTGATCCACCCCACCTCGGCAAAGTGCTGGGATCACAGATGTGAGCCACCATGCCCAGCCTTAAATATATATATATTTTTAAAGGCAAGGTCTCACTCTGTTGCCCAGGCTCAATTGTGGCTCACTGTAGCCTCAAACTCTTGGGCTCAAGTGATTCTTTCACTTCAGCCTCCCAAGTAGCTGGGACCATAGGCACATGCCGCCATTTCTAGCTAATTTTTTGGAGAGACAGGGTCTCGCTATGTTGGCTAGGCTGGTCTTGAACCCCTGGCAAGGAATCCTTCCACCTTGGTCTCCCAAAGAGCTGAGATTACAAGTGTGAGCCACCATGCCCACAATAGAGATTTTTAATTCTGACTGGTATATTTGAGCCAGTTCAGGGATATCTGATGGATATAGAGAGACAAAAGGTTTTTTGTACAGTAAATTAATTCTGTTAAGACAAAGCACATAAACAAATCAGAATGTTCTTCAGCATAATCAGACATGTGCAAAAGTTTAAAGTAAGTTTTGCCCTTTCCCTTGATTGTTCGATTGCTACCCGAGCTTCAGTGCTGAGATGCGCTACCTCTCTGTTCAATGATGCTACCTTTGGTGTTTGTTGAACAATTTTTCATCGAACCTAATTTAGAGGAAAAGATGTTTAGCTGTAGATACAATGAAGGGAATTTTAGCTCCTTCTGGCTTCATATACTCCCGCTGCCGCATCGTGGGCAGCAGGGGTATCGCCTGCATCGACTGAGTTCATCTGTTTTCCCCTCACTGTTGCCTTTGATTTTGTCCTTTTGCTTGGGTTCCTCTCTCCACTCCGAAAACATTCTCAAGGGCTGAGCTCCTGCAAAATCCTTTCAATTCTAAATGCCCTCAAGTAAAACATTATTCTTTCCTTTCCTAACAAACTTCTCATGAAAGTGGTTAACTAGCTTTCTCTAGTCCTTCTCCTGAAAGTGATAACTAGCTTTCTCTAGTCCTTCTCATGAAAGTGGTAACTTGCTTTCTCTAGTCCTCATGAAAGTGATAATGGGCTCTCTCTGTCCTTCTCTCTCTGTCCTTCTCATGAAAGTGGTAACTGGCTTTCTCTAGTCCTTCTCATGAAAGTGGTAACTGGCCTTCTCTAGTCCTCATGAAAGTGGTAACTGGCTTTCTCTAGTCCTTCTCATGAAAGTGGTAACTCGCTTTCTCTAGTCCTCATGAAAGTGATAATGGGCTCTCTCTGTCCTTCTCTCTCTGTCCTTCTCATGAAAGTGGTAACTGGCTTTCTCTGTCCTTCTCATGAAAGTGGTAAATGGCTTTCTCTAGTCCTCATGAAAGTAGTAACTGGCTTTCTCTAGTCCTTCTCATGAAAGTGGTGACTTACTTTCTCTAGTCCTTCTTGTGAAAGTGGTAACTGGCTTTCTCTAGTCCTTCTCATGAAAGTGGTAACTGGCCTTCTCTAGTCCTCATGAAAGTGGTAACTGGCTTTCTCTAGTCCTTCTCGTGAAAATGATAACTAGCTTTCTCTATCCCTTCTCCTGAAAGTGATAACTCGCTTTCTCTAGTCCTTCTCATGAAGTGGTAACCATCTTTCTCTAGTCCTTCTCATGAAAGTGGTAACCATCTTTCTCTAGTCCTTCTCATGAAAGTGATAATGAGCTCTCTCTGTCCTTCTCATGAAAGTGGTAACTGGCTTTCTCTAGTCCTCATAAAAGTGGTAACTGGCTTTCTCTAGTCCTCCTCATGAAAGTGGTAACTAGCTTTCTCTAGTACTTCTCCTCTGATTTCTTTCATATTCATAGGATCTCCTGCATGGTACATGTATTCACACCCAAGGCTCTGATTTCAAAACCAACCGGCAGTGAACAGCAGGAAACATCAATGTTCCCACTTGTTAAAAAGTCATTTCTTGACAACTGTTAGGCATCTGAGATTAGTCACCCATCTGCTGTCAATGAATGAGTGTATCTAAAAGGTTCAAAATACTGACTCTAAGAACTCATAGAAACAACAGTACAATGGCAGTTACCAGGGGCAGAGGGTGCGGGTGGAAGAATGGGGAGATGTTGGTGAAAGGGTACAAAGTTCCAGTTAGACAGCAGAAATAAATTCAGGACATCCATTGTACAACATGGTGACTGTGGTTAATGGTAATGTATTGTATACTTGAAATTTGGTAAGGGAGCAGAGCTTTAATGTTCTTAATCACAAAAACTGAGAAGTATATAAGGTGCTGGATATGTTAATTGACTTGATAATAATCATTCTACATTGTATGCATATGAAGCATAGTCTTCAGATTATAATTCCTAGAGAGTGTTCCTCATACTCTACGGCAGTGGTCCCCAACCTTTGGGACCAGTTTTGTCAAAGACAATTTCTCCCTGGACCTGGGGTGAGGGGGGATGGTTTTGGAATGATTCAAGTGCATTACATTTATTGTGCACTTTATTTCTATTATTATTACATTATAATACGTAATAAAATAATTATACAACTCACCATAATGTAGCTGAGCTTGTTTTCCTGCAACTAGACGATCCCATCGGGGGGTGATGGGAGACAGTGATAGATCATCAAGCATTAGATTCTCAAAAGGAGCACACAACCTAGATCCCTCACATGCACAGTTCAAAATAGGGTTCACACTCCTATGAGAATCTAATGCAGCCACGGATCTGACAGGAGGCGGAGCTCAGGTGGTAATGCAAGGGATGGAGAGTGGCTGTAAATACAGGTGAAACTTCACTCATTCGCCTGTTGCCCACCTCCTGCTGTGCAGCCAGGTTCTTAACAGGCCATGGACCAGTACCAGTCTGTGGCTCTGGGGTTGGGGACCCCTGCTCCACAGAGTCAGCATACAGGTGGAAACAGCCTTGACTCTCACATTCTCCAAAGCTCGCAGGCAAAAATTGGACATTGATGTCCTGAGGTTACTTCTGCCTGTAAAACTAGGTGTTAATTTAATGAATGTTACTGTAGTGTGGGGGAGTGGAAATCAACTATTAGGTAATTCATAGAAGTCGTCAGCTGAGAGAGCTGATAAGCTCCATAAATTCCCCCAGCTACCCAAGATTAATAATTTTATACTGAAAGCAAGTAATTATGAATTTGCCTCTAAATCACTTTTTTAAAATCCACACTCAAAAGTTGACAAACTGTCCTCATAAGTCAGACACCACTTATCAACCTGTTCACAGCATGGAAAACTCAGAGCTGCCTCTCCTTGATGGCATGCTTCTAAATGCAGTAACTCAATCCTGCTGTCTTAAGGAAGGCAATGTTTAATGCCCATTAAAGGAACCCTTCTTGTTTTGGTAGGCAGGGCCGCTATGTCTGCTCACCAGGGAATATGGATGCTATTCGATGGTAAAGTGACAAACACAGTAGTCCTTAACCACTTACACTTTTAAAGTTCTACACACATTTATGAATTCAATAAAGTGTCATTTTTCAATGGAATTGTTAGAACCCCAAATCTCAGTGTTACACAATATACTCGTGTAACAAACCTGTACATGTATCCACTTAATCTAAAATTTAAAAAGAAAAGAAGAAACTATTGTTTTTTAGCCTCAAATGTTAAAAATACAAATACCAGTCTGCTAACTTTCAGATCCTGGAGACATCAAATCAAAACTCATTTGTCGAAGCTGTCATTATGAACACCTGGGTTAATAAAGGAAGTGCAGGGCAAGACACATGAAGAGTGAAGAATAACAAGTACTGTTTTAGAGCCTCCTGTGAAGGTAACTGTAAGGTGTCAGGAGAAACACCCTCAGAGCATCGGAAGTGACTCTGCAAAGGACTCCTGGAGTGTGCTGGTCCAGGTCTCACAGTGAACTGGCCTTTGGACTGTGAACCTGGGCATCCCCACCAGACACCTATCACAGCCCATGTCATGCCAACATCACCTAGAGGCAGTGGGTTTCTGGTTGTTTACTGACTTAGCTCTGGCCTTGAAAACTTGGCAGCAGTTTCAGGAGTCTCCTGTTTGAGGCTGAGATGAAGCTTCTTTGTTCTATGGGTAGATATTGCAGGGATGCCTTTGAAAAACAAAAAACAAAAAGACAATGATCAAGCTGGGTGTGGTGGCTCATGCCTATAATCCCAGCACTTTGGGAGGCTAAGGTGGGTGGATCCCTTGAGCCCAGGAGTTAGAGACCAGCCTGGGCAATATGATGAAACAAACAAACAAAAAAATATACAAATCGGTGGCACACACCTGTAGTCCCAGCTACTTGGGAGGCTAAGATGGGAGGATTGATTGAGCCTGGTAGGCAAAGGTGGCAGCATGCTGAGATTGCATCACTGCACTCCAGCTAGGTCAACACAGTGAGTCCCCCTGTCTCAAACAAAAAAACAAAAAAACCTCAAAACAACCAATGATGATTATTTTTGTCATACCTTCATTCTGTTTTCCAAGCATCCCGCGATATTGGCTTTATCTATCAATCATAGAGCAGGCACTTACTAATTCATCCCACAGTGGTTGCCAGAAAGAGTTGGGTCTAGCTGAAGAGGAGAGAGGTAAAGCTATTGCACATGTGCATGCTGTAGGGGTGGGCTCAGTACTGATAGTGTGTCCTCACGTGCAGGGTGCTGGCTTCTTCTTGAGCGAATTCTGTTCCCCTGGCCTCAGCTGGCAGATACTCCTTATCATGGGGTGGCTGTAACTTGCATCAAGGCCTCCTGGAGAGCTTTTGGGGCCGGGTACCTAACTACAAGCAGAAATGGACTCTAGCATTCCCACTGACCTTTCACCACTCTGGTCCTTGTGCCTATAGTGTCTTTTCATAAATACAACCTGTTATTGGAGCGATTGGTGGAATATTGGATAGGAAAGTGCTTTGAACAACAGTAAGTGCGCATGGATTGTATAAGGTCCCTGGGTTTGATTTATGGGTGCTGCTTTGAGGAATGATAGAAATGAGGAAATTTATAACAATTCTCAGATATGACAAAAGACAGTGAGCTCCAAATCAGCCTTGCCTTCCCTGTCTACCTCTCTAGACTCTGCGGGGGGTGGTAATCTGGAGACCTCCATCAGTTCTTACAGATGGGACCTTACAGAAGGGACCTTATATCAGTTCCTCCATCAATTCTGCTTGCAATGAGCTGAATAGTCCCCCCAAAATCATGTGATTCCCACGACCTCAGAATGTGACCTTTTTTGGAAATAGAGTTATGGTGGATGTAATTAGCCAAGTTAAGATGAGGTCATGCTGGAGTAGGGTGGGCCCCATCCAATATGATTGGCGTCCTTATCAAAAAAGAAGACACTCGCGGAGGCATGATGTGAAGACACGCAGCACAAATGCCCTATTTCCACAGAGGCAGAGATTCAGGTGATAGATCTATAAGCCAAGGAGTGCCAGCAGTCAAATAAATGCTTTATATTTTGCTTGATTTTTTTTCACATTTACAGTTTTCATCCAGGTTGATATTTATAAGATGTACTTTTGCACAGGTCTTCATGTCCAATTTGGTGTTAATCTTAAACCCTAAGACTATTCATAGTTCCCCAGGAGAAACCTTCAGAACTCATTGTACAATTTAAGCAATAAATCCAGCAAATGTTTAGTAAGACCTCCCTCTGTCTGCTGCTGGACACAACCTCGTGGACAATGGAAATAAAAAGAAGATGTGGCTTCCATTGGGAGAATTACACAGTGGATTCAGGGAGACAAGATGTAAATGCCCCCCAAACTAAGATGCAAAAGGGCAAAATCACTTGCCCAAGATCACACAAGTAATGACTCACTGAACTAGAATTTGAGCCTCACTGTGCCTGGTCCACAGCTAAGGTTTTTACTGTTTCCTAACGCACACAGAGTTTGTTACAGTGGATATTAATCACATCACCAATGTAATCTTGCAAAAGAAGACATTTCCATTATGTAGAGCATAGGAATGAGAATAGTCAAATGATTCCGAATGCCTTCCATTCTTTTTGAGATTTCAAATCACCAATTAGCTCTTTCAAAATTGTAATACCGGCCGGGCATAGTGGCTCATGCCTAATCCCAGCACTCTGGGAGGCCGAGGTGGGTAGATCACCTGAGGTCAAGAGTTCAAGACCAGCCTGGCCAACATGGCGAAACCTCATCTCTACTAAAAATACGAAAATTAGCCATGTGTGGTGGCAGGCGTCTGTAATCCCAGCTACTCAGGAGGCTGAGGCAGGAGAGTCACTTGAACCCAGGAGGTGGAGGTTGCAGTGAGCTGAGATCATGCCACTGCATTCTAGCCTGGGCAACAAGAGTGAAACTCCATCTCAAATAAAAATAAAAAAAAAAATGGCAATACCCTTAGCATAAATGGAAGACTAGCAATTCTCCCACCATGAACAAGCCAAAAAGTGGCTTGAGTAACTTTGCAAAACACAAATCAAATTCATTGGCCAGTTTGAAACTATCCCCAATGCACAACAAGGAAGCAACAGAAGAAAATTCTGCAGTTGAAATTCTTCTCCCTTATTGGGTCAACATTATTATGTTTAGCTGATTTAGGGAATTAGCTTCATCATAAATTCAAATCTGGTTCTATTTTAGGCATCAATGCCATTTTATAGTTAGGCTCAACTACCAAAAATTCTAGCAATTTCCATCGTGGTCTTGAAATAAACCCAGACTCCCTGCAGCATGACTGAGTTTCCACCATGCAAAATGAAGAAATAATTGCCTGGAATTTTTAAAAAATCATTTTGCATTGCCAATTAAAAATTTACTCCTGCAAGACAGGGGCTTCTGTAAATCAGGGATGTGAGGGATTTGGTCTGATAATTCCAGGTGTTCTTCATGTATAGAGTGACACTTTGACATCCGCTTTGATTAAATTCAGGGTATTTCCACAGTCTTGGGTGACACATGCTGAATATTGATACACATCCCAAATATCTCATCTGAAGCCCTGAGAGCCAGGTGTTTTCTGGAATTCAGTTACGCATATTTTAGGAAGATAATATATGCCTTTACTTTACCTCCCAAGACACTCTCAGCAGGTGAGGGCAACATTCAATAATCAAACACATTAATATTTTTGCAGAAAAATGTATGACTATTCCTCCCAGTGGGATGCAGGAAGACCACAAGTGGTATAATATAGTGCATTTTTATAGTAATGCACTGGTAAATTAAATTGTGTGATGACAGACCATCAGTACCCTGGGCACTTCTGATTTCTAAGTAAAACATCAGAGAGAGTCAATTCAGAATAAGTTAAATACCTTTACACATACTTGCAATATACATCTGTGACCTCTGGTTGCTTCGGCTTTTTGAGAAGAGGTTGCATCAGGGCTGTCATAGGTCTCTCACTGAGTCTGAGTTGGCCACGTGTTGTTGGCCAGAGAACAAGAATGATCAGGGAACATCTTCTCCAAGGATGAAATGGCAATGTGAAAAATGACCCTTTAAAAGACTTCTCCCATTGCCGTCTGTCATGTGAACCTGGCATTCTCTCAGAGCATTTTTGCTAGTTGAATGAACTGTCTTACCCACTCATTCTCAAGGCCAACAATGAACAGATCACACATTCTAACCCTATCATCTAGGTCAGGGGTTGCAAACATTTTCTGTATAGGACTGCATAGTAAATATTTTCAGCCTTGTGGAGGATACAGTCAGCTCTGCAATTGTATTTCAAAAGTAGGTGTATAAAGGAATGGGCATGGTGTATTTCAATAAATCTTTATTTAGAAATACAGGTGGTAAGCTGGGTTTGGCCCATGGCCATACTTAGCTGACCCCTGTTGCATGGCTTTTTTTTCACTGTGGTTCACAATTCCATTATTATTATTACTATTATTCTCATGCTTATCAGTATATGGCAAACATAAAGTTAAAATGCACATCTTCTCTTGATGGAATACAAAATTCCTTGGCCATAAGTTTATATTAAATACATTTCATATTGAGGAAAAGAGCAGTACCTAAAACATTTCATTTTTAATGAAGTCTGAAGGAGGGAGGACACTTCAGAAACTATATTATTTTATGCTTTTTCTGTTAGCCCCGATTGTCTGCTACTGGTATGCTTGTTATTAGATTACTCAAAAAATGTTTCTCAGGAAATTCCTATTTGCATGATGATGAATAGGTAAATTGAGTTAACATTTCCATCATTGTGGATGTTGGCTTTTTCCAGTCACTGACAACTTTACTTTGTGTTTGCCTTTGAGTGTTAACACAACCAAGGACTGTCAATCCAAGCTTGCAGACCTCCCTCCTGTTGGCTTTTGTTAGGTGTTGTGAATGGCACAAGATCGGACAACAAGGTCTGCACATATTTGTGTCTTTCCACGAGGTTGGACTTGTGAAAATGTTTATTCAGTCGTAAAAGCCACAAGAGCCAATTCTCCTTAGTGCTAAGCACTCCTTATTACTTCTTAGTACTTCCCATTCACTTGGTAGCCAGAGCCAGGGACACACAGGCTCAAGCCAGTTTACAACAGTCAATATTGCAAACCAAACATGGCAGTATACTTAATCAATATATAAATGTTCTAGATTAAACATTCCATAACACATGTTAACATGTGTTGTAACATTTAACATCCATATAAAGGGGATAGGAAAAGGAGTTAATGAACCAGTCCATGGAGAGTGACATGGACAAGGAGAGTGTTCTGGGCTGATCTGGATGATAGCCCACATCTTGTAAAGAAGAGGCCTTGATTTGGGCAGAGGGTTCAGCAGTGGGTACATGGAGGAGACCACGAGTGTTAGCAAGACGGGGTCTAGTGAGGTGGTCATGTTGAACTGGTGAAGTCCTGCTAATATCCCCCTGAGTCCTCTGGTGAGGGGTGACAGTAAAGGGTTACAACCTCATCTGATTGGGTGCAGTCTGTATTGATTGGGCGAACATCTGGTCCTATTGGGAAGATGCCTTCTGAAAAGCAAGATGTAATCTTCTCCTAAGATGGAGTCACTTATGTCAAGAGTGCTCCTATACATTAGAGTTTCTCTAGGATTATAGCTTAGTAGCAAGGTGGGCTATTTGATCAGCAAGATGAGGCTATTTGATCAGCATTGTAAATATTTCCGGGAATAAACTGTTTCTTTAAAATCAGATATCATCTTAGGTCAAGTCATGGGAAATAGACTCTGAGGTGCTCAGGAGATTTTTTGTGGGGAGTGTATTCTTGGGGTCAACACTTGCAGGGGAGTGAGGAAAGGAAATTGAGGCCAAGGGAGGAGTTGAGCAGCACAGCTGTTGCAACAAAGACCTCAGCTCATTTCAGAGGGAGCTCTGGAGCCAGGAAGGTCCCTCAGAGGTTTCCCACCTTGAGGCAAGGAGATGCCATCCCCTTGGAAAAGGCAGTTCTCTTTGACCGAGGCCAGTTTCCAGAGACAGACTTTGCTAAGTGTGTCAGCCATCAAAACTATCAGCAGCAGCTGGGGGAGGAAGACTTGGGTCTTCCCTTGACATCTAAGTTGCTACCACAGCACCCACAAAGGACGTTCTCTGTGCAAATTCTCGGCACCATACTCTATGTCTTCCTCTTCAAAATACACTTTTTCACCCTGGATTACCATTTACCCTTGTAAATTCCTTCAATCAATCTCTAGAATATTCACAGTGGTTTTCAGTGCTTACTTCTACATGGAATGTTCTGGAAGCTTTCACGAGAAAGTAGGATAAATGACTCATCCTAGCTTGCCTGAGACTGTCCCAGTTTGAAAACTGGACCTCATCAGTCCTAGACACACTGGGATGTGGTTCACCCTATGGCAAATCAATCAGTCAAATTTCAACAACTAACCTTTCCACTTTGTATACTACAGTCAGTCTTCTTTAATAACTACACGGCCTGGGCTATGGCTAAGGAGAAATGCATTCTCTTCTTCTTCTCACTGTTGAACATAGGATGCCTTTAACTCTTTTTGACATTTTCACAGTCAAAATTAAACCCGTGCCATTAAACCTGAAGTCACAACAAAGTAACACAATACTAATGAACAGCAGAAGCTGGTAGGCTGAGACAAGACTGATGCCTCAAGTTGGTTCAGTCTGGGTTTTGATGCTCAATACAACAAAATGGGCATTACAAAAATCATTTGGTTTTCAGGGCTTTTTGTGTCTCAGAATTATGGACAACGGATGGCAAACCCCAATGGCATTCTTAGATCATTATCATTTTCAGACTTGTACAACTGGAATTTCATTTGGAGGGGGCATGCAAATGAGAAAAATGGCCAAGCAAATGGCAGTTGTGAGGATTATAGATAAACAGAGACTCAAGGGGATAAAGATGCATACTTATTATCTTTGAACACACAAATCAGAATGTAGGTTCCTCATAATAAAACAGGCTTAACCAATCTTCTTGCTCTGTGACTACAGTTTGGATTATATATTTTATCAGAAGAGACTTATTTTCATATAACTTGTGATAGTAACAGAGGAATCACCATAGTTACTAGGTGCGATTGTTTGAGTCAGCTGGGTACCATTCCCCTTCACCCCTAAAACCTATTTGCCTGTGCTTGTAGCCACACCCACTTTAATGAGCATTGGATGAGTGATCTAGCACAGCATTCCTAAACCTTGGCACTGTTGACACTTGGGAGAAGACCATGCTTTGTTGATTGAGGGCGGGCACTGGGCTGGATAGTTCTTTGTCTTGGGGGCTGCCTTGTGCATTGTAAGATATTTACCAGAATTCCTGCCCTCTGCCTACTGGATACCATTACTGTCCCCCAAATTGCAACAACCAAACCTGTTTCTACATATCACCTTCTGTTCCTGGTGGGGTAAAATTACTCCTGGGTGAGAACCCATCTCATACTAATTTGAAAAATGTCCTCGGAACGTGGGCCTTTAGATTTTCCATTGTGCTGTTTCATTCTGTAAGTATAGGCTCTTCGTGGCAGTACCACTGTGATAAGCATTGTGACTTAATCCCTTCAGATATGTTCTTTGTCTTCATTTCTCACTGGGGGGTTGGTAAGCACTGAGTATCAAGTGTGGGTCAAAGAGCTTCCATGCTGATACCTTAAAATCTATTTTCTGTAAATAAAAGGTGGGGACAAAAAAAGGAAAATAATGACCTTTCTTATCTCGCAAGGAGAGACGCCCAATTGTTCAAACCCACATCCATGCAATCTTAGTCTTGCCTGATGATGTCATGGTGAATGAGCAGAAGGGGAGACCCTGCCCAGTGGTTTTGTCATTCCTGCAGTGGGAGGTTAAGGATCAATGTTGACAGCACACTATTCCATTTCAACAAGAATCTAACATGAAAAGCCATGCTGGAAGATTGATTACAGTTTCAAATGCCATCTCTGGGGGGAAAAAATAACATTTCTGAGATTCTGATTGAACCTCAGAAATTGTTGCTAGAAGCCTAACTTTAATAAAGCAAAATCCACATTTATAAAAATCTATATGGAATGGTAATTTTTCTCTGATGTGATATTCTCTTGTGAATATTTTTTTTTACCAAGTGGGATTATGCTTCATATTTCAAAGCATAAACAATAGATTTATATATTAATAAATAGTTCAAGACATATACTAGATTTTTGGTCTAAATGTCAACAAGTTAAAAGAAAAGTCTTCAATAGGTTCAAAGCTATCTTCTTGGCTTTCTTTTGAGACCCATTTTCTATTCATTTCTAGGACTTTGTATCAGAGGTCAAAAAACTGTTTCTGTAAAGGGTTAGATAGTAAATAAATATTTCCAGCTTTGAGGGACAAATAGTATCTATCACAACTACTCAACTCTGATATTGTAGCACAAAAGCATTAAGGGAGTGGAGGCAGCTGTGTTCTGATACACTTTGTATTACAGACACCGAAATTTGAGTCTTACGTACTTTTCACATATCCCAAAATAATATCCTTTTTTCAACCATTTAAACATGTAAACATTCTATGAAAACAGGTGTCAGGACAGATTTTTCTTGTGGGCCATTGTTTGTGCAAACCCAGCCCTATTCAGAAAACATCTATTGAGTGTTTGCTGTGGTGAACAAATGAGATGTGGTCTCTGCCTTCTTGATCCTTAGAGCTGTGGAAAGGACAGCTGTCACATGAATAAATCAGGAAATAAATGAATCTATTATACAAGTAGTAATAATTGCTATCTGGGGGAAAAGAGGTGCTATAATAGTCAACAGTGGGGGAGCCTGCTTCATACAGGGTAATGAAGGAGGGCTTCCTTGTGGCAGTGGTGTAAGCCAAGAGGTGAGGATGGGTAGGAGTTAGGCAGAGAGTGGGAAGAAGAAAAGTGGGGAGAGAAATCCTCTAGACCAGCAGTCCCCAACCTTTTTGGCATGAGGGACCATTTTTGTGGAAGACAGTTTTTGCATGGACAGGGAGGGGGATGGTTTTGGGATGATTCAAGTGTGTCACATTTATTGTGTACTTTATTTCTATTATTATTACATTGTAATATATAATGAAGTAATTATACAACTCACCATAATGTGGAATCATTGGGAGCCCTGAGCTTGTTCTCCTGCAACTAGATGGTCCCATCTGGAGGTGATGGGAGACAGTGACAGATCATCAGGCATTAGATTCTCATGAGGAGTGTGCAACCTAGATCTCTCGCATTTGCAGTTCACAATAGGTTTTGTGCTCCTATCAGAATCTAATGCCATGGCTGATCTGACAGGAGGTGGCGCTCAGGCAGTAATGTGAGTGATGGAGAATGGCTGTAAATACAGATGAAGCTTGGCTCACCTGTTGTTTACTTCCTGCTGTGCAGTGTGATTCCTAAGAGGCCTAGGGGTTGGGAACCCCTGCTGCAGTAAAGAAAGAGCTTAAGAGGCTGGGCACAGTGGCTCACACCTATAATCCCAACACTTTGTCAGGCTGAGGCTCTGTTTAGCCCAGGAGTTTAAGACCAGCCTGGACAACATAGTGGGAACCTGTCTCTACCAAAATTACAAAAATTAGCCAGCTGTGGTGGTACACCTGTAGTCCCAGCTACTTGGGAGGCTGAGGTGGGAGGATTACTTGAGCCTGGGAGGTCAAGGCTGCAGTGAGCCATGATCATGCTGCTGTCTGGGCAATAAAGTGAGACCCTCTCTCAAAAAAAAAAATACTAATAATAAATAAATAAATAAAAGAGCACATGTCATTTAAGTATGTCAATATATGATTACCCAGCGTGTGATTATTCATCTTTTGAATGAATTCACAGGAAGAGCCCGATGCCCTTGGTTTGACTCTACTAAGAGCCCCTCAGTTGCTGAACCTGCACACAGTCATCTCAGTAAGTTAAGATCTTCCTGAGGACAATGGCGCAAGATCGTCTTCAGCTGTTCATAGCGTAAGTATGAGAGGTGCATATGTTTGTATCTTCGCCCTGAAACTCAAGTGTTTGACTCACCCAGACCATGTTGTCTAAGTCAAATAGTGGTATGCAGTGATCTTGATAATGGTATTGAGGACATTCTGTTATTGCAGGGATGACATACACATGGTGCTATTGCAGCTATCTTTCATTCAGAAAGAACTTTCCATCAAAAGGTCAAAGGGGAGCATCTGTGGGGCAAATATATTTTTATAGAGAAAGACTGTCCTGGGCCAATGGGGGCAGCGTGCATAATCTGATGAGCATAAGCAAGTGGCCTATTATGTGGCAAGTCTAGAGGAATATAGGTATGGGGGCTTACAAATGATTTAATGCATCCTCTGGACCCTTGAGGTGGCTCTACTCTAGTTGAATCAGCAAAGGTACAGAAACATGGCACAGTGGGAAGGCTCACAGTACACCTGTTCTCAGCTGATCAGCTGCAGCAATACCTGAGGGACAGAATGGGGTCCCTCCTCTCAGGAAGAGCTCCTCCGCCTGGTGGAGGTGAGGGCTGAGGTCATACCCAGGTCTCTCCCTGCAGGAAGAGCTCCTTTCCCTGGTGGAGTTGAAGGTTGAGGGTATATCCAGGTCCCTCCCTGCAGGAAGAGCTCTTCCCCCTGGTGGAGGTGGGGTCTGAGGGCATAACCAGGTCTCTCCCCGCAGGAAGTGCTTTTTCCCCTGGTGGAGTTGAAGGTTGAGGGCATACCCAGGTTCATCCCTGCAGGAGGAGCTCTTTCCCCTGATGGAGGTGAGGGCATACCCAGGTCCCTCCCTGCAGGAAGAGCTCCTCCCCCTGGTGGAAGTGAGGGCTGAGGGGCAGAGCATGGTCCCTGCCTGCAGGAAGAGCTCTTTTCGCTGATGGGAGGTGAGTGTGCATGGTGCAAGTCTTTAGGGTGGATGAGGGAAACATAGTTTTAAAAGCCCCTGCAGGGAAGAATCCCTGTTATTTTACACCTGTTCTTGGACATGTCTGGACCACTATGGCACTATGCTATCAGAACACCAGGGGGCACAATATTTGGCCATTCAGAGCATTTATGGTCCCCCATAGCAGCTGGCTCAAAGAAATGGGCAGGAAGATACTTTTGGAGGAGATATTTGGTTCAAATAAGTGTGAAGAGACTCCCAAAGTCAGAGACCCTGGGGCTGGGGATTCCATCCCACCCCATGCTGGCAGTGTGTTCCCAGGAGAACGTTTCACCTCTTCCTGCCTTAGTTTCCTCCTTTGTAAAAAGCGACTTAAAGATGCTGGGCCCGGTGGCTCAGGCCTGTAATCGCGGCACTTTGGGAGGCCGAGGCGGGCAGATCGCCTGAGGTCAGGAGTTTGGGACCAGCCTGGCCAACATGGTAAAACCCCATTTCTACTAAAAATACAAAGATTAGCCCGGCATTGTGCCATGCACCTGTAGTACCAGCTACTTGGGAGGCTGAGGCAGGATAATCGCTTGAACCCCGGGGGCAGAGGTTGCAGTGAGCTGAGATTGTGCCACTGCACTCCAGCCTGGGCTACAGAGCAAGACTCCATCTCAAAAAAAAAAAAAAATAGATGAACGGCAGTTTCATAGGGTGCTTATGAAACGTAAAAGATGACCTCTGTTTTGGGAAAAATGTGGTGAAGACCTGGATGATCCTGCCAGCCAGGGAGATGGGAGCTGAAAGCGGGCTTGCAGGGTGATTTAATGATTTTCAGAAGGCAGCTTCGGGGGTTACGGATGGTAGTAGTTATGTGTCAGGGTAGACTTTGCCCTTCAGAGAGAATTTGGTAAAGTTTGGAGACATTTTTGGTCGTCAGAACTTTGGAGTGGGGTGCATGTAGTGGGTGGAGGCCAGGCGTGCCGCTAACCATCCCACGGTGCACCCACAGTTCCTCACAAATCCGAAATGTCGTGCTGAGGGCGACAAACCCTGCTCACTGCAACAAGAGGCTTTAACTTAATCTTCTCTTTCTTCCTAGAATAGTCAATGGTCTTTTACTTTGAGGGATATGAGTCAGAATAAGAATTAAAGAGAACAAAAGGACAATGACCTTTTAGGATTTTTCTTTCTATTAAATTTAAACCCCATAACAGAGGATTCTCCGTCTGAAAGCAACATCCGTGGAGGCTTAAAGCCTCAGCTTATATTCATTCCTAACACTTAGCAGCTTAACAGATTCATTTTCCATTGTGATTTCTGTAATTTGTTCTTTAAAAGGATTGTGTGTTCCTTTTTCTGTTTCAGAAACAAACTTTTTGGGCATTTTCAAGAATAATTTATTTTCTAAAGTTATTGATAATACACGGGCTGGCATGAATTTCTGACCTCGCTTTCAAAGTCTTTAGCACCAGCTAAGTAGGGTTTTTTGTTGTTGTTGTTGTTGTTGTTTATTTAATTTCTTTGGAAACTGTACATTTTGCAGGGAAATGCTTTAAGTACCTTTTTTTTTTTTCGGTCATTTTAGTCTACGGGAGAGATTGACATTCCCTAGATCCAGCTAGAAGGGCTCTGAAAAAAATGACAGATGCAGTAGCTAATTAAAAATATGCAGCTGAAAGGGTTCATGATTAATTCATGATAAACGAATACAGCATTCATTATCCTTTCCTAATGTTCTCAGATAAAGTGGGAGTGTTGCAGTGGGGGTTAAAATATTTGTTCTAAATATCTAGTAACAGTGTCCATTCTATCTTACTAGCATAAAGCCATCCTCATAGAGGTATTTTAATGTGCTTCACAATTCAGAATTCAGGGTTCTTACATACAGAGTATTAAACTCTCTCCCTCCCATAAATGGATGAAGACTTTGGGGATTGTCAGGAGAACACTTATATTGTCTGTAGTTTTCCTGATTTGTTCTCCTCCAAGGAAAAGGTTTAGTAATAGGAAAATATTATTATTATTTTTTTTGAGACAGACTCTCACTCTGTCGTCCAGGCTGGAAGTGCAGTGGCACAATCTCAGCTCACTGCAACCTCCACCTCCCGGGTCCAAGTGATTCTTCTGCCTCAGCCTCCTGAGTAGCTGGGACTACAGGCAAGCGCCACCACGCCCGGCTAATTTTTGTATTTTTAGTGGAGATGGGGTTTCACCATATTGGCCAGGCTGGTCTCGAACTCCTGACCTCGTGTGGAGGCTGGGATTTTTAAGGACAGTTTGGCGGGCAAGAGGCTAGAGAATGGGAAAGGCTGATTGGCACCATCAGCAAAGAAATCACAGAGTTATCAAAACTGTCGTTGTGTGCCGAGTCAGTTCCTGCATGGGGGTCACTGGTCCAGTGACGTCACTTGTTCCACCAGAATGCAAAATCTGAAAAATATTTTACATACCAGTCTTAGGTTTTACAATAGTGATGTTATCTATAGGGGCAATCAGGGAAGTTGCACATCTTGTGACCACCAGCTACATGACTCCTGAGCAGTAAGCAGGTTACGAAGCAATGGCTAGTTATCATGCAACTATGTATAGGTCTTAGCAGAATGCAGGTCCCTCCCACAAGTCTAACCTTGGGGCCGTTCATTAGTTTTACAAAGGTGGTTTTGGTCCCCGAACAAGGAGGGGTAGTTTTGGGAAGGGACTGTTGTCATCCTTGCTTTAATGTTAAACTGTAAACTAAAATCCTCCCGTAGTTGACCTGGCCTACCCAGAAATGAACAAGGGAAGTTAGCTTGTGACATTAGAAGCAAGATGGAACCAGTTATGTTAGATTTCTCTCACTGTTACAATTTTTGCATAGGCGTTTTTCAAATTCCTATTGCTTTGTTACGTGATACAGTCACGCATCGCTGGATGACAGGGATACGTTCTGAGAAATGCTCTGATGGGTGATTTAGTCACCGCGTGAACATAATAGAGTATACTCACACAAACCTACTATACACGCAGACTGTATGGTATGGCCTATTGCTCCTACACTAAAAACCTGGACAGCAAGTGACCGTACTGAATACTGCAGGCGGTTGTAACACAATGGTAATTATTTGTGTATCTAAACATGTCTAAACATAGAAGGTACTGTAAAAAATATGGAATTATAATCTTATAGGACTACCATTGTATATATGATTCATCGTTACCCGAAACATCGTTATGTAGTACATGACTATATTTATAAAATAAGTGTGGAGGCCGCAATGTTTCTTTTCCATGTTGCTTCTTTATGTAGTATTCAGCACGTGGGAGATTTTTGTCAAGAAGTGCATTTAGAACTTGTCTTTGGTAATACCTGTACCACCCTCCAAACTTCTCAACTTCTACTCTTTTACCCAAGACAGGGTTCACGTGACAACATAATGACTACTGAATACAATCTCTAGAGTTGTCTCAGGATTTATAGACATAGTAGTGGATTTCACACTTCCCATTCTGTGTTTGTCTCTGCATGGTTTGCAGAATCAGGATTAACACAGGTGTTGTGGCTCTGTGGACCTGTGAATTAGTGCAAGAGCGACAAAGCCTGTCTTGCTTTTTCTCGGCAAGCACACCCTGGCTTCAGAATTGAGAATAACTTTGTTCTATGTTTTAAAACATAGTGTATAGAAGTGCCTAAGGAAGAAAACATTGCATTTATAAGAAGACGTCTTACAAACACTCCAGCCAAACACTTAATTTGCTATCTTTACATCCACTCTAGTGAAAGCACTTAGAATGTTTGACTTTATGTTCAGTGCTTGGCAAACTGCTCCTGTTGGAACCCTCAGGGTTCCTCAGGCTGCTCCTGGGAGCTTCTTCAGCCCTGCGGTGGGAATTGTCAGAGATTTAATTCCACCCACTTCTGTAAGAACAGCACTGATTTTCATCTCTATTAGACATTCTTATGGATAGAAGTTTCTGTGACTAAAAACAATGACAACCATTACTTTCTCTACCTGTTCTGTTTTATAACAGAAGGCAACACTGAAGCTGAAAGATATTAAGCTGTTTATGTAAAGACTAGATAAGGTCTGTGGATACCCTCTCCTGCATCTTAGCCGTGATTTCTTTAGCTGAATTATTGCATAGGGAAGGAAAAAGTAATTTTTCCTCTACCCTGTCTGAGTTCTTATCTAGGACAGACCCTTGTAACAAAAGGCAGATAAACAAGAGAAAACAAATAGTTTATTAACATGGATACCTCCTGTGTATCTGGGCAATATCCAAGGAATATTGAGTAAATCTCAAAGAAGTGAAAGAGAGAAAGGTGTGGGAAGGGACAGTTATGGAGAAGTAACCAGGAAAAGTATGGTAAACCAGGGTAAGGTTGGCTGTGCACATTTCAGTTGGTGCCTTCTCCAACCTTAAGAGTGTTTAATCATTCAGCCTTCCTTCTCTTCCAGTACCATGAAGGAGAAACCCTTACAAATGGAGATTTCCTTTACAGATGTAAATCTCTCTTAGAAAACAGTAACTTCTACTCTGTTTTAAGAGCTTCTCCTGTGTCTGCAATTACTCAAAATAATTCTTACGCCAAAGAAGCACATTGTGGGGTGACGTATTCTTGTCCTTTCTTACTGTACTGATGTAAAAAAAAAAAGTGATATATGCATATGTGTGTATACACCTCTCTCTCCACTGTCTTCTACACTTTCTAGCCATGGGATCCACACCACCACCACTACAACTATCAGTGACCACCACAACAAAGAGATGGACGGATTTTAGTGGAATAAATTATTTTCAGACTCAAAGATCTTTAATGCAAACAATCTGAGCTGTCTTTCATTTGTTTCTTAGCTGTCTCTTCACGTGTACCTGTCTCTCTATCTGTATTTTGGACACCTTGGGCTGAGTCATCTTCATGTCTTAGGTATGCAACTCTCTGGTCTCCTGGTAGTCTGCCTGTATCCATCAAGGTCTCCCTCTCACCACCAGCAGCCAGAGGCACCTTCTCAAAACCCAGGCCTAACCCTGCCACTGGCCCTGTTGGAATCCTTCAATGGCTTCCCGTTGGAAGGAAGGTGGAATTTCAGAACCAGGCCTGGATGGGTCTCCATTGTCTGCCTCCTACCTTTCTTCCTACTCTCAGGTCCTCCCTGCATCTGCCTCCCCCTGGCTTTCTTTTACCCCATCAGGCAACTTGTCTTAAAACCTGTCCTACTACCCAGGCTGTCTTCCCCTCAGGGCCATCTCCCCAGCCAACTCCTCCTTCCAGTAGGCTTCCTTCCTCTCTTTGGCTAAGTAATGACCACTCCGTGCTCCAGGCACTCTTGTTGCATTTGCAGTTTCATACTATTTCTTGTGTGATTATTTGTCCAATATTGATTATTTGAATAAGATCTGACTTTGCAAACACATTGCAAAGTTCTATGAAGGCAAGACCATGCAGTGCATCCTACTGTTACAGGAAAGGGGTCCCGAGCCAGACCCCAAGACAGGGTTCCTGGATCTTGTGCAAGAAGGAATTCAGGGGGAGTCCACAGTACAAAGTTTATTAAGAAAGTAAAGTGGTGAAAGTACAGCTACTCCATAGACAGAGTAGGGCGTTCCCGAAGCTAAGAGGAGGAATGTGTCCACTCTAGGTACAGTACTTGTTTACATATAGGATAAAAAAAGATCATGGGGTGATGTGCTCTGCTACAAGTGTTTGTGATAAAGGATTAATTTTCTTAATTGCTATATTTTACAAGAATCGATATTATTATATTTAAAGCAAAATTAGGAATGCCTCTGTTCTCAAGATATCAGGGTGTTAGGACACTCCCAGTTCTGGGTCTGTTTACTAAACATTATCAATCTGTTCCCTTAACCGTAAACATCTAGAGGCTAGGAACACCTAACTTTCTGGGAGTGCAGCCCAGCAAGTTCCAGCCTCATTTTCCTAGCCCTCACTCAAGATTGAGTCGCTCTGGTTCAAACCCCTCTAACACTACTGTATCCCTACGATGCACAGCGTGCCTTAGTAGATGTTTAGTAAATAACTGCTAAATACATGGATGAAAAAAATAGTTCCAATGCCATATTAATACAATACTGATAAAAATTATATATTTTTGGATTTCAGTCACACAGGCAAAAAACAACTTTCTGATATGATTTAGCCAATAACTGACACCAATATAAAAAATGATCTGTAACCCCCCCAATGGATTATCTTTGCCCAGGTAGAGCTTGTTTATCAAGACAGAAATAGAGAAAGAATTGAATGCACACAGAGCCAGTTAAATGGGAGACCAGAGTTTTATTACCCAAATCACGCTCTCTGTGCATTTGGAGACTGAGTTTTTTTTAAGGGAGGTAGGGGGTTAGGAAGTGAGGAATGCTGATTGGTCAGATTGGAGATGAAATAATAGGGGCCCAAAGTGGGTTCTTCTTGCTGTCTTCTGTGCCTGGGTGAGATTGCAGAACTGATTGAGGCAGATTCCTGGTCTGCATGGCACCAGTTGGTAGATCAGATCACAGGGTCTAAAAAACATCTTCAACTCCAATCTTAGGCATTCCAATAGTGACGGTATCCCTAGGACCAACTGGGGAGGTTGAGAATCTTGTGGCCTCTGACTGCAGGACTTCTGAGCCATACTTTCTAAACTTGTGGCGAATTTGTTGTCCTACAGAGGTGGTGTGTCCCCAGGCAAAAATGGGATTTTTTTCCGGAAAAGGCTGTTACCATTTTTGTTTCCATGTTAACACTGTAAATTCCTCCTGTAGTTAGCTCAGTCTGTGTTCAGGAATGAACGAGGGCAGTCTGCAGGTTAAAGGCAAGATGTAGTTGGTTAGGTCACATCTCTTTCACTGTCGTAATTTTCTCACTGCTTTTGCAAAGGCAGTTTCAGATCTTTAACCCTGTCTGGGGTTTCACAAACTTTAGCCTTGTTCTGTTGAGTTTATATCCTCAAATAGGGTGAAGCCTAATACCTGTTAAAAGATTTTATCCAGTGAACCTACCCAAGATTCCAGAGGAAAGCAAAAACGTCTGCTGCCTGGCAGCAAGTTTTTTTTTTTTTCTTTATAGAGTTTTAAACTAAGGTCCATGAATTTCCTGCCATATTTTCCTGTGTGTGCTTCAGCTGCCTTACTGACAATCACTTAATAAGTATAGCAGTTCCTTAGTTTATACTGCATGTGAGATAGCTGGCTTATGAGAATAATTTTTCTATATAAAATTCATATTTAATCCTCCATTTTAGGAGTGAGTTCTATAGAAAGTTCTATGGAAATTCTCTATTTTAGGAGCGAGCCTGCAATACAGTTTTCAAATACAATATTATGATATTTGAAGTCAATCAGGAAGTGATCCATCTATACTACAACTTCTCATCATGTTTCAATATAAAATGTTGGAAGAGTAATGAAGTGTCCAAAATTAGATTGATTTTATAATTTAGGGTCACAGCCTTCTAATTTTACAATAATAATCAGTTGACAAAGAATGGTTAGTATAATACTTGTGTTAATCGATCCTACTTTCTATCTCTATTTTATTAAAATCAACTCTGAATGTTATAGCATAGTAGAAATTTACCACTTATTATAATAAATCGTGTTTTCACAGTTTCCTCTTCTCTTAACTTAAAACTTAGGTTCTTGCTTAGACTTCTAAATTTTTATGACTGTTTTAGTTTCTGGGAGTCCTTAGGGTTTTTGCAGTTTCTTTCCAGAGCCTGAGGGGCTTTGCTGTATGTTTGTGTGATATTTCACACCTGATGAATGGAGAGCCAGTTGATATTAGTCATCTGTCAACTTTATTTATTTCAAGATTCCAGTATTCAGAGTGGGGGTTGATTAAGTACATAGCCAATATAATATACATTTACAATAATGAATCAGATGTCATTTCCTTGCTTAGTTACTTATGTTCTTTGCTTTTTAAAATAAGGCCCAGACCAGTTATTCTGAGATCCAAACTTTGACTCTTATATAAATTTAAGGACATTTTTCTTTGCTAGAAATAAAAAAAAAAATAAATTACCTAATAAAACCCTTAGCTTTGGAGACATTACCATACAAATGTAAAAGATAAGTATGTGAAGCACATTTAATAACACTGAACCTAATAATGATAACTCAAACTCATTTTGATTTCCTACCTACAAACCACACATTTGAAGTATTAGAAAACTTTGTGAGCTTTCTTTTTTTTTTTTTTAATAATACTGTTGTGTACTTTATTTCAAATATTATCCTAGGTCCTCTTGTATGAGAATATCTAGAATCAGTTTAGTCTTTAATTCCTAGTTTTCTTCTTAGTCCTTTGAAAATATTATTTAAGTAATATTTTTTGTTTTTTACTGCTAACTCCCCAAATTTGTTATAAGGAATATTTTTGTTATTTTCTTCTTTCATCGCATGGGGGAAGATTCAATAACTATGATGTAATTCCTTTAAGAAAATTTTTGTCAGACATGTCGGAAATTTTGAAATCCCGTATATTAACTCTAGACTCTCAAATTTCAAATCATATTATGACGTCTCTGATGGAAAAACATGCTTCAGCTTTCTCTGCCTCTGACATGTAATTGATAACCTCATGTTCTCATTTTGGGAGATAGAACTAGTGAAATGGGACCAAGCAAATGCTAAAAACAATAAAATGAGCTCTCTTGCTGTCTTTGGATGTTTCTTGGACCAAGCATGAAAAAGATGGATGAAACGGAAAGGGAGGAGGGGAGATGATTTTTCGTTTGTGTGTTCAGTGACGGGAAGGAGATGCCAAGGACAAAAATGGATGCCCCAGTGCCACAGTGAACATATTTCCTTAGCTCTGAGTTTGGTAGTGGGGGCTTCTGTGGATTCACACCAAGAACCGCAGTCCAAGCATATTTTGTAGTCTCATCTGACACATTTCTCTAAAGCTTAGCCCTTCTTAAACTCTCATGTTTCAACCACTTTGCCCCCTTTCCCCTGTTCACCTGCAAGCCACACATGACCCTCAGCACATATGACAAGAGCTGTCTTTCCACATGCAGTTTGCTTTGCCACCCACAGTTTAAATGAAGCTATATATAAAACCATAAACTGGTTAGATGGGTGGATGGATGGATGGATGGATGGATGGATGGATGATAGACAGATACGTAGATAAATGATAGATCGATGGATGATAGATAGGCAGGCAGCTATATAGATAGATGATGGATGCATGGATAGGTAGATGGATGGATAAATAGATGGCTACATGGATGATAGACAGATATATAGATAGATGATGGATGATAGGCAGACAGATATGTAGATAGATGATAGATAGGTGGATGGATGGACAGATAAATAGATGGATATATAGATATATAGATATCTAGATTGATATATAGGTTGATGTCAGATAGATGGATGGATAGATAGATAGCAGTTTCCATTTCTGTACTTTTATGGTTTTCATGTTGAGAATGTTCTCAAAGGGACATGTTTGTGGTTAAATTTTCTGAATCAACAACAAATATCACTCCTTCAAGATTGCTCTCTCAGCATAAAAACCTAAACCAATTTTGTGTTTTTATAGCCTCTCTTTTCTCACACACATACTTAACTTTTTAATTTTTTTTTGGCCAGAGTTGTGGCTTTATGAATCATTATTAGAATCATTATTATTATAGAGAAGGGTCAGCAGGCCCTCCACCTAGTGAATGAAATTTCATTTCCATCCTGTCTCCTTTCTGCTTGTGCTGTGGGAGGTATGTTCTTTCATCACATCCATTTCACTCTTCAAAGGCATTCTTCTCAACAGTAATCCACTCGCAAGTTGTTATTGCTTCATGGTTTGTGTAGATGTGGGAGATCCGCTGTGCTTTAGGGAACTGCGCCAGAGATTTCATGCGTTTGTCTTTGAACACTGATCTAGAGACTTTCAGCTATTTGGGCTTCAGGGATACAAGAACAGAGAAGCCTTTAGAGAGTCCAGATCTGAGCCCTCCTCAGAAGAAGGAATTGTCTATGTTTGTTGCTAGGATGGACCCCTGACAACATGGCCACCTGTTCTGTTTTCTAATCCACGATGCTCATAATGGTTAATTTTAGGTGTCAGCTTGACTGGATTAAGGAATACCTAGAGAGCTGCTGAAGCATTACTTTTGGATGTGTCTGTGAGTGTGTTTCCAGAGGAGACTGGTGTGGCCAGCTACAGAAATGAGGACTGTCATTGTCACGAGTATTTTCTCCCCATTTTGTTAAGAATACATCTGTGTGTATATATAAATATATTTAGTATCAAGATAAAACATAAATACATGTATTTAGCAAATATCTTTGTTTTCATTCCTCTCTTATTCCTTTATTATATAACATAAGGTATATTGACTTTATATCAGTATATGATATGATGGTTTGTGTTTTCCTGTTGAGAGCGTTCTTGGAGTATCTTTGTTATTGACTCAGAAATTTTGACCACAAACATGTTTGTTTGAGAACATTCTCAACATGGAAACCACAAAAATGCATATAATATATAAACCACTCTATTGACTACCTCTCTATCAGTATTTAAGTATTATTAATTTTACCTCATGGTATTTAAGTGATGGGATGTCAGGAGAAGAGTCAACATCACCCAAGGACTTGACCTCCTCTTCCGGGGAAGGGGATTACTGCATTTTCAGCTGTGTGCAGAATGGTTACATCACGTTAGGTGGAACTGTTGTAATTTTCTTATCTTCATTTAGAAATTAAGTATGGTTTAAGGAGATGCTTATGGGTGCCAAGTTGATGATGGGTGGATTTGTGATGGTTGATTTTAGGTGTCAAATTGACTGGATTAAGGGATACTTAGAGAACTGGTAACATGTTCATTACTTCTGGGTGTGTCTGTGAGGGTGTTTCCAGAGGGCATTGGCATGGGAGTTGGTGGACTAAGTGAGGAAGATCCACCATCAATGTGGACTGGCAACATCCAATCAGCTGGGGGCCCAGATAGAACACAAAGCAGAGAAAAGAGTTCCCTCTCTCTCTTTATCTCTCTGTCTCTCTCCCTCTCTATCTCTATCTCTGTGTGTCTCTCTGTGTCTATCTCTCTCTATCCATCTCTGTCTCTCGCTCTCTATCCACGTCCCTGTCTCTCTGTGTCTCTCTCCCTCTCTTCATCTCTCTCTTTCTTTCCCTGGTTTTGTCTCTGTCTCTCCCTCCTTGCCTGTGTCTCTGTTTCTCCCTGTCCCTCTCTTTCTCTCTCTTCAAGCTGAGACACTCTTCATCTCTAGCCCTAGAATATTAGAGCTCCAGGCTCTCCCACCCTTGGACTCCGGGATCTATGCTACCCACGCCACAAGTTCTTAGGCCTTTGGCCTCAGGCTGAGAATTACTATACTTAGAACATTCTTCCATGGGGCAAAAAACTCTAAAGATTAGAAATCTGTATTAGTTCATTTCTCTGCAACAGGTATTTATTAGACACTTACCATGTGCTTAAAAAATAGGAACTAAACAAATTTCTCTAAAAAAAGGAACCTTGTTAGTTTTTTCTGATTATGTGACAAGGGACAGCTGCACAGGGATCAGAGCTCATTAAGCTGAAGTTCTCTAAATTAGGGTCTCTTTAGGCCAATTGTAAGCCCAAGTTCATTTTCTTTTTATTCCCACTAGTAAAAACTATCACATTTGAGGAGCATTGTGAATTTATGACACTTTCTCCATCAGTAGGAATACACTATGATTAAATTGTACTTTGTAAACTGTTTTTTTCTGTTTATAAAAGTAAGTAGAACATTTTATATATACAAGAATTTATAAAGAATCATATAAAACCACTGGTAGTTCTGCTCCCTGCAAACTAATCCCAAATAAAATTATATCATCATTCTTTCCAGTTATGTGTATGCCTTTCTATACAAACATATGCATATGAAACATACATATCCATATGCAAATATATATATATATAGAGAGAGAGAGAGACAGGGTCCTGCTCTGCTGCCCAGGGTGGAATACGATGGCACAGTCATAGCTCATTGTAGCCTCAAACTTCTGGGCTCAAGCAATTCTCCTGTCTCAGCTTCCCAAGTAGGTGGGACTACAGGCGTGTTCTACCACGCCCAGATAATTTTTAACTTTTTTGTAGAGATGGGGTCTTGCCATCTTGCGCAGGCTGCTCTCAAACTTCCGTCCTCAAGTGATCCTCCCACACTTGGCCTCCCAAAGTGCTGGGATTACAGGCATGAGCCACTGCACCTGGACAGATTGTTTTTCACATTTGTGCTGATGTTGCCTTTATATCATGTTTGGTTCTGCCTTTTACACCCTAAAATTATACCATAAGGTTTTATATATGAAAAAATATTCTTCAAAAATCGAGAATATTCTAGTGTTTAATTTATTTTTTCTTCAAGTCTCCTACTTCTTAATTTTCTAACCCAAGTGTTGGCATGCCATAATATTTGCCAAATCAGTAGGTTAAAAATAGCATTTTCCTTGTGTTTAAACTTTAATTTTCTTTGATTTCCTGGTGAGGTTGAACATTTTCCATATTTGTATTAATTTACAATTGTTTTCTCATTCATCATTTGTCTTTTGCCATTTTAAAAAATATTAGATGTTGATTATTTTCTCTGTTGATTCCCCTTCTTTCCTTCCTCCCTCCCTTCCTTCCTCCCTCCCTCCTTTCCTCCCTTCCTCCCTCCCTCCCTCCCTCCTTTCCTCCCTTCCTTCCCTTCCTTTTCTTCCTTTCCTTCCTTTCCTCCTTTCTCTCCATCTTCTTTCTTCCTTCCCTTCCTTCTTCCCTCCCTCTCTTCCTTTTTTCTCTCTCCTGCCTTCCTCCTTCCTTTTTTCCTCCTCACCTTTTCTCTCTCTCCTTCTTTCATTCCTTCATTTTTCCTTCCTTCCTTCCCTTCTTTCTTCCTTTCTTCCCTCTCTCTCCCTCCTTTCTCCCTCTTTCCTCCTAACTTCCTCTCTCCCTGCCTTCCTTTCTTTCCATCCCTTCTTCCCTCCTCCCCTCCTTCCTTCCTCTTTGCTTGCCTCCCTTTTTTTCCTTCCTTTCCCTTATTCCTCCCTCCTTCGCTCTCTCTCTTGCTCCCTAATCAGTTACTTATGATATCCTTCTCCACTCTGAGACCATGGATAGTCATGATTGTTTTGCTGACCTGCTTTGTGGCCCCACATGGCCCTAGGCCAGGTGCTTCTGTTGCCTGTTGTTGTACACACACTGGTGGGCTTGGGCATGTGTGGTACCCAGACTCCATGGACAACGGAAGAAGAAATATAAGATTTGGAGTTGTTAGTAAAATAGACTTTTGGGCAATTGCACAATCATCCATGCTAGCACAGGAAAGCTCTTAGCAGGTGTTTCTCCTTCCAGTTTACTTTGAAAGAAGAGGGGCTTTCCCTGCCTACACACCAACATCCTGGTTTCATAGTGAGGAAGAGAAAGAATGGGAATGTAATTATTGCAATTATTATTCATCACGTTTTGTTGTTCCCCCCAAGCTAAAAGTGACAACTCTATGCTGTGGTTCTTTGGGGATATTACATGTGAGAGTGCAACCACAGAAAATCACATCAATTAGGCATGAAGGCTTTCTCCCCATACTGACTAGCAGCTTGCTTGGGAGCAGAGACCTTCAGCTTGAGGAGCAAATAGTGGGCACTCAGTGTATTCACTGACTTTATTCAGGGGCCAATGCAACTGTGTCTGGAGGGGTTGGCTGGTATAAAACTGTAGGTTGGAAATTATTTGGTTTTCTTTTTCTTTTTCTTTTTCTTTTCTTTTCTTTCGTTTTCTTTTCTTTTCTTTTTTCTTTTTTTTTTTTTTTGAGACAGTTTCTTGCTCTGTTGCAAGAGCAAGGCACTCCTGGCTGGAGTGCAGTGATGCGATCATAGCAATCTCTTCCTCCTGGGCTCAAGTGGTCCTCTCACACACCACCACCATACCTGGCTAATTAAAAAACAAATTGTAGAGACAAGGTCTCGCTATATTGCCCAGTCTGGTCTGGAGCTCCCAGGCTCAAGCAATCTTCCTGCCTCAGCCTCACAACATGCTGGGATTACAGGTGTGAGCCACCACTCTCGGTGGAAATCATTTTTCCTCTGGATTTCACAGTCATTGCATAATTGTCTTGTACCACTCAGGGTAAAGGCCAAAGCCGTGATTTGATTGTATGTAACCCATCCACCCACTGCACCCCCTATGCACTTAGGATTTTGTCTTGGTCCTCTGTATCCTAAGGTTCCATGAAAATGGGCTTTGCTCTGGGTTTATATTCCTTCATCGTTTTGGGCCCCCAGGCCTGTTCAATACTGAGATTCATGCCCTTCAGTTCTAAAACTATATTTTGTTTTATTGCTTTGGTAATCTCTTGCTCTCTCTCAGTCTCTTCCTCTGGAATATCTATTAGCTGAAGATTGGGACCTGGTTATGATATCCTAATTTTCATGTCTTTTCTCTCCTGTTATCAATCACCTTGGCTTTTTGTTCCAGTTCTCTTTGAGATGTCCTCACCTTGATCTTCGCAGCATTCTGCTGAATTACTTCATTTATCATGTTCCGCATGCCCAAAAGTTCTATTTTGTTCTCTAAATGTACTTTTCTCATACCATCCTTTTATTATTTATTTACTTATTGATCAATCTTTTCTTTTCTTTTTTTGGTTCTTTGATCGCTGTCCATATATGACCAGCCATATGACATTGCTGATAGTTAACCATACTTTATCTGCAAAAATGGCTATTTCAAATGATTCATCCTATTTGATAAAGAGATGTTATCTCACTTATCAATAATGAAAACCCTTCTTTTTCATTCCAAACCAACATAGAGCTGTGTGATCCAAGGGCCTTAAATAAGAGGCATGCAGGTATCTGTATGCATAAAATTTAAATCTTAATTTAAGGAAGTACTAACCTGAAAGCTATGCTGAAGGATTTTTGTTGTGAATTTGATTATTATTAGATACATCATCTCGATCCAATGGTCATCAGAGGGAAAAAACAGTTACTTAGTTTTGGTTTGGCAGACACAATTGATATTCTTTTTCTGTACTCCATTTTAATAGCTTAAAGTTTTCATTAAAAATTACACCTTGGGCTTGGGGGGCAATGGCTCATGCCTACAATTCCAGCACTTTGGGAGGCCAAGGAGGGTGGATTGCTTGAGCCCATGAGTTGGAGACCAGCCTAGGGAACATGGTGAAACTCCATCTCTACTAAAAATAAAAAAGTCACTTGTCATCTCAATTACTCAGGAGGCTGAGGTGGGAGGATCCCTCAAGCCTGGGAGGAGGGGGTTCCAGTGAGCTGAGATTGTACCACTGCACTTCAGCCTGGGCAACTGAGTGGCACCCTGTCTTTAAAAAAAAAAATTACACTTATTCTCTCATGCAAAGGAAACACATTTTAAAGAGTTGCTGATTGATTTTTCTGCATTGCCCAGGAGTTGCATTTTTATTCAAGAAGTAACAACTAGCACCCTGTCCTCAAATCTCTTTTGCATTGCCGACATGAATTTGTTGGCATTGTCTTCAAGCATTTCCAGGATATGTGCAAGTTACAGGGATTTAGATTGTACCTGGAAGTACAGGATTGGAGAATGGTGGTTAAGCTTTAACAATTCAGTCAAGAAATTCTTTGTTATGAACACTTTTAGGCAGGGAGGAAGTTTAGAGTTTTCCATATTGATTGGATTTATACATATTAATTTTTTTCTAAATGATGTCATAAAAGGGTCTTTTAGGTAATGATGAAATAACCAAGTCCCAGTAGGAAGGTTTCACCATATAGTACAATGTAATGATAGGGAAATTCAGAGTTCAAAGTATTTTAATGTCATAAACCAATTTTGAGCTTTAATGGAAGAAGGATCATTATGCACAAATGAAATTGCATATATATTTTGTTATGTTTTTGTAAAATCATTCATAATTATAAACTGGTCAGGAACTTCACAAGTAACTGAAGAATTATACTATAACTTGACAGAAAGAATCGGCTATTCGATAGCAGGCTCAGGGGTACACATACCTTTTTAATATCATGACTTGTCCACAAATTGATGTGTGAAACAATTTTCCCTGTTGTACTCTGCTTTAGGAGATGAGATGATTGTAGGGGGCAAAAGAATGGTTTCCCAGCCTCCTGGTTTGCAGGACAGCAGAAAAAACAGCCATTCAGTTGGATGTTATTGGAATCAACAACAAAGAGACTGAAATGCTCATTTATCTATTACGGTAAAATCCAACATTTGCTTCACATACGGTGATACAAAGCAATAGCATTTGCCGTGGTATTTGAAATACAGTAAAAATATGAGTTAACAAAACTTGGGCATTAAGCTATTTCTCTCCAAGAGATAATGAGTGTTTCTTATTCTTCAACCCTTTATACTTTATTTTTTAAAAGTGTCTTTGTTTTTAAAGAAAAGAGATATGCTTATTGTAAAAAAATCCAAAAATCAGAAAAGCATAGAAAAGAAGCATATGATAGTCTATACTCACCATGGAAACAGTTTACAGATATAATTCCAGAATTTTCTATGTGTAATATATAGAAATGGCAGGTTACTATTCATTCCACTTTATAATTTTCTTTAAATATTTTGTGTTGATATAATTATAGACTCACAAGTAGTTATGAAAAAATGGTACAGAGGAGTCTCTCCTACCCTTTACCCTGTCTTCTCCAGTGATAACAAAAACTGCTGTTTTTCAGCAGATCTTTTTTCTTGTATTTCTAGACTTGGAAACTCCTCAGTAGATTCAAATAATTTCTGTCTCCACCTCCCTTCTTCCTCTCTCCCTTTCTTCTTTCTTTCCTACCTTCCTTCCTCCTTCCTTATATTTTTCCTTTCCTTTCTGTAATTTCCAAACACTGCTATAACACGTTATAGTGAACTGAGTGGGTTAAAACTATGTAAAACAATATAACCTTACAGTTCGGGAAGTCTTAAGCACAAAGTGGGTTTCACTGTCCTAAAATCATGGTGTGGGCAGGGCTGCTTTCTTTTCTGGAGGCTCTAGGGGTTGAATTCCTCTTCTTGCCTTCTCTGGCTTCTAGAGGGCACCTACCTTCCGGGCTGCTGGGCCCTTCCTCCATCTTCAAGGCTGGCAGCATAGTGTCTTCCAGTCTCTCCCCACCTCCTTCTTAGAGGGGCCTTTGTGATGACAGTGGGCCCACCTGGCTAATCCAGGAAGTTCTTCCCATCTCAAGATCCTTCATGGCACTTGCCAAGTGCCCTTTGCCATGTAAGGTAAAGTGTGAGGTGCCAGGGATCAGGCTGTGGGCGCCTCGGGCCTGACCATTACTTAGCCCACAACACGTCCCTTTCTTCTTTCTGTTTTGGGACTGGACCATCCAGCCAATAGATTCTGGGCCTTTTTTACATGTAGGGGTGGTGCCAGATCTTCCATAGCAGGTAACATTAAGTTGTAGTTCAATCAATATTTGTAGATGGAATTAAAAACTGAATTGCAATACAAAGATTAATACCACAGATTTTAAAAAATATTTATTTTCATATTATGTATTTTATATATAATTTTATATATAAATGCATATATATGTATTTATAGAAATATATATTTTTATACTTACTATTATATAGTATAAATGTTTTATTTTAAATAAATATTTATTTAAATATTAATATATTTAGTTAAAATATATGATTAAAAATGAAAAAAATTATTTTTAATATAATTTAAAAATGAATTCGAATAGATGAATACCACAGATTTAAAAAAATATTTATTTTCATATTATTTATTTTATATATTTTATTTTTATTTTTATTTTTATTTTTATTTTTAAATTTTTTTCTTTTGTATTCCTTCTAAAAAAAACTGGGATACATGTGCAGAACGTGCAGGTTAGTTACATAGGATACATGTGCCATGGTGGTTTGCTGCACCTATTGACCCATCCTCTAAGTTTCTTCCCGTCACCCCCACCCCCAAATAGGCCCTGGTGTGTGTTGTTCCCCTCTCTGTGTCCATGTGTTCTCAATGTTCAACTCCCACTTATGAGTGAGAACATGCGGTGTTTGGTTTTCTGTTCCTGTGTTAGTTTGCTGAGGATGACGGCTTCCAGCTTCACCTGTGTCCCTGCAAAGGACATGATCTTATTCCTTTTTATGGCTGTGTAGTATTCCATGATGTATATGTACCACTTTTCTTTATCCAGTCTATCATTGATGGGCATTTGGGTTGGTTCCATGTCTTTGTTATTGTAAATAGTGTTGCAGTAAACATACATGTGCATGTGTCTTTATAGTAGAGTGATTTATATTCCTTTGGGTATATACCCAGTAATGGGATTACTGGGTCAAATCGCATTTCTGGTTCTAGATCCTTGAGGAATCACCACACTGTTTTCCACAATGGTTGAACTAATTTACGTTCCCACCAACAGTGTAAAAGTGTTCCTATTTCCCCACAGCCTCACCAGCATCTGTTGTTTCCTGACTTTTTAACAATCGCCATTCCGACTGGTGTGAGATGGTATCTCATTGTGGTTTTGATTTGCATTTTTCTGATGATCAGAGAATATGCATTTACTTATATATATCTATACACACACACGTATTCATAGAAATATAAAATATTTATATATTTATACAATTATACAATATAAATGTTTTATTTTAAATAAATTTTTAAATATTAAATATATATTTATAAAAAATAGATGTATGTATAATAAATAATAAACACTTAATACATATTAAATATATAAATTGATGTATTTATATTTATACATAAATGAATAAATATTTTTATATTAAATGTATAATTATAAATAAATCAATGTATATATAAATGTATATTTAATATATACTAGGTGTTATATGTTGAAATATATATTAAATCTATAAATAATATTCCTTTTAATACTTTATAATATTTTAATAATAACTTTTTAGGTAAAATATGCAAATAAATTTCTAAACCAAATATCCCAGCCTGAGATCTCTAGCTTTGGATAGAAAAGCATTTACTTTTTAGCAAAATTAATTTTTTTAAGTGAAAAATTAAAATTATGTATATTTAGGGTATACAACATGACATTTTGTTTTTTATATATATATGTATGTATGTACATTATGGAATGGCTAAATGAAGCTACTTAGCATGTGCATTACCTGACATACTTTGTGGGGAGAACACTTATAATCTACTGTTTTGTAATTTTCAAATATCCAATGTGTTGTTATTCACTACACATGAATGTTGTAGTCACCATGTTGTAGGAAAGATCTCTGGAACTCTTGCTCCTAAGTGAAACTTTGTATCCTTAGACCAACATCTCCCCAATGAAAAACACTTACTTTAATATTCACTCCACTGTATTCATTTTCTATTGCTCCATAGCACACAGTGGCTGGCAACAACACCTGTGTATCTTCTCTTTGGGCTCAGGAGTCCAAGCAAGGACAGACTTTACCCTGCTCAGGGGATCGCCAGGATGAAATCAGGGTGCCAGCTACGTTGTGTTCTCCCCTGAGCCTCCCGGTGCTATTCCAAATTCAGTGCATGTTGGTAGAACTCAGTTCCTTGAGGTTCTGGGACTGAGGTCCCCATTTTCTTACTGCTGGAAGTCCTGGGCCACTAGTAATTTCTAGGTCTGTGGACCCCACAGGAAGTTCACATCATCACCGTCAGCTTCTTTGTGGGCACCAGTTGGTGTCCAGCATCTCTGTCCGACTTCTGGCCATCTTAGAATTCTGCCTACTACTCCCACGAATTTTTCTGGGTTGGCTTGGCCTTGCCCCTTGTAGAAAGTTGCTCTGCAGGGAAACCACTCTCTTTGTTTTTCCAACCAGTATTTCTCATGTTCCACAATGTGAGTATATCTGTGAGATGCTCCAGTTTCCTGGGACACCTATCATTTTGCTAAGATTTCCAACAGGCATCAAAGTCTCTACTGGTGGGCTTTGAGGAGAAGGCTGACCTGTTCTTATGCCCCAGAGGCACTGCCTATCTTTCTTTATTTTTTAATCTCAGGGCCAGAGTCATCCCTGCCCTGCCCAAAATGGGAATAGGACATCTCTTCATAGAGATCAGAGCTACATATAAAAGCCAAACTGGGACTGAATCTAAACATCTGCATTTCCTTCCTCCTCCCCTTCCTTTCGGGACTTCCTGCTGCAGATCGCGGGAGCAGATACGTGTCAATGTATTCCTTCCCTTTGCAGCCTGTCCATTTGGGCCAGTCAGAATCATTCAGCAATGCATAAGAGAAGAAATATAATATGCGCTGATATCCAGGTGTATGCAAGTGATAATATGGCTAATGGAAGATGTGAATTGAGAAGGGGATGTGGTTATTAATGATTACTTATGAAAGAATTCTGGGCCAAGCACAGTGGCTGATGCCTGTAATCCCAGCACTTTGGGAGGCTGAGGTGGGAGGATGGCTTGAGCTCAGAAGTTTGAGACCAGCCATGGGTAACATGGTGAAACCCCATCTCTACTAAAAAATACAAAAATTAGCCGGGCATCGTGGCACGCACCTGTAATCCCCAGCTACTCTGGAGACTGAGGCACAAGAATTGCTTGAATCCGGGAGGCAGAGGTTGCAGTTAGCTGAGATTTTGCCACTGCACTCCAGCCTGGGAGACACAGTGAGACTCCATCTCAAAAAAGAAAAAAGAGAAAAAAGAAAAAAGAATTCTGTCTCAAGATACTAGGGACGCTAAAAGTTTGCTGTTTATAAAGGGGATTTTATACAATGCGTACCTTTGACTTTGTGCCTTCTTGCCCCAGGAGTTACTCCTTTTAAATAGATAGCTCATCTACAGATCCTGCAGATAATCCTTCTGGTATAACCAGAATACGTAGTTATTTATACATATATGTCCCATAATTTTTTCCTTTCAAGGTAATTGATGAATTATACTAAACAAACAATTTTCTGGCTGACAAGTACTGTACTTTAGTGAATTTGCTTGATTAAATTGTAATAATGAAATTAAATTTTATGCTTGCTGTGTGTCTACAAATGCAGTTCCTGTTGAAAATGAGACAATCTGAAGTGCCTTCTAATGGACATCCCACTTCCTTAATGTTTCTTTTGTATGTGTAAGGGAGAAAGTCTAATGTCTGTTCTTTCCCTCATAGATTCTTAGTTGAGACACTCTCCTGAAAATAAAAGTCAGATTCACAAAAGAAAAACTGTTGAGCCCAGACTGGTCTCAAACTAGCCTCAAGCGATCCTCCTTCCCTGACCTCCCAAAGTACCATGATTACAGGTGTGAGCCACCACCGCCAGCCTAGATTAACAGTCTTTAAAGTAGATATGCTGGGATAGGTGAGAGGAAGTGAAAAGCCAACTGGGACACACAAAAACAGCCAGGAGCAGCCTAGGAGGATGACATATATTCTACCCATCACACAGGAGAGGCCTCAGTTCAAAAATACTTCTCTCTCAAGGCAGTGGCTTAGGGGCCTTGCTCAAATAGGATTTTAACAAAGAGCCATAAATCCTATGTACTGACAAGACACAGAGGAGAACATCTGCAGGCTACCAAAAGGTAAATTTCTGGAAAGAGTAAAATCTGCCTCTAGCTGCTGTAGTGCTGTCTCTGAGCTAATAGGCGAGAGTTGTAAAGGGGACCATCTTTCGGTGGGAAAGGCAGGCAGGAGGGCAGGAAGGTGGCAAAGGCAGACAGGTGGACAGAAGACCTTGTCTTTGTAAATTGCTGTCTTGCTATGAGGAAGGCAGATGGAGGGGCAGTGTGTCCACTGCGTTTTAGGATTCTTCTTTTCAATCAATAATCCTCATTATTTTAAAAAGGGATATTTTGGTTTCCTTCGTGTGTAAAAACTGTATCCATCTCCAAGCTCAGGAAAGGAACAATTTACAGTCACCCTCCCAGGCTGCTCCTGACTGTTTTTGTGTGTCCCAGTTGGCTTTTCACTTCCTCTCACCTATCCCAGCATATCTACTTTAAAGACTGTTAATCTAGGCTGGCGGTGGTGGCTCACACCTGTAATCATGGTACTTTGGGAGGTCAGGGAAGGAGGATCACTTGAGGCTAGTTTGAGACCAGTCTGGGCAACATACTAAGACCCTGTCTCTAGAAAAAAAATATTAAAAAGTTAGCCAGGCATGGTGGTACCTGCGTGTAGTCCCAGCTACTCAGGAGGCTGAGGCGGGAGGATTGCTTGAGTCTGGGATGGGAGGTTGAGGCTGCAGTGAGCTATGATCTCACCACTGTACCCCAGCCTGGGCCACAGAGCAAGACCCTGTCTGAAAACATAAAAATATAAAAGATTGTATTAATTGTCATCATCATTTATATAAAATGCAAAGCATGCCTGATACATGGTAGGAAGACAATAAACACTATTTACATGTTTTTCCCCCTTGAACATGTTCCCTTTTTCTGCTGAGTCACATTATTTTTTGACTGATTGCGGAGGGGGGCCCCCAATGCAAAATTAGTAACTCTGGCAGCTTTCTCTATGTCTTCCTTTTCCTAACTTTTCCATAAAACCATTCCTCCAAAGCCTTCACATGGTCACAGTGGCCTTATTGTCTCTGATTAATCACAGTTGAAACTGGCTATCTAGAAAGAATGACTAGCTGTCTTAATACTCTAATGGAAATCTGAGTCAGTACACTACTCCTGTTTTTTAAAATGTCTTCTCTTCCCTTGTGGAATGAAAGGAATTTACACATTACACATAATGAGAACAAGGTATTTTTATTTATGCTTTTATTTCAATAGGTTTTTGGGAAACAGGTGGTGTTTGGTTACATGAGTCAGTTCTCTGGTGGTGATTTGTGAGATTTTGGTGCACCCATCACACCCGAGCAGTATACACTGAACCCTATTTGTAGTCTTATCACTCACCCCCTTCTCACCCTTTCCCCCTGAGTCCCCAAAGTCCATTGCATCATTCTTATGCCTTTGCATCCTCATAGCTTAGCTCCCACTTATGAGTGAGAACATACAATGTTTGATTTTCCATTTCTGAGTTACTTCACTTAGAATAATAGTCTCCAATCCCATCCAGGTTGCTGTGAATGCCATTAATTCATTCCTTTTTATGGCTGTGTAGTATTCCATCATATATATATATGTGTGTGTGTGTATATATATATACATATATACGTATATATATATTATATATGTATATATACATATATATACGTATATATACATATATACGTATATATATATATTATATATGTATATATATACATATATATACGTATATATGTATATATACACGTATATATGTATACGTATATATGTGTATATATATACACATATATACACACACACACACACACACACATATATATATATATATATACACACCACAGTTTCTTTATCCACTCGTTGATTGATGGGCATTTGGGCTGGTTCCACATTTTTGCAATTGCTAATTGTGTTGCTGTAAACATGAGTGTGCAAGTATCTTTTTTGTATAATGACTTCTTTAGCTCTGGGTAGATACCCAGGAGTGAGAACAAGGTGTTTTGGAGGCAGACAAACCAGGGTTCCATTCAATGCTCCCCCTCTGGTATTCAACTTCTTCAAATCCTGGATAAATGTGGGGACCCTCTAAGCCTCACTTCTTGTGCAATGGGGAGAAAAACATTACCATCTAATATGGGGTGAGAAAGGAGTGATGCAGTTGTGGATTTAGGGCTCCTGATGAATGATACCTCCAGTGGAGACTGGCCTGGATTGGAATCTTTCCTGTTATCCCTGGAACCCCTCTACCTATCCCCACCTGTTCTCTACCCTGGAAGAAGCCCAGGATGAACGGCATCCATAGGCTGTCTTGCCTTTTCTGTTGTCCTGGTTGTTTCTGGCCAAGGAAAGTCAACAAATGAAAGGGAAAGGAGAACAAGGTTGGGGTTTTCATCTCCTCTGTTCCCTCCTGCAGGGTTGCCCAGGATTGCACCCTGCACTCCTCAAAGGTCATCACAAGCTCTGGGATCACTCCTTCGCCTTTGGGCCTGAGTGGTACCAGCCTCAGGGATGAGCCGTCTTCCTCCTCTTCCTGTCCACACTGCTGTTAGCTGTCTTTTCAGTAAATTCTCCTCTCATTGTCCTATATTCCATGTGTCTCTTCTTTTCTGCTGGGACCATGTGACCAATGCTAGGTCCTGCTTGGCACCCCCAGGGAAATGACAGCCTATTCACAGACCACAGGGCTGTCCACAGCAGAGGAACCAGAGGGCTAATTAGGAGCTCATGTGCATAGCAAACATATTGGAATGTGTTGCTCCTCCAAGCTGGTCAGAGACATTTGCCATAGTCACTGAGTCATCAGTGGGGTTATCTGCCTTGCAACCTAACAGTGATACAACTGACATCTTAAGAGATGGAGCAGACATGCACCTGCACCCCCTTTTTATCAACATGATGGTGAATAAGTGACATGTGGCTTCCAATAGATGCAGAATAGCAGGATGCTACATCAAGGGCTGTGATTCTCTAGTCTTTAGGGGGTCTCCCAGGAAATTTTATTTTATATAAAAATCAAACTTCAACAGGGCTGCAACTCCATTGGTCCAAAAGTCTCCCCGGTTGGTATCAAATAAAAAAACAACAAATGCAGACTTAGTAAGGAGGGACTTTTATTCAAAAAGCTTAATGCAAGAGGGAAAACACTCTAGGTCTGCAAGCCTCTCAAAGGCTAGGGGCAAAAATGGTTTTTCTTTTATGGAGAAGAGTAAACAAGGCTAGAAAACATAACAGGCACTGACCTTGAATTTAAGGGTGGCCTGATTAGACAGTAGATGAGAAAACATTTGCTCTGAGGCCAGACTGTTCCCAGGAGGAAGTGCCTGCTCACTCAGACTGAGGATGGGCCCATGTTCAGGGTTCTGGGGGAAAGAGGGAAACTGATCCAACATTTGACTAGGGAGGACAAGTGGCTCAGCTAACTTATAACTGTTTATAAGACAAAGAATTAGGATTTAGAGGGTCTGTCTCTGTCCTATTAGACAAGGGACATCTGTGAGTCTTTTCTCAGTCATATGGGGAAGGGGGTTCTTTGCAATAAGCCATTTTCCAGAACACAAGGTGTGGGAGGATGTTAAGGAGTATTCAGTAGCACTTGATAAAGCACAGTAAGGAAGACTTTATTCAGGACCATCGCAACAGGTGCAGGGACCACAGCAATGGGGACTTGCAGTGGGGGAGAAAGATTGGGCTCAGATCTGAATACAGCATGGGAAAGTGGGGATTCATAGCCACGGAATAGGGTGCCCATCAGTGGATGGAAAACTACTAAGAGGAAACACCAAGGGCCAGCGAGATTCCTCCTAACCGACCTAGCAGGATTCTAGCATAAGGCCAACCAGGTGACCACACATCCCCTGGGGGTGGTGGAGGCTGAGGAGCCTGATCCCTGATCAGATACTGAGGTTGAACAGATGGAGGGGGGGTCCAGTAGGGTGTTCTTGCTAAATTGACTTAACAGGCTTCTTGCTAAAACTGGATTTTACAAGCAAGTGCACAGATGGGCCTAGAAGAAGGTTGAAGGTCCCCAGAGGTCAGACAGCTATGATATAAGAGGTTTTGAGCATTTGCATCACATACCACATTTTCTAGGCACTAAAGAGAAGGTAACAAGGCTTTAGCTTTTAGAGGCCTCCACATGATCAACACCTTCCCTCCTGAGCATGTCGGCCCCCTATGGCCATGCACTTGCCAGCAGCCTCTCTATGGCAACTTTTTGCCTTTTTATTAAAATTGCTCGGGCGTATGAGAGCCAGTTCTAGTCCCAATAGTATGCCCATCTCATCCAACCTCTTACTGCTTCGGAGGTTTGTTTTGACTCTTGTTTGGTTTTCCTAAGGAATCTGGTTGAAAGAGAGAAGAGAGAAAAATATTTTTCAAATCAAATTTCTGCCCCAGGTATTTGTAGAGCAAAGCCGCTGCTTCACCAGGCTAGAGTCCCTTCCCCAGGGCCCAGTAAGACTTTCATGGGCCATGAAGGCAAAACATATTAAATATGTTTTAATATGAAAATATATTATGTAAAAACATAAAACATTAACATTTGTATTTTACAACTATATTGGTGCAAATACCAATATGATCTTCAATCCCCAATGTTCATTTTCTTCTGATTATAACACAAATTAAAACATTTTGTGAGCCCCTAAAAAGGCCTTAGAGTGTGTGCCTGTTGGGTAACAATCTGGCCTTTCCCCACTCTCAGATCATGGAGGTTGGGACTGTTTTGTGTCTTATTCCTCTCTGCATTTCTCAGCCTCTCTCTTGAACTAAGAAGGGAGTTGATGAATCTTTGCAGAACTGGAACTTGTATTCCCCATTGCTTGACATCAAGCTGGAAGTGTAGTAAACATTCCCCACATTGTTGAATTGAATCACATTAGAAAGCAGGGTATTAGCGCACAGCATTTTTAATTGCCAAGGAAAATTTTATTTTAACTTTGCATTAATATGTTCTAAGGAACCTTTATACTTGATGCAATCAGATTCCTGAGAGAAGCCAATACTTTTCCTGTTTTTGTGTTTTATCCTCCATTCTTCATCGTATGCCCTTCAAGGAAATCTGAAAAGTTGGCTTTTTTGAATCATTAGTCACATTGATATGTAGACTGCAATTTTGCTTTTCCTGCGGGATTGCTGACCTTGTAAAATGATGCTTATGTATGCGTCACTAATCTATGTGCTTAACTTTTAACATCTATGTAATGCTAAGAATATAGACATCGCCTGGGGGCAGGTGGAGGTTGAGGAACCCTATAGAGAATGATCTGATATCATGTGTGATCAGATAGTGAGGGTGAGGGCTTCTTGCAAAAACTGGATTTTACAAAGAAGTGCACAGATAATCTTAGAACAAGATTCAGGAGACTGGGTTATATTTGGTCAAGGAAGGAATCTTTGTCAAGGGATTTCTTAACCTTTGCTGTTTTCCAAGATCAAAGGGTTCGGGTGGAATGCGACAATGTCGGTGGTATTTCAACTTAGCAACCTCTTTTTTTGTTTTGTCATGGTTGCTGAGCTGAAAGGGAGAAAATATTCAAGGGATCCACCAAGAAAATGCTCACTTAGGCTGGAACAGCATATAATAAGAGATATGTTGTGGTTATAAGATCAACGATTGCCAAAAAGCTCACTTGAGGGTCTCTCAGGCTGACACCACTTGTCACTTAGCAGCATGATGCAACCTGGCTCTGCAGTTAGCAAACCTGGGCTTTCCAAAAGCTAAAACCACCTCAGCACAGGTGCAGCTTTTATAGACCTTAAAATAAAGCTTACTCTTATAAGAATAGCTTAAACTATCTTTAGGAAAGAAATGCCTGGTCATTGACCCAGACTGAAGACAGGTATAAGAGAGGGGGGAAAATCCCTTAAACTCCCGTTCAGTCTCTTATCTGACCATCTCATTCTCTATGGCCCATGTCACTGGCCTGTTCCTGCTGTAAGTTTCATAACACTGCTGCTAGCATAAACCGCTTGGGTATCAGATTGTGTCTGCATTTATCTTTGACACAAATCATACCGAAGGGGAGAAGTTGCCCCTTCTGAAGAATCCGGTTTACCAGGATCACCTGAAACTCCCAAAAGAATGCAGCAACTAGGCAAAGAGTGTCTCCGCCTCACATTATCTGCCCAAGCACAGTGCTGTTGGCCAAGCCTCCAGCAGCTGACGGGACCCAGCTGTAGTGAGGTTGCAGTGATTGAGTAGGATTGGCCTGCTTCAAAGCAGAGGTTTCTCATGGGAATATGCTTATTAAACTCCCACTGGTGCAGAAACCATGAACAGAGGATGAACAAGTGAAGTTGCAATCTCCTCCATCACAGCTCAGTTCCCCAACAACAGGATCACAAGCTGGAGATGCCTTTAAGGTAAGCGTCTATTCCCCTGGCCAGGCTGGGAGTTTTTAACCCTGAAACATACTAGTTGGGATGTTCACAGCAGCTACCTGCTTGTGTTGCATATTCTCCCAACATGTGTTGTCTTGTTCTTGTTTCTTAAATCTGTTTTTGCTTGGTAATTTCCATTGATTATAATGATTTTCTGTGAGGCTTAGCGAGGGAACATTTTAGGAGAGGTTATAAATGCGGCTAATTAGTGACATGCAAATCGCTTTTGTGGCTGTTTCAAAACATCTAAATGACCTATAATTAAATTTTGTTGCCAAATTATTTGTTAATTATCATCTTCCTATCAAGTTTATTGCATCAGGAGATGTCATTCACTGTCTAAAAGGTGGAGTGAGGAAGAGCATCATGCATATGTGTTGCAGAGTGGGAAAGAATGCTTGTTTTGTTGGGTTTCTGTCTCCATTGGTGTGTTTTTATTTTTTGTTCCCACTTCTATGTATCTCAGATGACGAGTTTGTCTATGGGCTGTCGGAATCTTCTGGTTGAGAAAGATGGTGGGAGCCACTTTGTTTAAATTTCCTAATTTTCCATAAACGAATCCCTTCTGCAATATCCCCGACAGATGCGGCTTTTCACCCTCCACCCAATTCCCTCATGGGAGGAAGGGACTTTGAGAGGCTGATCATTTCGTGGTCTGGCAGCACTTGTAAGTCCCTGGTTCTGTTCTGGACACTGTCCCAGCTGTGGCTTCTGAGACAATGGCTAAATCCTTTCTCTCTTTTACAGACCACCATTCGAGCACACTTAAGTGCAACTCGAATGCCATTTTCCGCTCTGGGTGAAATGTTACCGATTCCTAAGAAATCCTGGATGTCAGATTTTTTTTTTTTTTTTTTTTTTTGAGATGGAGTCTCGCTCTGTCTCCCAGGCTGCAGTGCAGTGGCGCGATCTCGGCTCACTGCAAGCTCCACCTCCCGGGTTCACGCCATTCTCCTGCCTCAGCCTCCCGAGTAGCTGGGGCTACAGGAGCCCGCCACCACGCCCGGCTACTTTTTTTGTATTTTTAGTAGAGACGGGGTTTCACGTGTTAGTCAGGATGGTCTCGATCTCCTGATCTCGTGATCCGCCCGCCTCGGCCTCCCAAAGTGTTGGGATTACAGGCGTGAGCCACTGCGCCTGGCCATCAGATGGTTTTTATACCCTTAAGCATCCTGATCACTCTCCCTTGATATGCCACTGAATCTCCATCCCTCTTAAATCGCAGGGATCTGCACTGAAAAATATTCCGACTCTGGTCTGACTTCGTGTAAACAGCTGAGTGGAACTCATCTTCCTTGTCCCAAAAGCATCTTCTTCTTAACGTACACCAAACTAGTATTAACTTCAGTCTTCTCAGTCATTCCCTTCCCCAACTGACAAAACTTGCTTTGTAGTTGTCTAAAGTCTTCTTCGTAGGAGCTGCAAGTAGGTCACGTCTGAATATTGGCATCTTTGTGTCATTGATTACGTTTCTTAAATAAGAAGATTATGTGTTTTCCCCATTGCATTTAATTTTGTGACTTCCATCTTTTGTTCCACTTCTCAAGGTCTTTTCTGAATCTCTGTTCTCTTCTGACGCACATGCCATTCCCCATGTTGGATAAATATTCTGATAGTCGATTCATACAAATCATTGATGTAAATTATGGAATAGTGCAGAGCTGTATAGCACAGGCTCAGTAACCTCTCTGGTTCGGTACAAAGCTTTAATCAGCACCCTTGTGGAGCGTTTGTTTAGCTAGTTACAACTTTTAGATGCTGTAACACATGATTTTCTAATTCTAAGCTAGATGGCTATTCATTCTATTGCTGATATTACTGGAAGGAGGAAGTCTGGTAGCATTACCTCAAAAGACAGGAGGCCAATGTCGTTCCCAGAGAGCTCAAGATGGCACCAAAAGTTCACGGTTTAGCTTCCTAAGTGCACAGGAACCATCTTTAGGAATATGAATTCAGGAATCTTATGTCAGACAAATTTTGCATTGACTAGTCTAACTAAAAGAAAGATAATTAATATCTTCTTTGTTTATTTAAAAATAACATGGTTGTTTATAAAGTGACATCAAACCATGTGCGCCTCTAGGCAGTAAATGTTTATCGGTGGACATTCACCTAATATACACAGCATACTCTCTGGCTATATTGGGCATCTTTTGTTTGCATTTGCATAAGCACTGTTATAGACTGCTTCTGACTCCCCAAAATTCATATGTTGAAACCCCAACCCCCAAAATGATGGTATTTGGCGGTGGGGCTTTTGGGAGGTGAAGAGGTTCTGAAGGTGGAAACTCATGAATGGGACTAGTTTCCCATAGTGATTATAAAAGAGGCCCCAGAGAGTCCCCTTGCTTGTTCCACCATGTGAGGACACATCAGGAAGGCACCATCTATGAACCAGGAAGCAAGTCCTCACTAAATACTGGATCTCTTGGTGCCTTGTTCTTGCACTTCCAAGAACAGATGTGTTGTTCCAGGACTGTGAGCAATATATTTCTGTTGTTTATAAGCCACTTCGTCTATCGTACTTTGGCATAACAGCCAAACAGACCAATGCAAGAACCATTTTAATAAACAAGGAATTGTCATTGGCTAATTAAGTAGAATTGTGTAATCATGTTGTTTGAATTTGGATCTTGTTGGTTTATTGTTGCCATAACTGTCTGTCTGCAAGTAACAATAAGCTTGAAGCCTAAGCAAACTTAACATATGAAAATCTGTGTCAAGGGCATCTCTGCTTTATAAAAGACAGTCTTCAATTAGGACCCCTCCCCAGTGGGATTGAGCACAAAAACAGCTATTTGTGAGAAAGGATGCCCTCAGCTGCAAAAAAAAAAAAAAAAAAAAAAAGATGTTTTCAGTCTTTTTCAAAATTATGTTTAAAGACAACTATCATCATTAAGTTTTTTGCTCTATCTAGACTTTGCAATGTTTTCCATCTCAGAACAGAAACTACTGCCCTAAATATTCAATTAATATTAAATGGCCCTATAGGAATTTATGTCTAAGAGATAGCATTCATTATCTGTATTTTTTCCTATTGCTTTTTAGGCATTTATTTATTTTTATATATTTAGGGGGTACAAGTATAATTTTGTTACAGGGATATATTGTGTAGCAGTAGTCTGGACTTTTAGTGTACCCATCATCCAAATAGTGAACTTTGTACCCATTAAGTAATTTTTCAACCCTCACTCCTATCTCACTGCCCACCTTTTATACTCTCCAATGTCTATTATTCCAATTAGTATATCCATGTCTATCCATTATTTAGCACCCACTTATAAGTGACAATATGCAGTATTTGACTTTCTGAGTTATTTCAGTAATGATAATGACCTTTAGTTCCCTCCATTTTGTTGCAAAAGACATGAATTCATTCTTTTATATGACTGAGAAGTATTCCACGGAATATATATATACCACTTTTTTTTATCCAATCCTCTGTTGATGGACACTTAGGTTGATTCCATATCTTTGGTATTGTGACTAGTGCTGAGATTAATGTACAAGTGCAGGTATCTTTTTAATACAATGATGTCTTTCCCTTTGGGTTCATACCCGGTAGTGGGATTGCTGGATCAAATGGTAGTTCTATTTAATTCTTTGAGAAATCTCCATACCGTTTTCCATAGAGGTTATATTAATTTACATTCCCACCAACAGTGTGTAAGTGTTCCATTTTCTCTGCATTCTTGACAACATCTGTTGTTTTTAGACTTTTTAATATAGCCCTTCTGATGGTGGAAGATGGTACCTCATTGTGGTTTTGATTTGCATTTCTCCGATGATTAGTGGTCTTGCACATTTTTGTTTTCATATGTTTGTTGGGTGCTTATATGTCTTCTTTTGGAAAATGTCTGTTTGTGTCATTTGACTCCTTTTTAATGGGGTTATTTGTTTTTGTTTTTTTTTCTCATTGAGTTGTTTGAGTTCCTTGTGGATTCTAGATATTAGCACTTTGTCAGATGCATAGTTTGCAATTTTTTTTCCATTCTGTAGGTTGTCTATTTACTCTGTTGATTGTTTCTTTTGCTGTGCAGAAGCTTTTTAGTTTAAGTCCTGTTTACCTAATTTTGTTTTTGTTGCATTTGCTTTTGAGGACTTGGTCATGAAGTAAAGCCAAGAGTGAATTAGATATATTTTTTTAAGTTTATGGAAACCAGCAGAAGACATAGACTACATAGACATTCATTTTTTTTTCACTTTCCTCATCATGGAAATATTCTGAGACATGAAACATCACTGTGACCCAAGGAGAGGCATTGGCGAGAGTTAGTTGAAAGAGAAGGAGAAAGGAAAAGAGTGGAATATCATTCACTAAACACCTCCCATCTGCCTTGGAAGTTGGGTGCACTTCATCTCTTTTAAAAATGGAGATAATGGGACATGGAAGCTTGGAGTGATAAAGCCAATATTTGAAAAGGGGACGAGTTGACTTTATGATCTGATCTTTTCACTTAAAGCTCTCAGTTCTTCAATGAGAAAAGTAGGTGTCCTGGACATTATTTTATACTAGCCAAGTTCTGACTTGAGCAGGAATTAAAATGTAATGGTTTCAAAGCACTGGATAATTCATCAACCAGTAGCACTAAGCACAGGGGTAGGGTTAGTCCCTCCTCATACCAATTTTATGGCTGTCATTAGAGTTAAGCATTTAACCTCCCTGGACTTCAGTCCCTTCACTTGTGCAATGGACTGACTGTTTATTTCCCCCCCAAATTCATATATTTTAATTCTAACCCCCAAGATGATGGTATTTGGATGAGGGGCCTTTGGAATGTGATTAATCATGAGGGGTTTGTCCTGAAAAATGGGATTAGTACCCATATAAAAGAGACCCCAGAGAGCTCCCTCATTCCTTCCACCATATGAGAACATGGGGAGAAGGCACTGTCTATGAAACAGGAAGCAGGTCCTCACCAGCACAGAATCTGCAATACCTTAGTCTTGGACTTCCAGCCTGCAGAGCTGTGACAATAAATTTCTGTTGCTTATAAGCTACCCAATCTGTTGCATTCCACGATAGCAGCCCAAATAGACTAAGACAATCTGTAAAATAAGGGTATTCACCACCCATGAGGTCTCATAGAACCTTCTGGGTCTAATCGTCTGTGGTTCTCAAAGCCTTCCCCATTTGAAGGTTGATGTTTCCTACTTGGTGGAACATTTCTCTTGCTTCCAACTTTATTTTGCTCTTTCTGGCTTCCTTGGCTGAATTCTCTCTTCCCTGTAATTTTCTCTGCATGGCACTTGCAGTTTCACCAGTGGGCTATGGAAGATGTCTTTCAAAGCCTCTGGCTAAGGTGTAAGAACAGCTGGGGTCCTCATTGGGAAGCCGATTAAACTTTAAAACAGTAGGCTGAGGTCTAGAACTGTTCCAGGAGGTGAGATGACAGCAATTGTCCCTGTGTTCATACCCTCTGGTTAATGTGACTCCCAGCTATGAATCAACCTTTATATAAATGCATTTTGGCTCACTGGACTGAATGTAGCTCGGATTCAATAATAGAAAATGTGTGGGAGGAGACAGTGAGAACCCCGAAGCCAGAATGGTCTGATGTTGTTTCTTGTGCTGGAGGTCCCCAGGTTCAGCGATTCACCAGAAGGACTAACAGGCTCAGTGCATAGTGGGGCTCATGGCTAAGATGTATTTCAGCAAAAAAATTCAGAACACATTGAACAAAGGGAAACGGCACATGGGGTAAAGGCTGGCAGAATCCAGGCATAAGCTTCCAGGTATGTCTCTGAAAGGAGTCACACGGGACATACTTAACTCCTCCAGCAGTGAGCTGTCAACACATATGAAGTGTTGCCTACAAGGGAAGCTGGTTAGAGACTCAGTGCCCAGGTTTTTTATTGGGAGCTGTTCATATAGGTGCCCTTTGCCTAGTACTACCAAAATTGCAGACTCCCAGACAGGAAGCAGGTGTTCAGCATAAACTATGTTGTTTGTACAAGCATTTCAGGCAGAGTGAGCCATTCTTGTTAATTCTGGGAAGGGTGAGAACCCTCCCCAAATCTAATTCCCAATTGCCAACCAAGAGCACATGTTACAAGCAGGCCTTTCTAAGGAGAGCAATCTCAGGTCCTCTATGTTAACTTCTTTCTGCATATTTCTAAAGTGTTTTATATTTATTATCTTTTTAAGGAAACAAACTCTGTCACCATGAAGTCCTAGATGCATCCCGGAATGTAAAAGCTAGAGGAGAATGTTGGATGTAGCCCATGACTTCATTTTATAGATAAGAAAGCCAATTCTCTTCTTTTTCTCTTTTCTTATTTTTAGTATATTTTTATGAGATATAATTTTCCTACAGTAAAATGCACAGATCTTCAATGTTCCGTTTAAGTTTTGATAATTTTATACAAACATATAATCACTGTCCCAAACAAAATATATAGAGCATGTCCATTATCATCTCAGAACGTTCCTGTTGCCCCTCTCTAATCAATACCCCAGCCAGAGACAAACACTTTTCAGAGTTCTATCACCACAGACAATTTTTGCCTTTTCTTGGACTGCATATGAATGGATTCAAGCCATATAGATTATTTGGGGTCTCACCTCTTTCACTCAACATAATGTGTGTGAGATTCTTATGTGTTGTTGCATGTATCAGTGGTTCATTTATTTTCATGGCTGAGTAGTCTTAGGTTAGATTGATGTTCCAGAGTTTGTTTATGCATTCTCCTGTTGATAGTTATTTGGATTGTCTCCAGTTTTTGGTTATTGTGACTAAGGCTTTGGGTGGATAGATAGTTTTATTTCTCTTGTTTAAACATCGAGTAGTGTAATTGCTTGACAGTAAGATACATGTATATTCAATTGTATAGGAAATGGCCAAACTTTTCTCTAAAACGTTTGCATGAGTTTACACTTCAACAAGTGATATATAAGAGTTCTAGGGGCCAGGAACGGTGGCTCATGCCTGCAATCCCAGCACTTTGAGAGGCTGAGGTGGAAGGATTGCTTGAGCCCAGGAGTTTGAGACCAGCCTGGGCAACATGGTAAGACCTCATCTCTACAAAAATAAAAAAATTAGCCAGGGTGGTGGCTAATTTGCCTCTAGTCCTAACTACTTGGGAGGCTGAGGTTGGGAGGATTGCTTCAACCCAGGAGGTCAATGCTGCAGTGAGCTTTGTTCGTGCTACTGCACTCCAGCCTGGGTGACAGAGCATGACCCTGTCTCAAGAAAAAAACTTAGAGTTCCACTTGTTCTGCATCTTCACTAGCATTTGATATTTTCCGTTTTTCGTTGTTTTGTTTTGTTTTTATTTTAGCCACCGTAGGGGTTGTAAAATGCTATCTCATGGTGGTAATTTTCACTTCTCTGATTACTAATCAGGCTGAATACCTATTTATTTGCTTATTAGCCTTTTGTATATCTTCTTGTATAAAGTGCATATTCAATTGTTTTACCCATTTCATTGTTTCATTCCTTTTTTATTATTGATTTGTTCTTTACATATTCTGGATATAAATCCTTTAAAAAATAATTGTCTTACAAATAAGTTTCCCTGGTCTATGTTGCTTATCTATATTCCTTTTTCCTTAATTTTTAAAAAATTGAATGTTACTTTGAATTATTTTATCTCATGTATCCTCTCAATAGTCCCACTCTCTTCACTTGATGATAAATTAGAAGCATCTAAAAAAACCAATCATTCCCCAAAAAGTAAATTAAAACCTTTCTATAGCCATTGTTCAGTTCTAGTTACTCTATTAGCCTTGTTCAAATCGTTGTTTTTTTTTTTTTTTATAAAAGCAAGCTTTATTTTGCTATCTGATGAGACAATATGCTAGTTTGAGAGTTTGGAATAAAAAACATGGATATTTGTATTATTAAGGAAAGTTTCCAAGCACATAGTTATTAAGGAAAGCACATATTATTAGGCCAAGTTTCCAAGCAAAAGTCTTAGAATAGACATAAAGATGTGAAATAATGAACGGTGACCTTAGTATTTGCCATTGTCATTGTTCCATGCAATATGTTTAAAAAATGTTTTTATTTGATAGTGATAAGAATACTATCAGATCTAACCTCTTAAAATTTTAAGTGTGCAATACAGTATTGTCGACTGCTGATACAATGTTTGACTGCAGGTCTCTGGACTTAATCCATCTTGCTTACCTAAAGTTTTATGCCTGCTGACTCATAAATCCCCATTTTCCCTTCCCCTATCCCCTGGAAACCACCACTTTACTTTTTGGTCGTATGAATTTAGCTACTTTAGATACCTCCTGTAAGTGGAATCATACAGAATTTGTCTTTCTGTACCTGGCTTATTTCACTTAACATAAGGTTCTCAAGGTTCATCCATGCTGTTGCATATTGTAGAATATCCTTCCTTTTAAGGCTGCATAGTATTCCATTGTATGTATAGACCATGTTTTTTTTTGTTTTTAATCCATTCATTTGTTGATGGGCATTTAGGTTGCTTCCATATCTTGGCTATGGTGAATAGTACTGCAGTGAGCAGAGGAGTGCAGATATGTCTTTGAGATCCTGATTTCAATGCTGTTGGGTATATTTCCAGGAGTGGGGTTGCTAGATCACAAGGTAGTTCCATTTTTTAATTTGTCAAGGAAATTCTGTACTGTTTTTCGTAGCAACAGCACCTTTTTGCATTTCCACCAGCCATGTGCAAAGAAATTCTCCACATCCCCACTAACACTTGTCTCTTGTTTTTTGTTTTTTTAAGAGCAGCTGTTCTGACAGGTGTGGAGTGATCTCTCATTGTGTGTGGGTTTGAGTTGCATTTTCCTGATGATTGGTGATGTTGAGCATCTTTTCATGTGCTTCTTGGCATTTGTATGTGTTCTTCGGAGAAATGTCTAGTGAAGTCCTTTGGCCATTTTTTAATTGGGTTATTTGTAGTTTTGTTATTGAGTTTGGGAGTTCATTATATATTTGGGATATATGGTTATCAGTATATGGTTTGGAAATACTTTCTCCCCTTCCATAGGTTGCCTTTTCACTCCATTATTTCCTTTGCTGCACAGAAGCTTGTTAGTTTGACGTAGTCCCACTTGTCTGTTTTTGCTTCTATGGCCTGAAGCCTATTCACATTCTTAAAAGTATCTTTTGATGAATAGAAATAGTTGCTTCATTTTACCTTTTACTCTTTACATTTTAATTTGGATAATTTTCTTGACCTGTCTTCAAGGTCTCTGATTCTTTTCTTTGCCCATGACATGAACTTCTTATTTCTGATGTTACATCTATTTTGTTTTATAGCTAGCATTTCTGTTTGTTTCTTCTTTTGTATTTTCATCTTGCCACTGAAATTCCCCATCTCTTAACACATGCTGTTTGCCTTTCCTGCTAGATTCTTTTATGGATTTCCTATGGATGTCTTAAAGGATATAGATGAAATATCTAACATTTGCATACCTCCTGCTATTTCACATGTCATACGTGCAAACATAAATATGCATGCATAATAGACATTGATTATAAAAAATAGTGGAGACCGAGTCAGTCATATTTTCGCCTAGAAAACATCACACGCTTCATCTGTGTGGCCCCTTGGTAAGCTGCCATTTCAGTGTGGTTGTGATTTGTTTGGTTTTAATTAGGTTCCGCTCACCCCCTTGGCTTCAGATGCTTTGAGAGGGGATCCACACTTTCCCTTTAGCAGAGCTTAGGATCTGAGCATTGGTGAGACTCTTAAGTCATGCTCTGTTTGCAGCCTGACTGCTCACTTGTTGGGTTTTTGAAGGGTCCTCTTTGTTTTCTGTCTTGCCCTGGATTTGGTCATTCCAAATTCCCATCCTAGCTGGGGAACAGGGACAGGTGTGTGGCTGCCCATGGGGAAGATTTGGAGTGCCTTGGAGGGGTGCATCTGAGCTTCCCTGCACTGCCTCACTCTGAGTTTTTTTTGCACTGTGTGGTGTACGATTCCCCAGGGGGCTTCATGAAGACTGCAGGAGTGCATTGAAGGGTTGGCTGCAGGTGGGCTGTCTGGCTGGACCTCATCAGGATGCTGATCTGCCGTGCCAGCCTACCTACACCCAGTCGTTAAAAACTCCTTTCAGGGTCAGCTGGATTCTTCCTCTTCTCCCTACTCCTGCTACCAGGGGTGAAAGCAACTGAAGGTTTCTTCTTTGTAGGAAGGTTCATCACATCCTGGATTCTAGTTCATTTATGTTTTTTCTGCATCTTCAGCCTTTTTTTTGTCGGGGGGCGGGGGGACAGGGTTTTGCTGTGTTGCCCAGGCTGCAGTGCACTGGTGTGATCATGGTTCACTGCAGCCTTGCACCCCGGGGCTCAAGAGATCCTCCGACCTCAGCCTTCTGAGTAGCTGGGACTACAGGCATGTGCCACCATGCCTGGCTAATTTATTTATTTATTTATTTATTTGTAGAGATGGGGTCTTTCTATGTTGCGCAGGCTGGTCTCAAACTCCTGGCCTCAAGCAGTCCTCTCGCTTTGGCCCCCCAAAGTGCTGGGATTACAGACATGAGCCACCACCAGGTCCATCCTCAGCTTTTTGATGGATCTTAAAAAGCCATGATTTTAATTGGAAGCCTCATAAATCACTGTTGGGAATGTGAAGTGGTTCAACCACTCTAGAAAACATTCTGGTAGTTCCTTCATAATTTAAACCTAGAATTTCCATATGACCCAGCCATTCCACTCCTAGGTATGTACCCAAAAGAATTGAAAATGGGTGTGAATGTTCATAGCGGCATTATTCATGATTTCCCTAAAGTGAAAGCAACCCAGACATGTGTCAGCTGAGGAATGGATAAATAAAATGTGGCACAGCCATGCAATGCAATATTATGTGGGCATTGTATTGGTCCACTCTCACACTGCTATAAAGAAATACCTGAGACTGGATAATTTATAAAGGAAAGAGGTTTAATTGACTCACAGTTCCGCATGGCTGGGAAGGCCTCAGGAAACTTACAATCATGGCAGAAGGGGAAGCAGGCACATCTTACATGGTGGCAGATGAGAGAAGAGCAAGTGAAGGAGGAAGAGCCCCTTACAAAACCATGAGATCTCATGAGAGCTCACTATCACAAGAACAGCATGGGGGAAACTGCCCTTATGATCCAATCACCTCCCACCAAGTCTCTCCCTCAACACCTGGGGATTATAATTCAAGATGAGATATGGGTGGGGACACAAAGCCTAACCATATTAGGCATAAAAGGAACAAAGTACTTTTGGTAACACTGTAGTATGTTTATGCCGATATTATCAGGTGGGTGAGCCTAGAAAACATCATGCTAAGTGACAGAAGCCAGATACAAAAGGCCTGATTATTTTCCATATGACCCAGCCATTCCACTCTTAGGTATGTACCCAAAAGAATTGAAAACAGGTGTGAATGCTCATAGTGGCATTATTCATGATTTTCCTAAAGTGAAAGCAACCCAGACATGGTGCATGATTCCATTCATATGAAATGTCCAGAATAGGCAGATCCGTAGAGAGAAAGCTAATTAGTGGTTCTCAGGAGCTGGGAGAGAGGAATGAGGAGTGACCACTGACAGGCACAGGGATCTCCGTTTAGGGGTGATGAAAATGTTCTGGAATGAGATACACCTGACAGTTGTACAACATTGTTGTACAATTAAATTGATGTACTAAATGCCACTGAGTTGTACACTTAAAGTGCTTTAAACGGTGAAGTTGATATTACGTGGTTTTATAATAATTTAAAAAGAAACTATGAGTTCAAGGCTTCATGGCTTCTTTACCTTGTCAATGTGTGTTCACTGGTCCCTTTGGCTTTCCACGTCTTAATTAGTGTGGAGTCCTAATTAGGGAGAGAGGTCAGGCTAGGGGGATGGAGGGAAAGTAGAAAGAGAAGGCAGGTAAGTTATAAGTCTCCCTTTCTTCATGCTCCAGAACAGATAGCCCTCCTGTGCAAATAACTCACAGTCTGCCTACACCCAGCTATCTCCAGACCCTTGGCTGATAGAAAATTGCAAGTTATCTCACTGCAACCTTGGCATTATCGGTACTGCACAAAGCCCTCTTCAGCACACAGCACAAGCACCATCCTATAAAATCCCCAGCAAGTCTTTGTCTCTTTGCAGTCAGCTCTTCTCTCACTGACCTGCCTGTTGCACGCTTGCAACGTATTTTCATACTCTCTCTAATAAATCTGCTTTTTTTTTTTTTTTTTCTTAACCTACAACTGTCTTGGTAAATTCTTTTTATTCCTGCACCACCGACCGCAGATAGTCGCCACTCACCCATGACAATTAGCAGTTAAAGCTGACTGCTCTTTTCATAGCCTATAACTTTAAATTTGTTTTTTTCTGTAAACATTTTCAACTGGCCACATATGTCTTGAGTAGACAGAGGCTAATTGTCAGCTTTTGCTTTCTGGGTTGTTCTATTAGGGTGCTATGGCATAGGGTCCTATTAGGATCCTATGGCAAAGAGCAACAGTGAGGGTAAGTGGAAATTTTTAGGAAAACTTGACCACATCTGGGGTAACAAATTAAGGCCCAGGGGCCAGGAGTTTGGTAGAAGCAGCGTGAATCAGAAGCTCTGGGGGAAATGGAGTCGTCCCCAAAAGCAGGCACCAGCTGCAGGTGCATGAGTGAGGAGGGAGGGATGGTGCATTTATACACTGCATTAGGGCTAGCGAAACCTTTATACAGTGCATTAGCGTTAGCAAAAGGCACTTATAGGACTTTATCCCCTTTATTTTTTTTAACCACCTTGAGAAATAGAGAATGGGTTTAGAGAAGGCAGAGTGACATGCATTTTGTTCTGTTGCAATTTGGGTATTCTTATGCCTTAGTTTGTCTCTGATATCTTTTAGCCAAGGGGAAGAGGCTGGCAAGGTTTCCATTAAAATTTATTTTCACCTTTACTTATACCAATTTGGTAGATATAGCAGGCGAGCAGTTTCCTACCTTGAACAGGGGCATGAGAAGAATGTATCTGCTTTTGCTGCAGACAGCCCAGGTCTGGAGACCCTGCGATTGGGAAGGCTGGTTCCACTGGGTAGAAGCACTATTGTGAATAGTGATGTAGTAAAAAAGGGAGTGCAGGTGGTATGGTTTGGCTGTGTCCCCACCACAAATCTCATCTTGAATTGTAATCCAAATTATAATCCCCACATGTTGGGAGAGGGACCTCATGGGAGGTGACCGGATCATGGGGGTGGTCCCCCCATGCTGTTCTCATCGTAGTGACTGAGTTCTCACAAGATCTGATGGTTTTATAAGGGGCTTCCCCCCACTTCGTTCTGCACTTCTCTCTCCTGTCGCCATGCAAAGAAGGTCTCTCCTTCGCCATCACCTTCCGCCATGATTGTGACTTTCCTGAGACCTCCCCAGCCATGTGGAACTGTGAGCCAGTTAAACCTCTTTCCTTTATAAAGTACTTGGTCTCAGATATTTCTTTTTTTCTTTTTTTTTTTTTTTTTTTTGAGATGGAGTCTCACTTCTTCGCCCAGGCTGGAGTGTAATGGCGCGATCTTGGCTCACTGCAACCTCTGCCTCCAGGGTTCAAGCAATTCTCCTGCCTCAGCCTCCCAAGCAGCTGGGATTATAGGCATGTGCCAGCATGCCTGGCTAGTTTTTGTATTTTTAGTAGAGATGGGGTTTCACCATGTTGGCCAGGCTGGTCTTGAACTCCTGACCTCAAGTGATCTGCCTGCCTCGACCTCACAAAGATATTTCTTACAGCAGTAAGAAAATGGACTAATATAGCAGGTCTTCCTTTGGCACATTGATATATTTCCCTTTAGATAAATACTCATTAGTGGGCTTGCTGGATCATATGGCAGTTCTAGTTTTAGTTTTTTGAGAAGTCTCCATACGGTTTTTTATAATGGCTGTACTAGTTTACATTTCCACCTGCGCAGGTCACCTGCTGGTCATCTAATTACCAAAGCAATTTTTACAAAATTCCTCTACATCTTTTTATTTATAGATAATCACAGCTGTATGCACCAATTTATGATCCCTGAAAAAAGAGCAGCAATTATGAGACAGCTTGTTCAGGGGAAGGAGCTCAGTGTACAGGTTAGGGCCTCCCATCGCTGTCTTCCTATGTCAGATGCCCGGGCTGATTACCATGTCTATGAAATACCTCTTTAACACAGAGGGTTAACTAGCTTGCTGCAGTGGGAGGTAAGAATAACAACAGCCTGGCCATCCACTGATCCTGGAAAATGCTCATCCACAGAGCAGCTGAGCCAAGATGGTTTGAGCTATCTTTGTCTTGTTTCCTCATCTGGTTGTTAAATCCCAGAGGCCCTCTGATATTGACAGCGCAGATGCTGATATATATTAAATGTGTGGAAGCACTTCATGCCATCCCCAAATCCCTTGCTTTTTCTTCTCCTCAAACTTGTGTGTATTTTATTTTCTCTCCTTTTACATCTGCTGCCCATGGTTTTGTTCTGCCTGATTTCCCCTGTAACATAACCCCTGGTTACCAAATGCTGGAAAGTCAGATAAGATGGGAATGCTCTATGGCGTTTCATCCAGGGGATCCTGGAAAATGCAAATATACAAAACCTATCATGACCAAAGCTTCCTGTGAGGTCCCTGGAAAAACTCTGTGCACAGAGATGCCCTCAGGGGGCAGAATAACACTTTATTATTTTCTCCACTACTGGTCCTCAAAGAACTCTCACAGGAGACTGAATTCTGCCCAGAGCTCCTTTCCTGCATGTCCCAGACATCCACCATCATTTCCTCCTAAGTCCAGACTGACTGACTGACTCTGTTGCCGACATGCAAGGAAAGGGACTTCTCTTGGTTTAACAGGAAAGGAAATAGAGGGACAGAGCAAATAAAAGGGTGGTGGAGCTGTAGGGCTGGGACAGAGACTATATGGGAGAGTAGATGTTGGACAAGGAGGGAAAATTGACACTCCAGTCAGAGGCAGCTCTGGCCTCTTAGCTCACTGTCATTCTTAAGGCAGTCTCTGGGAACCTTGGCTTCTTTAGAACACTCTACCTCTGAAATCTGTGACCTAACCCATGACTTCAAACTTGAGCATCCTTTAGGCACTTGGAGGATGTAAAGACTATCCTCATCCTCATGGAGAGTTTATTGTTCTTGAATCTGATCCTTTTACAGGAGAAAGAAGAAGTCTTAGGCTCACCCTCTGTTAAGTACAAAAGTTTCAATATATGTTTCTAGACGTGTTTTTTTTCTTACAAAATCCTTCTATAATTCACTATTACCAATGAAGAGATCATTTAAACATAGCCTTCTCAACCTTTTCTTCAAATCCCACCATCATGAACCATTTGTCCACTGTTCTACAGTGCCAAGAACTCTCCAAATATGGTGGCCTCTTAACATGCCAGAGAGGAATGTTTTCAGACTCCCCAGATTGTTTAGGACCGCTATGGGACACAGTCCTCTCCATCAAATTTGGTACCTTGTAAATAAATGAAAATATTAGGTAAGCTGTGATGAGTGGTTCATAGCAAAGCATTTGGATTTGGAGGTTGGGTAGAGGTCTTAGATCTGAGCAAGAGAGAAATGGCTCCTTCCACATGGTAACTTTATGGTGAGCACCATTTATATCTTGCCTCAGGGAGAGCACACATATTACACATAATGGGCCTTCTGGATCTCATTAGAGAGGTTAAAACCAAAATTGCAACAGAGGTATCCTGCCTATGATGGCACTCAAATGTATCCCAAGTCTGTACATTTGCTAAACTAACAGGGATGAGGAGCTTACACCAAGGTAACATTAATTCCAGTTGCCTTGGTCTGTGGTATGCACTTGTGTTTGAAACCTTGAACCTTCTTCAGAAAAACTGTTTGAAAAATATTTAGTTAGCCGGGTCCATTGGTTCACGCCTGTAATCTCAGCACTTTGAGGGGCTAAAGTGGGAGAATCATGAGCCCAGGAGTTCAGGACCAGCCTGGGCAACATGACAAGATCCCATCTTTACAAAAATTTTTTAAAAATTGGCCAGACAGACACAGTGGCTTGTGCCTATGGTCTCAGCTACTTGGGTGGGAGGATTGCTTGAGTCCAGAAGGTTGAGGCTGCAGTGAGCTGTGATCATGCCACTGCATTCTAGCCTGGGAAACACTGAGACCCTGTCTCAAATAAAAATTAGTCTTCTGAAAAACATAGGGAAATTAAAGGAAATTGAAGTCCTAGCAGAGATATCCAATGTTGGTTATTACACACTTGTGTATGTGAATGTGCTCTTTTTATTTTCTGGTTCCTTTTACCTTGTTTTATACATAACCTTTAGATAAGCTTTGAATTAGACAAAACATGTTCACTTTGTTTTTAACAAGAATGTTTTTCTACAATATATATTTATTGGAAAATACCCAAATAAAGAAATACCTATTATTTAATTTAATATAACTTTATATTCTAAATTATGACCAATTTAACTACAAGTATTTATCCTATTACATTTATCTATTTTATTTTGTTTACCTAGATTATTTATGAAAACTGTGATAGTTATGATTTAAAGTTATAAAACCCCCATTGCAAAATTATAACTGAGACAGTGAAAAAAGATTTGACCTAACTGACTCCATCTTGCTCTGAACCTCCAGGCTGTCCTTGTTCATTCCTGGGCATAGGTCAAACTAACTTTGGGAGGAACTTAGTTTATAGATTAGCTTTGAAACAGAGATGATAACAGTCCTTTCCCAAAACAAACCTCCTTACTGCCTGTGGACTAGACTGCCTAAAGCCACGAGATTAGAAGTTATGGTAATTTTACTAAATAATTAAAGATGTAGCTATTTTCATTAAACCAATATCAATGTCTTATTTATTAAAAATTACACAAGCAAAGGTCGTTCTGTTTTGGGCTGGGTTTTTAGTTTTGTAACCCCTATGCCAAAATTTGACACCTTATAGTATTTGGCAGGGATAAGTATGACATTGCTTAATTAATAAATGCAAACAATGCATGCTGACAATTCTTAAGAAATTTCTAATATTACTTACCAATAATTTTAAAGCTAACTTATTTATTAAAGGTTTTAAGTTATATAAACTTGAAAAAGCATTTGACTAGTCCTTTTTTCCTGATAAAGTATTTAAGTGTTTTTATTTTTCTTTAAGCCAATTAATTAGAGCTCTTTTATATATTTTTAGTAGTGAAACATTGTGTACACAACGCATAAATACATAGATGCATTAGGTATGCGAATGAAAGTACATTTTGTAGATCCATAAAGACCATCCTTTTTTTTTTTCTATCTTAGACTTTCAGATTCTTGATAACCTGTTTTACAACCTTAGGTGGTTGTCAGCTAAATAGCCTTAAAATTGCATGTTAAAGGAAACCACTCAAGTAAAAATCAAACAGCAAATTTACATCATAAGGCAGAGAGAGAAAAGATCTGGTGTTGCTAGAGGGAGATCCTTTTATTTTTCTTTGAGCAGATCAAACGTAAAATTACACATATCTATTATGTGATTGCATAAGGACACCAATTTTGTTTAGATAAGGACTATCTATCTTTTAACTAGATTTCTGAACTCTGGCCAGAACCCCCCCAAAAACCAAAGATTTGCTCAAAAAAAAAAAAAAAGACAAGTTCTTAGGAGAGAAAAACAAAACAACAAAACACGAAGGCCTTTTAAATACAAACATGCACACACACACAAACACACACTTTTTGTTGTTGTTGTTAGTAGAGACAGGATTTCACCATGTTAACCAGGCTGGTCTCGAACTCCTGGCCTCAAGTGATCCACCCACCTCGGCCTCACAAAGTGCTGGGATTACAGGTGTGAAGTACCATGCCTGGCCTCAACATAGTATTTTAAAGTTCATCTGTGTATTGCATATTGCAATATTTCTTCATTTTGTAAGGTTAACAATATTGCAAGAATAATACTGTAAGAATAATATTGCATTGTATGTTGTGATGGTTAATTTCATGCATCAACTTGACTGAGCTAAGGAATGCCCAGATAACTAGTAAAGCATTATTACTGAGTGTGTCTGTGAGGGTGTTTGTGGAAGAGATTAGCAGTTGCTTATTTTTATTTTTATGGATTTAGGAGTACAAGTGTGGTTGTGTTACATGAATATTTTGTGTCATGAAGTCTGCACTTTTAGTGTACCCATTGCCCCCATCATCCAAATAATATACATTCTACCCAATAAGTAGTATTTTCTCCTTCACCCCTTCCCACACTCCCATCTTCAATAGTCTTCAATGTCTGTTATTCCACTCTGTCTGTCTGTGTGTACTCATTGTATATCTCTCCCTTATAAGTGAGAACATGAGATTTTTTACTTTTGTTTCTGAATCATTTCACTAGGGAACATTTTCTTTGCTGTGGTAAAGTTCCTGTTATGTAAGCACATTGTTTACATGTCTTCTGCAGCAACATGGATGAAGTGTCCTCCAGTTTCATCCATGTTGCTGCAAAAGACATGAGCCCATTCTTTTTTATGGCTGAGTAGTATTCCATGGTGTGTGTGTGTGTGTGTGTGTGTGTGTGTGTGTGTGTGTACACACAATGCGTGGTGTAGATAGATAGATAGATAGATAGATAGATAGATAGATAGATAGATAGCACATTGTTTTTATCCAGTCATCGTTGATGGACATTTACATTGATTCCATCTCCTTAGCTCCAGGTAGATTCAGAGAAAAAGCATCAGATTATAGAAGCATAAACATCACAGGGTTTTAGACATGATAGGAGCCTTTTTATTGTACAGCTGTAGAAACAGGGACCTGCAAAGACTGGGTGACATGTCCAAATGTTGACAGCTAGTTAGCAGCAGCAACAGGATGGCAGCTACCATCTCTGGATCCATTGCTGATTGTCCTCCCCTCCATCTCATGATGCATCAACTGGAGCAATGACAGAGAAGGGGGAAAATAAGGGGAAAGCCAGGAGTGGTGGCTGACACCTGTAATCCCAGCTACATAGGAGGCCAAGGTGGGAGGATTCCATGAGTCCAAGAGTTTGTGATAAACCTGGACTACATAGCGAGAACCCATCTCTACAAAAATTTTTTTAAAAATTAGCTAGGTGTGGTGGTGCATGCCCGTAGTCCTAGCTACTCAGGAGGCTAAGGCAGGAGGATTGCTTGAGCTGGGGAGTTCAAGGCTGCAGTGAGCTGTGATCGTACCACTGTGCTCCAATCTGGGTGACAGAGTGAGACCTTGTCTCTAAAAATTGTGTTTTTAATTTAAAAAATTAAAAAATCAGCAGGAACCAATAGAATCTTCACACATGCAACACTTAGTGTGTCTTCACTAAGTGAAGACTTCAGTGTAAAGACTTCAAATGTAAACAAACAGGTTAGGCAAGGCTTACTTTTTTAAACATAATTTTTAATTAGTATTTTATTAATACTCAATGTATATTATAATGAATTCAACTATACTAGGTATAATTGATTGTATTGAGAAATACAAAGACCAATGCACCAGGTACTGTTGTATAGTCGATAGAAACAGATTCGCTAAATCAATAAAACATGAACATTTATTTTAGAAAAATCACAAGTGATTTAAATAGGTATTTAAATCTATAGAAAAGTCTGTTTAGACACAATTTCAGAATGGGTTTTTTCTGTCCTCATGTCAGACTATTTTTCTTTATCGATTTAAAACAGGACCTTTGTTGGATAATAGCACTTTGTGAATCAAATTTCACCAGTGTACATACCTTGGATTGAACGAAGCTGCTTTTCTTCTAAAAAATATTGTTTGTCGTGCAAGTTTTTCTCTGTTTTTAATAAGCCTTCTTCCCCATCGAGCAAATAGATCAGGAACATTTTCTTTGCTGTGGTTAAAGTTTCTGTTACGTAAGCACATTGTTAATTTTCTTCTAATGAACAAATTTAATATAATTACATCTCTAGTTATAAAAATGTTCCTTTGTCTCTCTCTTTCCTAATGATGCTGTTGTAGGAATAGCTGCTTTCTCCACAAAAAAAGTTTTTCGTGCTCTTTTGCCAAATTAAGTTTGTTCAGAAAAATAATTTTTAAAGGGAAAATTATGCAGTTTTTCAGAAGTTAATGTGCCATGTTCTTAATATTTTGGAGTGGAGCAGCTTTATTTAATTTTAAGTACTTTTATGTTAACTGACTCTGTTTCAGTTTTTTGAAACCTCTTTATCAATACCTTCTTGTAAGCCAGGCTTGTAGGAAAGAAAAAGCAAAGTCCACTTACTTCTGCTGGTAATAATTTATATACAGTGGGATTCTAAGTGGCTTTTTTTTTTTTTTTTTGAGACCGAGTGTCACTCACTCTGTCACCCAGGCTGGAGTGTTGTGTCTCGATCTCGGCTCACTGCAACCTCCGCCTCCCAGGCTCAAGCGATTCTCCTGCCTCAGCCTCCCGAGTAGCTGGGACTACAGGCAAGCACCACCACGCCCGGCAGATTTTTTGTACTTTTAGTAGAGACACGGTTTCACCATGTTGACCAGGCTGGTCTCAAGTGATCCACCTGCCTTGACCTCCCAAATTGCTGAGATTACAGGTGTGAGCCACCCTGACCAGCCTTAAGTGGCTCTTAACAAACTTAAATTTTCACACATTCTTAATTGGGCTAGATGGTATTTCTCATCCTAGTCCTGATAATATCTACCTCCAGGCACATTTTGGAGGTATAATGAATGATATGCTGAGCTAACCAAAATCATTTTGTGATTCAGAGATTAATATAGGCATGAAAAATTATTAATGGGCTTTTATCCTATTGTGTTCAATTTCAATAAAATGGTCTGCACCTGAACTAACCCTTTTACCACAAAGCATAGAAAATGGAAATGAATCTTCTCCAAGGAGCGCGCGCGCACACACACACACACACACAGATATGTATGTGTGTGTGTGTGTGTGTGTGTGTGTGTGTGTGTGTGTGTATATATATATATATATATAAAATGGATCCCTTCTATGATGGCATCTTGGTGTGGAACAAATTCATAATCTTAATCCTCCAGTATTTTTAATTGTTCCCTACCCAGCTAATGGGACCAGTATCTTTCCAAGGAACAAGGCTGAAGTCATCATTGACTGTTGCCTCTTTCTGACACTTCACATCCAGGCAATTACCAGCTCATGTTGATTGTGTCTCAAATCGGCTCAGTTCTCTCCAGTTCTCTCCCACCTGCCCCTGTGCTAGTCTGGACCAGCTTCCTTGGGGGGTTATGGCCATTGTCGTGCGATCCACTCCAGTTTCTGCCCAACCCTTCTGCCAGGGAGCAACCAGAATGCCTGCGGGAGTGAAACGAAACCATGCCTGTCATCCCTAGTGTCCTCAATCTCTGCTTCATCACTTCTGGATAAAGATAAATGCCCCAAACCTAAAACAACAGAAAGGAAAAAGATAAATGCCCTCCATGTCTGATCACGATGATTTATCCTGACCTCTTCTCCACCTCACAGTCAGACTTTTGCATGGAAAAAATAACCAACCAACCAATGCGCACAGTTTGTAGGAATACTGCAACATCAGCAACTTATACAATAATGATAAAAAACAAAGAACATGGAGAGAAACACACATATTACCTGAGTGGCTCTCTGAGTGGCTGGTTGATGTTTCTCTTTTGTACATTTATAATAGTAAAAATACAACAAAACATTTATTTAAAAAAATCAATTTTTGTGTACAAAAATCACAAAGCATAATAGTCCAAAGTAGGTCTCTAAATAGCTAGGTTTTTTTGGTGAGATTTTAGTTAGTCCTCATATAGAGCCTGAATTTTGCTCTATTTAATCTCTTTTTTAGCCATTTCCCTTTGGTCTACCCTAAATGCCCTTTTCTAATTCAGGTGCTTTCAACTTTCAGTTATAAAACAAAAATTCATTTTTACATGGTTGCTGAGCAGAGACATGTGTCCTTAAATTGCTTATATAAATTCTGAGACTCATTACTAATGAAACATGTTCTTAAAATAAGTTCAACATGACATTTCAGAGCCGCTGTCCTGGGGAGCTTTTTTCTCGTCCTCATTGACAAAATTGACCTTCTCACCTCAAGCTATTGGAGTTATCTACTACTGTGTAACAAATTACCCCAAAACTTAGCAGCTTAAAGCAACTTGCGTTTGTTATCTCATTGTTTCTGTAGGTCAAAAATCTGGGCACAGCTTAGCTGGATCCTCCTTAGCTTCTACGTCTCTTTCAGGCTACTTCAGGTGTCATGGCTGTGGTCTCATCTGTGGTCCAAAAGTAGCAGGATCTCTTTCCAAGCTCATTCAGATAGTTGCAGGCAGGACTTAGTTCCTTGCAGGATGTTCACCTGAAAGCCTCATTTTTTTTTGCTGGCTGTTGGCTGGACACTTCTCTCTTTTTCTTATAACATGGGTCTCTCCACAATGGCCACTTACTTCATCCACAGCCAGCAAGCGATAGAGTTTGCCAGCAAGATAGAGGTCATAGTCTTTTACAACCCAATCACAGAATTGACATCTCATCACTTTTTCCATATCCTACTCATTGGAAGTAAATCACTAGGTCCAGCCCATACTCAACAGGAGGCGATTGTATCAGATGTGAATACCAGAAGGGAAGTCACTGGGGCCACTTTTAGTTGGCTGACCACATTTTTGTTCAAAACTCTATTAGTGTACTTATTATACTCTACATAACATTTTATTATTATTAATAGTTGTAATTTTAATAATAACTTTATAAGTTAATAATAACTTAATATTATTAAATAACTATAATGAACAACTATGGCCTCTTACTATGATTCCCTTGCTGAATCAATAAGTACTAAGAACCCAGAAGGAGAGACCCTGTCTCTATAAAAAAAAAAAATTAAAAATTAGCTGGTCATGGTGGTGTGCCCTTGTAATCCCGGCTACTTGGGAGGCTGAGGTGGCAGGATTGCTTGAGCCCGGGAGGTTGAGGCTGCAGTGAGCCGTGATCACGCCACTGCACTCCAGCCTGGGTGAAACAGTGAGACCCTGTCTCAAAATAAATAAATTAATTAATAAAAATAAAAAGGTCCTAAGTGTGTAGTTTTATCTTCAAAATAATACTTGTAAGGTATTATTATTCCTTTCTTACAGAAAAGAAAACTAACAGGCTAAATATATAGCTTGTGGTTTCACTGCTAGCAAGTGGGGGAGAAAGAAAGAAAACCTCAACAGCATAAACTGCAGTTCTGACTCCACTGCCCACCTTAGTGGGTTTGGTACTTGTGCATTTCCTCATTTGACCTGTCAGAGTCTTGCAGGGTGACTGTGTGTCTCATACAATCATAGAACCACCATAGGACTGCTATAATGTCATCTTTCTGGGTTTTGCCCTGTATTTGTGGAATTGAAATAGATTCGGTTGAATTCTCAGTGAATTGCTTTCCACTGGAAAGGTGTAGCTAGACTAAAATGCTCCTAACAAGTTACATTTGTCTAGCACTTTATTATTTTGGAAACCTCTTTTGGGGTTGGATAGGGCAGGGTCTTACTCTGTCGCCCAGAGTGGAGTACAGTGGCGCAATCATAGCTCACTGCAGCCTCAAACTCCTGGGCTCAGGCCATCCTTCTGCCTCAGCCTCCTGATTAGCTGGGACTACAGGCATGTGCCACCACACCCAGCTAATTTTTACATTCTTTGTAGAGATGGGATCTTGCTATGTTCCTGCAGCTGGTCTTGAACTCCTGAGCTCAAGCAATCCTCCTACCTTAGCCTCCCAAACTGCTGGGATTGCAGGTGTAATCTACTGCATCTGGTCGCATTTTGGAAACCTTTTATCGCTAGTATCCTGAGTAACTCCCCCATGGTCAAGGTGACATCTTAGGGTAATGTGCAGAAGAGTGATTCACAAGGAGAACATGCCTTCTAAAGCCTCATGGCTGGTGGCCTGAGATGAGGCCAGAGCTCTGACTCTTATTTCTCCTCTCATTCTGCTAGTTCTTGACAAGCAGAGAATAAAAGCCAGCAAAAAGAGAATTAAGGAGAGTTAGGAATGAGAGGGTAGCTGTAACAAAAACAAACAGAGACTATCACATTCCCTGGGTTGGTTATCTTTCAGGAAGAATCGTGGTGATCTGCGTTTGCTTTTTATGAAAAGGGGAGACCCCGAAAAGGGAGGGAGGTGAGAGGACTATTGGAAGTAGGTCAGGGGAGAGAGAGAGAATTTTATGTTTCCCAGGCTGGGAGCTGTGTCTCACGCCTATAATCCCAGCACTTTGGGAGGCCGAGGCAGGTGGATCACTTGAGATCAGGAGTTCGAGACCAGCCTGGCCAACATGGCGAAACACCATTTCTACTAACAACAACAAAAAAAGATTAGCCAGCTGAGGTGGCAGGCACCTGTAATCCCAGCTAATCAGGAGGCTAAGGCAGGATAATTGCTTGAACCCGGGCGGCAGAGGTTGCAGTGAGTCGAGATCACACCACTACACTCCAACCTGGGCAACAGAGTGAGACTCTGTCTAAGAAAAAAAGAAGAAGAGTATGGCTCCCAATGACTAATGTGTAGGAGTAAGGATTCTTTGACTGGGGTTCAGACAGGCAAGGAGCATGATGCTGTTGTGCAGAGTGTAACTCCTGATAAAAATGTAAGGTAGCAAAAGATTTGCCACATGGACAAATGACAAAATAAGCAACTTAGAAGGCATGAGAAGAAGGAATGCTTGCAGCCTAATGTTTTCCTTGAAGAGCCTTTTTGGAGATGGTTGCCTATGTGCATTAGAATTTAAGAGCTTCCATAATTTGCGGAAGTATGTTATACCCGAGAAACATTGTCTGTTAACACCGAAGATGTACTTGTGGGTGCAAATGAGAAATTTACACCTACTCAAATGGTTTGGCATTTCCAAATCCTTTGGTAGATGCCGATCTGCCTACATACAGGAGCAGAGGGAATGAATTGCAATTCTGTTATGTTCAGGAGGTGAAAATTCTACAGATGATAGGGCGGGTAACATGCTAGCACTAAGTTGGTGGTTTCAGCTGGGGACAGTTGTGTTCCCCAGAGGACATTTGGCAATATCTGGAGGACATTTGTTATTTCACAACTAGGGGAGAACAGAGAAGTTGGGGACAGCATCCTGTCGGGGTTTAGTGGGTAGAGGCCAGGGATGGTGCTAAGCATCTTACAATGCACAGAACAGCCCCCTCCCCACCAATAAAGACTCATCCAGTCCACATGTCAATAGTGTTGAGGCTGAGAAACACTATTAACAAAATCTGAGGTCCCTAAGTCAAATATCAACTCATGATAAAAACATGTTCTCATGTTATTTTTTCACACAGGAGAAATTGGTTAAGAAGTAGGTAAAGCAGTTACAGTGCTTGGTACATACTAAGCACCCAAAAAACTGTTATTTTAAAATAAGAAAAGTTATGTATTTATTTCCTGTATCAACTGAAACATGAACCTAGTAATGAAGTAGAGATGCAGAACACAGCCTGCTGGCTCTGGCCTTCTCTGATATGAATGCTATATGTTGCACTCTTATGGGGACAGGAGGTTATTAAACTCACTCTTTTGCAAATTCCTGGTATTAGTTATGGATTTGTAAGCCATTAAATCTACTTAGGGACCCCTGATGCTCCAACCCTGAGCTTTTCGTGGGCATTATTAATGGTGTTTTCAGTTTTCTTAAAAACCTCTAGTGTGTCTCACTCTTCATATTTAAAGACGGATGCTAATTTTTGAATCTTCTCTGTGCCCCGTAAAACCTTCCAGCCATTTAAAAAAATAGTGCATGGCCCTGCTTAATTTCCTCTCTGGTTGAACTGGCATGAGGGCCTTTTAATTAAACAGAATAAACATACATTTTTGATTTAATGTGGCTTTCTTTGATACTTGCTCAACCAGCCCCTGCTCACATGGTGTCTACAGTCTAATTAGGAAGGGGAACAATCATCTGATCTCAGATTTACAACCCTTCTCTGTCATTATTTATTCATTTGCCTAGTCCACAAATCTTGACTATTTAATGTGTGCGAAGCATGAGAGAGGATGCTAGGGATATAGCCAGGAGGCATTTAGACTTCTTCCTGGCTGCAGAATGCTTCCAGTGCAGCAGGGAAGATTAAACGCAAAATAACTCAAACTGCACTTGCTTGTATCATCAGTGCTGAGAAAGAAATGCACAGTGATAAGAAAAGGGGAACTTCCTCCCATGCAAGGAATCTTAGAGGGTGTCCCTAGATAAGTCACATGAAAGCTGGGGATGGGGGCTGAAGATTGGCCTCTCCAAATTATCTCTGCCCTCCTCTCATTCTTCAGCCTTTCCGCACCTCACTCCAATATGAGGTCCATTGTTACAATCGTGGTGTTGAAGGTAGGAGAGTTCACCTTTTATTACACCCACCTAGCTATTTAAACACAAGCATGTAGTACTTGTATAGATATATTTGCTCATATTTGCAATTTCTCTGTCACGGATGTGGGGCTGGAGCCTGGATTTGCCAGCCAAAGAGTTAACAGATGTTGAACGCAATGAAGAATTGTCTCAAAACAGCTGTTCCAAGAAAGGGATAGTGTTTCGAATAAAAAGAACATTTGTTAGAGCACACATCATCTTGAGCCTAGCCGTAAAAAAACCCGTTCACAAGATAAGCCATTGTTCGCTCTTTGTTACCAAGTTTGTGTTTAAGGAGTTAAGATTTGGGAGAGACTTTTTTTTTTTTTTTTTGAGACAGAGTCTCGCTCTGTCGCTCAGGCTGGAGTGCAGTGAGACGGAGTCTCGCTCTGTCGCTCAGGCTGGAGTGCAGTGGCGCGATCTCGGCTCACTGCAAGCTCTGCCTCCCAGGTTCGCGCCATTCTCCTGCCTCAGCCTCCCGAGTAGCTGGGATTACAGGTACCCGCCACCACACCCGGCTAATTTTTTTTTTTGGATTTTTAGTAGAGATGGGGTTTCACCGTGTTAGCCAGGATGGTCTCGATCTCCTGACATCGTGATCCGCCCGCCTCGGCCTCCCAAAGTGCTGGGATTACAGGCGTGAGCCACCGCGCCCGGCCCTGGGAGAGACTTTCAACTTAGCTGCAGGTCCTGCCCAGCACAGTGTTCACAGTCTGCAAGGAAGGTAGCAGGGTATTGCATGGGATTTTATGTTAATGATGTTCAGGGGATGATAATTCTCACCCGGGAAGGAAATGATCCATTAGTTACACTCTCAGTCTGTGTCTTAGGCCAGCATGAAGCCATTACATATCTTTAGCTGCAAAATAATAATTTTATGATGAGATAAGGGGTAGTTTTATTTCTGGCCTATTTTAAAAGAGAGAAGATGCAAGGCCTACGCCAGGGACTAAATCATTTCACTTCAGACTTTGTATAGAATTCATGTCAAATAAATGTCATAAATTATAAATAAGACATAAGTGTGTCACATAAAATAATTCTATGGTAATAGTTAATGACAGAGCTAAGCTGAATAAATATAGCAAATATGTGTGTGTGTGTATGTGTGTGTGTGTGTTTTCATGTAAACATTTTCCTCTATCATAGAAAGTGAATGTGACCATCGAACACATCCTTGAATTCTAGGATTAGTCCCATGGATTTAAGTCTCCCAAGGAGATAAAAGTGAAGAGACTTAAAATAAAACAAACAAAAAACTCTTTTGCCCTATTTATTTGAATAAATAAGAGTAAGATAGTCAATCACTCAATCACTTTGCAAAGCTTAGGAATCTAACTGAATAACAAAAGTACCAACTCAATGTAGATAAGGAGAATTGAGTGGATCAGGAGAGAGAGAGGTGATTGACTATGATTAGTAGTGTCATGTGTGAAGGAAGTACCCCCGGACTGCCAGTCACATAGCTTCCCACATTTACTCTGTCTTCTTTAAAAAATATCATGCTTCTCAAAATACTTCACATTCTAAGAGTGCAGCTGCACGAACATAGAGTTGATGATTGCATGGAACAACTGTATAGGATGTTGTAAGAAAATATACTTCTCTTGGAGCTAAGAGCTATGTAGTTGACAGTGACTTCTCTCTCATTACTGGATGTCTACTCTCTCACACCAGCTTCCTCTTTTGCTGTAATAGAGTACTATTCAAGCAGGAGAAATTTTTGTCTCCCTTTCTCCCAGCAATGGCTGGTAGAGTCTGGAGACATCTTTGGATCTCATAACTGAGGGGAGTTATACATGCTACTGGCATGTAGTGGGTAGAGGCTTGAGATGTGCTGAATATCCTGCAATGCACAGGACAGGCCCCTACACTAACAAATCATCCGTCCCCAAATGTCAATAGTGCAGAGGTTGAGAAATCCTGATTTAATGCAATTCATGACCTGTAATGGAACCCATTATCCTGGCTAATTTGCATTTGTGTGTACTCCTTTACTAAGGCTCAATTAAGTAATTTAGTGAATATTTATTCACTCGCAGGGCCATGGGGGAGAACTGCAAAAGAAAATTGAGGGATTATAAATACCTAATGGGAAGGCAAGGTGAACACACATGAAAACAAACCAAAAAAATTCTACTTCAAAATGTTATTGATTTTCTCCAGACCCTAATTATGTATATTCTATCATTTGCAGTGCATACCCTTTGTCTGTCTTTGCAAACTGTCAATTCAGATAATATAGTGTCTTAGTGAATTGTTGCCACAATAATGTCATGTACCAATTCTCTTCCAAGCTCAACAGATTAACACAACAGTGTATATTTTCATTGGTTTGTCTGTTGGCTGAAACAAACAAGCTCCAGGCTGTCTGTTGGGCTGTGTCTGCTACAATGCATTTACTCTGGGGCTCAGGCTGAAAGGGAGGTAGCACATACTAGAGAAAGAGCTTCTTGTGGTGATGGCAAAAGTACAACAGGACCAAGCTAAACATGCAAGCATAACGTTTCTGTTTCCCTCACATCTGATAGCATCCCATTGGCTAAGACAAATCACATGGTTGAGCTCCAAATCAAGGCTGAACAAGTATACTGTGGTCTCTATAAGGCCAATGCAGGATACATGGCCTCACTCAATACCGGTGGGTCAGAGAAAGGATTGCGTTATTTTAACTAATAAGTTCATTTTAATATTTCCATTTCAAATTTAACATTATAAGAATTTTTCTTGTTTTTTTAAGATTTATTACTATTTATAATTGTGGCAAAATACACATAACATAAAATTTTCCATCTTAACCATTTTTAAGTGGCATTAAGTATGTTCACACTGTTTTGCAGCCATCACCACTATCCATCTCTAGAATTCTTTTCATCTTGCAAAACTGAAACTCTGTATCTATTAAATAATTATTCCCAATTCCCCTGGGATTGAGTACTTATTTAAAAAAAATAATAATCTACCACCCATTTTTAATGGGAGCAAGGCTTATTTTTATAGAGATAATTGGCATATAGCATGCATTTATAGTTGTCAGCCCAACCTATGCCCAAGGTGTATTCTATCCAAGATACAGACATGTATGTCTTCGGGACCTAAGGTAGGAGCCCCACAGAAGTGTGTTTTACTCAGATAAAAAAGCCTTTTGGGAAGGAATTCCTTCCAAGTTCAGGCCGAGAAGCAGTATGGGCCATAGCCAGGGAGCCTGCATTAGAGAAATTGGTTGACATTCAGACCCATGTCCATCAATCACTCAACAGGGAAGTCTACCTAATTCTCAGGTTCCAAGCAGTAGTAGGTTAATCCAAGGGGGAAAAAGTGAAGTGTGCTTTTACTGAAATCTACATGGAATATTAGGAGCTTAGGGCATCAGCAGCATATAGCTGGCAGCTTCAGGAGCAACCAGTGCAGGAGCCAGCCAGCTGGCAGCAGTAGGGGCTTTAGCAGTGTTAAACCCCAGAGCCCATGAGATGGAGCTCAGTATCCTTATCATCAGCCACCAGTGGTGGGACTCAGACTGGGTAGGCAGTGGTTGTGAGGTCCTTTAGACAGGACCTGTTTCTATCAGCAGGAACAGGAGGCATCACTACAGAGCCCTGGGAAATGACAGGCATTATTCAGTAGCCAAGGGAACTGCTCGAGTAATTAGAAAAGCACTGAAGTCTCCACCATGTGGAATGCTGAAAAGCCCTAGAAATACTGGGTTCCAGGGACAATCTGAGAGAGAAGAGCCATAGGGAGTCCTGGGTGCTAGTCTAGATACCACAGCTTGCTATGAGTATGACTAGGGCAATTCATTGAATCTCTCTGGGTCTTTGTTTTCCCTTCTAAAAGTAAGAGAATTGGGATACATGATTTGCCTGGTCTTTTCTAACCGATACTGTATTACCTGAATATTATATGAATGTTGTTATATGATCTCAAGCCAGGCTTTATATTCATGCCACGTTTTGGTTGTAGAAAGTCTGTATTCTTTATTTATTTAATTGGTTAATTAATTAGAGAGAGTCTCACTCTGTCAACTAGGCCAGAGTACAGTGGCGCCATCAGAGCTCACTGTAGTCTCGAACCCCTGGGCTCAAGCAATTCTCCTGCCTCAGCCTCTCGAGTAGCCGGAACTACAGACGTGCACCACCATGCCGAGAAAATTTTTAAATTTTTTTGTAGAGATAGGAACTTACATATTTCCCAGGCTGGTCTCCAACTCCTGAGCTCCCCCAGTCCTCCCTGCTCGGCCTCCCAAAGCACTGGGATTATAGGTGTGAGCCACCATGACCAGCCAATCTCTCTGAGTCTTTGTTTCTCCATCTGACAATAAGAGAATTGGGATACATGATTTGCAAGACCTTTTTGAACTGAAATTATATTATCTGAATGTTGTGATTTGCTCTCAAGCCAGCCTTTAAGTTCATGCCAGATTTTGGTTGTATAAAGACCATAGTCTTAAACCATGCTTTAAAAAAAAAAAAGAAAGAAAGAAAGAAAGAAATAGGCAATTTCTCATTTCTTTCCAAGCATAAATATTAGCTTAAGCATTAAGATAGACAAGGTTTTTGTTGTGATGGCATTGTATAACTGGATTATTTCATGCAGTCTTATGTGAGGAATTCAGTAAGAAGTTACTTTGCATCAGCTTTATCTGTATTTAGCATTTAGCAGATTAAGCCGAATTGAGGGCCTTTAGACTAAATGGCAAAAATGGTTTCACGTAATAATAGCAGGGTGCTTTTTACATTCATGATATCTGTTTGAACATGTTAAATTCAAGATACCAGATATATGTCTGTATGGAGACCTTAATTCAGTATTTGGATATACAGTCTCTCTGGACATAAAACTTAGGTGTTTCTAAGCATTCATTCAGTATTTAATCTCACCAAGACAGCATATGTATTTCATAAAGGTAGGGAGGAGATGAGGAAAGCAGAAAGTGTCTTGAGGCTCACAACATTTAAAGTGCAGACTGGACAGTGGACACTCAGAAGTGGCACCAGGCCAGGAAATATGTTTAGTCGTTGTTTGATTGTTTCTTTGAGTATTTTGCACCAAGTTAGCCTACACATTTGTTTAAATTATTAAATTGATGGTCATACAACTGCACATGCAAATCTGTGTGTCTGTCTTCTCTTTAAAAATTGGAAGCTGCTACAAGGGTGACATTCTTTAGGAGGGGTGCAAGCTCTTGGCTGGCAAAGCCCCTCCCCATATTGATGACTAAACCCAGGCCATTTCCCATCCCCCATCCAGCCTCTGTAATTATGTGGGGTTGTGTTCCTGATTCTGAGGTCCATGAATGAGGAAGAACCAGCAAACAGAGACTCTGCAGAAAGAGAGACACAATAGGAAACTCAGAGAGTATGTTCAAAGAGCAGTGCATTCCTGAGCAAGGGAATGGCTCACTCTGACAGGTGTTGCTGGAAAGCCAGGGAAGAGACTCTGCCACACCATGTGCACTGGCCTTGATGTCCAGTGTCCTTAGTGACTCTGGGGGAGCTGTCTGCATGCACCAAGGCTGGTGTGAGTGCAAAAATAGATGCAGAGTGAGGTCAAGCTCACATGCCAGTTCACACGCTGAAGGACTGTCAGTGCTCCCAGATACACGGCAATGAGGGTCCAGTGTCAGGAGAGAACAGATAGGTAAACTAAAAGCCCAGACTCCACCACTACACATGCACGTAAGACACCTGCGCTGTACCCCCTAAATCTATAAACATTTTTAAAAATTAAAAGTAAATAAAATTGGTCCTCACCATCATCCCAGCTACTCAGGAGACTGACATGGGAGGATCACTTGAACCCAAAAGTTCAAGACCAGTTTGGGTAACATAGTAAGACCCTTGTCTCTAAAAAATAAAAATAAAAATATTACCCAGGCATGGCAGTGTGCACCTGTAATTCTAGCTGCTCAGGAGGCTGAGATGGGAGAATCGCTTGAGCCCAGGAGTTGGAGGCTGCAGTGAGTTATAATCACACCACTGCACTCTAACCTGGGCAACAGAGCCAGAACCCTGTCTCAAATTTTTTTAAATAAAAATAAAATTACTTAATAGAACAAAGAAATTGTTCAATTTCTTTCACTTTACAGTTAAGAAAACTAAGATTCAGAGAACTGATATGATTAACACCTACCCCTGACTCCCCCACCTAGAATAAAGGTCATAAAATTTCTCCCCGGGCCAGTGAGAAAAATAAAGTATAAAAATTTCTCCCCAGGCAGATGAGAAACAGAAAGAGAAAGTAGTGAGTTTTGTCTCCTGATGTCAGGGTCAGAGCCACAGAGACTTGGTTCTGGAAGTATTTGAGAGTAAGAACCTGGCTCAAGGCTGTGAACCAGTTGCTGGGAGAGGTGTTGCCTACCACTGCTGGTGGGAAGACTAGAAGGACATCGATATTGAGTAAGTAAGACCTCAGGCTACCACACTGCACACCTACCTGCTACCTTCCGGGGAACCAAGCCAGGCCTCTCTCTGGCTGGGAAACCTGTTGAGCAACCTCCTCATATTTGCTGCCAACATAAGCTCCGGTTCTAAATGGAGAACCTGTTGCAGGGTGGGGCAGCAAAACCTCAAGAGTGAGAAGAGAGGCAAACAGCAAAATGAAGTAGAAAGCCCACGTCCTCCTCAACAAGAAGGGGTCTAACTCAAAGGAAGCAGGTTGCTGGAACACGTACACAGACCTCCATACAAGAAAGACATCATGTGTGTGTTCAAGCCACCATCCTCCCCAAAGATTCCATCACCTGTTATTCTTACAAGGAATGAAATGCAGTGAGGTGAGAGCGTGTTGGGATGGCAGACATGGACGATGGATGAATTCTCTTCCCTCTGTACATTTTCCAGCACAAAGAGCTGCCCCAGGCTGTTGACCCCATACACTTTGAGTTTTGAAAGGTTTCTGTGTTTCCCTTAGAAAGCTACTAAACCAGGACAGGCACAGTCGTTCAGGCCTGTAATCAGCACTTTGCAAGGGTGTGGCAGGAGGATTGTTTGAGCCCAGAAGTTCAAGACCAGCCTGGGCAACATAACAAGACCTTATCTTTACAAAATCCACAAAAATTAGCTGGGTGTGGTGACACATGCCTATAGTCCCAGGTACTTGGGAGGCTGAGACAGGAGGATCGCTTAAACCCAGGACTTCAAGGTTGCAGTGAGCTAAGATCCTACCACCTCACCCCAGCCTGGGCAACAGAGCAAAACCTTGTCTCAAGCTGACATCCTTCAGTTCCTTTTTGTGTCCTTGTCCTTTACAGGAAGATGAAGATCCCTTTCCTCCTACTGTTCTTTCTGTGGGAAGCCGAGAGCCACGCAGCATCAAGGCCGAACATCATCCTGGTGATGGCTGACGACCTCGGCATTGGAGATCCTGGGTGCTATGGGAACAAAACTATCAGGTTGGTAATGCAGCTCCTCAGTAAACACATGGCTGTATTCATAGGCAACAGTCCCCGGGATGGTTATTGTTGATCTACAGAGCACAGAACATGTAGAAACGTTCAAAACCCTCCAAACCATGCCTGGCTTCATGTAGATACACTGAGATGTAGGTGTCATGAAGGCAGGTGTGAGTTTATCTGTTTGACTATGAACAGGGAGCTGGATGAGCTCAGGGAGATCACTAAGAAGGTGTGCATCACAGTTCTTCTTTACTAATGGCTACGATGCTGCTTTCCACACATTCACATTTCCATCCCTTTTGTTCACCTATTTCGTCTTCTCCTTTTGGCATCTGGCTTTATTCTGGTTGGTTATGGGTCTGTACTACTCTGTCCTGGCTCATCAGTGACTTACTCTCACTCTCACTCTCACTCATGCCCAACTCTCCCTCTTCTAGCCCAGGCCCTACCCTGTCGTCAGCTATGCAGGCTGTCTTAGTCTGTAAAGGCTGCTATGACAAAATGCCATAGGCTGGGTGGCTTCTAAACAATAGAAATGTATTGCTCATAGTTCTGGAGGCTGGAAGCCCAAGATCAAGGCATAGCAGATTCAGCGTCTGGTGGGGACGTGCTTCCTGGTTCATAGACAGAACCTTCTCACTGTGTCTTCACATGGTGGAAGGGGGGAGGGAGCTCTCTGGGTCCCTTTTATAAGGTCATAAATCCCATTTACAGGGCTTCATCCTCATGACCTCATCACCTCCCAAAGACCCCACCTCCTAATAAAATCCCATTGAGGGTGAGCATTTCAACATCTGAATCTGGGGGGGACACAAACATCGAGACCATAGCTGACAATCAGGAGAGGTATCATGTTTTAGGACCTCATAACTTGCCAGTAATTATCAAAACAGTGGCAACAAGGCAATCAAACGAGACTCGAGGTCATTTGACCCTTGGGTCTGAACATCCTCCCAGAAGTGGGTGTTTTGTTTCTCTCCCTCTGCGTAAAATCAACCTAACATAAGACCTATTTTAAGGACCCTTTTGTTTAAAAAGGAAAGTAAGCCCTTGGGGAGTAGAATACTGACATTAAAATTTCACTTTCTCTTCCTAATAATGTGGAGATGATGGCATAAAAATAGTTCTATGGAGAGCTTCATCACATGAAAGATCAATACAAACTGAATTAAAGGAGAGGATGAGGAAAGAGATTATTTGCTTCTACCAGAACTTTCTTTTTTCTTTTTTTCTTCTTCTTTTTTTTTTTTTTTTTTTTTTGAGAAGGAGTTTCACTCTGTCGCCCAGCCTGGAGTGTGGTGGCACGATCTCGGGGATCACTGCAATCTCTGCCTACTAGGTTGAAGCAATTTTCCTGCCTCAGCCTCTTGAGTAGCTGGGACTACAGGTGTGCGCCACCATGCCTGGCTAATTTTTTGTATTTTTTGAAGAGATGGGGTTTCACTATGTTGGCCAGGCTGGTCTCAAACTCCTGACCTCGTGATCCACCTGCCTCGGCCTCCCAAAGTGCTGGGGTTACAGGCATGAGCCACTGCGCCGGCCCAGAACTTTCTTGTAGGATATGTGAATACTAAATACCTGAAGCCAGGAATGGACCCATTGCCAAGTGCCATGGGGCGCTGGTTATTTTCCTTCCATTCTCTTACTCCTCATCTTCTTTTTAACATGAGAAATCTTGGACAGTATATTTAATCATTGCATATCAGACCAAACAAAAATTAAATAGATTATGATATTAAGGAAAATCTTTCCCACAAGACATAGCCAAATATGTCTCACTTTCAATCTGAAACTTTGCATCAAATGTTGCTTTTTATTTTTTTAAGAGTATATTGACTTATGACATTGCTTAAATTTTAAAAAGCATATGCAAGGGTAAGATCTGCAATTTTAAGAGAGCACTTTAAATGTCCTCTTAAAATTGTAATTATCTTTGTATGTTTTCTGCCCCACCTTTTGCCTACTTTTGTAAAATGTTTACAGATCACTTTATACATTTGTGATATAGATCTTATTAATTTAGTTTTTCTTATCAGCATCATAATTTTATTCAGCTTTTTCATTTTATCTGTTTCTTTAATATTATGTATTCCTAAGATATATTGAGATAGTAGATAACTGTTCCTACCAAGATGTCTTAATTAAAAAGTTAAAATCAAGCCTTTGAGGTTAAATCTTTACCAATTATCAAAAGAAAAAATGTCTATAAAGCCCCATGGAAGAATTCATGGCAATATATACCCTAAATCTGCCTTGGTCTCTGTATTAGAGTCCCATTATTTCTGAATTACATTTTTCATTTTTATATTTTGTAATATCACACCCCAAAATAGTCACTTTTTTTTGTAGGCCACTATAGACACTAGGAAGATTAATTCAAATGTAAAAACAGTCTCTGTCTTCTAAGCATCTCACCCTTTAAGAAAAAAGCAAATTAGAAATATTGGTAATTAAACACATTCACTAAATTAATAAATGGTCACTAGTTTGACATTACAGATGCAATAAAATTATTTCCCCCTTCAAGCTATGCATCATTGCAGCACTACTCTGTGAGGGCACTGATCTAGGGAAGCCATGGGACCAATGAACAAGATGTATACTCCCACCCTACAGGCAGCCATCTTGAAGGGGAGCACAATTAGCCATGCCATTGCTTTACAGTGAAGAAGCTGCTTGTCTGGTGGAGTATGGACTACTGTTCCAAATATAGGTCAATCCCCTTGCATAAACAAGGAAGGGCACTGGAGGCCCATGAGAATTCCATCTGTACCTGGAACTGAAGGATGGCAGATGACAAGCCAGGCAGGGAGGAATGGACCTGGATTCCTGGTGAAGGACGTGGATATATCTTGTGGGGTATAACTTGGTATGGTCCAAAAACTAAAAGATATTAATTCCTAAATGACTTCCCAAAATGTTCAGCCAATCCATTCATAGAGAAAGGCTAAAGGTATCACTCTACAAGTGAGCTCATAAATAAGTATTTATGAAGCATAAAAAATATAAGCCAGCAAAGGGTATGTGGGGGTCGCAGCATCTAATTTCTTCACTGTAGTGTTTGTGCCTTTTCCCTGGAGCGTATTAACCCATTTATTGATGCTCACTGGTTGAGGCACATGGAGTCTGATTATTCCCTGTCCCTGGGGGCATGTAGAAATTAGGCAGGGGCTCATTAAAGCTGGTTGTGGGATTCCCTTTGGCTGTGGTTGGAAAGAGAGGGGAGTCAGATTGACCCTGGAGATTTCTCTTTTGGTGACACAGAGGTAACTTAGGAGATGTGGATCGGAGAAGAGTGAAGCCTCATCCTCATTCACCCCTTACTTTCCCTCCCTGCAGTATCCTATTTCAAAGACTTGGTTTCTCTCTTCTAATTCAGGGCTAGTGGGACCAGGAGCTCAGAGCCCTCTGTAACATGAATGGACCTTTTGGGGATGTCCCGCCTGCATCATTCACACATCTGCATGGTTTTGTTGTAGCTTGAGTCTTGATTCTGTATCACTTCTTCCCCACCTCCCCTGCCTCTCATCTCGCCTCTCTTTCCCACATAACCCCAGACTTGCCTTTGCTCATTGAGAAGTTTCCCAGTATAAAGAGCCATAGACAGTTTCATTTTGAAAATTATCACAGAGCTGGGCACAGTGGCTCACGCCTGTAATCCCAGCAATTTGGGAGGCTGAGGCGGGCAGATCACTTGAGGTCAGGAGTTTGAGACCAGCCTGGCCAACATGGTGAAACCCTGCCTCTACCAAAAAATGCAAAAATTAGCCAGGCGTGGTAGTGTGAGCCGAGATTGCGCCACTGCACTCCAGCCTGGGTGACAGAGTGAGATCCTGTCTCAAAACTAAATACATGAACAATAAATGAAAATGATCACAAATGCTATGATTCTTTTGTTCTAGGACTCCCAATATCGACCGGTTGGCCAGTGGGGGAGTGAAACTCACTCAGCACCTGGCAGCATCACCGCTGTGCACACCAAGCAGGGCAGCCTTCATGACTGGCCGGTACCCTGTCCGATCAGGTAACCTCCTATCTGCATCGCAGGGGCTGTGGTCACCTTCGGGACAGTCTCCCACCTCGAGGTATCTCCTGGTTCCTAAGGGTTGATTTTTTCCTGGTCCAGGAATGGCATCTTGGTCCCGCACTGGAGTTTTCCTCTTCACAGCCTCTTCGGGAGGACTTCCCACCGATGAGATTACCTTTGCTAAGCTTCTGAAGGATCAAGGTTATTCAACAGCACTGATAGGTATGGACATCTATGGGATGGGAACCATCTATAGGTATGGGAATGGGAGGGAGGACTTGGACAAAGTTAGCAAAAGAGTGGGAGAGGACATCATGACAGTTATCTTAGGGATGACTTTGCTGGTACACTTTGCATAACTTTAAATGGAAACAAAATGATTTCAATTGTAGGTTAAAACACAATGAGCCTATCTGGACTACTCAAATGTATAGATGTGTGTGTGTGTGTGTGTTGTGTGTTTGTGTGTGTGTGTGCATGTGTGTATAGATAAATAGATACTTAGGTTATACCTAATGATAGATGGATGAATGGATAGATGGAAGAAAGCATTGATGAATGGATGGATAGATAGATAATAGGTAGAGAAATAGCTAGCTAGCTAGATAGACAGATGCAGAGAGAGACAAAGGTGAGATAGATGGGATGGATGGATGGATGGATGGATGGATGGATGGAAGGAATAGATGATAGCTAGCTAGCTAGCTAGCTAGATAGATAGAGAAATAGAAAAACAGACATAGATAGATAGATAGATAGATAGATAGATAGATAGATAGATGCAGAGAGGGACAAAGATGAGATAGATAGATAGATAGATGCAGAGAGGGACAAAGATGAGATAGATGGGGTAGATGGATGGATGGATGAAATAGATGATGATAGATATGATAGATGGTTGGATAGATAGATAGATAGATAGATAGATAGATGTTATATATAAATAGATGCAGGGAGAGAGACAAAGATTACATAGGATGGATAGATAGATAATGAGGCAATTGGATGGATGAAATAGATGATAGATGGAACAAATGAAAGATAGACATATACATAGAAAGAATATACAAAACTATTCACACCATGCTATTGATAAAGATTTTCATTTTACTTTCCAATATAAAATTATGTCAGAATTTGTCTTGGTTGACACACCCACTGATTTTATCATGTAGATAGGGTTGACACCTTCCTTTTTGCATGAAGAGCTTGAATCTAAGCAGGCCATAAAATGAATCCTAGCAAATCTCAGAGGAGCAAAATGACCCTTTTCTTTCTTCCAACATCTTGTTAAAAAACTATCATTTTTTTCTTTTGTGAGGCACTCATTAATTTAGTGATCTAATTAACATTTTATAAGAAATTTTCAGAGGTGCTTAAAATAATTGCTGAGTTACTGAGTGTGATTTCCTCATGCCTCAGGGGTAGGTTCTGAAGTAAGGATTCGTTTCCACTTTTAACATTCAAGGAACAAAATTAAGTTGCTTCTAAAACTTTAATTTTAAGGGCCTGTCTCAGAAAAGCATCTGACCAGGAAAAAGAAAAAAAAAAAAACAAACTTGTATTTTTCTGTAGAGTGTGGTTTCCTGCCTATTAAAGATATTAGCTAGTTTTCTTTTTGGATTTTTATCTGATTGGGGTTTTTTGTTGTTGTTTTGTGTTGTTTTGTTGAAATCACTAAATTAGTTCTTATTTCTTGGTAGAGTGAGTAGAGGATTTTTATCTGGTTGAGATTTTGTTTGTTTTTTTGTTTTGTTTTGTTGGAATCGCTAAATTAGTTCTTATTTTCTGGTAGAGTGAGTAGGTAATACCTTAGCGTTTGTGGGGAAAAAAAAGTGAAAAATTCTAGGGTCCTATGAGCGGGAAGGCTAGCTTCATGAAATAGTCAGAAAGAACCTCCTTTTCAGCATGTAGGAACAGAAGCTTGGATTGGAATCAGGGTGTTTATTGGGACTGAAGTGATCCCCCATTTGTCTTCTCAGGGAAATGGCACCTTGGGATGAGCTGTCACAGCAAGACTGACTTCTGTCACCACCCTTTACATCACGGCTTCAATTATTTCTATGGGATCTCTTTGACCAATCTGAGAGACTGCAAGCCCGGAGAGGGCAGTGTCTTCACCACGGGCTTCAAGAGGCTGGTCTTCCTCCCCCTGCAGATCGTCGGGGTCACCCTCCTTACCCTTGCTGCACTCAATTGTCTGGGGCTACTCCACGTGCCTCTAGGCGTTTTTTTCAGCCTTCTCTTCCTAGCAGCCCTAATCCTGACCCTTTTCTTGGGCTTCCTTCATTACTTCCGGCCCCTGAACTGCTTCATGATGAGGAACTACGAGATCATTCAGCAGCCCATGTCCTATGACAATCTCACCCAGAGGCTAACGGTGGAGGCGGCCCAGTTCATACAGCGGTGGGTATTGCCTTGTCCTCTGATGCTGCCTGTTAAAAAACATTCTGGGTTATTTCTCGTGGAGGTGGAAGAACCAACAGGGTTTTGTTGTTGTTGTTGTTTGTGGTTTGTTCGTTTTTTTGAGACAGAGTCTTGCTCTGTCGCCCAGGCTGGAGTGCAGTGGCGTGATCTCGGCTCACTGCAAGCTCTGCCTCCCGAGTTCACGCCATTCTCCTGCCTCAGCCTCCTGAGTAGCTGGAACTATAGGCGCCCGCCACCACACCTGGCTAATTTTTTGTATTTTTAGTAGAGACGGGGTTTCACCGTGTTAGCCAGGATGGTCTCGATCTCTTGACCTCGTGATCCGCCCGCCTCGGCCTCCCAAAGTGCTGGGATTACAGGCGTGAGCCACCACGCCCAGCCAGAACTGGTAGGGTTATTATGCTAGCCACATTTTCCCTTCCATGCCTAACACATTTCTTCAGCCAGAGCTCGCCATAGCACATGTTTAATGGCCTTAGAAAGGTATTGCAATGCAGTGTGCTCTCCTTAGAGTCTCTTTGCCAACATTCCCCACATCCTGGGCTGGAAAGGCCCATGGCAAATTAATGTCTGCTGATGACAAAGGAGGTGTCAGATATCCCACTGGTTTTTTGTTTGTTTGTTTGTTTGAGAGGGAATCTCTCTGTGTCGCCCAGGCTGGAGTGCAAGTGGTGCGATCTTGGCTCACTGCAACCTCCACCTCCCAGGTTCAAGTGATTCTCCTGCCTTAGCCTTCTGAGTAGCTGGGATTACAGGTGCCTGCCACCATGCCTGGCTAATTTTTTTTCTATTTTTAGTAGAGACAGGGTTTCACAAACTTGGTCAGTCTGCATTTTGAACTCCTGACCTCAGGTGATCCACCCACCTCGGCCTCCCAAAGTGCTGGGATTACAGGTGTGAGCCACAGTACCCAGCCCCACTGGTCTTTAATTTTCAAATGTGGCCATCAAGAGAGGCAAGATAATGGCTTATGTTTAGTTTATAGGTTGTCCTTGTGATATAAACAATGTGGAAAGATCCAAAATATTTTGGATTAATCTCTGAGCAAACAAAACAAAACAAAAACCTCTGTGAGTAAACTGGGTGAAGTGAATGATGTCTCTTGGGTCTGTCAGGTCCCATTGAGTTTATAGTTTTGGGGATTGCAATCTGTAAATGGAATAACCATCAACAGTGGAGCAGACAGCATTCCTGAATTACATAGGTAGGTATAATATATATCTATATTATAATACATAATATAGAGAGCATAAGTAGATATAATTAAGTAGATATTATATAGAGGCTATGTCAAAAACACTTGCTATTCAAAACAAGCAAATAAAAGTATTTTGTTCCACTTGTAACTGTGGAGAACAGGACTCTAAAGAGAAATGGAAAGTTCATCTGAAAATCAGACGTTTGGTCTTTATGGTGACTTAAACTCTATGAGAGATGTAAAAGAGAGTTGGGAGGGTGATTTAAAAATTATAAAGGAGACAGAGGAAATATAGGTAATATTGGTTTGTCATCCAATTAATTGCATGACACAAAATTGTAAAATCAATCTCTGGATTGAACAATGAATGACAATGAAAAGGAAGTTATTGTGATGAAGGGAAACTATATTAGGGATTTAATTTAAAAACAAGCAAATATGCTCAGCCTAAGAAGAGAATACATAGTTAAGGTATGTGGAAGCTACATAAGTTAGGGCTGGTGAGAAAGGTAAAAGGTAACGTACTCTATGAAAATTATGTTGTCATTTCCTCACATGGAAGATGTTGTGTTCCTCTGTCCAGATCTTGTGTGCCTGGAGTTGATGCTTTACTGGAGGTTGGGAATGGGCAGTGGTTCTCCTCACTCTCTTCTTCCAGTTATGAAACAGCATAGGAGCAACCCATTCACCTGGAGGTACAACAGTGTCCTGCTACCCACAACATCACGGATTATGCAATAGATAAATCATAGGGTGTATTTTAGTATATCTCTCTGGTATCACAAAAGTGTTTCATCAACTCTGACAGAAGCCCACATATGGTTTGGGTGTCTGAACAGACTACGAAGTGACTTACACAAAAGTTGCAATTGATAGTATCACTTCCTCCTTCTAAAAATGAGACACAAATAGAATGATTAGTTCTTATAGTTCACACCGCCTCTCAGTTTTGACAGATTTTGTTAAAATCTAAATTGTCATTGAACTGTGAAATATATAAACTGGTCATTGGTCATTTTAAGTATTCTCAGTTTCAGCCTCTGGGACTTGGCTCCAGAGAGTATTCTATGTACTAGCTGCCCAACGGCTGAGGGAGCACCACACAATTTAAGTTTTTATTTTGGTTAACATCCAACTTCTGCTGCCAGTTTCTGTTTTTGTCAGTGAAGACTGACAAAATCTCAGTGGATTAACACTTGAAGATTTGTTTCTTGCCCATGCAAAATCTATTGCTGGTTGGGTGATGCTCTAGGGAAGCTTTGCTCCATGAGGAGACTCAGGGATCCAGGTTGCTAATATCTTGTGGTTCTGTCATCTCAATAGATGGCCTTCCCAGTAGCGTCCACAGGAGAAAAGAGTTGAAGGGTCCCTTGGGGGCTTTTTGTTACTTCACTGACCCAGGGGTCAGCATGTAGACCAGGCCCCATGTCTCCACCCTGACTTGACATGGGGCTAAGAGGCAGTCTCCCCATGTCTTCAGGAAGAAGAAAATGAAACGGCCTTGCTGAACATATAGCAGTGATTTTCCTACTGCAAACAGTGATTTTCAAATTTGTTTTAAAGCTGAGGAATATTTCAGATGAAATTTTATGAGAAGCTAAGTATGTCAGAGGGATAAAAGTTGCAGTGCTTGGGTGAACCTGGAACAGAGGACTGCATTTGGAAATTGCTGACATTTAATAAAGCCCCATGGAAATCTCATGAACAGCTGGAGAGAAAGGGCAGACTCTGCAACAAAAGAATAAAAGAACATGTGAGCAAACATCTAGTTAGTGCAGACTCTAGGCAAATTAATATTTAACAGACATTTGTAAGTAAAAAAGGTAGGCACACCAGGAGAAAAATCAACACCAGCCTTGGAATTTTAAAAAAGAATTGATATTACAGCTATGTGAGTGGAGGTTGAAGGAATTTGCCCAAGGTTATAGATAGGTGTAAACTAAAGGGGCTATTTTATTATAAAAATTTGGATTGCAGACATGTACCGCATAATAACATTTTGGTCAACAATGGACCACGTATATGACAGAAGTCCCATGAGATTATAATGGAGCTGCCTTATGCAGCTGTACGTTTGTATCTTTTTTGTTTTTTTGAGATAGAGTCTCGCTCTGTTGCCCAGGCTGGGGTGCAGTGGTGCGATCTCGGCTCACTGCAATCTCCCCCTCCCGGGTTTCAGTGATTCTCCTGCCTCAGCCTCTGAAGTAGCTGGGATTACAGGTGTGTGCCACCACGCCCAGCTAATTTTTGTATTTTTAATAGAGACAGGGTTTCACCATGTTGACCAGGCTGGTCTCGAACTCCTGACCTCAAATGATCCACCCGCCTCGGCCTCTCGAAGTACTGGGATTACAGGCATGAGCCACCACGCCCGGCCACGTTTGTATCTTTTATACTGTATTTTTTCCTGTACCTTTTCTATGTGTACATATGTCTAGATAAATACTTGCCATTGCATTGCAGTTGCCTGCAGTACTCAGTACAGTCACATGCGGTGCAGGTTTGTAGCCTAGGAGTAATAGGCTTTACCATATAGCCTGGGTGTGCAGTGGGCTATACCATCTAGGCTTGTGTAAGTGCACTGTACGATGTTTGCAGAATGATGAAATTGCTTAATGATACATTTCTCAGAACATATCCCTGTCACTATATGATGCATGTCTGTACTTGAAGCATTGATGTGAAGTATACTGCTTATTGGTATTTTAATATTTTCATCAGAGAAAAATAGAGTAAAGAAAATCTATAGTTTGGTGTTGTGTTGCGTTTGTGTGTGTATATATATATGTATGTGTAAATATGTGTGTGTATATATGTGTGTGTGTTTGTGTATATATATGTGTGTGTGTGCTTTACACACATATGTATTTAATTTACAAAGAGATAAATTATTGAAATTGATTTCCAAGGGAAGCTATAGGAGATATACATGTACAGCAGCAGCAAGTATTAATGTAAAGAATAAAGAATTTTCTGCCCAGGGTTGGATAATAGCCACTAAAAGTCCTTTAAGCAACTATTTATAGATCTATCAGAATTCAGGTAAGACATGAGCTATTTGTCATGATTTTCACAGGTTTGGGCTGACAGGCACTTGCTGGAGGGGTTATGAGTCGTTCTTGGGCAATATGCCTGTTGTCTGGGTGCCTGTCCTTGGTAAACATTGGGATCTGTGAGTAACCATAGCTCCATCATGTCATGCCCATGCTGACAGCCTGTCTTACCCAGGTGCCAGAGACTGCAGAAACCTCTCGGATTCTGCTCACAGCAAAATGGCATGGTGAAGGATGTCGTGCAATTCCTAAGAGAGGAAGGAAGACTTCAAGCTGTCAGTCACACTCCTGAACATTTATTTCCAGTATTATTTGTACAGAGATACTGCAGAGTTAGTGCCCGTGGTCAGCCCACACAGCCAGATGCAGGCATTGCAGGGCTGACCACCTGCCTCCTGGGCATGGCGCTTGGTTCAGAACTGTACATTGTAGGGTGGCCTTTGCTAGCCTAGTGTATGGTGGCGTATAATGTAGGATCACTATGACTTCCTGCAGGTAGACAAAGAAGGGAAAAGGGAGAGTCCAGGACTACAGGGGTAGACAAGTGATACCTCAGACTTTGCATAAGGAAAACCCCAGAGGTGCTTATTACAGCTGAAGATGGCCAAGATGAACTCTAGGGACTGTCACAGAGTAGTTCCAAATGAGACTTTGCATCAGCATTTTAATAAGCTTCTCAAGACATTCTAAACTGGGTGTTTCATAGGACACTCTAAGAAACACTGGGTTTCATATACATGTATGAGCTTTGGCTACTGTGCAGAAACACTGCAGTTATTTGTCACCTAGATTTTTCTAGAAGGTGATGCTGACAGGTGATCTCATGTAAAAGCTTTGGAACTTTATAAGATACATCATTCAGTTATATCATCATCTAGTAAGGTGCACATAGATATGTGATTAAAACAAAAGCTTATGGAAATGATCTTTCTCTTACTAGGGTGATTGCCCTAATATTTTCTACCCCATTTTATTCTGTTTTTTTTTTTTTTTTGGTAATAATCTGGTTTTGGAACTAATTAATTTCATGATGTATCAATGGGTCACAGTCTACATGATTGACCATGCTCTTACCTAGTGTGTGAGCTTTACTGTGTTTGATAAACAGGAGCACAGCCATTCCAAGATGGAGCGGCGCTCTTGGGCCTATTTAAGGCAGAAAACAACAGTGTGCTGTTTATCAAATTTGCTGGGAAAGCTGGACATCCTTATATCAGTCTTCATCTACCACAAATCTCTCAAAACGAGACAAGGTGGAGATTAATACAGCGTCCATTATACAATGGATAGTCAGAAATGATACTTGGCTTCCAGGGTGAATCACCTTGTATGACATGTATTTTGACAGAAATTATTTAATCTATTAGGTATATAAATATTCATATGATTACAAGTCATTTTAATGGGTATATAATTTTGAGAGGGGACCAAAACAAATTTATTGATCATGAGGATATTGAAGCCTGACAAGTTAATCTTGATTATCTCTAATTATTAGAGAGCTGAGATTTTCTTTTAGAACTACAGATTTAAGATGTTCTGGCAGCACCAAAGTTGAAGGGATGGTTATTGAATTACAACAAAAGGATTTTTTCTTTAAAATAGGTGATTCTAGTGTAGATGGCTATTGTCCACATTGGAGCACTCACAGCATGGTTAATATTAGTGAAAATGCTAGCATCTTGTACACTGTGTACATTCACAAACAGCTTCTTACATACTTTATCTGAAGATACAAAGATTTAAAGCACATTGTTACAATCATCCTTGGGTAGAGCTGTCTATCTGTGTTAGATTAGTTATCTGATTCACAAAATATAATATCCAAGGGTCCTGAGAGAATGGCCTTGATATGTTACCAAAGAATCCTAACATTGGTGACACCACCATGTTCATAAAACATTTTTTCAATGTCTGAAGACACATTTATATGTGTTATTTCATTATCCAGAATATCCTGAGCAATTTAGCCAGGTCTTACCACCTTTGTGAGAAATGGAGGTAGAGTTATTCAGCAGCCGAAAAAGGAATGCCTGATCAAAGCAATGGTAGTATTAGTGGAATTTACTCAAATGCTTTCAAATTTAAAAATTTCCAGTTACAACTGGTGCCTTGTTTAGATATTTTAACATATATATATATATTTGTACACAGCTGCTTCTCAGTTCATCTGTCAAAGGTGGTGAGGAAAATGATTTAAAACTCCTACTTCTAAAATTTATAGCCTTTCTCTACACTGTGTTACTGATATGATTTATACTCAAGGGTTTGCTCCTGAGATGCTAGCTTGCAATATTAGGGTATGAATGACAAGGAGGCATAAGGCAAAGATGCTTCATTGGTTTGTGATTCTTGCAAATGAGGTCCACTTAGTCAAACCCAGTTTGTGGCCTGGGATTCCAAGCACATATTTTCAAGTTGAGGAGAGCGATGATTTAGAATGTATAACCATCCACTCCACAATCCCTCACCCTAATTGACTCATTCAGGGATAAATTTATCTGGGGGAGATGCTTCTATTATTAGAGAGCTGGATAATTAGCTCACCATATGTTATACACTGTATAGTAATTCAGGAGATGGGTCATCCTGAATGCACTTTAATTAGCCAGAAATCCTTGCTATTCTTGCATAAAGGAGTGAATTATAAATTTCTTGGAGATACCCAACTCTCTGTATGTGCCCTGTAGGGTCATCCCATTATCACAGCTTTCGGTTTTGCCATCCCTGTCTTCATTGCAATGCAAAACAGATCCAACTTAGGTGCACAGCAGAAATGGTAACACATAATGGGACATGTTCAAGTGTAATGGACACCGTGGAATGGTTGCCAATTATACGTCAGGTGCTGTGGATACACACATTGTTTTGTGCACCTCCCACACCCATTGCTTCCTTCACACCACATAACAACCTCATGAGGTCGGTAAATAGATGTCTCACTGTGGAGAAACTTTGAAGCTGAAATCCTTTGAATGAACAAAGCTCCACAGGTAATAAAGAGTAGAGGCTGAATTTAAACAGAACTAACTCAACCTTTTAAATTTTGGAATGCTTCATAAACAGTTGGGGGAATCTTTTCCATCTACTCTAGTGCGGTAGACTTATTGAGTGAGGATTAGTCCGAGTGAGGATTAGTTGGAAGAAGATTAGGGCATTGTATGAGTGTCTCAACACCTTTCTCCAGATGGAAGAGTCTAGGTCCAATGCTCAAGGAAGGAGAATGCATCTCTGTAATTCTTATAGATAAGTTTGAAGATCAGTAGTTTTATCATTACTATGGTAATCGAGAAGTACCTGGATGCTCTGAAGAGAAAATAAAGCGTAAGGATGATGGGTGAATGTAGCAAGTTAATTTTATTCACAAACAGCTTTTTTCTTTAGTTCAAGTCAAGGCTAATTTTTAAAAAGGTGTCATGCTGGTGGGTAGAATGAGATTCATGTTTTATGTCTTCAATAGAAAGAGATGGATGTTGGTCACTCTGCTTTGTGAAAAAACAGATATGTTGGCCTCTTCTCTGAATTCATTGAAACAGTGCTTCATTGCTAGGAAAAATATTTAAGTAAATCACTTCGTGTTTTTCTCTGAAGATATATACATGCCCACTTCGAACAGTAGATTTCCAAGAATGGCAATGACTTTATACACACCTACATAATCTGTATAGTATGTTATACAGTTATGGGATTTATAGATTTATCTGGAATTTGCCATTAGTATAAGGTTCTCCAGGCTGAAGTTTATTAAGTTGTTTCAATATATTAAATATATGTATGTATATTTTGAGATATTTTAATTAGAAGTTCAATAAAAGCTAATAAGTTTTAGTCAAGCTCAATGTAGGATAACTCTTGTTCTTTATAGATGAATTTTTTCAGCAAAGGGTTTATGGATAGCAAATCAAAAATTTGGAAATTATGTAGAGTTCTGTTTTTAATCTCTGACTTCCCGGAGTGGTAAGATCTCCTGTTCTGAAAACAGTAAACCCTGCTCCCTGACAACTCTCCACAGAAAACACACCAAGACATCAGCATGATGGAAAGTATCAGTAATCAAGGGGTGGGGGGGAAACACCTACATGAAAAGATTATACATTTAGTGGAGAGCCATGGGGAAGAATCTCTCCTACCATTTCCTATGGTCTGTACTTTTATGATAAATAAATACTCCTTTCTACAAGCATTGCTTGTGTAATCATAATTCCCTAAAATCTATGACAGCTGATAAATGTATTATTGGAAGAAGATATGACCTTTTGTCCTGGTCTATGTACTGCTATCACCATTTGGCACAGTCACAATCCCGAAATGCATTTATTGGGTTCCTCCAGCCTAGCCTCTCCCACTTCCAGCTGGACCCCAGTGTAAGTGGCTGTGATGAATAGCTGTGATTTGGCTCAAAGTGTCTTTTGAATAAAGGGATCTTTAGGAGGTTTCATTAGTTTCGATAAGAGTGTAAGCCAGGAAGGAATGGGGTGATATTGATTTTAATTCATGGTAAGAAAAGTAAATCAGATTAAACACTAAGAGCAATATACAGGGACACACACAGATGCTCATTCAAAAATGGAAAAAGTAAATAATTAAAGAATTATCAAAGAGTCACATTATTCAATAACTGCAGGTAACACATGATTTGTTTCTAACTTTTGTGGGCCTATGGGATATGTATTTAAAAATGAGGGCAACGGGCACAGTGGCTCATGCCTGTAATCCTAGCACTTTGGGAAGCCTAGGTGGGAGGATCACTTGAGCTCAGGAGTTCAAGACCAGCCTGGGCAATACAGCAAGACCCTGTGTCTACAAAAAATAAAGAAATATTAGCCGGGCATGGTGGTGTGTGCCTGTAGTCCCAGCTACTTGGGGGACTGAGATGAGAAGATTACTTGATGCCAGGAGTTCAAGACCAGCCTGGGCAATATAGTGAGACCCTGTCTCTACAAAAAATCAGGAAGTATTAGCTCGGCATGGTCGTGCACACCTGTAGTCCCAGCTACTCAGGAAGCTGAGGTGGGAGAATCTCTTAAGCCCCGGAGTTGTAGGCTGCAGTGAGCTATGATTGCACCACTGCACTCCAGCCTGCACAACAGAGCAAGACCCTGTCTCTGAAAAAAAAAAAGGAGGGGAGGGCTTCTCTTTTGAATGAACCTCTGGTTTCGGGCTGAGCATATTGTAACAATACAGGTACTGAGGGATGTTCGTCTTTTGCCATACTAGATCTAGTGGGTCCATGGCATTCCCAACTCACTGGGGCATAGATAAAGAATACTTACACCTGACCCTGGAAATGCCTCTCCAGCCATACATTTCTGTATCTCTGAATATCATGCCTGTGAATAGCTCGAAAGCCTACATGTTTATGGAAATCATTCACAAACACTGTCATGCTATGTGAACCATTGAAAGCTACCTCTTTCTGGGAGCAAATTCTGACCCCTGCCAGGTTGAGATAAGTTCTCCTCTGAATTCATTCTCTGCAGCACTGAGTGGGGCATTTAAGACAGCTTAGACTAGCTGTCAATGCTCTTGTCTGAACTGTGGGTTGCTGATGGCAGGGTCCGGTCCAGTCTCTCTTTATATTTCTGGTGCCTGGTATTGTGTGTCAGCAGAACATTTGCTTAATAACTGCAAAACTTATAGATGGAAGACATGAACAGCTGGGTGTATAAATCCACCTGCTGCACGCAGAGGTGGTCACATGAACTTTGTGGGGGTTGGGGGTGGCGGTTGTTGATACCGCTATCTGATTTATGCCATACTCTAATTACCAGCAGCAGAAGGTAGCCAGAAGGAATTCACAGACATCCCTATTTGCATTCCTGTTATTCCCTATGCCCACTGTAGTTGGAACAATACTACAATAATAAAGGTCAGACACTCAGATGAAGATTATTATTCCGAAGATCCTCAAAAGTATACTTTATGGCAGACAGAAAAAAAATGCCTTAGCCATCTTCTTGTGTGAATTTTCACTCCTGCCTCTATAGAATGTAAATCTTTTGATTCTGAGATTGGAATGATTACATGTTGCTGGAAAGGCTCAGGGCTGTCTTCTGTATTTTTAACAAATGGAGCGCAGGCATGTAGCAGCTGAAAGTTCTATCTTTTCGCACAGTGTGCAAGACAGTGGCAATAAATTTTCAGAAGAGTTGTTTACTGAAGTACTCCAGCTAATAAAAAAGGAATTAAGCTGTTATTGAGAAATCTTTCTTCCACCAACTTGCTGATGTGTCATTCAGCTTTCAAGGTCGTAGAGAGGAAGAGAAACCCAGATCTCCTTCCTGAGCCTGGGTTTGAAGCAAATGGTCTTTCCTGGTCTCTCAAAGGATATCACAAAGCAAGAATTCCTTCACCTGGGCACAGGCTGTCAGTTACACCCCAGGTGTGTGCAGGAAAGCCAGTGATTTATGTCTGTCTAGCCAACATTCCCATGCACCGTTGATTTCACTTCTGTTCCTGAATGGTAAATCTTGGAACAGTGTTTTTGCAAGCCAAGTATGCTTTTCTCTGTTTTCTGGGTTTGTTTTTGTATGTCAAACCTAATCAACTCTACTCGATGCACAGAGTATACATAAAGATGCTGGTATCTCTGATGTCACCCCTATAGAATAAAAAACCACTGCTTTATAGAGAGATGATAGAAAACAAGTTCCATAAATATGTGAATTTTGATAATAAACACATTAATTCCCTTCTCCCCTTCTAAGGAGGATTCCCCTGCATTCCAAGACAAAGGTCATGTTCCGTAGCCTTGATTGAACCCTGAAGCTCAGGTCTTTGACTCAACTGTTCTTTCAGTCCTCATGAACCAGCTTTTATTTCAGGCTTTATTATTTGCCGGTTGTGTCATCTTTATCATTTATTTCTTTATTTCCACCTCACATTTTAATATGCCACAATTTTATGATCCTGCCAATCATGTTGATGGATGTCTCTTTCTTCTTCTTCTTCTTCTTTTTTTTTTTTTAACTTTTGAGCAAGAGGACTGCTATCCAAAATTGGAGAATCCAAGTCGAAACTGGACTGGAGCCCAGTGCTGGGCATTTCAATCCATGCAATAGCTCCTCGTTCTCAGCAAATTCTGTCACTCACATCCTGTATGACCATGTACTATGCTTGGGAGATTGACTTTTTAAGCTTTCTTATCTATTTTCCTTAACTTTAAATCTAAAAATAAATGGGAGAACAGATGAGAGTGAAATTGCAGTGAGATTGTTCTCATACATAATGTAACTCTCTATTTAGGAACACAAAGACTGTAATTTCATGTTCGTTTTGAGGAATCTAAGCCAGTTTAGGGGAACACAATCTGCTTCTGGGGAAGGAGGTGCAATTTGCCCAGGTGTGAGTAAACTTTCCCCATAATAAGTAGGATGGAGGCTTCACAGTCTGCTCTGTGTGGCCAAGCTCTCTAACATACTGTGGCTCCATTTCAGCTCCTCCAGGTTCCTCAAGGGCATCTTCTCTTAGAAGGAGCCAAACACATGGCTTGGTAGAGATGCTCATATGTAAGTCATCAGCTAGGATGACAATTACAGTGCTTCCATCTAAGCAGTAGTATGTCCTCTTTTCTTTCTGAGATCTAACAGTGAATGTTATAGACCAGGTCCAGTGGGCTCTCATTGCATGCCTTCTTATTCCAGTTCCTGTGAGAGGTGAGACAAGCCACTCAGGATTTTTTTTTTTTTTAACTTTCTTGGCTGTGAGATATTAACAACATTTCCTTGTTTCATATTCTTGTAAAAAAAAAAAAAGGTTGGGGGGTACCTAATTTGCCACCAAGTACTGGAATAATAAAACATGGTACTGATGATTACCAATAACTTGTTAGATTTGATCTGCCTGTTTTCAGAGAACTGGGGATGCCTGGCTTAGCTCTAACCCAAAGTGTGCTGTTTTGTGCTAATTTTCTCTTTCAAAGGAGTAGGGGGTTAATAAATGTAAGAACTGAAAAGGGAAGTGTTACAGCCATAGGTGTGAGCAGTTCGAGGAGCCCAAGGTATATTAACATTAGCAAAATACAAAATGCATTTAGAAAAGCATATATCCATTTATTGTTTCCAGAAAAACTTATTAGTATTTGTGACACCCAGTCCAAAATTTGGAATGTTTTTGGCTATCATGAGAAGTTAAGGAAGCCAGGAATACATAGAAGAAAAATTAATTTAATTACATATATATATATATATATGTAGTCTTCTGAACTTTTACTGGCTGGTAAAGATGTGGACCATAGGAGATGACCCCTTCAAAGTAAGAAGAGACTTAGGAGAGAAGTTCTGCAGAGTAGTCCCTGCTCTAGAGCAACTGTTACATAAACCATGTCCCGTCAAAGTAACAAAAGACTGAGGACAGAAGTTCTGCAGAGGAATCTCTGCTCTAGAGCAACTGTTACATAAGCCACATTCCTTCAAAGTAACGAGATTTAGGACAGAAGTTCTGCAGAGGAATCCTTGCTCTAGAGCAACCGTTACATAAACCACATCCCTTCTAAGTAACAAGAGACTTAGGCAGAAGTCTAAACCATATGCAACATAAACCATTCACAATGCAATTCACATTGCATTCCCAAGGCCCTGTCGTTCACTTGACTGCTGGGCGGGGCTGCCAATGCTCAGAAAGCAAATGCAGTATTTCATCCAATAGCAGAGATTTGCTGAATTCATGCCACCTGCCAATCACTTTGCGGGTGTCAGGAACACCATGATATAAATGACACCTCCTGCCTGGTGGTCTGGTGGGAGAAGAGAGCACATAAAGAGCTCTGGTGTCGTGGAACACATACTTTATTAGCATTTGCTAATAAAAATTGAATCTCCGGGCTGGGTGCAGTGGCTCATACCTGTAATCCCAGCACTTTGGGAGGCTGAGGCAGGAGGATCACCTGAGGTCAGGAGTTTCAGACCAGCCAGGCCAACATGGCAAAACCCCATCTCTACTAAAACAATTACAGAAATTAGCTGGGCATGGTGGTGTGCACCTTTAATGCCAGCTACTCCAGAGGCTGAGACAAGACAATTGCTTGAACCCAGGAGGTAGAGGTTGCAGTGAGCTGAGATCATGCCACTGCACTCTAGCTTGAGCAACACAGCAAGACTCTATCTCAAATATAAAATAATAACAAAAAAATAAGCTCCAGACCCTACAACCATGCCTGGCCTGTAGGGGATGCTTAACAATATTGTTTTAGGGTTCCCTTTTCTGAGCCCCAACAGGGAAACTAGAGAATACTGAAGAGAAAGAGGAAATGACCAGCAGAGAATCATCTCAGTCTCCCCTGAGGCTAGCCATACAAACTAGAATCCCTCTTCCCCAAGGCAAGTTATAGAGACCAGAACCCCTTCTCCCTCAATCAAGTCATAGGACTGAAAAATAGGACCAATTTTTCCTCATCCTTTCTATGTAAAAACTGGCCATAAAGAAATTCCCCAACCTACCTTGACTGTGGGTCCTAGCACTCCCATTCCAGAGAAGGTCCTACCCCACACTTAGAAAGAAGGAACGCTGCTCAGAGAGGCCAAGAACAATCTAGACAGACAGGCCTTGCCGGCTTTCCCCACTCAGTTCATTAGCATTAGATCAGGCCCTTTTTGTCCAATCCTATTTCTACATGGCTGTACATACTTTGTTGAACCTAAGCATAAAAATAGTCAATTTCCCCTTTATCTTTGGGTCTTCATTCTCAAGGCTCCTATGTGTACACATTAAATGAATTTGTATGCCCTTTCTCCTATTAAAAAAAAAAGAAATTGAATTCCTGCCCCCATCCATGCATTCATTCTCTCATTTGTTTGGCAATATTATTAAGTATCTTCTACAGGTCAGGCATGGCACTAGGGCCTGGAGATTCAGTGGAAGGTTAATGCTCCATGGTGCTCAGCCCTGATGGGACTTCCTGGAAAAGGGGAACAGGCTCTCAGAGGAGGTGGCATTGGAGATGGCTTCTGAACAATGACTGCTTGCCAGGGAGAGGGGGAAGTAAGTTTTAGGTTGAGAGGTGATGATGTGCAGAGCATTGAGCTGTGAATGTGCAAGCTGTGTTTGGGACTGGTTACCATATTGGGGTAGAAGCTGGGCTGTGTGAGAGTATTGGCATCAACATAAGGCTTCGTCAGGACTGTTCATGTTTTGATAATAAATCTGAAGTGTAGTTATTTAAGGAACCCACCCAAGTTCACAGAAGTAGTTAAAGGAAGAGCTTGAATCACAGTAAGAAGAAGCCATTGGGGAGTGGGCAGTGAGGCAGGGGCTGTCATTAAGGTGTGTCTGTCCCCTCTAAGCATTGCAGCTTCTTGCACAAATCTCTCAGAGCTCTCACCAACCCTGGGGAAGTGGACACTTGTCCTGTTCCCTGATAGCCTTCAAAAAGGCCTCTCACCCAGTATTCTCTTTCAGCAGAAAGGAATTGCTAATTATTTCCCAGACGAGAGGTAAAGATTGAGCCTACGAGGTGAAACTGAGACACAGCACTAAATGCATTTCTCAGAGGGCAACCCGATGTGAAGAAGCACCCATGGGACTTATTGATCCCTATCAGCAGACTCAGTTGTGAAACCTCATACCTTCGTATAGCAACATCGCTCACAGCCCATTGTAGCAAAGGCCACGCATTGACAGTGACTTATAACTCTTGAGTATCTGTGCATTCTAATCAATTCAAATGAAGGAGGTTTAGGTGCTCTCTGAATTAAGGAATATGTTTGCATTATCATTCCCCTCTCTCGAGAGGTTTAGGCCAATTGAATGAATGTTCTATTTAACTTTGAAAATTTCAGTATTGACCATTTAGTGTTCATTCTAGGAGACTTGTTGTATTATAGAAGAGGGTAGAACACAAAATTGAGTTGGAGTTCAAACAGCATTGATGAAAGTAATTGACAACTGAAGGTACACAATGGAATACTATTCACCTTTAAAAAGAACGTAATGCTGTCATTTTTGACAACATGGATGAACCTGGAGGACATTCTGCTAAGTTGTATAAGCCAGACACAGAAAGACAAATACTGCAAGATCTCACTTCTATGTGGAATCTAAGAAGAAAGTTGAACTCCTAGAAGCAGAGAGTAGAATGGCAGTTACCAGGGACTGGGGTTAGGGGAGTGGATGGGGAATGGGGACATGTTGGTCAAAGGATAAAAAGTTTTAGTTAGACAGGAGGAATAGTTTGGGGATGTATTGCATTACATGGTGACTGTAGTGACTTACAATGTATTATATATTTCAAAATTGCTGAGAGAGTAGATTTTAAATGTTCTCACCTCAAAGAAATGACAACTATATGAGAAAATGAATATTTTGATTAGCTTTATTTAATCATTCCACATGGTAAACATATATTATTGCACTGTCCCCAACAAGTCTATACAAGAATTATTTGTATATATCAAATGATACCTATATATACAAAATTTGTATATATATTTGTATAATTGTTTGCATATATCAATTAAAAATTTTAAAAGGTAGTCTTCTCTAGCAGTGTGTGTATGTGTATTTGTGTATAAATTTTTTTCCCAAAGAAATACTATTTTCAAGGTGCTTGAATTCATATTAATCACCATATAGAGAAGGAAGAACAGAATTAAACAACAACAACAAAAAACAAATATAGGCAATTTTCTATTAAATCTCTTCCTGAGTTGGGTCTTTGGGGGATGTCTCAATAACATAATTCTTCACTTACTGATCCATAGAGGGTAACAATAAGTCACTTCATAGAGACACAACAGAGACTTACCTTTCTCTGACAGAAGATACCATATTAGGCAATTAACTTGTAATATTTTGTGAATTTTCAAATAGCCTGCTATGATAATAGGTGGATCTTAATCAGAATGGTGGCAGACATACTTAACATTATCTGTGGTCTTTTTTTTCCTCCCTTTTTTTTTTTTTTTTTGCAGGAACACTGAGACTCCGTTCCTGCTTGTCTTGTCCTACCTCCACGTGCACACAGCCCTGTTCTCCAGCAAAGACTTTGCTGGCAAAAGTCAACACGGAGTCTACGGGGATGCTGTTGAGGAAATGGACTGGAGTGTGGGTACGTTTCTCCTCAGTGAGTGCTTAGAAAGCTGCTAAGTCTTTGCCTCCTTGTGTTTTCTTTCCTGTGTATTTCTATCTTTGTTCCTGATGCCTTTAGAGACAGCAAATGTATGGGGTTTTTTGAAAGTAACCAAAAATGCATTGATCCTGAAAGGTAAATAGAATACAAAAAGCACCTTCACCAGCCTCGGCAACATAGGGAGACCCCATCTCTACAAAAAATAAAAAAAAATCAGCCAGGTGTGGTGGTACATGCCTGTGGTCCCAGCTAATTGGGAGGCTGAGGTGGGAGGACGTCTTGAACCCAGGAGGTTGAGGCTGCACTGAGCTATGATTGCACCACTGCACTCCAGCCTGGGTGAGACTGAGACCTTGTCTCTTAAAAAAAATATATATATCTTTACCCTCTTTTGCATGTCTGCAGTTCCTAGTGGATACATTTCAGGGGAAGTCTAGTCTGTGGGCTGCAGATGGAAGAGATTCATGGACGAAAAGAGACAAAACTTTAGTCCTTATTATCCCTTATTCTATCAACAATGAAATATGAACAATGCCTTGTCATTAGCAGTTAAATGTGTGATGGATTTTGGATCCAGAATACCTGCAGCTGGCTACAGCCTTGGCGAGGCTCTCAGGGCAACAGTGACGAGATCCTCGTGTTCTTCTTGCTGCATCTAACGATGGCAAAGCTTTGCTTGTTCTCCAAACTCCTTCTCTCCCTTCCTGAGCAAATAACCCTATTTCTGAGAAACATGGCATTTTTCACTGACATTGGGAAGACTTCCTTACTGAAGCTTTGTTTAAGTTAAAATGCATGTCTTCCATATCTACATCATCATCCCTATGCTTTTATTTTGTCTTGCAGAGCTCAGAGATCCCAGGATGGGGGATTACACCTGGGGTCTCTTAGCTGTACACAGCTAAGGGGTTGGCTGGCATGCAATCTCATGCTGAATGAGGTAGGGAAGGCCTTAGTGTGTGAGTTACGCAAAGGAGTGAAAAATCAGCATTCCAGTCCACTCGGAACTTCTCACAACTTCCAGTCTTTTCTAGCAGCATTGCCTCTTACTTTTACATTGCTGGGCTCATCTGGACAGTATCAGAGTGACAGAAGAGATCATTTTGTCCATATTCCAGTACTCGCCCAGGTTCCTGAAGATTTTCATATATTTGTTTCCTTTTACTTTTTCTCTCTCTCATTCTTCCTTCCATTTCTTTTGGTGAAATAACTCAATAGTTTCTAATCTTTGGATCCAGATGTTTTGGAAATCCATGAAAGTTGCTTCCTAGTTCTGTTTGTTTGTTTGTTTAAAGCAGAAAATTGATGGCAGTGGTGGTCACCTACTGTGGTGATTGTCAGAACAAATTTTGTTCTGTTTTGTTTTAAATCATGAAAGGAGCACCTTCTTAAGAAACAAGACTGGGCTCTTCTTCCAGCTTCTAGATGCTTCTTTAATTATCTCTGTGAACTTGGGAGATGTTTTACATCTTCAGGCCTCTCCTCTATCATCTTGATAGGAGGATTCAAATTAGGCGAGTTCTGAGGTTCTTTTTTTCTCTAATAGTCTGTGATTCTATAAAGTAATGAGAGTGAGTACCATTTGTAATACTAACTAGGAAAAACAAAACCAGAACATTCTCTCTAACAAGATTTATAAGAAGAATGCATTACGCTTAGGGCTCGTACATATACCAATACAAGCCTGCCTCCTTTTATTTTTTCCTTTCTAAAATGTTGCACATAAATCAATTTATATTTTTCGCATCTTAGTGTAAATCAGTAGAATATTTTCTCTTTTTAATGAGTGTTCTATTTTAATGTGTCAGGCTGCTTATGCAACTCTAAGATTTCTGTTGGCTAGCAAGCAACCTCACGCTGATCTCATCACACCTGTTGATTAAATTTTATTTAATTAGCATGGCATACATGCCTGACTCATTAGAAAGTCTAACTTCCAGTGTTGTCTCACTACTAGTTCCTCTAAAGTATTTGGAGAGTATTTTCAATCTTCAAGACCTGCCTTAGCCCCTGATTTATAGATGTTTGTGTTGTTTTTTTGTTTTTGGCGGAAAGATAAAATCCTTCCCCTAAGCATTCCATGAATTTTTAAGAAAGTTTTTGTTTTTTAAATCCAATACATATGAGTGTTCTAAAGAATATTTCTTCTTTCCAAGAAGGGCTTTTCCTTATTACACAGGACGGGACTGTTGGATTCTGAATAATTATGTAATAAAATAAAAGGGGGATATTTGCTTCATAAGAAACACTCCCTGCACAAAGGAAAACTGAGATGGAAGCGGTTAACTAGTGAGGGTGCATCTCAGTCACTCAGAGCATGTTCTCTCCACATGTTTGAGGGCTGTATAATTCTGTGGATCATCACTTTCTCCACTGCAGGTTTCTCTAAGCCTGGAAAGGCATATTCAGTGACCAAGAACCTTTATTATGTAACTGTACACCAGTTCTACTGCCCGTGATTGTGGCTTACTGCCTTATTCTTAGCTGAGTGAGTGCTGTGTCTCATATTGTTATAGTAACTAGAGAAAGACTGACTTCATACAGATGTTGTGAGAGCTGCAGAAGGGGCTTCTCAGTACAACCACACAAGGGCAGTTGAAATCCAGGAGATACAATTCTGCTCTGCAAATTCACGGGGTGGTCGACATGATTTTAATCATCAGAGTGACTAACATTGAGAGCTGGCCGTATACTGGGCCCTGATAGCACATGTATTTGTGGGAGCCATAGGCTTTTGGTCCCATAAAGGTTGTCAAGAAATCACTGGCATGAGGCAGATTGATTCATAGGAGAAAAGACATACTAATTTATTGAATGTGCATACACAAGAGCCTTCATAATGAAGACCCAACCTCCCAATGGGGTCCAGAAGCTTATACACCATCCTGAGGTTACAGAAAGGTTGGGGGCTTGGGCCAGGCATGGGGGCTCACACCTGTAATCCCAGCACTTTGGGAGGCCGAAGCGGGCAGATCACCTGAGGTCAGGAGTTCGAGACCAGCCTGGCCAACATGGTAAAACCCCATCTCTACTAAAAATACAAAAATTAGCCGGGCATGGTGGTGTGCACCTGTAATCCCACCTACTGGGGAGGCTGAGGCAGGAGAATCATTTGAACCTGGGAGGCGGAGGTTGCAGTGAGCCGAGATCGCACCACTGTACTCCAGGAAGAAAAAAAAAAAAAATATATATATATATATATATGTGTGTGTGTGTGTGTGTGTGTGTGTATGTGTGTGTGTGTGTGTGTATATGTGTGTGTGTGTGTGTATATATATGTGTGTGTATATATATGTGTGTGTGTCTGTGTGTGTGTGTGTGTGTGTGTGTGTATGATGGGGGCTTGGATCCTGGTAAAACAGGTTATGCGGGTCAGGGAGAAGAGGAGTTCTGTTGAGGGGCAATAAATGATTGCTAGGGAGAATTATTGGATACAGGAACAGAGATTATCTTGTAATTTAAATGATCCTTGGAGTTAGTCATTGTACTTGGAAAAGGGTCTCCTCAGGGGTAGTCATATCTTGGTCTTCTTTTCTGCAACAGACAATGAAATTACAGGGAGGGGAAGGGAAAAAAATGTTCTCCTTGTGGGGGTCTGGATCTTAGGTAGATAAAAGAACTTCACCTTCTATGGGAGAAACTGTGTGTGGGATGAGGGGGAGGTTAGAGAGACTTGAGGCTTCTTCGGTTTAGCATGTCAAAATGCAATCTTTGGGGATATCAGTTTCTGAGTCCCAGCATCTTACCTCATTTTGTGCTGCCAGTGGTCCCTGTGCAGCAGGTGATGTTCTCATCATTCGCATTCCACAGGTAAGGCAAGTGAGGCTTGCAGGTTAGGTACACCCACCTCAGGTTACAGAATTCATAATGGGTGAGCATGAGTTCCAATGCAGGTGTCCCACCTAGAACATGAAATCTACACCACTTTGTTTCTTTTCTTTCCATGTAATAAGAAAGCGTGCATCATGTCAGTGCACAACCAACAACATATCTCCGGGACAGATCTAGTTCATTCATTAGTCATGTTGACTGGATGCTAACTGTGTGCTTAAATGTTTTTTGGCAGTGTAGGGTGGGAGTGGGGTGCAATGATGATAAGACTATAGGTTTAGGGGAGAATGTTCAGCCTACAGGATAGTAAGAAATTTAAGATTCTTTCAGGAGATCCTATAACAACTCAGGGCAGAAAGTGAGGAATGTCATGAGGGAGGTGCAGATAAAGTGCTTGAACAGTTTGGAAGCAGGAAGGGCAGTGGTGCTGTGCATGTTGGATACAGCAGCCACATCATTTCAGCAGGGCACACCCACAGTGGAATTCTTTGGGCAATCATGGTGCTATTGCAAAGTCTGATTTTCAATCCCAGTTAATTCTGAAGCAGCCCAAGCATCAGGGAAGAACAAACGTGTAAAATCTCATTGTTCTCCAGTATACAACAAGCATTTTGGAGGCGTGTCATTCTGGCTGTTTCTCTTCCTTTGGAAATAGACTGACATTTTTCATAGACCTGTTCATGGTTGGGGGTCAGGTGGAAGGATGGATGTAGTTCTCACCGGGGGTTTCTTATCTACAGCTTACACCATTATAGTGATCACAGCTAGTCTGTGAAGTGGAATTTGCATGCAATCAGCATTCACTCAGAGCCCTGTGCTATTAATAGAACAACATGAAGGAATCATAAATCAGCCTTTGCTCAGGATTAGACTAGCAAGTTCTGTACTATTACAAAGAAAAATTCAAGTGGAGAACAAGAAGGTGAATGCTAAAACAAATCTCTGGCTTCCAATCAAAGCTTCCTGGCCAGGTGTGGTGGCTCATGCCTGTAATCCCAGGTGGATCACCTAAGGTTATCAGTTCAAGACCAGCCTGGCCAACATGGCAAAACCGCGTCTCTAATCAAAGTACAAAACTTAGCCAGGCATGGTGTCACATGCTTGTAATCCCAGCTACTTGGGAGGCTGAGATGGAAGAATCACTTGAACCCGGGAGGCGGAGATTGGCATGAGCCAAGATTGCGCCCCTGCACTCCAGCCTGGGCAACAGAGTGAGATTCCATCAAAAAAAAAAAAAAAGCCTTGCTATGGAAAAAAAAAAAAGAAAAAACACCCTTCCACTGCTGAGAGTTGGAATCAACTGATTTTATGAGATTCTTTCAAACAAGAATGGCAAGTCTTCATCTTTAGATGGAGTTCCAGAAGTCTTTGTGCATTTGTCGTTCAGTTGCTCAGGATTGGTAGCTTGGCATCCCCTGTTGGCTGAGCATGACAGGGCAACCCTCAGTTTGATTTCTCTCACTCTCCTCTGCCTTCCCTGCAGGAGGACCTGGACATTGCTATCGTACCCTCTGGGCACAGAGAACCAACCTGGAGGAAAAATAAGTGGTGAATTCATGAGATGAGCTTGGGGGATGTTACAGAATGAATGCGTGTTTGCCATGCCTGACATTTAGTCAGTCATGTGCAACTCAATGTAGCAGCAAGGGCCATGCACCCAACTCGTCTTGAGGGATGGAGAATAAATTGGAAGGCCTCATTCGTAAGAGCTCAGGATTGTGTCAAGAACCTCAAGAAACACAAGAAAACTCTGGCAATGGGGAACCATAGGTATTGGTCTAAGCCCTTCAAATTTGCAGTGTAATTTTAAGTAGGGCCTGGATTATCAGACATGGTTGTAATGGATTATCCATTTTAAAATAGACTCTTTTAGGAGGTTTGGATTAAAATGATTGTGAAAGTATGGACTGTAGCATGCAATGAATAACCCCTCTGTATATAGGTTCATTTACATGGACAAAAGTCCTCTGATTCAATATACGTAGAAGACATCTACTTTTAGAATCTGTAGGGGCCATGGGGAAAACTTCCCCTTCACCCTCTGAAGTTTCTCTAAAGCTCAACTCACAAAACGCAGATTAATTGGAGAAAAGTCATAAAAACTATATTAACCTGCACACAGGGAGCATCACAGAGTGGCTACCCAAACCCCCTATGGGATACCAAAGCTTGTATACCATATTGAGGTTACAGAAAGAATGGGAGCTTGCATCATGGCAGCCCTCCGATAAAATAAGTGGTAAATGGTTTGTTTGTTTGTTTGTTTGTTTGTTCGTTTTGAGACAGGATCTTGCTCTGTCACCCAGGCTGGAGTGTAGTAGCTCAATCTTGGCTGACTGCAACCTCGACTTCCTGGGCTCAAGCAATCCTTCCACTTTAGCCTCCTGAGTAGCTGGGACTGCAGATGCTTGCCCCCAAGCCCAGCTAATAATTTTATTTTTTGTAGAGACAAGGTCTCACTATGTTGCCCAGGCTGGTCTTGAACTCCTGGGCTCAAGCGATCCTCCCATCTTGGCCTCCCAAGGTGCTAGGATTACAGGCGTGAGCCTCCATGCTTGGCCAGTTAATGTTTCTTTAAGATCTTTAAAGTGTAGGACTCTCATTTCGTATTTCCTAGATCTGGACGAGGGAAGTCCTGGTTACATGAATACAGAGTTTCTGCAGATGCAAATCTCCCCCACAAAAACAGCTCTCCTTGCATGCTGTCTGAGAGCCATCTCGCATATATGAAATAAATATATTTTGTGGTAAAATATTTTGATTTCCTTCAAGTTCTATAGACCAGGTACACATTAGGTGCTCAATAAGGAAGTTTTAAAAGTGAAAGTATGGCGGTCAGGTGCCTGATATTTGCAAAGCCTGATCCAAGGTGCCAGGAATTACTAGGAACACAGATATGAATAAGGTTGACTTGGCTTTCTCCTATATATCAAAATAGTAGTCCAACCATGGGCATGGATGAGATTGTTCTGCAAGAATATTTCAGGCAGTTGGGCAACCTGTGACCCACAATTTATCTCCATCTAATCCAGGATAAGAGTTTAGAAATCAACCTTCATGTCTTTACTTCTCAAAACTGTAAGACCCAAAAAAACAAAAGCCCATGTTCTATTTGACATTCTTTGCCCTATACAGAGTCTAGCCTGGATCTTAAGGCTTTGTATTTCCCTTGGGGTGTAATGCATCACTTTTCTATCTTGAATTTCTTAAACATTCTTATTTTTGATCAATGCAACCCTCTTTAAAAAGTGACAATAATGTGCTCACTTCTGGTGCACAGTGAGGATGGAAGGTCCAGTCCAGCATCCAAAGGAAGGTCACGGCAGAAAGAACCTCTAAAAGAAAACCAAAAGAACAGCCAAAAACTGGGAAGACAGACTCAGAGAAGTGTGATCAGGGAATTCAGGAGCAAAGAGCATTTCAACGGATAATGATCAATACCAACGAGTACTTCAGAGACATCAAGAAGGGCTGAAAAGGGACAAGTGAATGTAACTCCTGTAAATTGTAGAATTATAGTGTATTACAGAGAATGATATTTGAGGAGCTGAGGTCAATGAGGTTGGATATTTCTTTCAAGAGGAATGGAAGAATTTGTGCCAAGGGATGACTTACCAGGCTTTGTCTGAGCTCATCTCTGCTTGGAGACCATGAATTGGGTGTTGGCACATAGGTATGTGGATTTTCAGTTCAATGCAGGGCCAGAAAGTAGGATCACCAAACTTATTGATGATTGAAGTTTTGCTAGCAGGGAGTGTCACAAAAGGCAACTGGGCAGTGGAATTTGAGTGATTAGCAACAGAAGGACTGAAGTGGCAGATGGTGGTGGGGGATGAGGAAGGAAGAGAGCTGGTGGCTTGTGATGATGAACTGGAGATTCAAACAAGATTGCAGCAAAGGTGTTGGAAGGCTGGGGCAGAGTGGAAGTGTTTATATTCCAGAGGTTGAATCATTCCAGGTATTCCCAGGTGCATGGCATGCCTGCTGGATGATGAATGGAAGGCAAGTTCCTGGCGTTGGAGAGGTCATGGAATTGGGAAGCCAGAGTGTTCAGCTGGTGCCTTCATATGACTGTGCACCAGCAAAGATGCCATGCACGGCTGTCCTGTGATTCCTAGGGCTGATTATCTTTATTCACTTTCATGGTGGAGGTTTATAGCCAGGCAGAGAGAGGGGATGCATAATGGTTTACTTGCATAATGGTTTACTTTGTAAGGAGGAATGTAGAACCATTATGGACTGCTCATTCATTAACTGAGCTTCCAATATTATCAAACACTCAAAATTGAGGCTTGAAAATTATTTCAATCGTTGGTTACCTGCCAACGTTTCAGGTTTTTAACAGGTTTCAGGGAGTCAGGGAGGTGGTCCATGCACACTAAGAAAGCTGGCTTCCCTCTGTCCAGCACAGACCCATCTGTTAGCTCAATGGCATTAAGGCAGTATTAAGAGCTAACTGCTGAGACTATACAACTAGTTATCTCTTCATAGCTGTGGCACACATCCCAGTGGGATGTGATGTGCAGGGGGATGCACTTGGAGCAATAAGAAATAGAACGTGGAAGCATTTTGTCTTAAAACTCTTAAGAAAAGCAAATGTATCCCCTAGTCTCTCTCTCATCTGCTTCCGCAGCAATGGTTGGATGTGGTATGAATTCTTAAATGTGTTTTTAATTTTCATTTTGTTTTAAACATGCGCTTCATAGAGTTCAAATAAAGATAAATAAATAGAGCATAGAGCCATGTGACACTGGCTCCAGACTAGACAGCATGATGGAACAGAGCAGGAAGCCCAGAAAAAGAATTTCATGTAAAATGTAAATGTAAAGGTGACCCTTCAAGGCAGATGGCTAAGAATGGATTATACAATAATTGTGATGGTATGATTAAACTTTTAGGAGAGCGATTGTAGTTAATTCACTACTGTCTGGCATTGTGGTGCTTTGCATGTGCTTAAATGGTATAATAATGGTGTTGTGTTGATGGTGATGGTGATGGTGGTGATGCTGATGATGGTGATGATGATGATGATGGTCATGATAGTGATAATGTTGATGATGATATGATGGGTATGATGATGGCGATGCTGATGATGGTGGTAATTATGATGATAGTGATGATGGTGGTGAAGATGGTGATAATGATGAAAATAATGAAGATGAAGAGGAGGAAGCAGGGGGACGTTGTGATGCTCAAAATAAAGAAGTCAATTTTACAAGAAGTATAGAAGATTAAAGTAAGTTGCCCAAAGTCATGGAGATGGCATATGATGGCTAGGATTTTAATCTTGTCTGTCTTACATACTATGCTATTCTTGCTGTTCCTCATATATTTAAATAAATTCCCCATGCAGATTGTGTTTGGAAAATGGAAGTACTGAAGAATTCCAAAAAATATATTGAGATATATTTATCTGATATACAGGATAATTGAGAAAGGTCTTTCTGAGCACAAAAGCCAAGAAATAACTAACTCAAAGAGAAAGATTGCAGAATTTTACTTCATGAAATCTAAAATCTCCTGATGTCAGGTAAAAATATAACATAAACTGAACAAAAAGACCAATGACAAAAGACTTAAAAAGCATGTGCATCATCAACATAAAAAGAAAACTCCTGAGATATAGGAAGAGCTCATACAAAGCAAATGATAGAAAGATAAATATCAGAAAAAGACATTGATTATACCAATTTATTGTATCAGTTCATTACACATGTTCTAGCATTGGGCATTATGATTTTAAAAAATTAAATGTTTGCTAAAATAACTGAAAGAGATCAGCTCTTTTTAAAAATTACACATACCACATTATACTGATTCCTGAATAGGTCAGACTTTTTTCTTGTATTTTTAAAAAAATAATTAAACTACAAAAAAAATCTGTTGCCATTTATCCAGTGGAGTCAGAATCTTTCCTTAATCCCCAATGCTTATAGGAGGACCTGATGAAATCTATGGCCACTGAATCCCTTATGAGTCTGCCGCTGATACCATATTACTGTTGTTTCAGCTTACGAGGCATATTTTAAATATTCAGCCAACACCTCTCATTTATGAATCCCAAGGCATCTATGACACAATGATTAAAACTCAAGTGAAGCAACAAATTGGGCTTTATTTTCACACTGATGTTTTTCTTCATTGGAAATCCCCTTTAGGAAATGTCTTTCAAAAGGCTTTAGGTTATCTGTGTGTGTGTGTATGTATGTGTGTGTTTACACATGATATTTTACATTAAATTTATCTCCCACTCATCCTAAATCACACTTTTTAAAAAATGAGTCTGTGAAATCTACTTATTTTAATAATGCTAATGTAATGTTAATTCCCCAAAGTGGAAACTGCAGTTAAAAAAAAAGGAAATCCATTGGTTTATTCAGACTGTCAACTCTTGGTATATGCTTGCAGTCATAGCTGAGCTCTGGATCAGATGAAATATGACCTCTGATCGTGTCATTGCACACCCGTATTGCTGAGATTGCTGTGATAATCATGAAATTGCAGATAGACAGTATCTTCTCAGGGACTTTTGACAGGGGCTGGTATTAAGCCTCTGCTGCCTAATGAACCAATTTTTTATTCAAGCAGATCTAGACAGGAGAGAAATGAAATCATTTCCATTACAGACCACTGTTTACCTGAATGCAACATGCATAATGAGGTTTTGAAACTTCAGGAAAACATCTAGGAGGTGATGACAACCTCTACATTGCAAAGGAATGACTAATACAAACCCACTTATGCGTGATTCTCTTTCCACGATTGCCAAACGTATTTAATAAAGAGACAGTTTAAAAACCGCCAGTTACATGCTTGACTGTAAAGATATATAGTACACTTTAGGATATGTGCTGTTTTGCTGTTTGGGAGTGTTTTGTATATACTTTTTAAAATACAAGGCTTTCTCAAATAGGATAGACCATTTGTTACTGGAATATAATTTTATCTAGGGTTCTTACTCCTTTTCATTACTGCAGGAAGAAAATGAATTTTTGGTAAATTGAAATAAAATCACATATGTCAACATTTTCTATTGATTGTCACTTTCAGAATTGTGTGTTTGGGAAGCCTTTGTGAGTGACAAGGCGTGGAATGGAGGAGACAGTAGCTATGAGATGCTCGCTGACTGTCCCAGAGTTTATGCTTTTCTTGTGCCTTCCTACGATGTCTGGACAGCTTTCTCTTCATGCAGAGGCTTAGGATGAAGTCACTGAGAGCTAAGGTCTATGATTTAATGTAGTTCAAGAGCAGAGTTCTGGGGGTGAGTGTGAGATAGCATGTCACATACCACTTTGCAACAGAAAAAAAAATTTAAATTGTTGCCTCAGTCTTCTGTGTTTTTTTAGTGTTTTCCACACTTTGTATAAATGTTTTTCTGATTACCAAAGTAATCCGCAGTATGCAAAACCGAAGAATATAGACACAAACAGTACAGAAAGGGAATGACCCATGAAATCTCACCCCTAAATAGGCAGCATCATTAATAGTTTGCTGGATAGATTTATTTCTTATATGTTGCCAGTATGACATATTAATATCAAGATTTGACTATTAAGAATATTTTACACAAACTCTATATGCTATTCTGCAGTTTTTTCTTTTCGCTCAACTATCTATTTGGTCATTTTTCCATTTCACCATTTCGATTTTCATTTTACCTTTCTTAGACTACAATTTGTTTAATCATTCCTCTGTGAGGGACATCTGAGTTCCTTTTTTAAAATTTTTTTATTTTTTATTTTATTTATTTATTTATTTATTTGTATTTCAGGTAGTGCTATAAGTGAATATTCTGTAAAGCTGTGTGAACTGGTGGGAATAATTTTGAAATAAAAATTCAGCCGAGATCAAATTTGCTGGATCAAAGAGCATAAAAAATTTGCTTTCATTTGATATTGCCTAAAATAGGTATACTCTTTTTTTCACCATGATAGTAGGATACCCATTGATAATCAATGAGAACGCTAATTTCCTCATACTCTTAGCAACCCTGGATATTATCAGTCTCTTTTTCATCTATCGGGTGAAAAATGCTAGTTCACTATTTTTTTTTCTATTGTGTGTAGGGTTAGTACAGTGTTGTATTTCTTCTCCCAAGGATTCTTTGGTCACTTTTCTATTGGATTGTAGATCTTTTTCTTATTGATTTGTTTGCACTATCTATATGATAAGAACATTAATATTTTACTTATTGTACACTGCAAATATTTTTCCTGCCTTTTTTTTTTGTCTTTTCATTCTATTTAAAGAGTCTTTTGCAATAAATTTTTGTAGTTAAACCTTCATGATGTCTGGGGCTTGTAATTGGAAGATTTTTTTTTTTTAAAGCTTTTCTTACTCCCCTACAAATTACAGGTTGAGTATCCAAAATACTCAAATATTCATCCAAAATACTCAGGACCAGAAGTGTTTCAGATTTGGAATGCTTTCAGATTTGGGAATATTTATATTATACTCACCAGCTCAGCATCCCTAATCCAAAAATCTGAAACTCAAAATGCTCCAATGAGCATTTCCTTTGTGTGAGCATCATGTTGACACTCAAAAAGTTCAGGACTTAGGAGCATCTCAGATTTCAGATTTTCAGATGTAGAATACTCAACCTATATGTATACACCCTTTCCCTTGTATTTTCACCCAATATGTATATGGCTTCATGCTTTACAGTTAGATATTTCATCTGTGGAGGAAATTCTGTACGTGTGTGTGTGTGTGTGTGTGTGTGTGTGTGTGTGTGTGTGTGTCTGTGATGGACCATGTGTTATTTGCCTATTCTTGTGAATTTGGGTCTTGATTGATCAGTACTCTTGGCTGGTGTGGGACCTCTTAAAACTTGGGTAGGACAAGTGTTGGTGGCCCAGTGTTATACTTTGTCTTCAGGTGGTAGGAATCCAGTTAGGATCTTTTCTGCAAGGGCTATGCAGAGGGTCACCATAATGAAACCACTGGAAGCCAGGTGGCTGTAGCCCAGTAGTCTCTTCCCATGAGGTCCAGCATTGGCTGATTCATCTAGCTAGATCCACCCTTGAGTGGGCAGCAATAATTAGTTCAAACCTACACTGTCACTGCAGGAGATTGGGAGTGAAGCCAAGCTCCCCTTGCAAGTACATGAGGTCCTCATGGTGGTCGTGGCATCCACCAGCCAAATGAGTTAGGACCACAAGGAGGGCTTCAACTGCTAGAGCTGTCAAGAGCAACCTATGGTTTCTGGGAGCTGCTGATGGCTTCTAACAGCCTCACTTTTGGACTGGCTTCTGTAGCCACCATTTCTGGGTGGGGTTTTAGGAGGAGGTGAGGGTCATCAGGTGGTTGGGCTTCCCTTGGTCCCATGGGGCAGCAACAGTGATTTGCAACCCATGTGAGCAGGCAGGGGCAAGGTTAGGGCTGGGAAAGTAGTTTGCACACAGGGGAGGGTGGGATGGTTTGGTGACTGTACCCTCCAAGAGCTATTTTCCTCAGGTGCTACCATTCCCACTTGGATGAGGAGCACAAAGCCTTGAAATCAAGTGAAGGAGGGGCTTTTCTCAATTGCCTCCAAAGGGAGCCTCCTGCTTTGCTCCCACATGTCTTCCCCAAGCAGTGAGGAGGGAGCAGCTGGCTGGTGCTACTGTGCATCCTTCCCTGACCTGTGGGTCCTTACCTGTGGAATCTCATCTGTATCCAGGTGTACAGCCATGTCCCCCACTCAGATTCCTATGATGGTCATGAATCCAGGAATATGTCTTTTTTTTCCTTAAGAGATGAGGTCTCGTTTTGTCACCTAGGCTGGAGTGCAGTGGCGTGATCTCGGCTCACTGCAGCTTCAAGCAATCTTCCTGCCTCAGCCCCCCAAGTAGCAGGGACTATAAGCATGTGCCACCATGCCCAGCTAATTTTTGTATGTGTGTATGTATTTTGTAGAGACAGGGTTTTACTATGTTGCCCGGGCTGGTCTTGAACTCCTGAGCTCAGTCAGTTCACCCACCTCAGCCTCCCAAAATGTTGGGATTACAGACAGAATATGTTTCTTCTAGAGTAGTTATGTCACTTTTGCAAAGGGAGCTAGGAAAAAGAAGGAGGCAGAAATTGGTCTATGTTCTCCTTGTTTCTGGAATCTTATGAAACCAGTGCTCAAGCTGTTTAGATTTCTGCATTTAGAAAAGAGGGAAGAGAAATACAACTCATGAGATCATTTGAAGAGAAGACATTTCTATCCCATGAATGAATGCATACTTAATTGAAAGCAGACAGTTCTTGATCTGAGCCCTTTCTTTGGCATCATGGGACCATTTTCAAAAACCAAAAGGCCCTTAATGGTACTGGCAGCATTAAATTGGGGGTTCAGTGCTGTGTTGCCATCTCTTCTCCTTGCTCTTCTTGTGTTCACTGTCACATTAGACTGTGTCCTGTTGTCACGCTGCCGCTGTCATCTGCTCCACTGATAATATTAATACTACTACTAATAAAGTTACTCGTTCTTCTCTCACTATATACTTACTGTCTGCCAGGTGTTATGCATTCATAGTAGTTCTCATGGCAGCCTTCTGCGAATGGAACTGTATTATCCCATTTTAAAGATGTGTAAACCAAGGTGCATTGGAAGGCAGTAACTAGTCTCAGCAAGCTCACAAAATCAGCAGATTGCAGAGGCAACATTCAGAGCCATGTGTATATGGTTCCGCCCCACACAGTGTATACTGGGACGATGATATCATACCACTTCTGGCTTCAGCATATTGATGGCAGCAGCGGTGCCAAGAAAGGACAGACTTTGTGACCAGATTGCATGTGATTCTATCCCCCACTGACCAACCTCTGGCGGTTAAATGTGGGCAGGTGACCTCTCTCACTGAGCCCCCACTTCTTTCTCTGTAAAATGAGATCATTTCATTGCCTTTCTTGCTGGGGATGTTTTGAAGAGTGCCTTCGGTGTATTAAGCACTGGGCAAACATTCACTATTGTTAGGAAGCCTTCACACAGAGCTTTTGTTGCATCACAGCGTCAGTTGATTCTCTTTTCTGTGCATCTTGACTTTGCCGTCTCTCCTCCAAGTATATTTTATTTTGCTTTTTGGTAGGAAAGGGGAGCAAATGGCCATAGCTCTCTTAGGGCACAATTTCGTGTGTTCGAGTCTTGTGACCTTTCGTTGGTTTGGTATCTCACCATGAGAAAAATGGAGTAAATGAAATATTTCCATAACTTTGTCATCTGAGATCATGTGAGCACGCCTCTCTGCCTGCAATCTGAAGAGTCACTTCTCCAACAAGCCTCGTGGAGTAGAAATTCAGGATTGCTCACAGAGTCTGCTGGGAGCTAACTGTCTGTCTTAGGGTGATTTCTGGGCTCACCCACTTGGACTGCATCTCTCAACATGGCATGCAGCGCCCGTGGTTTGGGGGCAACAGTGGCTTAATGCTTTCTTGGGGAGGTAAACACTTAGGAAGGAAAGTTTCTTTACAACAGGATTCTGTAAGTCATTTTATTTGCTCTCAAGAAGTAGAAAAAAGAGAAGGTTATAACATAGCATATACTTTCGTATATTACTCCTTCTCAGTGCAAAATGGATCTTGTTCATTGGGTACCCCAGATACCACTGAAGCAAAAAAATTAAAACAGAACAAACCTCTGCTGTTTCTGGCGTTACCTTAGTGCCTGCCATACTTAACACAAAATTTCATTTATTTAAGGTCACTCACAGTGAGTGTACCCTGACTAATTTAGCTCATCAATTACTTAAATTTTAAAACAAATACTGATGCTCACCTAAATGAACTCCATTTAGTCAGTCACGGCAAAATCTAACTGTTGCACCTATTCACACTTCCAGTTTGTAGAAAATTGTTAGTGAAAGAACATTGTTGTCATAATTTTTTTTTTATTCTAAGGTAAGACAATAGCCAGAACAAAACAAAAATGACAAAATTACAGCATTTTAAGTCTTTTAACTTTAATCACTTGAAGGTGGAATTACCTGTCAAATACCTGTGCCGACAATAGCTATTTCTTGTCTGCCAAGTTTCATCAGTAACAACCATCTATAAATGCTTTTATGCATCCGATTTGTTGCAAGTAAATATACCATACTTTAGGAAGAAAAAAACCTAGAGAAAACAAGCTTCTTTGACAATCTTTGAAGCTTTGAGCGCTGACTTTGAGAAAAACGATTTTGTTTTGTTTACACAACTTGACATTTTGGTTTTGCGTAGTGCTGCCTTGCAATTAAGCATAGGAAGGAGAGACGTGAAATGACATTACAATTTATTTGGAAACAGAGAGAATTGCCATACTTACAGATAGAGTAGATGCTTCTGTGTTACTATTTCTTTGTAACTTTATCCTTGCAGAACTTCCCGAGAGGGTGTCCCAGCATGGGGATGCATCTGTACAAAACACAGCTCTTGTAGACAGGAGTGGGTCTTGCTCAGATATCGTTGGCCAAGAAGGGCTTCAGTCTATTCAGTTTGGGAGATGGAAAGGGAGTCTTTGTACAGAACAGTATACACTGAGTTATAACATCCACAAGTGGTGTTACTGCCTGGATCCACATCATAGAATATACATCCACATTCATATGGATTTGCATAAAAGCATGCAGCGAACTACACATAATATGTAGCATATTTCCTTCCACCATGTCTCACCCAAAGCCAGTAAATCCTTTAGCTACTCATGGCTCTGCAGATGGCTTCTGCTTGGTTTGGTCCATAGTCTTGTCGTTCCTTACCATGTTCTGCATTGCATGCCATGTGCTTTGATCCACTGCATGCCATATGCCAAGTTGACCATTCACAGAATAGTCATTTCCTGGAGGAAGGTCTTTATTCTAATGAAATTGCTCAGTCCCTCTGCTTGCAATTGCATCAGAGTCCTGCTTGAAGCATTTCTTAATTTAAGAGTATTCCAAAGAATACTTTTCTCACTTTGCCACTGAACCAGTCTAGTTAGGACTGAAGATGGAGGTCACTGGGCAAGGTCATCCTTTCAGTGCATGCTTCCTGACTTCAAACTATATTACAAGGCTACAGTAACCAAAACAGCATGGTACTGGTACCACACTGTCTCAATGCCAGTTGCCTGATATTTGGCATTGGCTTCTCTTTGTGCTTTTAAAGCAAGAGTGGGTAGGGTGGCAGGGCTTGCCTCTGTTTTGGGAGGGAGAAGAATGACTTTCTAGGTGACTGCTGTCTAAACACTAGTTCAATGCAACAAGCCTCATTGGCTCTCAGTTGCCATCTCTACTTCCGGGTTAGACTTCTGTGCCCTTGGGCAGCCTCCTGGAGTGTGATAGTTGAACTATTCATGCCCCTGAACATGAGCCCCACAAAAATGTTTATTGGACTTCTTTACTTGGTACTTTTTAAAGAGTTGAGGAATGGAACTTCTACATAAAGCCAGTATCAACTGAAGTATGATTAAAGACAAGGCCGGAACACTAGGGACATAAAGATGAGAAACTCTTCATTGCCTCTCCTCGACTATCTGGTATGAGTGGCAGTGCTGGAGTTATTTTCCACTGAATTCCTCAATGATTCTTTTTGTGACCCATTTGCCCACTAATTTGATATTCCCCATATGTGCTGTAGTCAGAATATAGCATGCTTTCAATGGCATTAATGTTAAATCCTTTGCTCTTGCAGGTGAATCCACATCTTCGAAAATGGCATTTTTTTTTCTTCCATCATCCTATTCTTGATTTTAAATGTATGCCTCAGTTACACCCATATGGAAAGCTCAAAGTAAACCAGGGTATCAGAAAACCCAGTGATAACAGTGCAGCAAGAATGAAGGATATGTAGATATTGTGTATGTTTTTCTTCTCTCTCCACTTTCTATTTGAGTTTCCAGTAAATCTGCATTTGTGACAAAATAGTAAACTTTGCAGAAAGAGGTTTTTGCAACCTCAGATTACAGATGGAAACAGTACATAGCAGGAAAAATAGCAGAAGGGTTAGCTTGAGACCAGGTGTTTGAGGCTACAATGAGCTATGATTGCACCACTGCACTCCAGCCTGGGCAACAAAGTAAGACCCCATCTCTAAAATAAATTTAAAAAAAATAAAATTTGAGAGAGATGGGGTAAGGGCATTATGGCCAGACCAAGGTAGGCCTGGAGAGCCAAAAAAAACTTTTAACTGTAATACATAGTTGAAAATCCATTGTATAGAGTATTGATTTTGGTCCTCTACATTAATTTAGCTTATAAATCATTAATCTCTGAGTCTTATCAAGTCTATAATGATGTTACCATGTTTAAACATCTGCAAACCTAATTTCAGGTTCTTGAGCCTGAAACTAATATTATCTTACCTGGAATTTGTATCTCAAATTAAAATTAATAGTGTTTAATGTTGTCTTATAAATTATTTCTATCGTTTCCATGGTATCTTCCATTTATTATGGTATCTTCCAAGAAGATACCATAAGAAATTATCAAAGAATCAAGTTATCAATTATCATGACCACGCTAAAATGGTCATGATGGAATGACCATTAAAAGACCATTTGGCTAGTTAATTCAGATGGGATTAATAAAAGTACATGAGAGCATCTGAATACTATCAATAATTAGCAGCAACACAATTGCACCACAATAATAATAAACATTTAAGACTTACAATAGCTAAAATGCAAAAGCATTTAGTCTATTTTAGTCACATCTCTAAGCACAATCTTAGTCATGCGTCTAAACATGGATTACTTAATGTAATCCCTACAACTATGCTACAAGATACTTTTATCATCACCTCTGGTTTAAAGGCAACAAAGCAAAATTTGGTTAGGTTGAGCAACTTGTGTCAGGATTGCCCAACAGCCACTACACTATAGAGCTTCTTGGCTGCATGAGAAGAGTTCTGGATTGTGAATTGAATTCAGACAGTAGACCTACCTGGTTGCTGGGGAGAGTCTCCTGCTCTGGAGCTGCAGGTTGTGTATAAGACAAGTCTGTTTGGACCAATGGCCTCTGACAGTTTTCTTCTCACTCCTGTATTCTAGTATTCCATCAAGTCCTGAGTTCTTGAGTTTGCCTCAGATACTATAAAGATATCTGGGTTCAAAGTTAAACAAGGGATGTGGAGGACAGTAGAAGCTATGGGTACTACAAGGGTGTTTTGGGTAATGCTTTTTCTGCCATCTAACCATTCCAAGCACATTTAATTTTGCTAATTAAGTCTTTCAAGGCATAGAAAGGAACGACATTAGAATCCATGAGTTTGAGTTAAAGCTGTGTTCTAAATAATACTCCACTGAATACCAATGTGTATATTTGAAAAGTGAGGTCAAAATTAGGGGTCAGAACTAGAGTTGAATACCTGTTGCTTTAAAGTCATGGCCCAATTATAGCTCAGTCAAAAAAATCTAGTGGAACATTCCTCCTCCATGAATTTATTCAGCCTGCTTGAAATAATTGAATTAATTAATTGGATTAAATGAAGTAATATATTTAGAGTAGTGAGCATAGTGCCTGGCTTGCAAGACAGGCTCAATAAATGGTAACTGCTATCATTATTATTATCATTATTGTTATGATTACTCTTCTTTCCACAGATGTGTAAAGCATCTTTGCTTAAAATGTGCCTATACCTCCATTACATTGAGTAGAAAAATCATAGATGAGAAAACGTCTATAATGGAAAACTAAGCAGATATTTGCATCATCTTATCTTTTTTATTACTAGCTCACCTTATATTTAAGGTATCTCTGGTAGGACCCACGGTCCCTAGAAGGGCCCACCAATAGCATTGGTATTAAGGATCTTGGGGAAAGATCTGCTTCTCTCGACTAACACTGCAAGTCCCCACATAAAGCAAACAGATCATCCTGGAGTTAGGAGGATATTGCAAAGAAGCTGTGACTGGCAAACTGAAGGTTGCATGGATTAAGGAGGTTGCAAAACATAAAAGATGAGTTTACCAAGGCATTAATCAATCTGTCCATGTTTTAATTCAAGTGGAAAGAAAGGCTTGGACCTGTGACTGATGTACAAGGTGTCAGCAAAGGAAAACATCATTTTCAATTTTGTATCTTCAGCTTTAGAGATGGTAAAATCCAATGCAAAGACCTAGTTGTAGCATGAACGTGAGTCTCGATGGTGTGGTAGAGCATCATAAATATGAAGAATTCTGAAGGGCTTTGTTTCCCAGTCCATTGTTCATAGCCTCTGGCCATTCTCGACTCACAGTCCTCCCTCCCTTGTGGCTCAGTCTGGAGGTTTAAGGTTGCACCTCCAGTTGGATATTGCTGGAGAAGTTCTGGCTGATCTGTGTCCAGAGCTTTGCATTGACTTCTGTCATAGAAATGATGCAATGAGCATCTGTGCAACCTCCTACTCCATGGCACAGGCTGGGTTACCTCCCAGGGCAAGTTCAGCTGATGGCCATACCAAACAGCAAATGGCTGTACCCGATTACCCAATCTCTATCTTTGCAAGAAGAGAAAGTCCAGGAAATACAATGGCATTGCTGGATCAAGAATTGAAAGACAGTGTGCTCACTTTGAACTCTGCTCTTTCAAAACATGTCCTGCTAGTCTGAATGCCCATGGCTCAGGGAAACCACTCTATTGTGATGTCGATAACCCTATGGAAACGATGTCCAAAGTGGCTTCCCTTGAGCTACAGGCATGCTGACTTTGGGTCTTCTCCCAGACACCGGAAGGAGTATAGTTCCACAGAACAGGTACAATGACTTTGTTCTTCCCCGCACCTTTTCCCATCTATGCAGGAAAACACTGGTGTGCCCCATGAACGTGAGAACAAGTTGGAGTTATTTAAATTATTTCCAGCAAATGCAACACCCTGGAAAACACACAAGTTATTGTTAATCCAAGAAAATAGTGGAGTAGATCCGTGAAGGCATCCCAGATGGTGAGAGCAGATGCAAGTGCAGGAGGGTAAATCACACATTACGACTGCCATTAGGGCAAAGATGGGTTTAATGGAGGAAATCACAACATTATCACAACAACCAGGTACAACACAATATAAGAATTAATTACCAGGGGACAATATGAACTCAGGAACAAACCAAAGAGGGAAACCCAGTCAAGTGAAGACAGGGTTATCTGTAGAATGGCGACATTGCACTCTTACAGTTTTCCATGTTTTAAGTACCCTAATAATTCCGATTATATGCATAGTATGATTATTTACTATGTTTGAAAGTTATGTGTCAAATTGTCTGAAACTAGCCAAGTCTCATTATGAGCATTGTTACTGAGAACTGTGAAATTCCAGCCATCTCTTTTTATATGTCAACATTGATTAAGCATTTAGTCGCAGGTAACCTTTCCTCTCAAAGTGTGGTTCTTGGGCAGGTACCATCAGCATTATGTAAGAGCTTTTTTTTTTTTTTTTAGAAATTCTCAGATCCCCACTCTAGGTTTACTGAATCAGAACCTTCATTTTAGCATGGTCATGAATTAGCCAATTGAAATTCAAGAAACATTGGTATATAAGGTGACTATACTATGAAACCTATATGCTAAGTACAAGGTCTTGTGTGTTAGTTTGGTTCAGCCAGCAGAATTCTTTAAAAAATTGTTTAAGTTAATCTAATCAGTTTCCGAATATCACATTTGCTTACTTTTCCATAGTTATTTAAAAAACGATTAGGGATGTCTTCTTAACATGTTTTGAATGAAATTTTTATGTTAACTTATGACATGTGAAAGTGAGTAAATTAATAAAAAGCATGATGATACACAAATTAATGCATGTAGTGACTAGTTGAATGGGAAGATCTTGCATTGGGTACGTCCACCCATCACCGTCGAAGAGAAATTTATCCTCTAATCCAAGAACTTCAGAGAGGATGATTCTCCATCATCTATTTGAGGCAGACAAATTTGCATTTATTAACATAAACTGCCCATGGCAGAAGTTTGAGCCCCTTGTCTCTTGCTCAGTCATTAGGGGAGATAGGAGCCACTCTTCTCTTGTTATTCAGGAAGTAGATACAGTATGTGCTGGAGTTCACCATCTGCCTCCCAGTTCCTTAGTTCCTGCAACTCTCCTGCAAGAGTTTCATTTCCAGTGCCCTCCTTAGACCTTGCTGTCCACTTGGCATTTGACTGATTGAATCCCAGATGACCTTTTATGCAGGAGTTGCATTAGATCCATGTTGAGTACAGCAAAGCACAACTTCTCCTATTTAACTATTATGCCATTTTGCATTCTTCTCTTGAAAAAAAAGGGAAAAGCCATACAAACACCAATATTCCCTGCAGTTACATTGAGTAGGTAGGAAAGACTTCCTTAATAAACCCCCCAAAAGACAGCACATCACTTTTGTATCTCAACCAACATACAAAATGCAGATTATCAACTTTATGCCTTTTTATTTTGGTCCTATACTATTTTTCTTTTATGTGTAAACTTTTAGATTTGATTTTATACTGTAGATAAATCATATGCTTTCCAATGTCTGATCTGAAGGGTCCCTTGAGCTCCATATGGATGGAGGAGATCAGGACTAAAGTTTTGGAAATCTTGACCATTTATTTCAGGAAGAAGTACTAGATTGAATTCACCTATATGAAATGGACATTGTATCAAACTGGAGATGATACACCTATTTGTGCAGTGACAGATATACCCTGATGTATGGGACATTGGTGTTACTTCTAATCCTAACAAAGAATTCCCTTTCTGGGACTAGTGACAGCAGAATATCTCTGTGCCACTCCACAATGGTTCAGGAGAGCATGAGAATAACGCTCCAAAGGCCACATCCCTGAAGTAACACCTAGCATTTTATATGGCCAGCAGAGAGTCGTAGCCACCCCCAGGTGGTACAATTATTGCAACTCTTATCTATCTTAAAATTCTAGCTTTAGCTGAAATACTGGAGTCTCGCCATCTCTGTTGGTCAGATGTAGGAGTAACTTGCTCACCAGCATAGCTTCAGGGAGACTTTAGGGTACCATTGTGCCCTGGAGTTACACTGAGTAAGTGAAGAGGCTTTCTTAATTATTAACAGTGGGTGCCTGTTTAAGGGGATATCTACCTATCTATCTAGCATATGTGATATAAAAATAAAACACCTATGTTTTATATTATATATTAATATTATATAAAATAATTATATATTTATATATATATAAATATATTTTATTTATATATTTATATATAAATAAATATATTTATTTATATATAAATTATTTTATAATAATTATGTTATATGTATATAACATATATAAGTATATATTTATATAATTATAATTTCTATATAAATTGTATAATTAAAATTTATATATAAAGTATATAAATATATAAATATATAATTATATAAAATATATAAATTTTATATAATTATATATAATTATAAAATTTATAATTATAAATTATATGTAAGTATATAAATATAAATAACATGATAATAAATATATAATTATATTAATTAAATTTAGAAATATTATAAAACATAATTTACATGTATACTTACAAAATTATAACATTCTATATAAATTTATATAATATACGTATAAAATATATAATTTTATATATGTGTATATAAAAATATATACACATATATAATATAAAACATATATACATATATGTGTGTGTGTTATATATAATATAAAACATATCTATGTTATATTTAATGAGCCTAATGCTTCCAAAAGTATAACTTTCATATATATATAGTGACTTCATAGCACTTTGCTCCAGTATTCTGTCTGAGTGTACCTACCTTGTAGAAGAAAAGGCAAAGCGAAATGAACTAAAATGACAAGGATTTGGTGAGGCAAGCTGAGGTTCTAACTCCATTGTAAAGTTAAGGAACAGTGAGCACTCCCTGTACGGCCAGTCCAGGATGAAGTGTTTTGGGTGGAATTCCTCATTCTTCCACAGCAACCCCCTACTATTATCCATTATCACCTCTGACTTAGTGGCAGAGGATCCCAGTGAGAAGCCAGAGACTTGGGTTTCAAACCAACTCGCTTAAGTCAGGACCTAGAAGCAAGAACTTTAGCACTTAGTCCTATGCTGTGGCACCTCACTCACCTAAGACCTCGAATTCTGCTTTCATGTTTGAAACCCTTCTCTCTCTGCACTTTGTAGCTCAGTGCCTGACTCTTAATAGTAGCTTAGTGCTTGTTTGTGGGCTAAATAAATGGAATGACAGAACTTTCTAGAATTTAGGCTTCCTCTGCAACCCACATCCACACTTGACAGAGGAAGGAGCCAGATTTTTGCATTTCCAAGGTTTCTTCTTTGGGACTGCAAAAGGTCTGGTTAGGAAGCCCTCACATTGATAAGCTTGTTCTTGTTATCTCCAGTTAAATAACAAAGTGCTCTTGAAATGGCTTATTTTCTATATTTGTTTCCTTCAGAAAACAAAGGCAGAAAGCTTTGGAGATAGAACATTTCATTTACAAGCTATAATGCAGCTCACCATCGGCAATTCAAAACTATCACTCTATATAAATCAGTGTCATTATATCTTGAGAACCTTCCTGAGAAATAATATTTGCAGACCTCTAATTTATAATAGATTGCTCTGAAAGCAAAAATAATACAGCAGCATTTGTTCTCATGGGAGATTTCTGTTCACAGTGTTTAGGAGGGAAACATGTTAGACCTTTGTAGGATCAATGTTATAAAAAATTAAATGTCGAATGGGCTCTGGGATTTACAAATGAGATTCTGGCTTAAGACCTGAGTAGTATGGGATCCAGACTGTATCTTTTGGGAAAGAATGGGCTAAAAGGAAATTAGAAATCTGACCATTTCTCAGGAAGTTGAGCTAAATATTCTACCATGCATACGTGCATGGCAGCCTCAGCTACTTTCTCTTGTACTAATCCCAGCCCAGTTGTATAGGGCACTTTAATGAAAGTGATCACTCTAGGCAATGAAGAAGAAACTTGATGAGGACATGTTAAATATCATGGTCATTTGAAATATTGGAATTTGGAGGAGATATCCAGGGATAAGCATTAAGATGGGGAAGGATGCAGGATATTTCAGTTGAGAGAATCTGCATAATAAATGCAGCTGTAAATTTGTCTGGAGTTAAAAATAGGCAAGAGGAGAAGCTGTAAGTAGGATGTAGCTGGCCTTGGCTTTGGGGATAAGAGCTGTCCCTGAAAAACTCTGTGACACCCCAGCCTTTAGCACACAGCCCGTGTAAGGTGGGCACTTCATAAACCCATGTTGAATGAATGCATGAGGAAGTCTAGGAGTCAAAACTGCATTTGAAAGGCATTTAAAAAATTAACAGAAGGAGGCTGAGGCAAGGGGATTGCCTGAGCCCAAGAGTTTGAGACCAGCCCGGGCAACAAACTGAGACCCAATCTCTACAACGAATACAAAAAAAAAATAGCCAGGCATGGTGATACTCACCTGTAGTCCCAGCTACTTAGGAGGCTGAGGTGGGAGGATCACTTCAGCCCAAGAAGTAGAGGTTGCAGTGAGCCATGATTGTGACACTGCACTTCAGCCTGGGAGACAGAGTAAGACCCTGTCTCAAAAACAACAAAAATAATAGACTATTTTTGAGCAGTTTTACATTTACATAAAAACTGAACAGAAAGTAAAGAGTGTTCATACACTCTCCCCTGCACATAGTTTCCTTATTATATATATTATGTATTCATGTGGTATATTTGTTACAATTGAGCCAACATTGATAAGCTGTGATTAACTGAAGTCCATAGTTTCCATTAGGGTTCACTCTTCGTGTTGTATGTTCTGTGGGTTTGGACAAAGGTATAATGGCATGGATCCACAATTACAGGATCATACACAGTAGTTTCACTGCCCCCAAAATCCTCTGTGTTCCGCCTCCTCATCCCTCCTTTCTCCCAAGCCCACGGTAATGACTGATCTGTTTAAGGTCTCTATAGCTTTGCCTTTCCCAGAATGTCCCATAGCTGGGATCATACAGTATGTAGCCTTTTCAGATTGACTCCTTTCACTTAGAAATATCTTAAGATCCTTCCATGCTTTTCATGGCTTTATAGCTCATTTCTTTTTAGCTCTGAAATAATCTTTCATTGTCTGGATGTACCACAGTTTATTTATCCATTCAACTGCTGAAGGGCAGTTTCATTGCATCCAAGGTTTTGACGATTATAAATAGACATGGTATAAATATTTGTGTGTGGGTTTTTGTGTGCACATGAATTATTATGGGAGACACATTTTTATAGGAAATTTCTTTGCAGCATTTTCTTTGTGCAGATACTTCTACATATAGAAAGATGAATTTTGTTTCAAAGGAGGGTGTATGGTCATATGCCCTTTACTAAATACTAACTACAATACACGGAAGCAAATTCCTAAGTCCTCTGCTACCTGCCTAATCTGTGTTATTTTACACAGAGGTTGTTGTATGAGCAAAAGGGGGCATTTTTCTTTCAAAGTATAAACGGGGGTTATAGCGCCTTATTGTTTCCTTCTATTTCAACTCATTAAGCTAATTACCATTTTCAAAGTAATTAGGCTTAAATTAGTGTCTCAGCCAAACAACCCCAAGCCCGAGAGCACAGGTGGTTTGCTTAGCTGCACCAGATAACACCATAATAAATGTCTGCCTGATCATGATTTATCATGGGAGACAAATTGCTAAAATGGCCCTCGGGTGTCTTATTTTTTGGTTCTGAGTATGACATTTACATATATGGTGTGGGTTCTGGGAATGTTTATCATTTGAGTTAAAAATTGAGAAACATTGAACATACTCTAGCCCGTGGCACTTGCAATCAAATAGCAAAAATATGCCTTGCCACAAATGACTTGGTTGTTGCTTTTGCATCAGAAATCATCTCTGCCACCTCCATGGGCATCTCACTCTGCAGTCCTTCTCCTTCCCCTTTTCGGGACCAAGTGGGTGTGAGTGCAACCTGGAGCGAAGGGTCTGGCACTGCAGGGTGTGATCTACCTGCTGGATAGGATGTATTCCAAATCCTATATTTAATTATTTCGACTGCAGAGGATGCCTGCGGCCATTGTAGAATATCAGTTGTTGTGGACATCCTAGTGTGACTAAGAGCCCACCCAAAATTTGATTCCCATGTCTAGACCAGTGACAGCATGCACACACTAAGAGGATATGAAAAGGCTTATTACTCATATAATGTGGCTTTCTGAGGAGAGCAGGTGATATGGTTTGGCTGTGTCCCCACCCAAATCTCATCTTGAATTGTAGCACCCATAATTCCCACGTGTTGTGGGAGGGACCCGGTGGGAGATAATGGAATCATGGGGGAGATTTTCCCCCATACTGTTCTCATGGTAATAAATAGGTTTCGCGAGATCTGATGGTTTTATGCGGGGTTTCTGCTTTCGCTTGGCTGGCTCTCTCTCCTGCCTGCTGCCATGATTGTGAGGCCTTCCCAGCCATGTGATACTGTAAGTCAATTAAACCTCTTTTTATAAGTTACCCAGTCTCGGGTGTGTCTTTATTAGCAACGTGAGAGCAGACTAATACAGCAGGTTACTAAACCAGTACAAAAAATAGCTTGAGAGAGCTCGGAAAAGAAACGGATTCTGCTGTTATGGTGATTAGTACTTGGGGCTGGGATAAGGGTCTCTTGCATGCAGACAGGGGCTTGCATAGTTCCAACCTCCCACCGGCGGTGAAGGAGGGAGCGCCCAGGATTTCTTATCAGCCTGCGTGGCACGAGCAGAAGAGGGAGAGATGAGGCTTAAAAACTCTTAGCACTCAAACATTAAGAAATGGAGTCAGGCTCTAATATACCAGTCAAAGCCTAGCAGTATGCACTGACTTATTAAATTAAATCAGCAGCATATGACTATGTAGAGCCCTGTGGAAATTGTACATTGTCTACCTCTAGTTTGCCCATCATTGTCTTCTGATTTGAGAGCTGAGTGATAGCTTCCTAATCAGAAAGTCCATGTTTCAGCTCCTTCTTCAAACTTCAACTTTCCTCTGTTTTTTTCTTGCAGAAAATTATAAGCATATGCAGAAATGAAATAGTACAGTTAAACCTCCATATGCCCTTCACTCATATTTAACAGTTATTAACTCCTGGCTAATCTTGTTGAATCTATATCCCATACTCATTTATTCTCGCCCTGCATTCTTTTGAATAAGACAGCAGCTATCATGTTCCTCACCACCTCCATTTCATCTACGGGTATTTCAGGATATATCTCTACAAGATTTTTTTTCTCTGGTGTACTTTTTACTCCTCTGATTCTCACTGAGTCTATCTATTCACCTGTTCAGGATTTGAGCATTTTGAGTTTTCAATCAGATTTAATTCTTACTTTCTGATTCTTCCACTTCTTAAGTATCTGAACTTGAACAAATCGGCCTTTTACAGCATTGTTGCTCTACCCATAAAATGAAGCTAGTGCCATTTACTCATAGGGTTCAGTGTGGTCTAAACAAGATAATATGTAATAAAATTCTCTACATGTAGACAGTGCTCAACAGAGGGTAGCAATTATTGTTATTATTATTGTTGTTGCTATTATTTTTTGAGGGGTTATCTGGAGGTGGTATACAATGTTAGTTCTGGGGAAAGAAGGTGAGGTCAGGAGGAATGTTGATATTTGTGATGGACGGTTTAGACTTGGAGAATAACTCCCGGTTATTCCTCTATCAATGAGGAATATTGATATTCATGTGAGGGATAGTTTAGATTTGGGTATCTACTGTAAGTATTAAAAGAGAATATTCTCATAAAATATCTATATACATATTTGTTCACATAAGAGGAACATCACTGGTTTAGTTTTCCCATCCAATAAAGAAAAATGATAGACTTCTTTATAGCCTTAGAGCCAACACCAGCTGGTGAGAACAACCTTTCAGCTTCTTTCTTCTGGCACCTGCCTCCAAGTGGCTCTCCATCAATGAACCTGGTACTTTTAGAATACTTTCTCAGGTCTCCCTGCAGAATCACTTCATGATACCCAGAGGTTCAAATGGTGCTTCTAAATGGCACTCAAGTCAATGAATCTTGGTGTCTATTCTAAGAAGCCAGCCACAGCCAGTCTTGATTGCATCACGTCTCATGCTGGGATAAACTCCAATATGTAAGAACGTTTACTTCCACCTTGAGAAATTAGCCACCCACTGAGTAGGGCAACCATCTCCATTTGCTTTATGAATATGCATTATTTTTAAATGGAGTCTTTTTCCCCTCCAGGGCAGATCTTGAACCTTCTGGATGAGCTGAGATTGGCTAATGATACCCTCATCTACTTCACATCGGACCAGGGAGCACATGTAGAAGAAGTGTCTTCCAAAGGAGAAATTCATGGCGGAAGTAATGGGATCTATAAAGGTGAGAAATGCTGGGATGGAGAAGCTCTGGCCTCTCAGCTCATCCGCTGGTCACTTTTTTCTTGATTTTCGAGCTTTTCCATAGTTCTTCTGCTACTTTGCAATAGGTAGGACTTCCTTGTGTCATGGAGACAGTCAGAAGGCCAAAGTGACCATTTCTGTTCTGGTTCCCACAGAATTTAAAAGCCCACATCTTGTGTCAAGACATTAGAATGAGAGTATGTATCTCCAAATGTAAATGCAGCCTCATATAATGTAACTGATTAAAACAAGAATTCCTCTACACCTATGTGTAGATTTCCTGTCACTACTGTAACAAATTGACACAAACTTATGGGCTTAAAACAAATTTATGAACTTACAGTTCTAGAAGTCAGAAGTTCAAGATGGATATCTCACTGGTCTGAAATTGAGATGTCTGTAGGGCCTTCTACAAGCTCTTGGGGGGAATCTGTTTCCTTGGCTTTTTCAGCTTCTGGGGACTTCCCACTTTCCTTGGCTCATGGCCCCTTCTTCCATGTGGAAAGCTAACAATTCACTGTCTTCAAACCTCCGTGTCTGTGTCCGACCTGTGCTTCCATAATCTCATCTCCTTCACTTACTCTGACACCCCTGCCTCCCTCTTATGAGGACACTTGAGATTACGTTCGGCCCACTTGGATAATCCCACATCATCTTCCCATCTCAAGATCATGAACTTAATCTGCAAAGTGTCTTTTGCCATGGGGTGTAACATATTCACAGGTTACAGGGATTAGGACGAGGGCATCTTTGGGAGACCGTTATTCTGCCTACGTGAACCCACAATAGTATTTTGAGCTAACACTTTTCAAAAATTTTTTTTGCAGCATTAGCTGAGCCACTTTCATGGTGGATTGGGCATCATGCTAGTCATTGGAGATATTTGATGAGACCCAGCTACTGGCTTGTATAGTGTATGCTCTGCCAATATAAGATAGACATATATATTGTCTAATATATACATTTAGACATATCTTATGTACTTATACATAGCTAATATTTAATGTCTATATACATTAGACATATCTAATGTCTATCTTATATGACAGACATTACATGACACACAACGTGGCCCATTTCATAAAGTGATATGATACCTAAAAGGGTGTATTTGTGCTAAGGGTTAGGACTCCCCAGCCAAATCTGCAGTGGATATGGGTTGAAGGTACAAGAAGAGATGACGCCTTAACCAAAAGGGGAGGGTGAATCACAGTTTACCTGCAAAGATATGAAAGGATGATATAGGGAATGCTTTTATCTATCAATTTGTTTAGAAATATTGATTATCTTCTGTGTGTCTTGCATTGGGCCAGACACAACAGTAAATATATAACATGGTGTCTTCCCTGAAGGAAGTCATGTTGAACTGGTAGGTGGGTGGGTAGATGATGACGTGAAGCCTGGGAAGACCCAGTACAATTTGACAAGGGCGCTAACACTTGCATGCACAAGATACTAATGGCACAAGGGGAAAGAGAGCCTCACTTGGCTGAGGGGTTCCCAGGAATGTTTGCAAAGGAGACACGGCTAGAAAGGAGGTCACCAGTGGGTCTGTGCCTCTGCTTTCTTTCCCCTTCTGTCTCTTTCTGCTCTTCCAACCCCTTGCTCTCTTTTGTCATGCTGGAAAGAAGGAGAAGCAGCAAATAGCTTGTTCTGCAAACTGCAAGGAGCTCAGTAAGGCCAGATTACACCATACCTGAGGCAAAGAGAAATAGTCCTCTGTAGTCTATCCCTGCAGCATAAGGCTGCAGGTAGCTTATGAAGCCTTATGCTTCTAGTTACGTCTCTGTGTGCACATCTGGAGCCCTATGACCGGCTGAGCACCCATGGGCAGGAACCGTCTCCTACACCTTTTGTTACCTGGCACCTAGCACAAAAAGATGCCTGTTAGGTGCATCTGGACAACCTTCATAGGCTGCTCAGACCTCCTCCCAGCCCCTTCCTTTAGGTCTCATTGTTACCTTGCTCAATGCAGGACACATAATCAATATGTAATGTGGGTTTGATTAATGAACCGGTGTGTTTAATCTGAACAGGATTAACCCCAGTAGGCTATCACTCTTTCAGCCCTTCTCTGTGTGCCATGTTACTTTAAAAGTAGTAAAAAGTGGAAACATGTATTCCTAATATATGAAGACTTGGTATTACCGGGCTGAACTGGGGTCCACTCACCCAGCGCAGTAAGGCCAAACATCCACACCGAGGTTTTGCAGTGGGAGAAAGGAGGGTGTTTATTTGCAGGGTTCCAAGCAAGTAGAATGAGGCCTCTCTCACTTAAGATTCCACTTCCCCAATGGTTTGCAAGCAAAGGTTTTTAAAGCCTGGGAGGCAGAGGCTACAGGCAAAGTCATAAGTCTATACATGGAGATTATACATTGGTTTGACCTAAAAAGGCAGGACATCCCAAAGAAGGGCGCCCACAGGTTATAGGTGGCTTCAAAGATTCCCTGATTTGCGATTGGTTTAGGAAGTGAAGCTTTGTCTGAAAATTTGGGGTCAGCAAAAACAAACATGATATCTGGCCTGTGGGCGTGGCTTCCTCCAGGCCCCTTGGGAAGAAATTTGGAACAAAGAATGTCAGTCAGAGTTCAGTCCTCAGTTCCTCTTTACCTGGAGCCTAGGTGCCAGCAGATGGCATTTTCCATTTGGAAGGGGTCCACTTTCTGAAAAACAACTATGGGACATATGTTAAAGTGTTATCTGTAGTTATTACAGGGAACCAAACATTTTATGGCTCTAACTTCCTTGTCTATTATTTTACTCTATGATTACCTTCTTGCTTATCAGTTGCTCATTTACTTTTCAAAGCTAGCTAGGTGCCTGGAATTTTCTTTGAAGGAACTCAAGATTTTTCCTTATTTCCCTGCCTGGGGGAGTCCAGCAGGCCCCTAAGAGGGGTCCCTGCTCCATCTCATTGGTGTTTCAGTCTTATTTTCACAAGGCTATAACCTGTGTGGATAGAGTTGTTTTTATTTCATTTTGTAGATGCCAGTGTCCCTAAAGACTGGAGTTCCAGGCTGCATTCCACGCTCTAGTTCATCCATTCATTCATTCTCTCTCTTAGTGCCTGTTCAGTTCCAAAATAGCTTAGCAGCTGCCGAGGAGGAGACGTGTACATCAATCACAATTCTAGAAGTGGTTGGAGAGTAATAGTTACTTAAGAAAGTTACCTATGGAAGGCTATAGAGCCCCAGGGCAGGGAGAGGGGACCCCTGACTGACAATCCCGGGGAAGTTTCATGGGACAGAGAAGGAGCTGCATCACGTTTTGCACAGATAGTTCACCAGGGTTCAGAGACACGAGAGGTATAGATCAGAAAGGGAGCCTCAATGGTCTTGAATAATGGTTGGGAACCCCAGTTTTATCATACAACCCTGCAAGCATGTCAGGAGCTACTCCATAAATTTCTTTTTTTTTTAAAGAAATGTATTTGATGTATTAGAAATGTTTTGCTTGCATGCTGGAGAGACCATGAATGTGTAACATGATTAATGTCTCAGCCACCGCTCTATTGCAAAGTATTATCCTTTTGTCAACTTATTTGAAATCAAGTTCACAGTGAAACACTGTTAAAATACAATGCCCTAAAAGGAAGATGGGGTTTCCTTCTAGTTATGGGAAGTAGGCTTCTGAGTGTCAAGTGTCAAGATATCTTGTTCTCTAGAGCTGCAAACTCGAACACATACCTGTGGTTTACGCAGACACAGAGAAATCATAGGATTTAACACCCTGTTTAAAATAGCATCCTTTCTAAACAATGATGACTTCTACTGTCCATCAAAACCCTTCAAAGGACTTTGCTATTTGAACTTTTTTTTTTCCTTTTGAGAGAATCTCGCTCTGCCACCCAGGCTACAGTGCAGCGGAGCCATCTCGGTATTTGAACTTAATGATTCTACTGTATTCCCAAGTCAAATCTGTTTCCCTGGTGAAATCTATGGGCTTCATCAATGACAGAGTGGATAAAGAAAATGTGGTATATATACACCATGGAATACTGTGAAGCCATAAAAAAGAATGAGATCATGTCTTTTGTAACTTGGATGGAGCTGGAGGCTATTATCCTTCGCAAACTAATAATGCAGGAACAGAAAATCAAATACCACATGTTCTCACTTATAAGTGAGAGCTAAATGATGAGAACTTATGAACACATAAAAGGAAACAACAGAGACTGGGGTCTATTTGAGAGGGGAGGGTGGGAGGAGGGAAAGGAGCAGGAAAGATCACTATTGGGTACTAGGCTTAATACCTGTGTGATTAAATAATTTGTACACCAAACCCCCATGACATGAGTTTACCTATGTAACAAACCAACCTTCACGTGAATCCTCAAACCTAAAATAAGTTAAACATAAATAAATAAATAAAATAAAATATACCAGACTTCTTGTTAAAAAAAAAATCTATGGGCTAAATTTGGTAGAATGGCTAGGATTAAATCATCCTTCCATTAAATTCAATAGGTTATTCCTTTTAATAAGAGGTACATTACATGTCTGCTGCAGTCTACATTTAAAAAACAATTATCTAATATTCCAGGGGTGAGGGAGTAATAATAGGACTGTTTCATTTCTTTAAGGAAATGACTTTGCAGTATGATTATTCTGTTTAGGTTTGGATATGGGTAAATTTTGTCTTTGTCAAAATGTTCTAGCATAAAGGGAAATTGGGAAATAAGGGTAGGGTCAAATGTATACTTTGGATATAATTCTGGTCAAAGTTTAGAAATCTTGGCAGTAAGTCCTTTATACAGTAGTTCCTAAAATATTTCCCTCTGAGACCCTTCTAAAATAAATTTTCTTCTATTGTCCACATGCTTTGAATGATTGTGTCAACCTAATAAAACCAATTTTCTAAGGAATAATTTATCTTCCCATTTAATAATTAAGAAATCATTATCTCCATTAGGGCTTCCACTTAATTTGACTGTGTTCCATACCATGTGATTATGATTTTCATAGACAGCAAGATAAATAAGTAAACCACTGAACATCCCATAGCCTGTGACCCTTTGTAGCTGTTAAATGTAAAATTTTCCATCAGGGCTGTTGACATTTGAAAATGTTCACATTGCTTCTTTGGGACCTTAGGAGTAGAAACCATTGCTTGAAACTAATAGAGGATTTAAGATTTCTATGCAATCCTTAACTCTTTCTAGGAAATTTAGTTTATGGCTCTCAATTTATGTTCCTACACCCTGGACAGGTATTGGATCTATTTGGATCAGCCTGGTGGGTGAGTCTTGAGAAGACGCTTCATTCTGCACTTGTATCTGTGTCAAGGCAGTAGAACAGAAAGGAGTTCAAGCTGAGAGTCCTGCAAATTGCAGTTCTCTTATTGAAGGAGCAAGTGGCCCCACCCCTAGCTTCACTTTTCTAAATCAGGGTTCAAAGCCTTTGAGCCTCTCTTTGCATGAGGAGTTGCAAACAAATTCATGGAAGTTTCTTCTCAACCTTCACTGCAGCTGCTTCTCACCTGATCCACCTCTCAATGTTGAAGACCTCCAGGGCTCTGTCCTGGGCCCCCTTCCCTTTATCTTCACACTTGCCCTATCTGATGTCATCCAAATCCAGGACGTCATATGACATCCAACTGCAGGGCATCCCACATACAGAGCCGGGACCCTGCTGTGGAGGTCCACATTGCTATGTTCAGCTGCCCACTTGCCACATGACCTGGAAGCTCAGTAGGCATGTCATCTCGGAAAGATGCAAGCTAGACATCAAATGCAAGCTAGCCCAAGCCCACACATGCCCAAATCTGCATGATCTTATTGAATGCTTTACCCCGTGACTGAACCTCAGTGCTACGATATTTGCTGGTTGATGGGCTTGTTTTATTTTGCCTCTCTTTAACCCCTATGTATCCCATATTTTGGAATCACATCCTATTCACTTTATTTTCTAAGTTTATCTGACATTGGTCATCTTTTGTCAGCTGTATCAATTTTCCATCTTGTCCAGGCCACTGTGGTCTGCCCTTTGGACTTCTCCAGTGTGCTTCTTGGTGGTCTCCCTAATTCTTTGTTCTCACACTCCGTTCTCTACCCAGACACTGGAGTGAGCTTTCGTAAACATAGTGTCAATGTACTCTATTGAATTTCTGAGGACTGACATAACTGTTAGCACCACAAACTGGGTGACTTAAAAACAGCAGAAAGTTGTTTTCTCTCAGTTCTGGGGGCCAGGAGTCTGAAAGCAAGCTGCTGGAAGTGGTGGGCTCCCTACGAAACCTCTAGGGGAGAATCCTTTGTTGTTCTGCCATTAATTCTTAACCTTCCTTGACTTGTAGATGTGTCACTCCAATCTCTGCCTCCACCTTCACATGGCTTTTTTCCTTTCTTCAAACACTCTAATATCAACCAGCCATGGTGGCTCACACCTGTAATCCCAGCACTTTGGGAGGCTGAGATGGGAGGATCACTTGAGCTCAGGAGTCGGAGCCCAGCCTGGGCAACATAGTGAGACCTTGTCTCTACAAAAAACATGTAAAAATTAGCTGGCTGTTGTGTTGCACACCTGTAGTCCAAGCTACTGAGGAGGCTAGGGTGGGAGGATCACTTGAGCCCAGGAGTTTGAATCTGCAGTGAGCTATGATTGCACCACTGCACTCCAGGCTGGTCAACAGAGGGAGACCACTGTCTCTACAAAAAAACAGTTTAAAAAACAAAATTAACCAGGGGTGGTGGTACACATCTGGAGTCCTAGCTACTCAGGAGGCTGAGGTAAGAGGATCGCTTGAGCCCAGGAAGTCGAGGCTGCAGTGAGCTATGATTGCACCACTACACTCCAGCCTGGGCAACAGAGCAAGACCCTGTCTCAAACAAACAAACAAACAAACAGAACAAAAAACCACTCCAATATCTTCTCATCCACTGAAAATACAATGTGAAGTCTGCACCCCAGCTGTACAGTTTTCTCCTCCTCTCTTCCTGGCTTTTCCTGGGTCCCCCAACCCCTTCATCTTGTTCCCACCTCAGAGTCTTTGTGTTAGAAACTCATCCTTCCATCTCATCTTTGGATGGATTTTATCTTTCACTCATATGTTGCCTTTGTAAGGTCTCCCTGGACCACCAAATCAAAAGTCCTTGTCTCTCCCACCACTTTATTCTAATTGCTCGCATCTCTGATAACTTACCTGTTTATTATTTTATTTGCTCATAGTCCTTCTCCCATGGAAGCTGGAATCTGGGCTGCCTCATTTACCACTGTGTCCTAGTGCCTTGAGTAACCATGGAGTAGGCATTCAATAAGAACTTACTGAATGAGTAGGGATATGGTTTGGCTGTGTCCCCATCAAAATCTCATCTTGAATTGTAGCTCCCATAATCCCCACATGTCATGGGAGGCACCTGGTCAGAGGTAATTGAATCATGGGGGCGGGTCTTTCCTGTGCTGTTCTCGTGATAATGAATAAGTCTCATGAGATCTGATGGTTTTATAAAGGGCAGTTCCCCTTCACACACTCTCTTGCCTGATGCCATGTAAGACATGCCTTTGCTTCTCCCTCACCTCCCGCCATGATTTTGAGGCCCCCTAGCCATGTGGAACTGTGAGTCCATTAAAACTTGTTCTTTATAAATTACCTAGTCTCAGATATTTCTTCATAGAAGTATGAAAATGGACTAATACAAATAGTGAACACTTCTCAGATTTCTCTTCCTTCTGTCTCCTTCTCTCCCTATTTCTTCCCTTTCTCCTAAAATATCCCTTAGATGGGACCAGAATAACTTCCTTAAGATTTTCTTTTAGTTGAGTTTAGAGTTGTTTGCCTTTTCCTCATACTACAAGATTTCCTTATTCTCAGAACAGAACAGTTAAACTCATATGTCTGGCTTCATTTCCATCCCTCTCCCAAGTCAAGGTCACCCTGAAGGAGGCTCTTCCTCCCTCCCTTTTTCTCTGCCTACAGGCAAGTAATAAATGTCAATGGAATGGATAAATTAACTCTATAGATGGCTTCTGCAGAAGTGTGGGGGTGGGGGATCATATTTTCCAGAGTGTTCAAGAATATATACTTTTTTTTCATGTGCAGAGAAATGCTTTTAAAATTCCCTGATGGCTGCATGGAAGGCACTGCTCTTCAGGCATTTTTTCCTTACCTTAAGGCCAAATTCCAAACACGTGGCTTGAGTCCATGTCACTTATGAGTTGCTTCTTACAGTCACTGATTTTGACATCTCTTCCTGTCATTCAATAACACAGCTTTCTGAGAGCAATTGATACTTTTATTGTGAGAGAAAAATAGTAGCAACTGACTCTGGTAGATTATTACAAGGTAGTTATGTTCAAATGATGTTGGCAAACATTGTCATTGGCTTCCCAAGAGTAGGCAAAGCTGCCTCTTCATGCTAGTGTCAGTATTTAGTCCTCCAGCAGGTATCCACAGCCTTTTAACCTTTGAAAGATCACATCAGTCTCATTTATGTGTTCATGCATTTGGTTTAATTTTACTGGCATGCATTTATATATTGATTCTATAGAACATGCCAGGCACAGGGCTAGCTGATAGGGTATAAAGGCAAAGAATAAAGGGTCTCCGACTGCTACTAATTTACATTCTACTAGAAGCTAGTAGCTTAAATTCTACTAAAAGACAGAATGCCTCTAAATTCTACTAGTTTTTAGGATAGATATATAAGAGACCACTTCAGTGTAATGTACTGGTAAGGGAACTGTTAAAGAATGGTAAAGGCAGTTAGCCCAACTTGGGAATTCAGAGAACCTTCCAGGAGGAGCTGACATTTTGCAGGTTGACGTTTTGCATTGTTGGCTAGGAGAGGACAGGTGGGAAGTACACAGTAGGCAGGTGTGAAATACTTATGGGGAGCGAAAAAGCAGCTCAGTATTTCTAGGGATGAAAATGTAGCTGGGCGCAGTGGCTTATACCTGTAATTTCATCACTTTGGGAGGCCAAGGCAGAAGGATCGCTTGAGCCCAGGAGTTCGAGACCAGTCTGGGCAGCATAGTTAGACCCCATCTCTAAAAAACAGATTTAAAAATTAGTCAGATGTGATGGCATGTGCTTGCAGTCCAGCTACTCCAGAGGCTTGAGATGGGAGGATCAGTGGAGCCTGGGAGGTGGAGGCTGCAGTGAGACTTGATTGCACCACTGCACTCCAGCCTGGGTAACAAAGTGAGATCCTGTCTCAAAAAAAAAGTGTGAGCAAGGACTGACAGTGTCAGGTGATGGAGACTTGGTATCATGTCCGGGCATTGAGCTCTGCCTTGTGGGTTATCTGAGCTGGGAGTAGGGACCAGACAGATGGGTTAACATTAGTGAACACCCTGAAAATGGAAGGGCCATTTGGAATGATTGGGACTGTCCACTTTAGCAGAAAATGCAACTGCTGGATCACCACTGTCTCAGGCATTGCCGTAGGCAGAGTGATTTGATTGCATTGGCTTCAGTTGACAAAATGTATGACCTTAATACTACACAGTTAAATGTGGCAGAGCTTGCACCTGTTGTTGAAAAAGTCACATGGACAGGCAGGAGATTGTGATCCCGTAATGGGAGGCTTGAATTTCTCACTTTTGAGATGGGCAAGATTGAAGTTGTGTGGTCAAGCGTGCTCTGCAGGAGAGAAAGGTTGGGATTCCGGGACAGCAAAGAGGTGGGAAAGTGAGAAGGATGTGGCCACGGTGGGTAACTGGGCTCTGTGAGGGCAGGGAGTGGGCATAGCTCATGCTTATGGGCTCATTTTCTTTGATGACATGCAGGGAGAGTTTCTCTTTTGATAGTCAAAGGTCAAGCTGTTTAGTATATGACTGGTGGAGAAAATTTTAGGAATGCAATGTATTAGGGAAATGAAACATTTAGCAAAATAGAGACCAGAAGAGGTTAGACATAGGAATTTGTAATCACATTCACCTATAGGCTTCTGTTTTTTTCCCACAGTAATACGCTTCATTGATTAATTCATTATTTCATTTATTTCACAAAATATATTGAGTACCATCTATTTGGAAGGGATTTCACTATTACTTTAGTTGATTTAACAGTGCATTAGACAGTTTGTTCTCAAATACTGTTGATACTGTTGGAATGAGACATGCATAGAATTGGTTGTCATATGTCCCATAAACTTGAACTTGAAAAATACTGTGGAAATTGAAAGTTGAAAAATAATATGTGATCATAGAAGGCTTAATGAAATCGGAGAGGCTTGTTATCTAGGCTTTTAAGGAGCTTTGTAAATGATTTGGGTGTGGGGGCTGTATTAGTCAGGGTTCTCTGGAGGAACAGGACTAATAGGATAGATGTCTATATGAAAGGGAGTTTATTAGGAGAATTGACTCACACAATCACAAGGTGAAGTCCCACAATGGGCTGTCTGCAAGCTGAGGAGCCAGAAAGCCAGTCCGAGTTCCAAAACCTCAAAAGTAGGGAAGCTGATGATAGTGCAGCCTTTGGTCTGTGGTCGAAGGTCCGAGAGCCCCTGGCAAATCACTGGTGTAAGCCCAGGAATCCAAAACCTGAAGAACTTGGAGTCTGATATTCAAGGACAGGAAGCATCCAGCATGGGAGAAAGATGTAGGCTGGAAGACTCAGCCAGTCTAGTCCTTCCACGTTCTTCTGCCTGCTTTATCCTAGCTACATGGGCAGCTGATGAGATGGTGCCCACCCAGATTGAGGGTGGGTCTGCCTCTCCCAGCCCACTGACTCAAATGTTAATCTCTTTTGGCAACACCTTCACAGACACAGCCAGGAACAATACTTTACATCCTTCAATCCAATCAAGTTGACACTCAATATTAACCATCCCAGGGTCAAATCCTAGCAGAGCAACCATCAAGAGGGAGCAGCAGAACTTTCCGGAGAGCAGAGGATGAGCTGTTGACCAGGACATTTTCGTGGGACTCAGCTCAACCAAGGTGTGATGTTGGAAAGGTGGACCCCAGTCAGGACATGGTTAGCTTCGCATTCCAGAGTAAGATGTATTTTTTAGTTTTTCATTCTTGCAGACAATATTAAGTATGAGTTCAATTAAGTGACAAGAAAAATGTTAGTAGAAGTTGCTGTGACACTTCCCCCCGATGCTGAAGGATTTAATATTATGGAGTAAGGTCCAAGTTGGTGTGCTCACCCCACCCCAAAAAATCAAAATTTAGTAAATTAGAACAGGACTGGCCTAGCTGTAGCATGTGGGCCTAATGCAAACCAGCCCTTGATTTTCTAAATAAAGTTTTATTGAAACCCAGCTGTGCTCATTTGTGGATGTCTCATTCCTGGCTGCTTCTTAATTACAACAGCAGAGTTGAGTAGTTGAGAAAGCCACCCAAAGAGCCTGAAATATTTACTACCTGGCTCTTTAGAGAAAAAGTTTGCCAACCCTTGACTTAGATTCCTTAGCAGTTGGATGTATTGCTTGATGAGTCATTCTTAATCATTTGACCTGTGTCAATTAATTTTAAGGATATTCTTCAATTCTTGACATGTTATTTAGGAACTGATATCACCAGGTTCCTTATTTTTGCCTTCATAATAGATGGGTAATACGTTGGTGGAACCTGAAAAATATTGTTATATTTCCCATCTGCAATTCATGGGTTTTAGTCTTTGGCATGAATAAATCAAGGAGAGTATAAAATGTAGCATCTTGGGTGAGAAAACATTTCCCGTGAATTATCATCACACACTTCAACGGGGTTTGCCTCAATTCAGAGAATTAGTGTTATCTCAGATGGGAAGATTTGAGGAGAAAAATGAAAAACAATATTTCATAAAACTCTGCCCAGATCAAGCATAAGAATGACTAGCATATGCTCTTGCCATTAAAAGTGATTTGACCTGCTGTGTGGTAGCATTCAGAAGGACAAAAATAGAAGCCTGGTTTGCAAACAGCTGTTTCTAACAAGAGTCTTTGAGTAAATTGTAGAAGAATCCTCGCTACGCTTGCCTAGAGAGATTGAGTAACTCAGCCATCATCCTTCTGTGATGAGAACATCATCACAACATGCCATCAAGATGTTAAAACTGTGAATTGGACAATTACTCTACAAAAAGTTAAACTTAGACCATGGCTTTTTCTCTGCTCATAAATTTTCAGAAAAAATAGTTCATACTCCTTCACCTGTTTTTTTTTTTCTTTCCCCCATATCCCATTCTCCAACTTTCCTAAGTTTATTTCTCCTTCAAAACCCAAGTCAAAATCTATTGGCACAGGGCAGGTTTGCCCAGGTAAAAGACATTTCTTTTTATTTTGGTTGGTGTTTAATCAGAGTTATCTGTGGGCATATCTTTTGGTTTGTTTGTTTGTTTGTTTGTTTGTTTGTTTAAGGCAGCGTTTCACTTTGTCACCCAGGCTAGGGTGCAGTGGCGTGATCACAGCTCACTATGGCCTCAACCTCCCAGGCTTACCCAATCCTCCTGCCTCAGCCTCCCATGTAGCTGGGACTAGAGGCATGCACCACCATGCTTGGCTTTTTTATTTCTTATTTTTTGTAGACTGGGTCTCACTGTGTTGCCCAGCCTGGTCTCAAACCCCGACCTCAAGTGATCCTCCTACCTCAGTCTCCCAAAGTGTTGGGATTACAGGTGTGAGCCACTGTGCCTGGCCTGTGGATATATCTGAGCTGTCTTTTGAGACCTTTAATTTCTGTAGGGCAAGGTCCCTCTTCACTGTGTTCTCTCTGGGATTCTGTTGGCATACAATCAGAGTTCTCAGTGGGTATTATCTGAGCTATCTTTTGAGGCTGTGAGTTTCTGTAGGGCGTAATCTCCATTGTATATCTTTGTGTCCCATTTGGGGATGTGAAAATCAGTAAAGCCTAGCATTTGGCAGGACAGGTTCTAGAACTATACCTAATACCATCAATTACTGGCTGTGTAACCTTTGCCAAAGTTTTCTTGGCTGTGAAATGGGTTACTTGCCTTGCAGAGTCATGGTGAGAATCAAGAGTTAATAAAGTCACGAGTTTGAATGGTTTGGGGAACATGTGAAACTCCATCATTAGTCCTGATCATAGCAAGTCATTGCTTATTAAATGTCTGCTGAATGAATGAAGCATCCCGTGTCCACCCTCTGAGTTCCTCTAAACTCTGCTCGATGATAATGTGAGTGGTGCCCGGGAGAGCAGATTTCGGTGCTTTTTCAGCCTGACAGACACATTTGGCGCATCTCGCTTTCCACACAATATCGCAGGAGGAAGGAGACTCAAAGCTACACCATCTGACAAGCAAGGGCACTTGCTCATCAACACATGCCTGCAAATGTGTGATCATGCTTCCTCCAACATGTTTTTCCATAGGCAGTGTGTGCTCGGATGTGTTTATCATCTGTTAAAAAAATTTTAAAACATTTTTTTGCCATGACTGTTGTAAAAACTCTCCCTTTATAGCTTTAGAAAATTGCACAAGATTATGTTTATGGATACATTTCTTTAGGACCTGAATATAGACTCAGAACTATTAATACAAGATGGGAATCTCGTGATGTTCCACATAGTGGGTTCAGAGCTTCCAACAGAGCGTTTCTCGGGTGTGACAATTTGTTAACACTAGCTGCAGATGAAACCATGCCTGGTGCTACCATTCAGGTGGTCAGTAGGTGGCTAGATCTAGGGGCTACAGGCACAGCTGCCCCCATAGTCCAGTGCCTGCAATAGAGGTGCTCTGTGCATCTTACCTGAGCAGGGGTAAGCTACTTCTTTGCACCCAAGCAGAAGTATTGCCACCAGGTGGCCATTTGTGGCTTGGAGCTCCTTTGGGAATCTGGAATCTCTGGCAGGCTGTGATATTTCCAGGGCCTCTGCAGGAGATTTGTTTTATTTTGCTTTGTTTTCAAAGTGGTTATACATCAAGCCATGTTCTCATAAGATGTCTCTTCCATCACCTGGAGTTCTGGGATATTAGCAAATTCCTCAGAGGGGAATAGATCACTGGCACTTGGGTTGTAAAATACACAGACATTGGATGTGCCTGTGGATTTTTGTGAAACTATGTGCTTTGTTTTCTGTTTTTTAAGACATGACGTCTCTCTCTGTCACCCAGGCTGGAGTGCAGGGACACAATCATAGCTCACTGCAGCCTCAAACTCCCAGTTTCAAGCAGTCCTCCCCCCTGAGTAGCTGGGACTACAGGTGTGTGCCACCACACCTGGCTATTTTTTTAATTATTATTAATATTTTTTTGTAGAGATGGCATCTCACCATGGTGCCAAGACTGGTCTTGAACTCCTGGTCTCAAGCATCTCACCTGCCTAGGCCTCTCAAAGTGCTGGAATTACAGACATGAGCCACTGCACCCAGCCACTATCTGCTGTTTAAGGGCCATGTTTTTCAGCCACTCTGTCAAGTGGCTCTACAGCCAGGTGCATCCCTTGGCTTCCCCTGGTGAGCCCCTAGTAAACCATCCTCAGACATTGCCTTTCACCCTAAAGATGATGTACAGATCAACTCCTGGGAGGGTACGAAATTCGCTCGGTGCCTCAGTCCTTAATTCTACTGTTCACATGTATCTTTCTGAGTTTCTACATAGGGTGTAGAAACTAAATGTGGTTTACAAATATGGTGTGATCCTCTTCTTTCAGGACATAGACAACTTGGCACCAGTGCTCTTGCTGCAAAGATAAAGTGATATTGGAGAACTGTTTAAATTCACAGGCTTTGGAGTCAGTCAGACAAACCTGGATTTCTATCTGTAACTCTACCGCTTACTAAATAAGTGACAGTCAGCACATAACTGAAGTTCTCTCAGCCTCAGATTGTGCAACTATTTTATATATATATATTTTTATATGTATATTTATATATATATTTTATATATATGTATATATATTTATATATATATTTTTATATATATATTTATATATATTTATATATATATTTATATATTATATATATTTATATATATATTTTATATATATTTTATATATAGTTATATATATTTTTTGTATTTTATATAAGTATTATTTTATATATATTTTTATTATATATTTATATATTTTTTATTATATATATTTTATTTTATATATATATAAAATATTAAAATGTTATGAATGAGTTTAGATTGATGGAGAATTACAAAGGTAGTACAGAGGTATATTTTTCACCCAGCTATCTGCAATCTTACCATCCTACACAACTATGGTGTATTTGTCAAAATTAACCTTCACATGTTACCAGCTTTCCCATTAATGCCCTTTCTCTGTTTCAGAATCAATACACAATGCCACGTTACATCTAGAAGATTAACTTTTAGAGGGTGCTTTTTCCTGATTTAATAGTTTGGTTTTTGTTCCTGTTTATTTATGCTGTTTTATTTAAAACAAGGGGGCAATATGTGTATATCTAAACCATTAATGAAATCAGCCCTTTTTTGTTGTATAGCGATCACTTATTTTGTTGTTAAATTTAAAGTGAAGATGGTGTGAGTTTGATCGAGTAGCAGGATAAGCAGGTGAAAATTTTATGAGTTTGATGGAACAGAAGGAAAACTAGACAGTAATTCACACGTTGAGATTCCTCCCAAAGATCTGCTTTCAACTGCTTGAATGAACTACGGCAAAGTAGTTAAACTTCCCATTTGTTGGCTGTGATGTCTGTGAAGCAGGAATCACAGTATCTGTCAGAGAATTACCTTCAAGTGATGTTGAAAGGATAAAATAAGGGGAAGAGTTTTAACTTTCTTAGGAGGCCATCACAGAAACTACAAAGTATGATGTGAACTTCCATAGGAATCTCCCCTAAGTGACTGTGCATATAGAATGTCTGAATATCTGCAAAGGTCAGAGCCTGCTGAGGAGACTACAGTCTTCAGCTGTAAGAAATGAGCTTTTAACTATTCACAATAGCAAAGACATGGAGTCAACCAAAATACCCATCAACAGTGGACTAGATAAAGAAAATGTGGTACATACACACCATGGAATACTATGCAGCCATAAAAAAGAATGAGATCCTGTCCTTTGCAGCAACATAGATGGAGCTGGAGGCCACTATCCTAAAAGAATTAATGCACGAACCTAAAACCAAATTCTGCATGTTCTCACTTATAAGTGGGAGCTAAACATTGAGTAAACATGGACACAATGAAGGGAACAACAGACTCTGGGGCCTACTTGAGAGTGGAGGGAAAGAGGAGGAGGGAGAGGATTGAAAAACTAAATATCAGGTACTATGCTGATTAGCTGTGTGATGAGATAATCTGCACACCAAACTCCCAAGCCATGCAGATTACCTATATAACAAACCTGCACATGTACCCCTGAACCTAAAATAAATAAAAGTAAATACATAAACAAATACATACATAGATAAATAATGTAACATCTGAAAAACACACTAGAGCAGAGTGCAATAAAAGGAGGCATTCCTGTAAAGGTTAGAAAAACAAAGAGAAAGAGATGAGCTTTTAACAATGGAAATTTGCTTCAGGACCCCTGAAACCTCTGTTTCTAGTAATTTACTTCCTAAATATAAGTGGCATTTATTTCCAGTTGACTCACACATGATATTCCTGCAAGGAATGAGCATTTTTTCATTGGCTTCGTTCTCACTTAACTGTCTATTTAATGCTTCACACCAATTGTTTAAAACAGCCTCTTTTTTGAGTAGCTGAACTTCAACTCCACTCCCTTTGTCCCCAGCCTAAATTCCTGACGGCTACTTCAGTGCCCCTTAGCCCTATGCTGTCTTTGTCATGAAGGGTGAGGAAGCAGTGTTTATTCCCCCAGCGATGGGTCACCTGCCCAGCTGGAGTGACCTCAGCCCTGGCCTGTCTGAGCCCTATACTGGAGCACTTGGTCTCCATCCCTCAACGGGAGGTGTTGGTCATATAGGGGCCACAGGAAAACTGCCCCTTTGCCCTCTGAAGGTTTGCTAAAAATCAGCTGACAAAGGCAACTGAGAAAAGGCACACAAATTTATTCACGTGCGTGGAGCCTTACAAAATAGATCTCAAAGAAATGGCTGGATGGTTGATGCTTTTACACCATCTTGAGGTTACAGAAAGAATGGGGCCTTGCCTCCTGGCAACACAGGTTAGGAGAGGGGAGAAGAGGACGCCTGGCTAGCAGAGGTGGTCTTGTTATGCAGATGAGACCTCCTGTGTAGCAGTCCACAGAGAGAAGAGATGGTGAATGTTTCTTGCAGACCTTTAAAGGTATGTGTCTCTCAGTTCATCTTTCCTGGATCGGACAACGGAGGCCTTCAGAGAAAGCCTGGCTGCCTCAATGCAGATTCTCTCTCTCTCTCTCTTTTTCTTTTCTGAGACAGATGCTCACTCTGTTACACAGGCTAGAGTGCACTGGTGAGATCTTGGCTCACTGCAACCTCCACCTCCCGGGTTCAAGCAATTCTCGTGCCTCATCCTCCCAAGTAGCTGGGATTATAGGCGTGCGCCACCACGCCTGGCTAATTTTTGTATTTTTAGTAGAGACATGATTTCACCATGTTGGCCAGGTTGGTCTTCAACTGCTGACCTCAGGTGATCCACCCGTCTTGGCCTCCTAAAGTGCTGGGATTACAGGTGTGAGCCATTATGCCCAGCCAGATTTTCTCTATAGATTCAAACCTCCTCTACAAAAGACAGTTTTGCAGGGCTGCTTCTGTTTGCAGACCCTGTGAACATCCATCTCAAAATATGTCAAAGAAGAGTATTTTGGGGTGAAATATTTTGGTTCCTTCAGTGACCATCTTCTGAGATTATCTGCTGACATTCTGATCCACTCTGAACTCACCCTTCCTGCCTCTGCCGGTACCCTTTCGATGCTGTATTTAATTATATTCTAATTGCTTCATAGGCACCAAGCCTGTTTCCTCAACTCTCCTGGTTAAGAGCCATCCTGGTAATAAAATAATACCAACGAAGATAATAGCCATTTTTTGTGCCTCTCTTGCAGGCACTGAGCTTGGCAGTTGGGATAATCATTCCATGTAATAATCACGTGGAAACATAGTGGGAATATGAGATACAGAAAGCTGAAGCTATTTTCTCAAGTGCAAAGGGCTGGTGTATCTGTTTCCTATGTCCGTTGTAATCATTGACCACAAATTTAGTGGCTCAAAACAACATGTTTTTTTTTTTTAATTTTTAGATTCAGTGGGTACGTGTGCTGGTGTGTTACATGGGTATATTGCATTATGCTGAGGTTTGGGGTTCTAATGATCCTGTCATCCAAGTAGTGAACATAGTACCTGATAGTTTTTCACTCCTTGACCTCCTCCCTCTTTCCCCCCTAGTAGTTCCCAGTGTCTACTGTTGCCAACTTTATGTTTATGAGTACTGAATGTTTAGCTCCCACTTATAAGTAAGAACATGCAGTGTTTGATTTTCTGTTCCTGCATTAATTCACTTAGGATAATGGCCTCTAGCTATACCATGTTGCTACAAAGGACAATATTTTGTTCTTTTTTATGGCTGTGTAGTATTCCATGATGTATATGTGCCACATTTTCTTTATCCAATCCCTGTCGATGGGCACCTGGATTAATTTCATGTCTGCTATTGTGAATAGTGCAGCAATGAACATACAGGTAAAGGTATCTTTTTGGTAGAATAATTTATTTTCCTTTGGGAATAACCATGAATTAAATGGGTCCTCAAGGTGTTGGCAGGGCTATGTTTCTTGCTGAAAGCTCTAGGGGAGAATCTTATTCCTTGCCTTATCCAACTTCTAGAGCCTGCCTGCATTCCTGGGCTTGGGGTGCCCTTCTCTGCCTTTAAAGTCAGCAGCATAGCATCTTCCAGCCTCTCTCTGTGATTACACCCCTCCACTTCTCTGACTCCCTCTTTCCCTTGAAAGAACCCTGTCTACAAAAAGAGTCAGACTCTGTAAAACGTTTGAAGAGATTCATTCTGAGCCAAGTTGACACAGCCCCGGGAGATCCTAAGAATATGTACCTAAGTTGTTCTGGCTACAGCTTGATTTATACATTTTAGGGAGACATACAGCATTAGTCAATATATGTAAGATGTACATTGTTCAGTCTGGAAAGGTAGCATGAGTCAAAATCGGGGGGTGGGGGGTGAGGAGGCTTCAGGTCATAGGTGGACTCAAAGAATTTCTGATTGGCAGTTGGTTGAAAGAGTTGATTTAAAGACCTGCAGTCAATAGAAGGGAGTGTCTGGGTTAAAATAAGGGGGTTGTGGAGGCCAAGGTTCTTATGATGCAGATGAAACCTCCACGTAGCAGGCTTCAGAGAGAACAGATTGTACGTGTTTCTTATCAGACTTTAAAAGATACCAGACTCTTGGTCAGTTCTCTCCCGGATCAGGGAGAAGACCCCAAAAGAGAAGGAGATTGTCTACAGAATGTAGATTTTCTGCACAAGAGACAGCTTTGTGGGGCTATTTTGAAATATGTCAAATAAATATATTTTGGGGTAAACTACTTCAATTTCTATCAGGGCCTGCTATCTGTCGTGTTGGTATCTTATGGCTACAAACAGTCTGTTTTGTCAGTCTTAAGGTCTGTGTTTTAATGCTAATGCTGGTCAGTTGTACCTGAATTCCAAAAGAAGGAGGGTAAAATGAGGCATGTCCAATCCCCTGTTTCCATCATGGACTGAACTAGTGTTTCAGGTTAAACCTTTAGAATGCCCTTTGCTGAGAGGAGGTGTCTATTCTGTTAGTCGAGGGGCTTAGAATTTTATTTTTGGTTTACAACCCTATGATTATATTAGATCCACTCAGACAATGCAGGGTAATCTCCTCATCTCAAAATCCTTAGTCACATGTTTAAAGTCCCTTTTGCCATATAAGGCAAAATACCCATTTCCCCAGGCTCCAGGCTCCAGGAATTTGGATGCGGACACTTGGGGGCACCATTATTTTGCCTGCCACAGCTGGTGTAAAGTAGAAATGGAACTTGAATTCCCTGACTCCAGAGTCATTGATTTGAATCTTTGGTGACTCAAATCTTTGTTGCGTTGAGTCCCTCTGATTACAAAGTTTTTGTTCAAGATGCCATACAGTGCTGACCATGTCACATATGGTGGTGACTGTATCATATATATTCCTTTTTTCAATACAACATATACTATATTGCTCATGGAATACTCATAGATGGAATCTATGTAATTAGAGCAGTTGGTTCTTCTACATTGAGCACGAAAGAGTCCATTGAAGTGAGCATTGAAAGGATTGAAATCTCCCTGTTGCCTCTTACCTCTTTTTTGATCTTTTAGGAGGAAAAGCAAACAACTGGGAAGGAGGTATCCGGGTTCCAGGCATCCTTCGTTGGCCCAGGGTGATACAGGCTGGCCAGAAGATTGATGAGCCCACTAGCAACATGGACATATTTCCTACAGTAGCCAAGCTGGCTGGAGCTCCCTTGCCTGAGGACAGGTACTCTGATGCCAGGGTGGTTGGTATTGTTGAGCTCTGATTTCACAGCCCAGTATGCTCTGGTTTGCCTGCATAATGGTGTGGGGACCAAGGCCTTTGGCCCCCTGGAGTTTTCCTGAAAATCACAGGTTTGAGGCAGGTCAATTAATAGGATAAAAGGCATATACATTTACTTAATGTGTACACAGCAGGCTTCCAAAGGAAGACCCAAAGATACAGGGGAAATTGTTCATTTTTTTGCTGTGGTTCAGCAAAGTATGGGCAGTGTGTAGAAGTAGGATTGGAGGGAAAGGTCTGACCTCATGCTAACGGACTGAGTGGGGAAACCCAGCCAGGCCTGTCTATCTAGATGCTTCTTGGCCTCTCTGAGCAGTTTTCCTTCCTTCTGGGCATGGGGCAGGGCCCTCTCTGGAACGGGGGTCTTATGACCTACAGTCAAACAAAGTAGGTCAGAGGATTTATTTATGGGCAGTTTTTACACAGAAAGGCAGGGGGAAAGTTGGAGTCATATTTTTAGGTTTGATGCTGGCTTTGGGGATCAGGGGTTTTGGTTCTTACGACCTGCATTGGGGAAGAGGGATTCTAGTTTCTCTGGCGCCTTGGGGTAGAGTGGGACTGAGAGACAGGAGGGCAGGAGAAAGTCAGAGGAAAACTGCACTGAGGCCACTGCTGAGGCCCTCGGTTTGGAGTGTCACGATGCCTCCAGCTGTACTTGTTATCTCTGTCCGGTCTGGGGCCTTACTGGTGGGTTTGCCAATGTAAAAACCCCTCTGCCAATCTCTTTATCCAGAGGGAAATAAACTCAGAGGCACTGAAGGTTTTTAGTGACCAGGAATGTGGACGGGTGGTGTTTAATTCAGCCTTGGTCTTTCGGCATCGTGCTGACGCTCTTCTCGTCTGTTCACCCCACCGTAGCTTGCCATTGTGCAGCTTGGCCACAACCTCTTTGACCTCCAACTTTGGGATCCCACACCTTTTCCTTTGTCCACACTCAGCAGCCCTTTGCTGTAACAGGGAGAAATGCAGCCGGGTCCCCAGCTAAGGCCCCATTTCCCAGCACGTCTTCACTGAGAAGTTCTAAATGAAATGTCTTTCTCTTAAATTTAAATACGACTTCATATGACATTGCCAGTGGTTTCTTCCTAAGTGTTATTACCAATCTGAAGAGTTTTAAGTGAAGCACACTGATTAATTGTTTTCATTAGTTTGGTGACAGACCAGGCGAATGTCACGCAGGCGGCTGCAAATCTTGTTTAAATTCAGCTGTAATGAGAAGGAAGAGGAAAGGGGAAAGGAAAGACAAAAACAGCCACGCTGCCAAAGCAAGTCCAGAGATGGGTTTCCTCCCCTCCCGCTGTATTCGACCTTGTTTCCTTACTGGTTTCAACTCTGCTTTAGGTATACACCCTTCCTCAACACACACACAGACACACACACCAATGAGAAATGCAGCGTTGACAGTTCAACTATTCTCAAACTTTGAGGTCTCAAAACCCCTTTTCATTCTTCCATGATCGAGGACCCCAGTGATCTTTTCCTGATGTGGATTGTATTGAGCGACGCTTATTATATTAGTAATAAAAAATGAAATTTTTTAAGGCACCAAAGTACTCCAAGCTCACATTCCATTGGCTAATACATCGATGATGTCATCATTTACCCTGTGGCCACAAGGAATGTCCATTGTACACTCCTAAAAAGGTGATAGTGAGAAAGACAAAGAGTGCCTTCCTATTGTTATAAAAATAACATTGGCCTCGCAGACCTCCTGAAAGGGTCCCAGAGAGTCTCTGGATCACGCTTTGAGACTAGTGGGTGCTATGGCTAAGAGTGGAGATTCTAGACCTTTCTAGACCTGCACTGGTTGAATTCATATTCTTTTTTTTTTTCTTTTTTTTTTTTGAGATGGGGGTTTCACTCTGTCACCCAGGCTGGAGTGCAGTGGCGCGATCTCAGCTCACTGCAACCTGCGACTCCCAAGCTCAAGCGATCCTCCCACCCCAGCCTCCCGAGTAGTTGGGACCACAAGCATGCACCACCACGCCCAGTTAATTTTTTGTATTTTTGGTAGTGACAGGGTTTCACCATGTTGCCAAAGCTGGTCTTGAAGTCTTGAGCTCAAGAAATCCTCCTGCCTCGACCTCCCAAAGTGCTGGGATTACAGGCTTGAGCCACTGAGCCCAGCTGAGTTCATATTCTTGTCATCACTGCAGGGTAAGCGTTGAACTTTCCTGGGCCTTCACTCCTTCTCTGGAAAATAAGTTCAATAATAACACTGACTTTACAGGATCAATAGGAGGATTAAAAACCTCCTTGCCTGTAATGTTCAGTACAAAGAAGGCATGAATGTTTGCCATTTCTTGTTTTGCCTATCATTTTGAGGTAGTAGTCAGATGTACATTATTAGTACAGTTCTTTCCTCTTCCACATTTAATATTCATCCGAGGTCATAAAATCATAGAGTATGAGGCCAAAAGGGGAATTGTAAGATCTCCTACTCCAGTCAAACTATTCTTTTTTAACACTCTAGTGATGGAAAACATGGCAGCAGTGTCTCAGAAAGTTTTTCCTATATAAAGCCAAAAATCCCATTCTCTATTTCACCTCCTCCTTGGCTGTAGTTCTTACCTTTGGAATAAAGGTTAATACTTCCTCAAGTAGCTAGAACAGAGTGTTCAGCCAATCTCATTTATTACGTTTGTCTCTCATCACCCATAATGTTAAAACCATCACTGCTCTTCACTTTCATAATATCTTGGAATGGTTTTCTACCCAGTGGGGGAAAAGCAAGGTAAGGAAAAAGTTCAGAGGCAAAGAGGAAGATTCATAAAGGGAAATCTTACTGCTTCTACCTTCTAGCCACTCTAGTCTGAGGCTGATGGAGGCCAATCTGTGTTTCTTCTATGTGCTCAATGAAGAAGATAACAGCCTCCCTCTTAGAAGACCCAAGGATTTTGTGTGTGGGTTTGTGTCATCAGTAGAACCAACTCTCAATATTGAAGATTCCCCTCTGTTTCTGATTCCTTTCATGGACCTCAGAGGTGCTTGCTGACCTCATTTTTTTTTTTTTTTTTGAGCAGAGTCTTGCTCATTTGCCCAGGCTAGAGTGCAGTGGTGCAATCTCGGCTCACTGCAACCTCTGCCTCCACCTCCCAGGCTCAAGCGATTCTCCTGCCTTAGCCTCCTGAGTAGCTGGGACTACAGGCGTGCACCACCATGCTTGGCTAATTTTTTGCATTGTTAATAGAGACGGGGTTTCACTATGTTGGCCAGGCTGGTCTCAAACTCCTGACCTCAGCTGATCCGCCTGCCTCAGCCTCTCAAAGTGCTGGGAATACAGGTGCGCACCATCACGCCCAGCTAATTTTTGTATTTTTAGTAGAGATGGGGTTTCACCATGTTGGCCAGGCTGGTCTTGAACTCCTGACCTCAGGTGATCCACCCACCTCGGCCTCCCAGAGTGTTGGGATTACAGGCATGAGCCACGACGCCCGGCCAGTTGACCTGGTTTTAAACCACAGATGTTGCTTCTGTGTTGAGGTCCTAGCTCCTGGTACTAGTCCAGCTGTAAAATGCCTTTGTCATCCTAGAGACAGCACAGGTTAGAAAACAGAAATGTGCTTCCAAGTGCCTTATGGGAATAGAATTATCACACAGTACCTTATTTAAAGCATATTGCCAACCAGGTACAGTAATATTCTTATGTATTTGTCCAGAAGACTTTGAATATCTAAAGTAGTGTTTTCCCCCAGGGGTCACTTATCAATGCCTGGAGACATTTTTTATTGTCTTGGCTCAGGGTGCTACTAAACATCCTGCAACACACAGCACAGAGCCCTACTGCAATGATTATCTTACCCATTATGTCAGCGGTGCTGACGTCGAGAAATCCTACCCTGAAATTTATTATTGCTCTTTTATGGAAAATGTTGTTATAATGGAAAATCCCATCAAAACTTTTCAATAAAAGCATCTAGACAATACCCTCACATCTATATCCATCTATAAATGTGATACACAGATGTCTGCCCTTTAGAAAATAGTCTTAACTCCTTCCTGCTCAGAGTGGTGCAAATAAGCTTTCTCAGCTCCCTGCTAGAGAGATATTAAATTTGCATTTCTCAGGAGAAGAAACTCATTCAGACGGTTGGACCCAAGCTGTTTGATGAGCACTTAACAAAGTGCCTTTGCTTCTTTCTGCGTTTTGTTTGAAGAAGATAACTTCTGTTCAGCAGACCTCCATTCTTCACGCACTGTCCTGTAATTCTCAGGAAGCATTTTGGATCTAGTGGGAGTCCTTCATGGCCAATCAAAGCATGGTGGGAGATCAGAAGCCCGTGGATCCAAGGTTTCTACTTAAGCCAAAAGAAAGGTAGTCCGGAGGAACACAGGAAAGATTGTTGTTGTTGTTGTTGTTGTTCTGTTTTTGTTTTGCAGCATCTTAACACTGCAGTGAGAATAATTCTCTAATTCAACCCTATGATGTGCTTACGTGAGATTTCTCTCTGGCAGTGAATTTTTCCTTCATATGCACGTTAGTGATTCATTTTCATTCAGTGGCATGACTTATCAGAAGAAATTTCAGTGTCCATCACCCTGGGCATATTCAGAAAAATTATTTCCCTCCAGGTCTCCAAATAAGCTGATTTTGGAAATAAATGGAGGACAACCTTTTGTGTTACAAAAGGCAGCAACAAGGACTTACAAAAAAGAAGAATCGAATATCTAAATGTATTAATTCATTAACATGAAAATTCTTTCTGTGGGTCTCATCTTTGCAAGCAGATACAATATTGCCATAGTATGAGTATGACCATGCCCCTTCCTAACAAGGTATTAACATCAGTAATAGAGAATGGCAACAAGCCATAGTTGGTTACACCTTTTGGAAAACATCAACATTTTAACCATAGACCCTTCAGCTGGGATGCAAGGAAACAGAGTGCTGGCAACCTCAAGAATCAAATTTTAGAGGTGAAATATTTAGAGCTTGTGGTCCATAATTAAAACAAAATTTGACTTCATTTTTTAAAGTTACAAAAACAAATTAATGCTTTAATGCTTAACACACTTTTGTCTAATGGAGACAAGGAATGGATTTAGCTGACTTCTCCCAGTAACTTTTGCTGACTTACAGTTGAGCCACTAGAGAAGACCTTTTCAATAGAGTGATACAGATGAAAAAGTCAGTGAGCTGTATCTGCTTTACATTAGTTTTGCAGAACTAAAGGTGACTCTCTTCATGGGAACAATCCCAAGTTTGTGTGTGTAACCACTTATACTGATCTTGCTTTCTGTTCAACTATGGCAGAGGGTTTAATGTTTACAAATGGAAACATATTTTTCTGAATTGTGATAATAACTTTCTGAATACTTAAGATTCCCTTTAATTTATTACAGATATATGTACTTTCTCCTAAAGATGTTTCCTTAACTATGACTGTCTACATTGAAATCATTGCCATTTGTATATCAAATAAGCTGCTCACCAACATTGTGCCCCAAATAAGCTTCTCTGTTAGTCTCCAAGACCTTACCTTCTGTATCACCCCAAACCTTTTCTTTCTCTTATGATCCTTCAGTCCTTGGCCTGGCAATTTGGCCAGGCAAAGGGCGCGTGGGAAGGACATCCCACGTGGAGGGACGAGGATGTTGAAAGCCTCAGAGCTGAGAGAGAGCACAGCACATTCTTGGAGGAATGACGTCAATAGGGTTCAGGGAAGGTTTCCAGAACATGCCCTTTTTAATTATGTAAAAATTGTCTGTATGGTATTTAACTTGACCTGAAATTTTGACACAAGGGTACCTTGCAAACAACCTGTTAATAGCGCTACCATCATTGTCAGTCAGGAACCCAAGGAGAATAATTTCACCTTCCAAATTAAAAACACTCCCAAACACTCCCTTTTCCACCAAGAGCCATGAGGGCACTAGGGCAGAAAACACATTCAGTTTTTTTTAGCATTGGCTGTTATGCAAACATGCTACAAAAACTTGAATTAGTTTGCAAGAAAAATCCCGTTAGACTGTTTCCAGAGAAAACAGCAATGCTTTGAGTCACTTTGAAAGTGGATTGGCCCATCTCCCCCAGAACACGACATTCTAAAAGCATTTTTGTACTAGCAGCGTTAATGGAAATGTGCTGTTCTCTGGGTTATTGCCATAGTTAACTGCGAATCCCACAAGTGGTTTAAGACAATCCCAAATATTTCGATAGCTTAGACACCACTTAAAAGTTTAGCTCAACAGGGTCACTTTCCATTTTTCATGGCAGAAATGAGGCTTCCTTTGACAGACCATATTTCTGCAGCACTGTTAAATGGTGGCTTTCCATAGCAGCGTGATTTATGGCCTGCCTCTAGGAAGGACCACGTTAGGTGTGGGATATTAAAAAAAAAAAAAAAAAAAAGTCTATCTCCACTTTGGAAGAAAAATAGAAAAATAAGTTTGCAGAATAAACTTTGTGCCCCTCCTTTAAAAAAACCTCAAATATTTCATTTTTAAGTAAGAAAAAATAATTATAAGACTTGGAGTCTTATTTTGTTTTAGTTAAATCCCCCTTTCCTATAATCATGATCAATTTCAGTTATCAAATACTGATCTTGGCCAAGGCCGGAGGAGAGCTTGAAGCCAGAAGTTCAAGGCCAGTCTGGGCAAATCGCTCCAAAAAAAAAAAATGAAAAATAGCTGGGCATGGTGGCATGTACCTGTAGTCCCATGTACTTGGGAGGATGAGGCAGGAGGATCGCTTGAGCCCAGGAGGTCAAGGCTGCAGTGAGCTATGGTCGCGCCACCACACTCCAGCCTGGATGTCAGAGCAAGACCTTGTCTCTAAAAAAAAAAAAAAATCGAAAAATACTGATCTTAAGACAGCAATTCCATCTCTCATGTTCTTATATCACAATATCACATGATGAATTTTGTTGGCAGATGGAAAAAAAAAAAAAAGCCAGATTCAAAAAGTAAAATTCTAGCTTGTGTCCCAGAAAATGGGGATTTCATCTTGCTTTTGGGGAGTCATTGAAAGACATTCTCCCTGCTTGGGGAAGGATAGAAATCCTCTGTCCCTCGTCTCTCCCCTTCAGGTCACTTTTCACCACTGGGGGCTTTTCCTGGTCTAATTCTCATGCCTGCCCACTTCCTCTCTTACTTCTTCCTTCCTTTCAGCTTTATTTGGGATCTCATAAAGGCCTGAGTCTTTCTTGAAAGGAATTTGAAAAGAACCACGCACAATGACTGCCATTTCGGGATGGAAACAGTATTTCAGGGCACACGCTGTGTCTCAATAGAACTCTCTCTACGGTGTTTCTTTTTCTTCCCCTCGTGGTTCACAGGAACCTTGGTTTGAGAAGTGAGCCAAGCCAGTCTTTTGTTCTTATTTTTACTTATGATAATAGAATATTTTCAGTCTGCAGACTTCTGCAGAGTGCATGATTAATAACAAGGGTTGAGACCGGAGAAGTGCTAACAACAAGGCTATAATTACATTATAGGTTTTTAGTGACAACAAAATAAACCATGGGAGAAAGCTCAAGGGACATAGGACCTCTTAAGCACACTTACCAAAATTGTACAGCCACGCCAAACTTCCAGTTTCTAAACGCCTTGTAACAAGAGATGGCAGGGATGTAGTGTTTTTAATCAGAGAAAGAAAATCCTCAAGTTAAACACTCACCCTTTCAAAATAATTATCTGCCTCTCATTTTGATGGCAATGGCCTAATGGTATCATGGCTTCAATTTCTCATGTAGCTGTTAATTTATGTTTAATGCAAAACACAATTTTATACCTTATTCCTTTCTTCAAACTATAAGTAATCTTATTTTGCTCATCACCAACTGCATATGTCTTATTTTCTTGGCCTAGTTAGATACCCAGTAGTAGAGGAGATATATTTTCATTTGGGAATAATCCGTTCCCTGGTTATTTAATGGTATCATTATTATTATATATACATTAATTCATTCTAAGGAGAAATTTGCATTCATTGCAGTCTACGAATCCAAGTTGCCTCATGCAATATAGTATCTTTTTATTTTAATCCCAAATTGTCAGGTGCCCATCTTTTCAGCAGGCCTGTATGTCATGAATAAAGCTTTCCCTTTGATCAGGCAATAGACAGAAAATTGTGTTTTGGAGAAGCAAGAGGAAGAATAAGGGTATGAATGCCAGATCAGCTGGATTTCAATCCCATCAGTTCTTACTCGTCCCATGACCTTGGGCAAATTACTTAACCTTTCTGTGCCTCTGTTTTCTCATCTGTGCAGTGGGGATGACAGTAGTTCCAGCTCATGGTGCTCTTTGCAGATGTAATGAGATAATGCACGGACAGAGCTGGGATCAGTGTGTTGCACAGGGCACCCAGGTGGGGTCAGTCTTCTTTGTATTAATTACGACTGGAGCTCCCTCATGCTCTTATTGGTTCAGAAGGACATTTGAGAACACAGGACTGATTCACGTCTTGATGCCTGGCTGTTTATCCCACAGGATCATTGATGGACGTGATCTGATGCCCCTGCTTGAAGGAAAAAGCCAACGCTCCGATCATGAGTTTCTCTTCCATTACTGCAACGCCTACTTAAATGCTGTGCGCTGGCACCCTCAGAACAGTGAGTAAACAGACCTTTCCACGCTCCTCATGCTCCGTGCAACCTATGCCATGGGAATAGATAAAACTAAAGGGTAAAAAGGTGGCTCTGCTCAATGGAGGCCAACAGGTGCCTCAATGTGCGCCCATGCTTTGCTTTGTCCTCTTTTCCCTCCTCCTCCTCTCTTTTCGTTCTGGTCACATAGTTGTCCAGGTAGGAGGACATCAGAAGGCCATGTCATTCACCCACCTGAACACCACCCACAGCTTCTCTATCCCAGCAGAGAAAGCTCCCTGTTCTCAACAGGGCGCTGTGGCCGGTTGCTTTATTGCATGCACAGCTGCCCAGCTTCACTTCCTAGCACTCCTCTCACACTGAAGAAAGCAGCCCCTGTGCTCTGTGCATTGCTGTGCTTACACTTGCAGGCTCTTCTCCTGGAAGGATGTCTTGCCTCATCCTTCTTGGAGGGTACTCCTCAATGCCCCCCAGGCCCTGCTGAAATGCCACCTCCTCTGCATGTCCTCAAAACATTCCCCTCACTCTTCTAGCAAGCCACTAAAGGCTAGAGAAGGAATGAAGAGCATTTAAATGTTTATCTGACTTACTTTCCCAGCCTAAAGATGATGGATCGTGACTCACTGCATCTGTATTTTGTGCGTCATGCATATTTGCTACATTTAGATATTTAAAGCAAAGTTAAAATGTTCTTCAGTTCTATCTCATTTTCTGAACTGGGGGTTCTTTTAATTGTGCAATTGAACAGGATATCTTGTGGGTTTTCTAATACTTGTTTTATAGTGGCATTTCCAATTAGCATACAGGAACAAATGGTTTATAATCTTAGGTGTGGTTGTTGATTTTTATGGCTGCATAGTATTCCATGGTGTATATGTGCCACATTTTCTTAATCCAGTCTATCATTGTTGGACAATTGGGTTGGTTCCAAGTCTTTGCTAGTGTGAATAGTGCCACAATAAACATACTTGTGCATGTGTCTTTATAGCAGCATGGTTTATATTCCTTTGGGTATATACCCAGTAATGGTATGGCTGGATCAAATGGTATTTCTAGTTCTAGATCCCTGAGGAATCGCCACACTGTCTTCCACAATGGTTGAACTAGTTTACACTCCCACCAACAGTGTAAAAGTGTTCCTATTTCTCCACATCCTCTCCAGCACCTGTTGTTTCCTGACTTTTTAATGATTGCCATTCTAACTGATGTGAGATGGTATCTCATTGTGGTTTTGATTTGCATTTCTCTGATGGCCAGTGATAATGAACATTTTTTTATGTGTCTGTTGGCTGCATAAATGTCTTCTTTTGAGAAGTGTCTGTTCATGTCCTTTGCCCACTTTTTGATGGGGTTGTTTGTTTTTTTCTTGTAAATGTGTTTGAGTTCTTTGTAGATTCTGGATATTAGCCCTTTGTCAGATGAGTAGATTGCAAAAATTTTCTCCCATTCTGTAGGTTGCCTGTTCACTCTGATGGTAGTTTCTTTTGTTGTGCAGAAGCTCTTTAGTTTAATTAGATCCCATTTGTCAATTTTGTCTTTTGTTGCCATTGCTTTTGGTGTTTTAGACGTGAAGTCCCTGCCCATGCCTGTGTCCTGAATGGTATTGCCTAGGTTTTCTTCTAGGGTTTTTATGGTTTTAGGTCTACCATTTAAGTCTTTAATCCATCTTGAATTGATTTTTGTATAAGGTGTAAGGAAGGGATCCAGTTTCAGCTTTCTCCATATGGCTAGCCAGTTTTCCCAGCACCATTTGTTAAATAGGGAATCCTTTCCCCATTTCTTGTTTTTGTCAGATTTGTCAAAGATGAGATAGTTATAGTTGTGTGGTCTTATTTCTGAGGACTCTGTTCTGTTCCATTGGTCTATGTCTCTGTTTTGGTACCAGTACCATGCTGTTTTGGTTACTGTAGCCTTGTAGTATAGTTTGAAGTCAGGTAGCGTGAAACTTAGAATTACAGTAATATTCCTATCACTAAGATACCTGGCAGTCAATGGTAAGTGGTGAGCAATTTACACAATTATTGTATGTTCTAGAGGTACCTGTTGAGGCTGGACTTTCAGTTCCTTCTTTGGAGGTAAAATGAAATTCCCCTTTTCTCTAAGGGGCTTTGGAGCTCTGCTTCTAGAACCTAGGACTGCCCCCCCCACCCGCCCCAAAGGAGGGGTGTGTAATAACCTCCTAGGTGCTAACTTCTTCTTAAACTTAGGGTGATTCCATTCCATTTTCCAACAAATCTTTGTCTCTTCCCCACTCACCTAGCCAATTTACCCAAGACTTATCATTTAAAGAAAAGCCTCTCTTTTATTTTTACAACTTTTCCATAAAATTACAACCTTTCTATTAGCCACAGAAATCACACCAGGTTTATGCTTCAGAGTTTCTCCTTTAAGTCTGGCAGTTTTCTCATGATATGTTCTAGAAGACAAAAAAACAACAGAAACATGGGCTTGCGATTTTACTTCTGGAAGCATTTTATTCACATATCTCATCCATGTGGCCACAATTCCTAGTTTCCATAAGAATACTCCTTCTTTTTTAGATCAGTTTATAGCATCAACTTCTGAGCTTTGTAATAAATGAGAGCTCAAGGACTCTTAATTTCTTTTCATATGGAGCCGGCAAGAAATGTGAAGAACAAAGTTTCTGTGACTACTGCATGTTCGAATAAGTCTGTATCATGTCCTGAACCTTGCAAAATTGTATTTTAATAGAGCCAAATCCCCAGTTAGAGAAGCGGGAAGGAACATATTGGATCAGAGGCTGGAGGAACACATTATGTGGAGGAGTAAAGAGAAAGGGGACAGGAAGAGACAGAAAATAGGAGTGAGAAAAACAAGACCCAGTTTCTGATAGGCAACTGGCCCCGGGATAAAATTTGCTTCTTAGACTCTGAATGCAATTCCTTCAACTCTTCTGCCTTGAACTGGTAACAAAAAAAGGAGAAATCACAGTATCTGAAGGCTAGAATCATTTATCGAGATAAAGGACCTCAGGAAAACAAGACGTTTATGAATCATTTATGATTTATTTTTCAGATGCTATCTGAAACTCAGCAACCATATTTGCTGTCTTGGCTTTTGTGTATGGCTTCATGTTTAGTCATTTTGTATTTTATGTGTTCATTTTTCCTAGAAATATGTATTGAGCACCTACTGTGTGGAACATATCGTCTTAGCGCTGGCATCTGTCAGTGAGCAAAACAGACAAAGTTCCCTGCTGAAGAGTAGCTTACATTTTAGAGCATGAGGCACTGCTAGCTGTACAATGTGCTGGGAATACAGGGATGCGTAAGGAAAACGTGACTCTCATCCATATGGAGCTTTCTGTCACCTGGGGAAGACAGATCTTAAACTAGTAATAGTTGAGTGTGACTGCATAGGTCATCTCAGATAGACTTTGGTAGGAGCTTGCCAATAATCACTAGACTGTGGAACATATTCCATGAATCTTAGGGATAAGAGGGTTGTCGCCTGACCTCAGAATACTTTATTAGAAAATAGAAAAAAAGAAATGTAGTATTAGGGTTTAGTAGCAGGCAGTGGTATGCTGGAATCAGCTCCTGATCGTTCAGAAATCTTGCCAGCTTGTTATTAAACCATTGTCTGTTTTCATTTGGCTGTGTTGTGGGTGTTTACACCACGGCAATTGGCAAACACAACAAATACAGGTTGCCTTTCTCCCTCAGAGCCCTAGATTAACAACAGTTTGTTGGTATCAGTAGAACTGACTGCAGATGTTTTTAAGATGCAGTTTACCATTTGTCTTGATTACTTAGAGGATTAAATGTTATAATTCCAAACTCATGAAATACTGATTTTCAAAAAACTTAATGCTAGGATTTCATTTCCACCCTTTTAAAACATGAATCTCTTTTAAAATTTATATATAATGTCTTCGCTATAATTTAGTTGTCTCAGTAAATTGAATGACATAATTTAATTATGACCTGATATCATTATTCCTATTACATTTTATAAGAACTCATGAAAGCATGATTATAACATGGATAACTTTTCTTGCACTAAAATAAGAATTTTGAGTTAAAATTTAACATTCAATGGGTATGAAAAATTTTGGCTTTAATGTTTGACATATGAATTAATGTTATTAAAAATTCACCACAATGACAACTTGATTTTATGGATGGAATTGATCTTAGAGGGTAGGTGGATACTTGGCTCCAGGATTTTTAAGCTGATGACTGTAGTCTGTGAGATAAATATTCACATTAATGGAGAGTCCCCAAACCAGCTGGTCATACCAAAATCCATGGGATAGCTGTAGATATATTCTAGAATGCAATGCAATATAGTACATAGTTAACAGCTTAAAGCGTTTTGTACAGACATATATGGAATCTTAGCATCATGTAGACAAGAAAGTCACATATATTTAAAATGTCACACTTTAGTCAGAAACGGGATCTCCATGAAGCTATAAAAATTACTTAGGGGAACGGGGCACCAATACCATTATTTCCCTAGGAGAAGGATGTAGACATCCTCACATTGGACTAGCAGAGTTTCATAAATCCTGGCTCCATATTCTATTCAAGTTTGTTGGAAACTTTTTCCCAACAACAAAAAATAAATAAATAAAGCTTTATTTTAAAAATGACAATACTAGGAACATTTGAATGATTCTCTTCTAGCTATTGTGAAATATACAATCAATTAATGTTAACTGGTGATGGATATCCCAATTTCCCTGATTTGGTTATATGAGTGTTTCAAATGATCACAGGTACCCTGAAAATACATACATTGAATATGCATCAATAAAAAGTAAATAATTAAATAAAATTACAGCAAACAGCCATAGGGTAATGGAATTCATTCCAAAGGAATGTGTTCCTTTCCGGCTTTCTGAAAGATACCTTCATTTCAAGCTCAGTAAATGGTTTAAAATCAAAACCAGCTTACCGTGGTAACATAAAGAAAAGTGCTCGCATGGCTCACTGTCTAGCATTTTCATTTAATTAAAAAATTAATTTTGCCTCTAAAACACACCTAATAAAAGAGAAGAAATTCTCATAACAGCCACTTATGAGTTAACAGCATCAGAAAGGCAGCACTTGGCTTTCATCATCACTAGTAATTTTGGTGAGTACTTGTCAGATGCCCTTCCTCATCTAATCCTCAGAATTAGGATCTAAAGTGTCAGAAATGAAATATCGAAGGCTGAAGCTGACCTAATGTGAGATGCAGCATTTCCAAATTTAAGCTCACCAGGATCTATCCTGTGTTTCAGCTGACCTTATGAAAGGACATATTTTCATCCTACTCTGTAACTGTTGTAGCAATTAAGAAAAAGCACATATATGTAAACCATTTCAAGGATAACTTTTAAGTCTTAGGATTTATTTTCTCTGTGAACACTTCAAATGCTGCATTGCCACAAGCTTTTAATAGTTCAGGCATGCAGCTATTATTTCACTCATGTGCCTGTGAAGCCCAGTACAAGGTACAACATTTGTACTTGTAATTGTAGCAACACAGGATGATGGTGTCCTGGGATGAACAGAATTTGCTTTGGAGATCTAGGAAAAGGAGTGATTTATGAGGTTAGAAAAGATTTCATAGAACTTTTAATTTTTTATTAAATTTATTTTATATCATTATCATCTAGACACATCAGTAACAGCTTAACTTCCCCTAACAGTCATTTCCAACAGTGGAAAAAAATCACCACATAAATAGATTTTGTGTTTTCCAACATAGCCTATTAAACATATATTTTCTTATGGAACTTCATATTACCTTATAGACAGTATCAGACAATATTTGAGATAAACGTTCACTTTTCAACCAAAGTTGTAGTATGTCTGATCTAAGATTACACTAATACTGTGGAAGAAAAATTCCTGGTCATTACTTTTGATAATTTGCTACAATGCAAACTTACTTCCTTATAGAAACAAAGTAAATCAAAATTGAATTTTCTTTCTTGAATACAAAAAAAAAAAAAAAAGCGCCAAAAAACTTGGTGTGGCTGAATGATCAAATGCCCTCTTCCATCTAAGCTTGGCACCCAGCTTATTCTGATCTTTTTGCCAGGGGTCACTTCTGATCTTTTCCCCTTGCATTCTCCGTCCTACCGTTTCATTGATTTTCTACAGTATTTTACACATCTCTTTTCCCTGACTTCAACACGGGGTGTCTCTCAGTTCTCCCGAAATGTCTGCTTATGTCTCTAACCCCCCGCCAGATTTGCTTTCATATGCTCTCAGACCTGGTGTTTTCTAAATAGACATTTTAGTTCTAACCAGGGCATGCAATATTTAGCAATTTTTTGTGTCTTCCTTACTTTCGTATCTTCTGTACAAAAATGTTTTGTAGGTGGTTATAGACGTTTCCGTTTGTTAATCTCATGTTCTTGAAATTTGTCATCTCTTTTTGTGATCATTATGTATCTTTTGAAGACGTGCTTGATGACAGTAAACACTGATGTTTGTTGCATATTTACTGTCTGCCCGACAGTTTGTCAAGAACATTGTATTTGATATCTCATTAGAAGAGATTATGATTATATTAGTTTCAGATTTGGCTGTAACAAAAAACAATAAAAAAAAACAGTAGTTTACATTAGAGAGAAGTTTATATCTCCATCTCATGGGTGACATCCAGAGGCGAATGGTCTACAAAATCTCTGGGGTGCAGAATCTTTCAAGCGGCTTTTCCACCTCCTGTAGAATGTGACAGCTTCATCTTCATGGTGAATGATGGTTGTGTCTACCCTAAACGCATACAATGGCGGGACGGATGGGAAAGATGAGAAGAAAAAAGTGCATGGCTACTACTTCCCAAGGAAGATAGTCAGACTCTTCTCAGAGGCCAGAAGTTGGTCACCTGTTCACACCTAGCTTCACAGGAGGCTGCAAAGGAGAGTTTTGTTATGGGTGTTCATGTACCCAGAGGAACACTCAATGACTGTGGGAGGCTGGCGGATCAGCTAGCTATCTCTCCTCCCAGTGTTATTTTTTCCCAATTATAGATGGGGAGACAGAGAGGTAGAAGGTCGCATTACTGGCATACAGTTGCAAAGTTGATGGCCAAGTTGGGATTTGCAACCAACACCATTTGCTTTTGAGTCTGTCTCCCATTAATCGAAATGTCTTCCCCTAAGACAATATGTTCTTTTACTCACAATTATAAATCATGATTCCTCCACCTAACCGTGTATCTGGACATCTCTGTGCCCCCATGCACTGAGTCCACGATTCATCCACATCCTCTTATTCCCCAAATGTGGACATCCTTGGCATCATCAGGTCTCATACTCCTTCCACTGGCTCCATGCCTGGTCCTCGTCCTCTCAGCTGCCCTCCTCCCTCTCCATGAATGTTCTTTCCTGGGGGCCAAATGACTTATGCCCCCTGCACAATTCCTGATGACTGCCCATTTTTGACACCAAGCAATCCCAAAGCAAATGTACTTCCAAGCTCTCTGCCTTCCTCACTCCGTTATCTGCCATGATCAGACAGTAATCTCCAGTGCCTCACAGTAGTCTGTTGGTCCTTCAGGCTGGAGATGGTGCAGAGCCATTGTGTGATTTCAGGCAGGATGCTCCGGGTAGGTCCCGAGGGGACTGTGGAGTGTATTTGGCTTCTTGTCTGCTCACCCTGGATTTCATAATGACAGCTGGTTCCTCCCCTCTCTTTCCATCCCTTCCTCCTAATAACCATCATCTCTTTTTTTTTTTAAATTTATCCAACAATTTTTTTTTTTGAGATGGAGTTTTGCTCTTGTTGCCCAGGCTGACATGCAATGGCACGATCTCGGCTCACTGCAAACTCCACCTCCAGGTTCAAGCGATTCTCCTGTGCCAGCCTCCCGAGTAGCTGGGATTACGGGCGCCCACCACCACGCCCAGCTAGTTTTTATATTTTTAGTAGAGACGGGGTTTCACCATGTTGGCCAGGCTGGTCTTGAACTCCTGACCTCAGGTGATCCACCCCGCCTCGGCCTCCCAAAGTGCTGGGATTACAGGTGAGGGCCACTGTGCCTGGCCCCAACAATTTTTATTGGGCCTCTATTCTATCTAAGATACTAGGCACTACACATTTAGGAGATGTGGGAGATATAGTCCCTGCCTTCAGAGAGGAAATAATCCAGCCAGAGAATTGGAGACCTCAAGTGTTGACTGAGTGATGAAAAGTGGTGAGAGGAACAGAGGAAGACTGGTGACTTCCAGCTGGGAATTCAGATGGGTGCATGGAGGAGAACACAGCAGGGCTTTGAAGGACAGCTAGAATATCAATATGGAGGCAAGGAAGGGAAAGTGAGGGAAGAGTCTCATATACATCCTACACCCACTTTGTTCCAGGTTATATATTTCTGTCCCTTAATATGCAAAACCCAAGGCTTGGTAAAAGGGAGTATTTTGTCCTCAAATACTCAGGCATCAGTTGGGAAAGCTTGTGTTGCTCTCAAATTGGCTGGCTGTGAAACAGATGCACCCAGCCACCAGAGCTGCTTCCTCATCCTTCTCACTGTTGTTGTATCGTGAGCTCTGGTACTGCCAGCTGCAGGAAGCAGGCAGAACTTATCTACTGTCATCGATTATATATCAGCCAAGGGCTGAATAGTTAGGGGGTTTGTGCTATGGTAAACAGATGGCAGTGAACCTCAGGGGTCAGAAACAGAGCTTGGGGCCAAGATGCTTTTGGTGAGTGTGCATGTATTAAGTTAGAAGACACATGATCTATGGAGGCTCAGGTATGGACACACTGTAAAATCTTTGGGTGTAAGAAAAGATTTGAGGCATTAGTGTGGGGTATCTGGATGAGACTAGGGTAATGTATGGAACAATTTTTTAGGTGGATCGCAGGAGTAGGAGGGCACCATGAGATGGGTTTTCAGACATCAGTTCAGTGGATGACATTAACTTTTCTGTAAACTTACTGAGGGGGCAGGCCTAGGGTTCTTTGTGTGGGGGTTCCTCACAATGGAAAAATGGAACAGTATGTGAAATGGTTCTTGAAGAACTTCAAGATGGCAACAGAGGTACATGCTGCCAAGACTGAAAACCCAAAATATCTGTGTATACCTTCTATGATATATACATGCAGTCTTCCAAGCACCCAAAATAAATCTCGCCAAAACTACCAGTTGAACATCATTCATCAAGGGAAGTTTAAATCTGAGTGATACATTAAGAGCCACTGTGTTGAAACCATGTAGATTTATTAATAGTTTTCCATATACTTTAAGAATCCTTAGCAGAAAAAAAAATGTCTTACGACATGTATTACAGTAGCAACAGATTGAAGGGCAGATGGAAACTGAATTGTTTCTTGCGTAAATTGGCTGCAGCTTTCTGTTCACAGCTAACTCATGTATAGTCTCTACTATAGACCCAGCCTCCTTCTGACAGCATCACATATAGGAACCAATTTTTAATCCTCAAAGCAATGCTACCAGGGAAGAACTATTATTATGAACATTTAACAGAGGAGCAGACTGGGACACAGAGAGGTGAGAGCAGCTATGCCCAGCATCACGTATGTAAGAAACTGCAGAGCTCGGGGTTGAACCTAAACTATTGATGCTCAGAGCTATGCCCTTAATCAAGTCAGTGGCAGGAAAAACCTTGGCCGAAGCACCTGCCCTCTAGCTAGTGCGTTCTCTCTCTCTCTTCCCCGCCTACCGCCAGCACCCCCCGCCCCTCCCGGGACTCCTCTGTCTATGCAAGTCTCACATAGCATCAGGCTAAGAAAGGCAAATGCTCTTTTCTAAAGACATTGCTATCATCCTAGAACAAGAGAGTCTTCGGGCCCCTGGCACCACCCCTTCTCCATCATATTTGTCCTGGAAGAGCACAGCAACTCTACCTGTCTCTGCTTTTTCTATACTGCCTATGGATCTTTGGTGCCTTTCCTGTCCTTTAGAGCTGTTCATTCATTCATGCAGTTTATCACCACGCCTTGGGACTTGTGAGGATTGTCTGTCTCAGTCCAGCTTCTGGCTCATTTTATCAAAAATAAAGTTTGTCTTATTTTATAGCTTAGCTCTCAGAGGGTTCATGTGTAGGGAGTGGCGAATTTGTGCTATGATAACTATTAGCCCTGACATTTCAGGGGCTCAGCCCAGCAAACATTTATTCTCACTCTTGCTGTAGAACAGAGCTTGTCAACCTGGGTACTAGTACTATTGACATCTGGGGCCAGATCATTCTCTGTGCTGGAGGCTGCCCTGTGGATTCTAGACTGTGGAGCAGCATCCGTGGCCTCTCCCTACCAGGTATCAGTAGCAAGTCTGCCCCACTGCAGCTATGACCACAAAATGTGTCTTCCGACACGGCCAGAGGTTCAGGAGATAACTGTGTTCAGTGCCTGTCATGGTGGGAAGGTGGGGGTCTAGGAGGAGAAGGTTCTGCCATCCATTTGTCAGGGACCACCCTGACAGAGGCCCCATCATCTCGAGTGTCACCAGCAGAAGAGACAGCTCCTCTGTGCTGTGGCTGGGAAAAGACATACCACATACTGCTCACGTTTGGCCAGAATGGGCCATGCGGCCTTTCTGACTTCAAGGAAGCTGGAAGGTGTTCTGGAGCGCTTGAATTACTCAGGGTTTATTATCCCCAAAAAGGAGGTGTAGTCTTGTTTTTGTGGCCTCAGAGTTCCAGGTTGGGGGCACCTTGCTTTAGCCGCTGTGGGTTAGAAGCAGGGGCCGTAAGGGCACACTCACGTTGTGTGATGCCTCTGAGTGTCTATCATGCGCGCAGTGTCTTTACTTGTGCCGAACAGGCTTTCCAGACCTGGTTTTGTTTTGTCTCACGTGATGGCTCTGAGACTTCTGCAAGACAGCAGTTTAAACATTCAGAGAGGCCTGGAAATGAGTGTCCTGGGGTCTGGACTGTGCCGAGCTGTGTTATGGACTGTTGTGACTGCTCTAAGTAGAGAATTCAGAATGCAAGATGTGAGAGGCTTGCGTCACTATGAGAAGCCAGAAGCACTTGGGGCCCTTGGGATAAAGACAGAATGAGGCCTTCGAGGACGTTGTTAAAATTTGTAGGCGATGTAGCATGACCCTGTTCCCGGACCAAACCGAGGGTAGGACTGCTATTTCTCGCAGCCCAACAAAAAGATGCAGATGAACTGGGGAGAAAGAGAGTTTTTATTTCTGTAACCGGTTACAGGGAGAAGGCCTGGAAAATATTGCCCAGACCAACTCAAAATTGCAGTTTTCCGGAGCTTATATATCTTCTAAGCTATTAGTCTATGTGTAAGTGTGCATTCATCTAAAGATATAAGTGATGAACTTCTTTTAATCTATAACCAAGATCTGAGTCCTGAAGACCTTCCTCTGGAGCCCCAGTAAATTGGCTTAATCTAAATGGGTCCAGGTGCTGGGGTGATTACCCTTATCTTGTCTCCTGCTAAATCATGGAGGTTTGGGGAGTTCCTTCAGATCTCCAGTAAACTTGTTTGTGGAGGTCTGGGGAGTTTCTTCAGACCCCCAGTAAAACTTGTTTAATCCTAAACGAGTCCTGTTAAGAATCCTTCGTTATCATGTCATGCTTCAAGGCCCAGGAGAGGCCTGGGCAAAACTCCTGATGGGCTTTTGTTCCATTCCAGCCTTTGTATGAGGACACTGGCTCTTTCAGCTTTTAATAGTAACTTCACCACTCGGTCAGTGCCGAAACAGATGTCATGGAGGCCTGCGTTAGTGAGACCTGGCCTGCCACAACCCGACTCCAAGACGTTAAGAGGGAGCTTGTGCTAGATACTAATATTGATTTTAAAAAATATTTTAGTACATAACGAAAGTTCTGGTTTGCGCCCTCTCTATTTTTGTTCTTGGGGAGCACATATGCTCATTTTCGGGGCTTCCTTGCCAGGGCTCCCACTTCCTGTGGCTGAGTCGCTGTAATACGAAGTAATAGAAATCACAACGTCTCTTCTGTTCCAGGGTCAGAAGCCCCTGTGGTCCCCAGGCAATCCCAGGGAACCCAGATACCTCTTTATTTCTCTTTGTTCACAGCTTAGTTTATTTTTAATAAGATAGCTGTTTTAGGATCCTATGTGGAGGATGTTGAATCAGTTTCTGGCTTAGGCATCAACTTTTTCTCACTTCAATTCTATTTGCCTTTTTGTCAAATGACAATAAACTTTCTTCTCTCATGAGTTGAGTCACATTGTTTAGTGGTGATTTTATATAAAAATATGTTTCACCAGATGGGTGATGATTTCCTAAGCATTTTGTTCTAGCACAGTGACATAACAGTGCTATATCATATGTCATTGATATCTTTGACCATCACTTGTGACAATTCGTTTTCTTAATTTGGGGGAGGATTTTTAAAATCTCAGTAGAATTATTGTCCTCACCACTACTTAGACTACTTAAACAAGTAAAAAAAAAAAAAAAAAAAAAACTGTCCACTTTAATTTCCCTGCATTCTTTATACCAAATTTAATCATTCCTTTTCCAGGTCATTGGATCTCAGTTATAAATGAGTCTAAGTTCCCAGTTTGGTCAAAATACTTATCGTTTTCAGTGGTGAGGGAGAAACAGTCTTTTATCAGAGCAGTTGATGATAATTTTTAAAATACAGTAGTGAATAAACATTTTTTAAAAATTTAACATTTTTCTAGTATATGAGGATACTCAGGATGAAGTATGTTATCAAGATAATTTTGGAATACAGGACTAAATATACCTATGAAAAATATAAGATGATGCTGGGCATGGTGGCTCACACCTGTAATCCCAGTGCTTTGGGAGGCCAAGGCAGGAGGATTGCTTGAGCCCAGGAGTTCGAGACCAGCCTGGGCAACATGGAGACACCCCATTTCTACAAAAAAATTTAAAATATAGCTGGGCCTGGTGGCATACACCTGTGGTCCCAGCTACTTAGGAGGCTGAGGCAGGAGGATTGCTTGAGCCCAGGAGTTCAAGACTATAGTGAGCTATGATCATACCACTGCACTCCAGCCTGAGTGATAATGCAAGACCCTGTCTCTAGAAAATACAAATCGAAAATATAAATTAAACAAAAGAAGATGACTCTGCCAGGTGCCTTCTGTTTTATCTAGTGACTGAGCTGTGCTATTTATCTTTGAAATGACACCTTTGGAGATGTCAGTTGCTGGGTTCCTGGTGAATAATAGAACAAGCTTCCAAAGTCGGGGTTGTTACCTTGTGAGCCACTGTACAATAAAAAGTGCAGTTCTAGTTCTCTCTTTTCAGTAAATCTAAAGTGGTCCAGAGAAACAGCACAGAGACTAAGCAATCTACCTTTTTATGAAAAGTTTTTAAAAATCCAAATGAAAGGATAAAAAGGCAAGCAACCCCAGAGCATGCTAAATAATTCTTTAGAATAATTAATTCTTAGTTCTACACTTGTCTGAACTACCCAGCAACACCACTGCCATTCCCAGGCCGGGGTGCCTGCATCTCTTGACTGGGCCTGATGTCAATCTGATCTTCCAGCTCACACCTGAGGAGGATTGTGCTCTAGTAGTAATGACAGGATCATTTGAGTGGCTTTCAAAAGCAAGTGGAAAATACAGGCTCTTTACATGAATTTATTCCAGGAGCCTGTATTCTCCTGGGGTTTTAAACACAAAGAGGCTTGACTCGAATGTCAAGTTCAAAACGCCCTCTAGATTTGCATCATTGGGAGCATGAGCAAGAGAGGCTTCCTGGCTCGCTTCTCTGTGTACCCACTTTCTCTCTCGGCTGACCCTGATGAAGGATTCTAAGTGGCTGCAAATGGCAGGCTCTGTCAGCCTGTCTCCAAAAAGGCTTCTGAAGGAAATTTCTCATACCCTGGAAGAAAGTGTGGGATGAGACGAGTGGATGGGAAGCATCTTAAGGTTACTTGCTGCCTTTTTAAACCCTGCTGGAGATGGTAACCAAGTCCTGGAATTCTTCCTGCAGCCTGGCGTGTCTGTGTGTCAGCTTGACCTTATCTTTCTGAAGCAGGTGCACTGAGCCCATGTAAAGTGCACAGATGTCATGTCCTGCTCTCGCAGAATCAGCTATGCCACAGACTGCAGTCGTCTCATTATGAATCTTCTTTAATATATTAATCTAAACGTATTCACCTCGCTTTCCCTGTCTTTCTCAGCTTTAAAAAAAACCCACATACACAAAGAGGCTGACTTTTACCATCACTAACCTTGTCCAAGGTTAGGGGCGATTTGGGGACAACACATGCCCTAGTGACTGTTGGTTTAAACCGATTGCATTAATCAGTTTTGCATTTTGATCAGTTGATCATGAAATGCCTATAATTACAAAAGTCACACATGCCATTATATGCACAAATGATCGGGATGACTTACACAGGGGTGGAGGGCTTCCTAGGAGGAATGCCTCTTTGGTTTTATGTAAAAGCTGTAAGGGCATTCACGTTCTGCACCTGATTCTAGTCGGTTCATGCATTTTAATTCTCTGTTTTTATCTGCTACATTTTGCCTACCCATGAAACATGTTTAGGCCTCTCTTAGAAGGTGTTTGAGAGCAGTCAGCTCCTCAGAAAATGATAACATTGTCCGATAAGTAGGAAATGAATCAATTATTTCATAATTATTCATTTGTTTGTGAATTAGTTTTTCCTAGCAATTTCAATATTTTGGAGTTTATTGAAATACAGAACTTACATTTTAAAAACTAACCATCCTATTCTGGTGTTGATGAATTCCCCTAATTTGGAATTCCTAGCAGCTTTTAAAGGTATACGTTGCATGCCATTATATTCTAATTTAAAGATTTTTAGAAAATGTATAGAGTTGAGCAGTCTACTTTCAGAACATCTCCTTCATCGCCAAAAGATCATTTCCATTCCCCATTTGTAATCCCTCCTCACCATCACTTCTAGCCTCATTTAATTCTTTTTTATTTTTGTTTATTTTTGTGGGTTTGTTTTTTGTTTTGTTTTGTTTTTTTGAGACGGGGTCTTGCTCTGCCACCCAGGCTGGAGTGCAGTGGCATGATCATAGCTCACTGCGGTTTCAACTGCCTAGGTTCACACAATCCTCCTGCCTTAGCCTCTGGAGTAGCTGGGACTACAGACACGTGCCACCACACCCAGCTTTTTTTTTTTTTTTTTTTTAATTTCTTATAGAGATGGGCTTTAACTGTGTTGCCCAGGCTGGTCTCAAACCCCTACCTAGGCTCAAGGCTCAAGTGATTCTTCCACCTCGGCCTCCCAAAGTGCTGATATTACAAGCATGAGCCGCTGCACTCGGCCCTCATTTAATTCCTTTTTTTTTTTTTTTTTTTTTTTTTTTTTTTTTTTTTGAGACAGAGTCTCATTCTGTCGCCCAGGCTGGAGTGCAGTGGCACAATCTCAGCTCACTGCAACCACCACCTCCCAGGTTCAAGTGATTCTTTTGCCTCAGCTTCCTGAGTAGCTGGGATTACAGGGACCTGCCACAACACCTGGCTAATTTTTGTATTTTTTAGCAGAGACGGGGTTTCGCCATGTTGGCCAGGCTGGTCTCGAACTCCTGACCTCAAGTGGTCTATCTGTCTCGGCCTCCCAAAGTTCATTTAATTCTTGATTCGACATTTTTTGGACTTTCTGGAAACTGAGAAAATAAACTGTTAACTATGGTCCTACCAAGTTTGACGCTGTTCCTGCTGGCTGTGTGTGTGGGCGTCTATGTGTGGCTTCATAATCTTTCCTGTACATATTAACATTGTGTCTGCAGCCTTATGATATCTTCACCTTCTTAAAGCACATGGCAGCATAATTTCCGCATCACTTTTTCATTTGTGGTACATACAAGGATGCTTCATACCTAATGCCGTTTCCATCCTTTTAAACCACAGGCACATCCATCTGGAAGGCCTTTTTCTTCACCCCCAACTTCAACCCCGTGGGTTCCAACGGATGCTTTGCCACACACGTGTGCTTCTGTTTCGGGAGTTATGTCACCCATCACGACCCACCTTTACTCTTTGATATTTCCAAAGATCCCAGAGAGAGAAACCCACTAACTCCAGCATCCGAGCCCCGGTTTTATGAAATCCTCAAAGTCATGCAGGAAGCTGCGGACAGACACACCCAGACCCTGCCAGAGGTGCCCGATCAGTTTTCATGGAACAACTTTCTTTGGAAGCCCTGGCTTCAGCTGTGCTGTCCTTCCACCGGCCTGTCTTGCCAGTGTGATAGAGAAAAACAGGATAAGAGACTGAGCCGCTAGCAGCGCCTGGGGACCAGACAGACGCATGTGGCAAAGCTCACCATCTTCACTACAAACACGCCTGAGAGTGGCACTGGGGAAACATAACTCCATCTACACCTTGGATTTGGACTGATTCTCCATTTTATCACCTGAAGGCTTGGGCCAGAGCTCAACAGCTACTCAACTGGAGGGGTGAGGGGGATAAGGTCTGTAGTATACAGACAGGAAGATGGTAGGTTTATGCCTTCTGTGGCCAGAGTCTTGGACTCATGGAAATAGAATGAATAGAGGGGCATTCACAAGGCACACCAGTGCAAGCAGATGACAAAAAGGTGCAGAAGGCAATCTTAAAACAGAAAGGTGCAGGAGGTACCTTAACTCACCCCTCAGCAAATACCTATGTCAACAGTATAAGTTACCATTTACTCTATAATCTGCAGTGATGCAATAACCAGCATAATAAAAAGGCAATCACATAAAAAAGAGTTTAGTCGTCTAAACATAAGTAACTTTAAGGTGAATGAAAGATCTTCTTTAGGAATAATAGATGATGGTAAGTTCCACTTTGGTTATTGGAAGGCAAGTCATTATTACTGGTATTAGTTAAAACACATATCAAATGCTTGCTCTTCATCATATATATAGTTATGCATACATACACACACACACATACAGTATATTCTTTCCTCAAAAGGGTTAAGATGTCTAAAATAGGGACCTAGAAGCTTAACACTATTTAAGTAAATACAGTAGAAGCTCACAAATAGATTTCTTTGCACAATGATTTTTTGCAAAATTTTACAGTAATAATAATCCCAAGGCAAATCTCTCCTGAACTGCTTTCCATTCCATAATTTGTAGTATAATTCTTGGATTCCACTGTTTTCTTTGGGGAATGGAAGTTCTGAATTAAAAGCCCACTGTGGAGATGCTGTGGTTCATGGAATCTCTTCCAGTGTAATTCAGAATCATTGGCCTAGAAAGTCTCTGATATTTGGAGGGGAACAAAAATCACTCACAAGCAATCCATGATCTATACACATAAGCATAATTTCCTTTAGTTCTAGTTAGTCATCAGAGAACAGTCATGTATGCAAGTTTTGTGACTGAGAAATTTCTGTGCTTCCAATCCACAATGAGATGCATGATTTTGTTTTCATCCCATTTCCCCCAAGCCCCTGTAAATCAGGGAAAATGCGCAACTGATCGCCTAGGAGAGGGCCTCGTAGTGGCACAGCTGGAGATAGTTTCAAAGTCTAAACCACCAGCCCATCCTGAGGAAAGCCTCCTATGGAATGTAAAGTGCAATCATTTCTTCAGATATAAGACTTTCCCCAACAATGTGATTGGATTCCTTTATGGCAAAATCGAGAGAAGCTGCCATCCACCTGCTTATGCATTTATCTCTTTTGTGGACTTGTCTGACCACCTTCTATTTGCCCAGAGTTTGCTCAATTCCAAGACAGTGCCCATGAATGGGACACCTGTAATGTAACCCACACAGCGGTTTGCAGAGAATGTTAGCCATGACTTGGGCTTTCTGAAAGTTGGCTATAATTTCTCTATCCCTACCCACAACCCTGGGAAGTTGGAGCAAGAGGGGCATACTATTGGGCTGGGAGGATTTGACAGCATTTCCCCAGTTGCCCTTTAAGTTCTTCTATTTCAAACGTTAATTTTGCTTCTCTTTCTAAAAAAAAAAAAAAAAAAGAAAGAGAAGAAAGAAGTGATTCCTACCCCCTACCTCCAGAGTTGTTGAAAGCTGAAAAGCATACAAGATTCTTCCTTTTAACTTGGATTTCTCGTTCCAGAAATTGTGGGATAATCTGTATTCTTGCTTTAGAAAACATTCTTAGAGAGGGTACTAGCTTACTGATGATGTGTTAGGATTGCTACTGATGCTGTCATGTGGAAACTATTTAAAGGCACTATTATAAATTTATCCTATAAGATGACAATGTTTACTCAAAGTCTAACATATTCAATGCAAGTAAGACTTTCTGAAAACACTTGATGATGTGGAAATGCTGCAGGATTAAATAACTTGAAGAGCCTTTATAGATTATATGAATGCCTATTTGTGTCTAGAACCAGTTATTTAACCTGTAAAATGTCAATAGCAAATGAAGGATGAAGTATATCTCTAGATGCAAATACATTGAGTTTAAAAGTGCCTCAAAATAATTGAGATCACATTTCAGGACATTTGGAAATCAGGTCGATTTGTGGTAACTGTAGTCATCTTAAATTTCAAACCATTTACCATCTGAAAGTTTTGATTTGAATGTAAAACAGGAAATTGGAATTCCTTTGTCCAGGAGAAACCTCACAAACCTTCTTTAAGGCATAGTTTTGTTGTTTGTTTGCTTGTTTGTTGCAGGCTGTAAGGCATGGCTGCTTGTTTACAAAGCATCTCATTCATATTACCTGTGGAGTTGCATATCCAAACCTTAGTGAGTTTTGAAGCTTTAAGCAAATTCTTTTAAAAAATTCTTGTATTTCTAGCATTACTAGATATTAAAAGTTAAGCAAATAGATTAATGACGTATACATAGGCATCATTTCACAAGGTCAGTAATGCTGCAGGAAAAGCAAAATTGCAATCTACGTATCTATGGTACTAAGGAAGTCCTGTTTTTCAAAAATGGAAGCCCACTTCTCAGATTTTTCTGAAGGGCATACAATGAAAAGTGAAGGGGAAACACACACACACAAAAAAACAAGTATTTGGCTTGTCACAGGAATCTGATTGCATTAAGTGAAAGGATTATTTAGAATATGTTAATGCAAAGCTAAAATAAAATTTTCCTTGGCAATTAAAAATGCTGTGCGCTAATACCCTGCTTTCTATCGTGACTCAATTCAACAATGTGGGGAATGTTTACTACATTTCCAACTTGATGTCAAGCAATGGGGAATACAAGTTCCAGTTCTGCAAAGATTCGTCAACTTTCTTAGCTCAAGAGAGAGGCTGAGAAATGCAGAGAAGAATAAGACATAAAATAGCTCCGACCTCCATGATCCGAGAGTGGGAAAAGGCCCGATTATTACCCATAAGGCACACTCTCTAAGGCCTTTTAAGGGGCCTACAAAAATGTTTTATTTTATAATCAGAAGAAAAGGAAATGAACATTGGGGATTGAAAATCATATTGGTATTTGCACCAACATAGTCATAAAATAGTATGTTAATATGTTTTTACTTTATATATTTATATATTAAAATATATTTAATATGTTTTGCCTTTGTGGCCCATGAAAGTCTTACTGGGCCCTGGGGAAGGTATCCTACCCTGGTGAAGCAGCTGCTTTGCTCTACAAATACCTGGGGCAGAAATTTGATTTGAAAAGTATTATTCTCTCTTCTCTTTGTTTCAACTGGATTCCTTTGGAAAACCAAACTAGTATCAGAACAAACCCCGAAACAGTAAGAAATTGGAGTGAGAAGGGCATGGTATTGGGACTAGGATCGGCTCTCATTCGATCGAGCTATTCTCTTAAAATGACAAAAAGTGTCCATAAAGAGGCTGCTGGAGAGTGCGTGGCCATAGGGAGCCGACATGCCCGGGAGGAAAGGTGTTGATTACATGGATACTTCTAAAAGCTAAAGCCTTGTTGCCTTCTCTTTAATGCCTAGAGAATGGGATGTGTGATGCAAATGCTCAAAACCTCTTAAATCATAGCTGTCTGACCTCTACGGACCTCACATCCATCTGAGGCTTCATGGACAAAGATTCTCCACTTGGCCAAACTTTAGCCAAGCTCCTCAACCTTCTCCCAGGCCCAATCTGGGCACTTCCTTGTAAAATCTAGTTTTGGCAAGAAGTCTATTAGGTCAGTTTAGCAAGAACACCTAACCCCCCCATATCTGTTCAACCTCAGTATCTGATCAGGCTCCTCAGCCTCCACCATCCCCCAGGTGATGTCTGGTCAACTGGCCTGCCTTCAGCTAGAATCCTGTTAGGTCGGTTTAGATGAATGCTCCCTGATATTTCCTCTTGGTAATCTTCCATCCACTGCCCCTGACCCTGTTCCCTGTCTATAAATCCCCAGTTTTCCATGGTGTATTCAGAGCTGAGTCCAGTCTCTCTCCCCTACTACAAGTCCCCATTGCTGTGGTCCCCGTACCTGTCATGATGGTCCTAAATAAAGTCTTACTGTGCTTTAATAGGTAGCATTGAAAAATTTTTTTCTTTGACATCATTCATGACAACATGAAACCTATTGGGACAGCATGACTGTGCAGGGTCTTTAGAGCTCAGCTTTCTGAGGCCCTGAGCATTCTTGGTTTTCCGACATCGTGAACCTGTTCTGTGTTGCAAGATATCACTCAAGCCAGTGTTGCTTAATACCATCTCTTTGTGTAATAGATCTGAATAAAGTAATTGTAATACACCAATATTTTACTTTGTTGAGTATTATTTTAATGGGAGCCTTTCCAATGAAGGAAACATCAGCTTTCCTTGTTAGAATGCAAGCAGCTTAAAAACTACCCATGTCTTTCTGGAAAGGAAACATTGCCATGTAACTATGTATCAGTTTTCTAAGAACTTCATGGGCCTTCCATATAGGAGACCCTCAAATCTGGGGGTTCATCTGAGAGTGGTTCTACTCATTAAGTTCAAATCCTCTAAAGGATTTTTTGGTAAGTGTATCTTTTTTTTTTTTTTTTTTTTTTTTTCACAGAGTCTCACTCTGTCGCCCAGGCTGGAGTGCAGTGGTGCAATCTTGGCTCACTGCAAACTCCACCTTCTGGGTTCAAGCGATTCTCCCACTTCAGCCTCCCAAGTCACTGGGACTATAGGTGTGCACCACCACACCTGGCTAATTTTTGTATTTTTTAGTAGAAATGGGGTTTCATCATGTTGGCCAGGCTGGTCTCAAACTCCTGACCTCAGGTGATCCACCCACCCTGGCCTCCCAAAGTGCTGGAATTACAGGTGTGAGCCACTGCACCTGGCCATGGTAAGTTTATCTTACCTGGCAAACACATCACATCTTCAAAGTAGCAAATTGTATAATTTCTTACATACACTTTACACAATAAGCAAACACAGTCACTTTTATATTGAGGTCTGGGCTATAAAATTTGCTTCACTGAGTATATGAGTATCTAAGGTTTGAAACTAAATTATACATGGGGATTGTAGTGTTTTTCTAAAGGTAAAATTGTTAATGAACATATTTTTAGAAATAGGTACTTTGAATTGCTTGTCAATATTTATACTAATTTAACAATGGGTGCAAAAATAAATACACAAAGTACCATATTTACAAAGATATGCATATTCTCCAGTGCGCAGGGCCCAATGGTTGCTACATTTGGAATAGAAACTATCTCATGGTTCAAATATACAGATTCATCTCAGTGAGTGCTGAGCAAGATGATATTTTCCTGTTTCCCTTATAGTAATGTTGGCACCATATGAGCCACTCGGGCCTGGCCATAAGTTTCCTGCATAATCCTCTATGGTGAGAGTCCCCACCCCCAGGCCACAGACCACTACCAGTCCATGGCCTGTTAGGAACTGAGACACAAAGCAGGAAGTGAGCGGAGGGCAAGTGAGCAAAGCTTCATCTATATTTACGGCCTCTCTCCATTACTCACGTTACCACCTGAGCACCACCTCCTGTCAGATGAGCAGCCACATTAGATTCTCATAAGAGCAAGAACCCTATTGTAAACTGCACATGCGAGGGATCTAGGTTGTGCGCTCCTTATGAGAATCTTATGCCTGATGATCTGTCTCTGTCTCCTGTTACCCCCAGATGGAACTGTCTAGTTGCAGGAAAACTAGCTCAGGGCTCTCACTGATCCTACATTATGGTGAGTTGTATAATTATTTTATTATATATTAGAATGTAATAATAATAGGAATAAAGTGTACAATGAATGTAATGTATTTGAATCATCCGAAACCATCCGCCACCCCCAGTTTGTGGAAAAATTGTCTTTTAGTCCCTGGTGCCAAAAAGTTTGGGAACTGCTGCTCTATGGGTACTCTGCTTGTTGTCATTGAATACAGAAAATTGAGATAAGAGCTCAGAGGAGGGCCTAAGGGATGAATGGTAATATATTAGTCCGTTGTCATGCTGCTAATAAAGACATACTCAAGACTGGGTAATTTATAAAGAAAAGACGTTTAGTTGACTCACAGTTCCACAGAGCTGGGGAGGCCTCAGGAAACTTACAATCATGATGGAAGGGGAAGCAAAAACGTCCTTCTTCACATGGTGGCAGCAAGAAGCAGTGCAGAGCAAAGGGGAGGAAAAGTCCCTTATAAAACCATCAGATCTCATAAGAACTCACTATCACAAGAACAGCATGGAGGTAACCACCCCCCATGATTCAGTTACCTTTCACTGGGTCCCTCCCATGACATGTGGTGATTATGGGAACTACAATTCAAGATGAGATTTCAGTGGGGACACAGCCAAACCATATCATTCTGCCTCTGGCCTCTCCCAAATCTCACGTCCTCACATTTCAAAACACAATCATGCTTTCCCAACAGTCTAACTCATTCCAGCATTAACTCAAAAGTCCACGTCCAAAGTCTCATCTGAGACAAGGTGAGTTCCTTCTGCCTATGAGCCTGTGAAATCAAAAGCAAGTTAGTTACTTCCTACATACAATGGGGATACAGACATTGGGTAAATACACACCCATTCCAAATGGGATAAATTGGTCAAAACAAAGGGGTTACCGGCCCCATACAAGTCCGAAATCCAATAGGGCAGTCATTAAATCTTAAAGCCCCAAAATCATCTCCTTTGACTCCATGTCTCACATCCAGGTTATGCTGATGCAAGAGGTGGGCTCCCATGACCTTGGGCAGCTCTGCCCCTGTGGCTTTGCAGGGTACAGCCTCCCTCCTGGCTGCTTTCATGGGCTGGTGTGGAGTGTCTGCGGCTTTTCCAGGTGCACAGTGCAAGCTGCAAACATTTTATGATAGTTCTTTGGATTTCAAAAAGATGATAGTTCTTTGGATTTCAAAAAGATGCTTTGATTTACTGGTACTGTTTTAAATAGAAGTCCTGTGCATTAATTCTTTAAAGGCTATCAGCTGTGTGAAGGTGGAAGTCAGATAAACTTAAAGATAAAAATATAGTGGAGTCTACCATCAATTAATTGTGGCCCAGGATTGATTATAAGTGATTCTGCAATTCTAGTATAAATGAGTGAAAATGCAGAGTTGATTAATCTGAGCAACAAACATAATTATTACGACTATTACTAAATATTGAGGTTCTTTTGAAATATTGTATTTTGTTTCACTGGATTCTATGAGGATAATAGATTTCAAAATATATTACACATATGGAAAGATGATGTTGTTTTTAATGGCATTTGAAAATTTTGAATTTTCCAATGAATATGTTTTTATAATATATTATTTGAATTCCCTATAAACTTTGTCACTTTTGAAATACTTTTTAAAATAGTGCCTGTGTAGTACTCTAGTAGATGCAATATTTTAGTTCTGTTGATCAGATCTTAGTCTTAGCAAAATATCAAACAATGACATAATATTTAAAGCCACGCTATTTCATCAACCTTTGAAATAATACCATGCAACTCGTGTTTAATATTTCTAATTAGTTCATGAGATTCTTGCATCTTGTGCTTTTCTTTCAAAGTCAGGTTGTAAACTATGCTGTTAATGCAAAGTGTAGGCTCTGTGTTAAAATCTGAAGGCATTCTGCAGCAAGGTTTGAAAGTACCCTTGTCTAGTGCCTCTCGGACTGATGTGCATGAAGGTGACAAGTACTATAGGAAAAGGCTGGGGAAAGTCAGAGCTTGAAATAATTCAGGAAAGGGCACTGGTGGCACTGGTGGCATTTTATCAGACAAGGGAAATGCATCGGGTCAGTAACTACTAAGAGAAAGCCGGATCAGACAGGCCATCCATTAGAGCTTGTATCAGGGAGAGCTGTTCACATTGTCACATCAGGGGCAGAGACAAAGTGAGCTCTGTAGCACATCCCATTGCACTGAAGGGAAGAAGAGGGCAGTGTCTGGGTCCACATGCAGGTGTTACAGGCAGGGATATGGATGGTGGTTGATGAGTCTCATGGATCCCAGACATGGTTCTAAGTGCTTCAGTGGATTCGTCTATTTAATCTTCACTGTACATCTGTTAGATAGCTGTTATTATTGTCCTCTTACATATGAGGATCCAGGCACAAAAAAACAGTACATACATTGCTTTATGCTTAGATTTATGGAATGCTTTTTTGGTTAATAAAAAAAGAAATGGATAGATTCATGACCTTCATATATGACTGTGCATGCTGTGTACTGCACAACTCCAGGAGGCAGCATTAACATAATCCGCAGTGGGAAGAACATTTTCTAAATTTGTGCAGTGCACAACCTGTGCCACCATATGTAGCAATATCCATTAGATAGTGATGTTGCAAAAATAGATGGATATGTAAGTAATGGACACAACTGACTACCTTGATTTTTCTAGCAAGGGACACAGGAGTACGGTTTGTAAAACCCATGGATGAATCTATGAACTAATGTATTGACATGAGACATTCTGGAGTGAAAAGGGTAATCCAAGCGTACAGATCATTAAAATAGAGCTAAAATTCACCAAGAGTTGATGTATTGCGTTGAGGGAAAAAACGGCACATAGTTTTGTGGTTATCTGTTGGTTCACTGTTCCCTGGGCATCACCACACTGTCTGCTAAAGGTTTTCAGCTTACTATGCTGCTCAGACAAATGGTAGGACTGCACTCTGGCCCTTCGTGAGCCGTGAGGAGACATGTCACAGGCTACTTCAGCGCTACAGCATCTGTCACCAGCACTTTCTCAACATCCCACACAGAGGCTGCTCCCTCCGGGTGGTCTCAGAGTTAAGATGACACCAAACAGAGTCCAGATAACTTAGGAGTAATACACAGTGTGAACAAGAAAGAAAGCTTTGTTGCTGAAGCCACTGAGATTTGGATATTTTTCCTGCAGCCTAGATACATTCATCCTGAGCAACTTATATTACCATTCTGTTTCTGCAAAGGAATGAGTATTACATTTTGCAAAATATTTCATTTCCCATTTTTATCCCTCAGGGAGTTTATAGCTAAAGGATCCTGGGATATTTTGGACCATGGAATATCCGAGGCTTAATCAGACTTGGAAAAATAATTCAGATAGTTGGAGGAAAGGAAAAATGAGAATGGCTTTGGGCCAGGTAAAAACAAAACAAAACTAATGTTGAGACTCACTGTATCTTCAGAAATATACACATCTACTAACTTTTACTGAGTGAATCTTAGGGAGGTGAATGGCACTTCATTTGGTAACATCTTATGCCACACGGAAATTGAAGGATTGTACAACTTCAGATCCCTATGTTTCAACAACTATAGCAAGCCCTGCATTTTAATGTCACTTTAAATGTGTTTAAAATATTTAATCCTACTTAATTGTATGTTAAATTTTTTGACAATCCTTTTAAAATGAAAATAATATCTAGTAGGAACAATAATATTCGTGTGCATCCTACTTATTAGTGCTTTGAATGCAAGTAAATGGTCTTTTGACCCTTTCTCATTTAAATTGTTCGCCTTTTATTCATCCCAGTCATGCTGAGTGAATTCTGGTGTTTAAAAAATTATATAGTGCTATTATTTTCCATGACAATGCTTTAAAGGGTAACTTGTGTGAGGAAGCATATTTAAAATTTTATTGTATTATTTCCATCACAACAAAGCAATGTTAAACCTTTTCCAGGGTTATAATGGCTCCTTTTGTGTAAAGTTCATTAAATTCAACAGTGATGACACTTAGAAGAGAGCTACCAGCCCCAAATGAGACAAGGACTTCTGTGTCAAAATGGGAGAAGGGAATGGAAAGGCAAGAGAAAGATTAGTAGGAGACACGTAGGCAAACCTTAGTCATCCCACGTCTGTTTATGATGCAGTTATCTTAAAGATAAAATAGAGGGTGAGAGAACCAACATGCTATCAGTCTCAGGGTGACAATTACCCTGTAATAGTCTATCTTCAACTATCTTAGATAATGCATAAGAAAGTGCTTGATGAATGATTCCATCCTAACCACTATTTAAGCTCCAGGGCAGAGAAAAGAACCAGAATTTCAGATCCTTACCCCTCACTGTCTTGTGTGTCTAAAATGTGCAGAGATCTAATATCAGCTCATCACTTACCATGGCATAAAAATAAATATTTCTCTGCAAAAGTTCATCTCGGCACCTCTCTGCTCCACAGAAGTTTTCTAAAAATAAGAGAAATCCCTTTTGGAGATGCAGAGATTTATTCTAGAAAATGACAATGCTCTTGGATTATCTTTCAGTGAGATTTGGCAATGAGCAGTGTCCCTAACAGCTAGATGACTTGATGCCCTTTCTGGAATATAATGGCAATGACAAATCTATTTTTGCTTCAGCCCAGGCAGCTATGTTAATGTGCACTCTGTGAGTGCTGAAGACACTTAGTACTGCCCATCCATTTTGAAACCTTTAATAAGAAGCCTGGAGTTAGATCTGTCCTCTTTCCTTCTGTTGTATATCAAGAGACTAACCTCTGTGGCTAAGCTTCCAATGTCGCCCTTTTACACTATAACCACAGAAGTGTGCATACAATGGAGGGAAAAGGATTAGACTTTGCAAATTCACATTGCCCTATGTCACCAATTTTGAGGATTAAGTTTCAACACAAAATAATTCAGTTCCATAACAAAAGTCACTCTAGTGTCTGAGAAGGGTAGATGGTGAAGACAGAGGTGGCTGAATTTTAAGGCATTATTGTGATTAAATGCAATTATCTTACATAACACATTTTAATTATGCCAATAAGAGAGGATTACCCAATTACAAAATGTTTTCAGCAGGACCATATTAACACTCATGTGATGTATCTTTCCTCCTGTTTAACTGTAGTGTGTAAGGATAAATACAAATTGAAATAGTACTCTAGGCTATTTCCTGCTTGGTCAATTAATATTTTTCTGAACCATAAAATATGGATTTGCCAATTTAGGGAGTTAATAACATTGCCCTAGATTTTCTTTTATCTTGGCAGAAGAACAGAGTTCTTTTCAGCATGGAACTCAGTTCTCTGATTACTTTGTGGTCCATTTTAGTTGCCAATACCTTAGATGTTACAAAAGCAAGACAGCTTCATCAAATATGCTAAAGCTATTTGCAAGACAGCTAAAATATGACATGAACCGCTACAGGAGACTCTTTGCATTTTGCATTTTTATATTAAATTTGATAATAGTGTAGATCATTTATTTATAATTTGCATGGAATTGCATTGTGCTCATGCTGAAAGGAAAATGCTTTCAATCTGCCCATTGAAGCCTCAGTAATTTGGAATGAAAACTTAGAATAAAATAATCTAAGGCATGTTTTTTGAGAGAGACTCACATGAAAATTTAAATTTTAAAACCTAAACTCATCTATGTGCTTTCAAATAGAGTACAAGATAGAAAGTGCATTGTAATTGCTGGGCATATTTTTAAGAAAAATATTTTATTGTGGAAAATTTCAAACAAACACAAAAGTAGAAAGAATGTAATATTGAATCCCCACAACTTTATTCCCAAGCGTCAATAATTGTCACCATTTTATCTATCTTCAAACACAATCATGGTCATGATATTTTAAAATTTTGGATTGTCATCCATGAACAGAAAATAAGGATTTTAATGTTTCATGATATACTGCATAAATTGCTATGACAATGTGTTTCTTCAAAGTATATATATTTTCATAAAGGTAAATAGTAAAGGAGTTAAATTTAATAAAGACATAAACTATATTGGTATCTTCTGTGTGTCAAACCATCTCAAAACTTAGTGGTCTAATGCTATACCCACATATTTAACTGCTGGTCTTGTGGGTTGACATTTTGGTTCAGCTGAGTGGTTTTTCTTAGATGACTTTGGCTGGGCCTGCTTCAATATCTGACATTGGTTGATGAACAACTGGGCTACCTGGTTTATGACGGCCTCATCTGGAAAGGCAGGAACGCCTGGGGCCTCTCTGCATGTGGTTCTCTCATTCTCCAGCAGGCTAGCCCAGCCAGTCCTCAAGGCTATAATTCTAGTGGTTACAAGATCAGCAAGAGAGGACCAGCCCAGTGTGCAGATACCTTGCAAATCTATGCTTGTGTCTGCTTGCTCTAGAGCCCAAACAAGTCACCTGGCTAAGCCCAGCTGCAAGGGTAGATATAAAGAGAACTCTTAAAGGGAGTAGCTGCAAAGGCACATTACAAAACAAAACAAAACAAAAGAAAAAACAAAAAAGAACATGCATACAAAGGAGGGAAGATTCTGTGGCCAGTTTTACAATCTACTTCATAAAGTTAAAGTCTTATCAAAAGGAGATGAAGTTGACATAGCAAATTAGGACTTCCGAAAACTCTCTTCTCTGTGAAATCAATAATAAAGCTAGAGAAAGTTGTCAGAAATAACTTTTACAGAACTCTGGAAATTAGCGAAAGACTTATTACATCCCCTGGGAACAACGGTGGGATCTCAGTAAGAAGAGTGTGCTCGTTGGCATTTGAGCTTACCTTGAGCTTACCCTAGTGCAAGCCTGTATTCTCCAACTGAATGGTGGCTGGAAAAACAGCAGCCCGTGGGTTCTCTAGCAGGGAGCAGAGGGAGCGGAGTGTGGCTGGAGCTCCAGGAAATCTTCATTCCTAATGCTGGTGTATTTATCTGTGTTTGACCTGATATGGAGTTGCCTAGTACAAAGAAATATTTTCTCTGAGGGAGTGAAGCCCTGATACGTATAATACATGGATAAATGTGGAAAATAATGCTCAGTAAAAGAGCCTGATACAAGGAAACACAACATCTAGGACCCATTTATATGAAATGTCCAGAACAGGCAAACCCATAGAAACAGAAAGGAGAGATAGCCTTTGCCAGAAGCTGGAGGGAGGAGGGATAAGGAGCAACCTCTCATGGGTAGAGGGTTTCTTTTTCCAGGGATGATAATATTCTGAAATTAGGTGTTGGTGCTGGTTGCACAATTTTATGATAGAAAAACCACTGAATTGTCCAGGTTAAGATGCTAAGTATTATGGGATGTGAATTGTATCTGATTTTTTAAAAAATGAAATCCACCATTTCAATTAAAAAAGATACAGTAGGCTGGGCATGGTGGCTCATACCTGTAATCCCAAAACTTTGGGGGGCTGAGGCAGGCAGATGGCTTGAGCCCAGGAGTTCGAGACCAGCCTGGGCAACATGGTGAAACCCCATATCTACTAAAAGTACAAAAATGTGGCAGGCACCTCTAATCCCAGCTGCTTGGGAGATGGAGGTTGCAGTGAGCTGAGATTGCACCACTGCACTCCAGCCTGGGTGACAGAGCAAGACTACATCTCAAAAAAAGAAAAAAAAAAAAAAAGAAAGAAAAATTAGCCTGGTGTGCTTATGTGTACCTGTAGTTCCAGCTATTCAGGAGGCTGAGGCAGGAGGATCACTTGAGTCCAGGAGGTTGAGGTTGCAGTGAGCTGAGATTGTGCCACTGCACTCCAGCCTGGGCAACAAATTAAGACCCTGTCTCTAAAAAAATTAATTAATTAATTTTAAAAAGTAAATTTCTTTTGCCATCAGTTATTCAAAATGGACTCTCTAGAGTGTCATCATTGCAAAATTGTCCAACTTCTATGCCATCTTTAGGATGGATTCCTGGAGTGTTGATGGCACTTTCTTTAGTTCGCCTTGTTGGACAAATTCCCATGTCTGTATTCCAGCTACTCTTCCTGCTTTGAATGCTCCCTTCTCTATGCACCTTAGTTACAGTCCCAAAATTATGAACCACAGTTTATCTTAGAGGTCTCAGCTCCATCGTCTCCTCTGTATAAAACTCACTTCCACCTTGGAACCCATTAGTGCTGCTGTTATATCTTTTGTAACAGATGATTTCAACTAGGTGTGTTTTAAACTGCCAACTCATTCAGAAAGGGACCAATTTCTATTCATGTTTGTATCCAAAGTGCACAGCATGGTGCCAGACACCTTAGCAGGAATCTTTCATCTTCTCTGGGCACAGTGAAGGTTATGTCCCCCTCAATCTCTGTAACATTTAGTCCAGACCAGCACCCACTGTCATTTTTCCTCCTCTGCCCAAGGTTGTAAAGGCAACTTAAAAACGGAGTTGTCCCAAAGGAGTTGAAGACTTATTTCCATGCAAAAACCTGGCCACGGATTTTTATAGCAACCTTATTCACAATTGTGAATTGGAAGCAATGAAGATGTCCTTCAGTAAATGAGTGGATGAGTAGATGCGTGGTACATCCAGACAACTATTATTCAGCACCTAAAAGAAATGAATTGTCAGGCTACAAGAAGGCATGGAGGAAACTTAAATGCATATCACTAAGTGAAAGAAGCCAGTCTCAAAAGGCTCATACTGTATGATTTCAACTATGGGACATTCTGGAAAAGGGAAAACTATGAGAACAGTAAAAAACAAATCAGTGGTTGCCAGGGGGAAGAAGGAGGGGTGAATAGGTGGAGCACAGAAGATTTTTAGGGTAGAACACAGTGAACCTACCCTGTGTAACATTATATAATGGTGGATCCATGTCATTATACATTTGTCCAAACCCATAGAATGTACAACACCCAGAGTGAACCCTAATGTAGATGGTGGTGATGATGATGTGTTGATGTAGGTTCATCAGTTGTAACAAATGCACTGCTCTGGTGAATGAAGTTGATGATGGGGGAGGCTGTGCATGAGTTGGGGAAGGGATATAGAGGAAATGTCTATACCTTTCACACAGTTTTGCTATGAATGTACAATTGCTCTAAAAGTAGTATTAACTCTTACATACATAAAAAATAAGGTTTTAACTCATAATAAGCATACACACCGAGTGGTGACACTTGAACTGTAAGCTGGCCACCTAGGTGGACTCATTCAGCTTTTCCTCGGTTCTAAGATATAGAGTGTACTCTTCTATCCAGAATGTGCATTTTGTATCTGACTTGAACCTGAACCCCAACAGAATGCCACCCCAAGTCCAATGAGCCTATTTCACTTTGCCCATGTGAACAATACTCCACTATGGGGCCCACCGTTTAATGCAATATGAACAGTGCTCCCTGGACTTGTGTACTATAGCCATCTGCTCCTCCAAATCCTTCCTTTGCTCGGAATCTCTGGCCAACTCTATTCTATCCAGCTCATAGCTGTGTCCCCACCCAAATCTCATCTTGAATTGTAACTCCCACAATTCCCACGTGTCCTGGGAGAAACCTGGTGGGAGGTAATTGAATCACGGGGACAGGTATTTCCCATGCTGTTCTCATGATAGTGAATAAGTCTCATGAGATCTGATGGTTTTAAAAATGGGAGTTTCCCTGTACAAGCTCTCTCTCTCTTTGCTTGCCACCATCCATGTAAGATGTAACTTGCTCCTTCTTGCCTTTCATCTTCCAACATGATTGTGAGGCCTTTCCAGCCACATGGAACTGTAAGTCCAATAAACGTCTTCCTTTTGTAAATTGCCCAGTCTCGGGTATGTCTTTATCAGCAGCATGAAAACAAACTAATACAATAAATTGGTACCAGTAGAGTGGGGTGCTGCTAAAAAGAAATCCAAAAATGTGGAAGCAACTTTGGAACTGGGTAACAGGCAGAGGTTGCAACAGTTTAGAGGGGTTGGAAGAAGACAGGAAAATATGGGAGAGTGTGGAACTCCCTAGAGACTTGTTGAATGACTTTGACCAAAATGCTGATAATGACATAGACAATGAAATCCAGGCTGAGATGGTCTCAGATGGAGAAGAGGAACTCGTTGGGAACTGGAGCAAAGGTGACTCTTGTGATGTTTTAGCAAAGAGACTGGTGGCATTTTTCCCCTGCCCTGGAGATTTGTGGAACTTTGAATTTGAGAGAGATGATTTAGGATATCTGGCAGAAGAAATTTCTAAGCAGCAAAGCATTCAAGATGTGACTTGGGTGCTGTTAAAGGCATTCCATTTTATAAGGGAAGCAGAGTGTAAATGTTCAGAAAATTTGCAGCCTGACAATGTGATAGAAAAGAAAATCCCATTTTCTGAGGAGAAATTCAAGCCAGCTGCAGAAATTTGCATAAGTAATGAGGATCCGATTGTTAATCCCCAAGACAATGGGAAAAATATCTCCAGGGCATGTCAGAGGTCTTCACGGCAACCCCTCCCATCCCAGGCCTGAAGGCCTAGGAGGAAATAGTGGTTTCATGGGCCAAGCCCAGGGTTCCCATGTGGTATGCAGCCTAGGGACTTGGTGCCCTGTGTCCCAGCTGCTCCAGCCATGGCTGAAAAGGCCTAACCTAGAGCTCTGGCCATGGCTTCAGAGGGTGGAAGCCCCAAGCCTTGGTAGCTTCCACATGGTATTGAGCCTGCGAGTGCACAGAAGTCAAGAATTGAGGTTTGGGAACATCTGCCTAAATATCAGAAGATGTATGGAAACTCATGGATGCCCAGGCAGAAGTTTGCTGTAGAAGTGGTGCCCTCATGGAGAACCTCTTCTAGGGCAGTGTGGAAGGCAAACATGGGGTCAGAGCCCCCACACAGAGTCCCTACTGAAACACTGCCTGGCGGAGCTATGAAAAGAGGGCCACTGTCCTCCAGACCCCAGAATGGTAGATCCACTGACAGCTTGCACCATGCACCTGGAAAAGCCGCAGACAATGCCAGCCTGTGAAAGCAGCTGGGAGAGAGGCTGTACCCTGCAAAGCCACAGGTGCAGAGCTTCCTAAGACTATGGGAACCTACCACTTGCATCAGCATGACCTGGATGTGAAACACAGAGTCAAAGGAGATCATTTTGGAGCTTTAGGATTTGACTGCCCCACTGGATTTTGGACTTGCATGGAGCCTATAGCCCCTTTGTTTTGGTCAATTTCTCCCATTTGGAATGGCTGTATTTACCCAATACCTATACCCCATTGTATCTAGAAAGTAACTAACTTGCTTTTGATTTTACAGGCTCATAGGTGGAAGGGACTTGCCTTGTCTCAGTGAGACTTTGGACTGTGGACTTTTGAGGTAATGCTGAAATGAGTAGAGACTTTGGGGGACTGTTGGGAGGTCATGATTGGATTCGAAATGTAAGGACATGAGATTTGGAGGGGCCAGAGGTGGAATTATATGGGTTGGCTGTGTCCCCACCCAAATCTCATCTTGCATTGTAACTCCCACAATTCCCATGTGTCATGGGAGGAAACTGGTGGGAGATAATTGAATCATGGAGGTGGGTTTTTCCCATGCTGTTTTCGTGATAGTGGATAAGTCTCATGAGATCTGATGTTTTTAAAAACGGGAGTTTCTCTGTGCAAACTCTCTCTTTTTGCCTGCCACCATCCATGTAAGATGTGACTTGCTCCTCCTTGCCTTCTGCCATGATTGTGAGGCCTCCCCAGCCATGTGGAACTATAAGTCCATTAAACCTCTTTCTTTCCAGTCTCAGGGTATGTCTTTATCAGCAGCATGAAAACAGACTAATACACCAGCTTATCCCAGCTCTAACTGACAGCCTCAAGTGCACAGATTTCTGGCCACTCTTTTTTGGGGGCTCTTTCTCAACCTGGCTCTGAATAATTAACCTTATTCTCAAACTTTCAATCCAAACTTTACTTGTCTCCTCCAGTATGGCTTTATAGTTTAAACTTGGCTGAGAATTTGCCCCACTATTCATAGTTAAACTTGTCCCTTTGAATGGAAATTAATCCCCTGTATTCATTCTCATTCTCACTAGCTCCTGTAACTCTCTTGTCCCCATTTCTACATGGGCATTTATCTGAAACTCTTTATGTCTCTTACCTAAGATGCAATGACTTTTGCAAAGCAATCTAGATAAAATTATTTAAAAATTGAGTAGCTAACATAACCTTTCAAAGAAGCATGTATTTTTGGACTCTCTCTTATCTGAGGTGCAAATCACTCTAGACACCATTACTGAGCTCAGCTGCCATTCAGTGGAGTCTGAATTGCCTGCATAAAAATGACTACCTTACAAGAAATTATTCCATAAGAATCATCATGGTCTAAATGTATATATCCAATACATTTGTGTAATTTTTCATTGACCTAAAAATCTCACTTTATAAGTGACTGTTTTGATGTCATCAACATTTGTATCCACTTCTTTTTTATAGGACGATGTCTTATCTTTCTTTAGGCTACCCTGAAATAAACAAAATAGCTGATGGAATTTCCTGTGTTCGCAGATTCCAGGCTTTCCACAGGTTCTAGACCTCAAGTGATACATTGGTATATTTGGAAAGATAGATTTTTAACAATAAAAAAATGAAAATGCAGACATAGCTAGTTCTAGGAATAAATATACTGGAGCCACAAGGCAAAATCTGATTTTTTTTTTTTTTTTTGCAGATAGTACAGGCTTAAAATAACTTTAACCCATCTATGAGGATAATCACAGGAATAGGGCCTTGGCCTAATTAAAATTACATATTCCAAAAGATATATAACATAGCTTTCAGTTATCCAAGACATCAGATACTTGGTGGTTTGTCAGTGATAAATAAACTTTAGCTTTATAAGTAAAGCCTTAAAAAGGACAAAATAATTTGTGTGTGTTTGCTCTTATGCGTCATTCAAATTGATTGGTTAATTATTCCCTTATTGTCTGAGCTGTTTGGCATTTTGCAAACAGTTTTCACAAGGCTTGATGTTCTGAAGAAGGTGTAAATTTTCCAAGGTGAATTAGAATGAATGTGAGCTAACTTATTGATGCTGGCATCATGAATTAAATAACTGGTTGTTATTGACTTACTGAACCACCAGACATGTGACAGAGGAACTCAACTCTATATAGATTCTTAAATGAAAGAACTTGATCATTTTGGTGACTCAAAATGCAGTCAAATTTCTTAGTCATATGTCATGTGATTAATTTATGTAAGCATTTACACACATTAGTATTTAGTTTTAAAAGTATTTCTGAATATATGGAGTTCGATGGATGTGTTTCAGAACTAACCTTTACTTGCATGGGTTTATTTTCATTCTGTTGTCGTTTCTTGATTTGGAGGCAGTTATTGGTGGTCTTTGGTCTTAACCTCTTTGATGCTAGTGCTTTCTTCTGTTGAATACTGTGGACAGGAGGACCACGGGCATAGACCTTCAAAGGAGTATATCAACTCTGGCTGAGGTCCCGCAGGCTTTGGCTTGAACATGTCCATGTGTCAGTCAGCTATTTCCACAATAATGCTACATAATAAGGTAGCCTCTAACTCAATGCATAAAAATACATATTTCTTCTCATACTCATTTTTTTCTGGGAGTCATCTATTGTGGCTTTACTCCATGTGTTACATTCAGGGCCAAGCTTGGAGGCAGAGGACAGAGCACCCAGAGGGCAAGAAGAAACACAAGCTCCTTTTCAGATTTAAGCCTGTAAGTGTCATTTCTGTCTACATTTATTTGGTCAGACCATGTGTCAGTGAAGTATACTCTCATGGAGCTTGAGGGAGACTGTACTACTTAGATTTTTATTGCTGTGTAATGAATTGCCACAAACTTAGCAGTCTAAAACAATACCCATTTATTATCTCAGTTCCGTAAGCCAGAAATGCAGAGGAGCTTAACTGGGATCTCTGCTCCAGTTCTTACCAGAATGAAATTTATGTATCATCTAGGACTTCTGGTCTCACCTGGAGCTGAAGGTTCTCTGCCAAGATCAATGATTATTGGCAGAATTATTTTACTTCTCACACTGTCCACATGGGTTCCTCCATCTTAATTTTTTTATTTTTTTTGGGACAGGATCTCACTCTGTCACCCAGGCTGGAGTCCAGTGGTGTGACCACGGCTCACTGCAGCCTTGTCCTCCCCAGGCTCAGGTGATCCTCCCACCTCAGCCTCCCGAGTAGCTGGGACTACAGGTGTTCACCACCACACCAGGCTGATTTTTTTTTCTTTTGCATTTTTTGTAGAAATGGGGTTTCTCCATGTTGCCCAGGCTGGTCTCAAACTCTTGGGCTCAAGCAATCCTCAGCCTCCCAAAGTGCTGGGATTACAAGCATTAGCCACCACACCCAACCAGGTTATTCCATCTTTAAAACAGCAATGGAAGGTCAAGTCCTTCTCACACTTCAAATCTCTCTGATAGTATCCTCTGTCTTTTTCTTACTTCTAAGAGCTCATGTTATTACACTGAATCCACCAGGTAATCCAGGATAATCTCCAATTGAGTAGGAAGCTTATTAAGTGAGCTTGAGTAATCTTATTCAGTCAGAAGATAAGTTCAACTAATTCAGCTTAAGTTATTCAACTTAAGTTATTATAACTTGGAAGATACATTCAACTGATTAGTAACCTTAATTACATCTGCAAAATCCCTTTTGCTATGTAACCTACTTAAACCACAGGAGCAGCACCAGGAAGTGAAAGTCATGATGGTGAAAATTCTGCCTACCCCAGAAACAGAGGCAAATATTTGCTGAACAATGTACTACCTCACCCTAGCCCTATTCTGACCTAAAACATCACCATGACCTCCCCAGTGTTCTTGCTCCATGTGACCAATTCTCTTCTGCTCTTTCAGGGAAGTCCTAATTGGGAAATGAGATGATTTCAACTTTTTAAAACATCTAATTGGTTACCAGCATGGGCAACAGAGTAAGACTCTGTCCCTACGAAAATATTCAAAAGTTAGCCAGGTTGGTGGCACGTGTCCATGGTCCTAGCTACTCAGGAGCCTGAGGTGGGAGGATCACTTGAGCATAGGAGTTTGAGGCTTCAGTGACCTATAATCACACCACTGCACTGAGTGTTAGGCAACAGAGCAAAACTCTGTTTCTAAAAAATAAAATAAGATATACAAAATAAAATATCTCATTGGCTAAAATGTAGTCACACGACCAAGCCACAGAGGAGGCTGGGAAATGTAGTCTTTAGCAGACTAGCTGCATGCGCAAATAAAAAAGTTCTATAATTGTGAAAGAAATGCAGAATAGATGTTGGCTTAACACTGCAGGTAGTAAAGGCTGCCAGTGTTAAGCCAATATCTATTGTAATGGCTTATTTACATTCTAGTATGTCATCAGTCTTGCTTACATTACATCATTTTATTCTTATACTATATCCATGAGGGAGTGACAGTTTTCTCAATTAACAACTGAGAAAAACCTATGATACTTGAGGGTATTAGTGTTTAGTGGGTGGGTAATGTAGGGAAGAAATTCTAGGCAGAAGGTGGTAGGGGAGATGAGGAAGACAGGGTGAAATATTATTCTACAGTTTAGCAATTGCAGTTTCTTTAATGTTCTTGTGTCTATGTGTGTGTGTCTGAATTTGTGTGTGTTTATGTGTCTGTGTATGTGAGTATGCCTTTGTATGTGTTAATTATGAGGGCTGAAAATGAGAGCTGTGGTTCAAGAGACTAGCATTGTAAGGTTTTAAGAAGGGGGCTAAAATATTTCTCAGAAATTAAACATTGGAGCTGTTTCTTTGTTGCACCTCTGGTGTCTACAGAACCCATATGGATCAGCTGGGTGAAAGGTGACATACATAAAAGGCATGGTGGCTCACCCCTGTAATCCCAGCACTTTTGGAGGCCAAGGTGGAAGGATCGCTTGAGCCCAGGAGTTTGAGACCAGCAACACAGCAAGACCTTGTCTCTGCAAAAAATAAAACAAATTATATAGCTGGTCTTGGTGGTGCATACCTGTAATTCCAACTACTTGGGAGGCTGAGGAAGAAGGATCAGTTGAGCCTAGGAGTTTCAGGCTGCAGTAAGCCATGATGGTGCCACTGCACTCCAGCTTGGGCAACAGAGTGAGACCCTGTCTCAAAAAAAAAAAAAAAAAAGTAAGGTGTTTTGTAATTAAAATGAGTCACTCAAGATATCACTGCCCAGACAAGGGATACCCAAAACTATTTTACTCGAAGGGAAAAAATATGTAACTTCATACGATGTTCCATAAAACTGCAGAAATGCTTCCTTATGTTTCCCCAATTTATGCTCCTGTAATTCAAACAGGGAAAGTAATGAATATGTGTGGAGTTTCCCTTCCAGAATTGAAAGCATCCTTTTTGCAAAGGGATCATGTCTCTTCCTGGGTGAATAAGGATGATAGGACCCTTCTCCAGAGGGGCTCATCCCTGTTTCTCCCCTATTCCTGCCTCCTTCCTTTGCACAGACTGTCTTTGAAGTGCCTCCAGCATCATGTCACAAGGCAAATGTAAGTCGCATTAGGACTATAAATGAATTGGAGGAGTAGCAAATGCAATAAACTGGTTGCTGTCTTGAGATATGACATCTAAACCAACCAATATATCTCAGAGGAAAGACGGCTTTTCCTCCTTCCTCCTTATTTACTCTGAGGCACTGTATAAAATGCTCTACCATCAAAGAAATGATGGCAGAACAGAAAGTGGAGGTGCTATAAATTTCATGCTTGGCAGCTTGCACTAGATGTATTTCAAGGTAATGACTCTACCTAGAACTTTTCTAGAATGACCCCTGTCAAAGCCCCTATTCAGAAGCTACATTCACTTCTGAATGAGGTGACGAGAAGCTTGGAATAGGATTAGATAATGGATACATGTACAGGCTGCTAAGATGTTTATGGCCTGTGGGATTTGCTGTGAATGCAGGAGCTGGGCCAGTCCAATTTCTTGCCAGCAGTTTGAAATTGGGAACTTCAGAAATGGAGTCAGTCACATGTCTGGGAGAGTGAAAACCGAAACATTGTGATTCTGCAAAGATACGGCTTCATTTCTAGTTCCTTGGGTGCTAGGTTGTTTCTGGTTTCCTTTCTCTGGATTTCCTGACGTTTCCATGATGTCTCATAAAAACGTGCACTTCTTGCCCAACTTGGGTTTCCTCAAGAGAGTATCTGATTTCACAAGAAAAACAACAACAGTCTCACTTTACACAAAAATTAGCTAATATGCACTGACTGTTTACTAGGTACCCGACCATATTCTAAAAACTTTATGGATATTGACTCTGTTATTTATCAAAGGGCATTATTAGGTATTTTAGCTACATTTTAAAATGTGGAAAATGAGGCTAGGAAAGGCACATTCTTCAGTGTGACTCAGATGCCACACCCTCAGCCTCTATATTGTGTGACACATCAGAGATTCACGTGGAAGAGTTAAGTTATATGTTTTACTGAAGGAAATGTGAATTCTGTACCGGATGTATTTTATGTGTTAGTTGGTTTATTTATAATATAAGGTTCTCAGCTGTCCTGCAACAGCCATTGGACTGACAGTACATTAAAATGTAAGTGGATCCCAATCCAGGATTTCAGTTAATTCAATTGATGACTGCTATTGGATATTCCTGAAGAGAGGGTGGATCTAGAGGGAAAAAAAAGAGAAAGCTGTGCATATGAGGGAACAATAATGATGACAACAATTACAACAATAATGTAAGGAACAGTATTAAGTGACCAAGGAAAATTGCTCAATAGACTGTAACTGGACCAGGAGTAGGTCTGAATGAGTTGAGTGAAAGAAGAAGAGTAAAAGGTCAGAGCAGAACTCACTCCTGTGAGTACCAGGGGCCAAAGCCTCACTCACATTCTTACCCTCATACTTCTCCAAGTCTTCCTTCCCTGGGCAAGATCTCCCCCACCCTCTGGTCTCACAGTGAGGCAGAGAACATAGTCCTTGAAGCTTGACAAACCTACATTTAAAACTCCAAGTCTGGGCTGGATGCAGTGGCACATACCTGTAATCTAGCACTTTGGGAGGCCAAGGTGGGAGGATTACTTGAGGCCAGGAGTTCAAGCCTGCAGTGAGCTAGGATTGCACCGCTGCACTACAGCCTGGGTGACAAAGCAAGACCCTGTTTCTAAAAATATACATGAAAAAAGTTAAAAATTCCATGGCTGCCAGTTTTGCGATTTTTTGCGCAGTTTCTCTTCTGTAATATGGACATATGGACACTTGTCACTTTGGAGGGTCATACTGTAATATAATGAATACACACACATATGTAAAAGTGTTTGCAGTATCTGTAATGTATGCCTAACACTCATTTTTCAACATTCATTGGTCATCCACCTATTCAAGTGTCATGGAATCCTTGGAGTGTTGCTTCACCAGCCAGAAACCTCTCTGGCCAGTGACGCCTTCTGCCTGGGTATTTCTTGCACCTGCTGGGCTCATTTCACCCACTTGGCCTGGCAGGTTGTGCTTGGCTTGCACTACCAGCCCAGATCTCATACTCGCCAAGTGCAAGTCAGGTGCGGAGTGGCAAGGGGTGTGTAGGTGAGCGAGCATGGGGTCCAGCCACTGCATGCAGCTAGGCATGCTGGCTGTTGCAGTGGGTCAGGCAGCTCCAGGTGCCAACACAGGTGCCAGCTCCATGCCAGGCTGTGGCTGGACAAGATGTACTGCACACAGCTTCTGCTGTGGGCACTCCCATCTGGACAAGGGAAACGTGGTGGTGTCCTGAAGCTTGGAGATGCCAGGAACTGCAGAATCCCAAAGAGGGTGTCACAGCCCTGGCTCTGAGAGCCCCTGGGTCTGGGCTCCCAAAAGGGAAGCAGCTCTTCTCTTCTTCTCGTCATCTGCACCGTTGTGAGCGGAGGTGCATGTTTCAGCCCTGTTTGTGTTACAGCTCTTTTAGTGCTGTTATTCAGTGGGTCTCAAGTTTTTGTCTCGTCTCCAGGAAGAATGAGGTACACAGACAACTGGAGGGTGAGCAAGGCAGAGAGGAGCTTCATTGAGTGGCAGAACAGTTCTCAGGAGACCCAAAATGGGTAGCTCCTTTCCACAGGCAGGTCATCTAAATGTCTATGCAGCCCTCAGTGGAGAGGAGACCTGCAGTGGGTAGCTCCCCTCCACAGACAGGTCACCCCAATGTCTGTGCAGCCCTCAGTGGAGAAGAGACCTGGAGTGGGTAGCCCCTATCCACAGGCAAGTCATCCTGACATCTGTGCAGCCCTCAGTGGAGAGGAAACCCAGAATGGGTAGCTCCTATCCACAGGCAGGTCATGCCTTCATCTGCCCGAATCTGGCTGAGTCCGGGGTTTTTATGGGCTTCAGAGGGGAGGAAGTGCCTGCTGATTGGTCCGTGGGCGGCCATGGCCAGGCCAAGGAAAAGCAACATTAGTTCTCACTGTGGTCTGTGGAACTGACAGCCTGGCCTCAGGTCATCCCTGGCTTGAAGGTAAGGCCTCACCAGTGACCCACCCCTTTCCACCCAGAAGCCTGTCTGCCTCCTGCTGTCATCGACCTGTCATCCATAGTGCCCATGGCACCCAGACTGTTTACGCCAAGGGGAACCTGCAGGCCCACACAGAGCTGCCCTCAGCCCCACTCCTTGGCCTCCCTCCTGTGGTCATCAGTGCCTAAAGCCCAGAGGGGGCTGAGGCAGCAGGAGGCTGGTGTGTCAGTGCTGCCTCAAGCACACACACACCCAGGTGAATCGTGACAGCATCTGGGCTTGACCTCAACTTTGCTGCAAAATCAGACTGGATACTGGGAGTGGGGAGAGGCCAGGCAGTTGGAGAAGGCACTTCTGAGCCTGTGGAGGGAGGGGAGCTTCCCAGCTGATATGGTTTGCCTGTGTCGCCACCCAAATCTTATCTTGAATGGTAACTCCCACAATTCCCACATGTCATGGGAGGAACACTGTGGGAAGTAATTGAATTATGGGGACAGGTCTTCCCTGCACTGTTCTCTTGATAGTGAATGAGTCTCACAAGATCTGATGGTTTTAAAAATGGAAGTTTCCCTGAACAAGCTCTCTTTGCCTGCTACCATTCATGTAAGATGTGACTTGCTCCTCCTTGCCTTCTGCTATAATTGTGAGGCCTCCTCAACCACGTGGAACCATAAGTCCATTAAACCCTTTTTCCTGTATAAATTACCCAGTCTCAGGTATGTCTTTATCAGCAGCATGAAAACGGACTAGTACACCAGTCCCCAAGAGCACAGGGATGCCCAGGTCTGCAGCCATGGCTGGGTGGCTGCATCTGTGCCTGTGAGGGTGGGGCTCCACCCCTCTAACTCAGAAGGGGGTGGGGCTCCCGCCTGTTCCCAGCTCCCACTGGCTCCATGGAGTGAACAGCTCTGGCCACGTCTCCCCCACCACAGCCGGCATCATGGCAGTGGCCACTCCAGACAGGTCTCTGTTGCCATCACAAGCATCCTTAGCCCATCCTCAGATGGTCTTTTCATCCATAATGCATGTCGTATTCTATTCCACATGGCAGCTGTTCATACCGTGTTCACTGTTTTTGAGTTTCTAGTGCTTTACACCATCCCTCTCTCTGGACTCTTACTTGATTAAGAACATGGAATTCCCTTGGCTAACCCATTTTCAGGTTTTCTACCTGTCAACTCAAATATTATCCATGTCATTATGTTTTATTTTATTTCTTTGTTGTTTTGTTTGTTTGTTTGTTTGTTTGTTTTTGAGACAAGGTCTCACTCTGTCACCCAGGCTGGAGTGCAATGGTGCAGTCATAGCTCACTGCAGCCTCAACCTCCTGTGCTCAAGTAATGCTCCCACTTCAGTAGCCCAAGTAGCCGGGACTACAGGCATGCACCACTACACCCAGCTAATTTTTCCGACTTTCAGTAGAGACAAGGTTTCACTATGTTGCCCAGACTGGTCTTGAACCCCTGAGCTCAAGTAATTCTCCCACCTTGGCCTTCCAGAGTGTTAGGATTACAGGTATGAGTCACTGCCCCTGGCCATTTATTTCTGTCTCAGCAGACTTTTTTTGCAAGTCTCACCTGTTGTGCTGGGCTCTCAAACTCTTGAACTCATCCACTGTCCTCTCTCTAGGAACTTTTTCCATCTGGAATTTTCTTTTGTAACATCAGCCCTTTCCTCTCCACCATCCCCTCCCACCCTGTGTCCGTCTTCTTAGGAAGATTTTCTTTGACCCTCCTTCCCTGATACACTAATGCTTCATCACATTCTTGGTTGCATTCAAGCCTTTGCCACATCATAACACAGTAGTGCATGCCATTGATTTTACTTCTACCTATCCAGCTCGCCCTTCAACCATGGAACATCCCCTCTCATACAGTTGTCCATTTAGAGCTCTTCTTTCCAAGTAGTTGCCTACTCGAGTGACCTCTTTTCACGTTCATTCTAATGGAATGCTCAGTGCTATTTGACACTGCTAACCAATGCTTCTTTCTTCCATGTCCCCCCTTTTAAGAAGTTTTTTAGATTTAGGTGGTACATATGAAGATTTGTTACATGGGGTTATTTTGTGGTGCTGGGGTTTAGACTTCTATTGAACCCATCACCCAAATAGTGAACATAGTAACCAATAGATCATTTTCAGCCCTTGTCCCCCTTTTGGGGTCCCCAGTGTCAGTTGTTGCCATTTTTATGTCCATATGTACCCATGGTTTAGCTCCCACTGCTAACTGAGAACAAGTGATATTTGACTTTCTGTTTCTGCATTAATTCACTTAGAATAATGACCTCCATCTGCATTCATGTTGCTGCAAAGAATATGATTCATTCTTTTTTATGGCTGCATAGTATTCCCTGATGTATATGTACCATGTTTTCTTTAATCAAGCCACCACTGATGGACCCTTAGGTTGATTCCATGACTTTGCTAGTGTCAATAGTGTTGCAATAAACATGTGTGCACAGGTGTCTTTTTTATAAAATGATTTGTTTTCCTTTGGGCAGATACCCAGTAGTGGATCAGTCTTCCTTGTTGGGTCTAAGACACTATACATTCCAAGTTCTCTTCTTATCTCATTAGATCATTCATTTTCCTTTGATGAATTATCTGTTTCCCCACTATTTCTCCATTATCCTATTCTTGCTGCCTTTATATTAAGTGTAGGGATTTCTCCTTTGACCTGTGTCTCCCCTGAGTTTATACTTACTCCTGGTTGTAAATATTTTCATAAAAATGACTTCCAGTTCCTTCCCCTCCACTAGTTTCCACCTTTACCTAGAATTTCCCTCAGTATTATAAATTCCTTGCTAGACACTTAAACTCAACACATTCCAAACAAAATGAATCAACTTCCCCTTTCCCTGAGGGAGGAAAAACAGATACAGTTGTACCCTTTCTTTTGGTTCATTGTATTACCATCTTTCAATTCATTTGGCCCCAAAATGTGGAAGTCACCTTTTGTTTCTTTCTCAACGTTTCATTCAATTTGTATCGAGTTATGTTGATTCCACTTTAGGAATATCTCTTGAACTTGTAAACTTTTATTGATTCCAAATGGCAGTCTCTTAGTTCAGGGTCTTATCATATCTGATCTATATTATTTCTGACTGATCATTCTTCCTGCAGCTTCCTGCTCATGCTAATCTGTTCTACAGACAAATGCAAGAACTATCTTTCACGACACTCATTCTTCGACCTTATCTTTTCTGTCTCCATTGGCTCTTCTCTCTGTGTTTCTTAAGCGCTGGCTGTATCAGATAACTTGCCATTTCCTCTTTTTGTTTGTGGCCATCTATCTTGGCTCATGTTAGCAGATCCTGCTGTCTGGTATGACCTTTCTTCCTTCCCCTCTACTGAAGTCTGTATTAGTTTTCTGTGGGTGCCATAACAAAATACCACAAATGTAGCAGCTTAAAACATCACACCTTTATTATCTCACAGTTATATAGGTCAGGAGTTGAGGTGAGCTTGGCTTGTTTCTCTGCTGGAATCTCTCAGATGGCTGGAATCAAGGTGGTCAGTGGCCTGACCTCTTATAGGGAGACTCTGAGGAGAGCCCACTTTCCAGCTTACTCAGGTAGTTGGAAGATTCAGCTGTCGAACTGAGGTCCCCCTTTCCTGATTGGCTGTCAGCCAGGAGCCATTCTCAGCTCCTCCTGGCTACCTGCGTTCCTTATCATGGTGCCTCCTGCATTTCCAAACCAGCAACAGTGCATTGAGTCTTTCCCATGCTTGGAATCTCTCTCTGACAATTCCTTCTACCACGTCTTCCTCTCCGACTGGAGAAATTTCCTCACTTTTTAGGGTGCATGTGACTAGATTAGGTTCACTGGGATAATTCAGGATTATGTCCATCTCTTAAACTCTGTAAACTTAAATCCATCTGCAAATGTAATTGTTATACAACTTCACATATTTGTAAGTTCCAGGTATTAGAGTGTGGACATTATTGAGGTGGAGAGTGGGGAGGGCATTTTGCCTACCACAAAAGTGCAGTAATTTCTCAGAATATAAACTCTATCTCTGTAAAGTGATTTTCACTTAGTTGCGTCCTTCGGGGTATTACCCTAACCTTGTACTTGTTAATGTCCTCTGACAATTGTGCAGTATTTTATTATAGGAACTTATTTACAAATATGTCTCCTATTATCAATAATAAATTACATGAACTCAGAAAACATACCCTAATCACCTTGACATTCCTATGCAGAATCTCACAGTGCCTTATGTGTTTTTGTCAAGTAAACTGAGTATGTTCCGTAATAATTTGCTGAATGTTTATTAAGCTTTTGCTATGTCTGAAGCATTGTTATCTTTAGATGAGAAGCAATTTGAAGACATCAGGTAGAGTTAAACATGATAGGTGAACTTTCGTTTGTGTTACATCAAGGCACACTGATGTATATAGAGGAATAAATACCCCCACATACTCAACTGTATTAATTGCATATTGACACATAACAAAATGCCACAAACTTAGGGGATTAAAATAGCACATATTTATTACTTTACAGTTACTATATGTTAGGAATCTAGGGGTGGCTTGATTGGATCTTCTGTTTCAAGGTCTTCCACAAAGCTACAGACAAGGTGTAAGCCAGGGCTGGGGTCCTACCTGAAAGTTTGGGTGAGGAAGGAGTTGCCTCTAAGCTAATGTGGTTGTTGGCAGATCCAGTTCCTTCTCAGCTATTTGGAGAAGTCTCCCTTAGTTTGTTATCACATGGTCAGCTCCAGCATAGCAGATTGTATCCACCGAGTGTGAAAGTTGAGATGGCAAGAAGATCTGAAAGCAAGGCAGGAGTTAGATGTTGTGTAACCTAATGATGAAATAGATACACCATCACGTTTGTAGTATTCTATTAGTTAGAAGCAGGTTACTAAGCGAGCCACACAGAAGGGAAGGGATTACACAGGGTGTGGGTTATCAGGAGGCAGAACCATTGGAGGCCATGTGAGCATCAGCTTGTCATATGCACCCATGCAGAGACACAGATACATAAGCAGATTAAATCATTCAGTAGATGGAAAAACATGTGCATTAGGAGGAGAGAATGAAAGCAGCTGATCATAGAGTTTGTTGGGATTGTGACCAAGAAATTAGATGGAGGGGCTGATATTTTGAGGAAAGTGATTTAGGAGATGAGAGAAGATGAATGGAATCCTTTATTTATAAAAGCTCCTCCTCAAGGCTAAAGTTAGTAGTCTTGACATAAATGATCAAGTAATGCCCCAATGGTTAACAACCCTGTCTGCCCACTTCTGAACATATAAAAGCATAACATATTCCTGTGTGCAGAAATGAATACGTTTCTAGAATGGTGGTTCTTAAATGGTTTGGTCTTAGGACTTCTTTTCCATCTTAAAAATTATTGAGGACCAGCTTCATCCATGTCCCTATAAAGGACATGAACACTTGGACACAGGAAGGGGAACATCACACCCCGGGGACTGTTGTGGGGTGGGGGGCGGGGGGAGGGATAGCATTAGGAGATATACCTAATGTAAATGACGAGTTAATTGGTGCAGCACACCAACATGGCACATGTGTACATATGTAACAAACCTGCACGTTGTGCACATGTACCCTAAAACTTAAAGTATAATAATAAAAAAAAATTATTGAGGACCTCACAGAGATTTTACTTAGGTGGGTTATGTCTATTGATGTTTACCAAATTAGATGTTAAAACTGAGAAATTTAACAATGTTTATGAATTTATTTAAAAGGCATAATAATCTTATTTCAGGTTAACATAAAAACAGGTTTATTAAAAATAACTATATTTCCCAAAGCAAAAAAAAATTGTGAGATACAGAATATTCTATGTTTTTGAAAATCTTTTCAATGTCTGATTTCAGTAATAGAAAGCTGGATCCCCATATCAGCCGATGTACTCAATATCTTGCAATATATTGTTTTAATTTGTGTGTATGAAGAAAATCTGTCCTCTCGCAGAGATATAGTTTGAAAAAGATAATTAGATAATTGTGGATATTCTTCTTTAATACTATACCAAAACTCAACACGGATAGTTTCTTAAAGGTTCATTAAAAAGTGTAATTGGAACCCATATCAAAAACCTTTCTGTCCTTTGTAACGTTAAAACCCATTGTTTTATCTTACATTTAGCATGCATATTTGACCCATGCAAGATTTTGGAAAAATATTGGTTTACTAAGTTATGCATGACTTGCAAATATTCATACATTTCATTATACAAGATAAAAAAATTCACATTTATTGATAGCACCACTCATTTGATTAGGGAAGAATTTAAGTGTTGGGAGGTCATCAAGCTCCTGGCATCAGATGTAAGATTTCTATTTTTTTATTTTTTCTTGAAATCTTGAATCATATCCTCAACAGCAAATACTGTCAGTTGTTTTCCATGAAGTGAAAGGCTCACTTTGTTCGTGCTTCAAAAAATGTCTGCCAAATAGCCAAGTCTGAATTTCCATAGATTGACTGTTAGTCTTTGAAATATAAGTGGTAGCTACTATTTCACATCACCACTGAAATAGTGGAACGTGTTCTTTTCCTGGAGACAACATCTAGCTTCATTGTATAGCAGGAGAGCTTTCTGTGTACTTCCCATCTCATCATGCAGAATATTAAAAAGACATGTATTCTGGAGGTGGTTAAGAAAATCAAAATTTTTTATGTGAAACTAGCATCCCTTGACTGCAACCGCATGGTGGTGATGAATAAGTAGTAGTACCATGTGGGATCACTGCCTCGATCAGGTCTAACATGCCAGCCGTCTTTCCTGTTGCTTGTGCACCACCAGTGCAATTGTTAGCAAGGTAAAAAGAAGCCAGTGACATCTCAGTATTATGATGAAAATAGATGTGTTCTCCAGTATCCCTTAAAATATCTCCCCAACTCCCAGGGGTCTGATGTACAACGTTGCCATTCACTGCACTGCACTATAGCAAGCAGCATGTTCAAGTGACCCTCCAAGAGGAGATTACAAACATCAAGATCTACTTAACTCACAACTCCACTGTACTCCCTATCCTCAGCTACAATTTAGCTAAACATTGTCTTCCTCTCCAATCACTTCTCTAGATACCAGAATGAAGCAAAACTTCTCAACTTAGGAGGAAACTTAATACTGGCTACTTCTATATGAGCCAAAATTAGATCCTCAGAGCTTCCTGTTTTGTTATTTGTTTTTGGTTTTGATTGGTTGACTTGAATTTATTCTTTTGATTGTAGTTTGGTGAATGTCTGTCTGTTCAATGAGACCCAATACCTCTTTGAGGATTTTGTGCCTTTCCTAATTAGTTATGCCACCCTTTGAAATATTCAACACTTTAAAGATCTTTGTTAAATAAAAATAAAGAAATATGTGTCATGTAATCAAACGATGGAGAAAATAAAGGTACAGTTTAGTGTATAAACCCCATAGAGAATGCAGCTGTCTTTGTTTCTGTAATAGCAAAATAGCGAATTGAAAATAAAAGCAAATTGACACAATCTTTCAATTCTGTTCTACTAAAACACACCTTGAAAAGCTCATTGAAACATATAACAGAGGCAACATTAGCAATTATAAATTAAAGCAGTTCGAGATAGAGAGAGAGAGAAATAGTGGTTAAAATGAAAAGTGATTAAATAACAACCTAACTCTTAAAAGCAAGTGTTCTATAATTGCTCTTAATCAATCCAGTTTGCATAGGGGAAATAGCTTAACGTGTAGAGGTGATTCTCAGTGCTCATGGCCCAGCAGCATTTCCATCTTAAAGCTTGTTTGGCACAATGTGGGTTAGAAATTTGTATAAATGCTTTGATTATGGACAATTTTCTATCCCAGGTGTTATCACTTTACATCTGCCCAAGACCTGATTTCCCAGATTGTACCAGCGTGGCTTTCCATGATGAAGCACCAACTTGTATGTCTTCACAGCCTGACAGAGATGGGAGAGCTTTAGGTTCTACTAACAAGGATGTGGCAATGATAATGGGGGATTCCTTCACTTTCCTCTGAGCCTCGGTTCACTTTTCTGTGAACTGGGAATAAAAACATCTCAAAATTGTTGTAAAAGTTGAAAATCATATATATGGAACACTTTGCACACAGCAGATAATAAGCATAACTATTGTTTTTATTTTATTTTATTTTATTTATTCATTTATTTTGAGACAGGGTCTCTCTTTATTGCCTAGGCTGGAGCACAGTGGTGTGATCACAGCTCACTGCAGCCTCAACCTCTCAGACTCAAGCGATTCTCCCACCTCAGCCTGCCAAGTGGCTAGGACCACAAGTGTGCACCACCAGGCCTGGCTAATTTTTTAATTTTTTTTTTTTGTAGAGATGGGGTCCTACTGTGTTGCCCAGGCTGGTCTCAAACTCCTGAGCTCAAGCGATCCCTCTGCCTTGGCCTCCCAAAGTGCTGGGATTACAGGCAGAAGCCACCATGCCCGGCCAACTGTTGTTTTCATAAGGGCTATTCTGTGTTATCACATAGCCATTTTCCCATTTCACTGATGTCTGAGAAAACTATTTAAAAATAATGCAATTATCCTCATAATTTACCTCCTACAAAACACATTCTCCAAGGCATTTCATTTACCACTAACAAACCAGCTTTTACCCTCACTTTGTTTGCTCACCATGTCATGGTAAAAGATGAATAAGTAGTTGTACAGTGTGAGGTCACTGCCTTGATCAAGTCTAACATGCCAGCAGTCTTGCCTGTTGCTTGTGCACCATCAGTGCAATTGTTAGCAAGGTAAAAAAGGCCAGTGACATCTCAGTATGATGATAAAAATAGATATGTTCTCCAGAATCCCTTGAAACATCTCCCCGACTCTCAGGGGTCTTAAGCCTGAGCTTCAGGTTTGTGATGATCACCTTTTCTTGATAAACTCTTTCTGGATAAAGGTGCTCCATGTCTGGTTTCCTTGTTGATGGTTCTTCATAGCCTACATGTCTGGAACCCTCAGAGAAAGTGAGGTTTGCTAACATGACTATCATAATTCTTTCATTTGCAACACTAGCAACAGATCTCAGGTTCCAGGATAAATGTGCTATGACGTGGTGATCCTCCAGAGAGTCTACCTTGAATATTCACTACCAAGACCTGCTTCAAAATCATTGGCCCGTTCTTGCCTTTCCTTTGTGTGCAGCATTCTGAGAGGAGTTGAAAGAGAGGAAGACAAGAATGCCTTAGTTACTTTCTGTGGCTCTTGTGCATTATTAATTTTCTTAACAAAAAAAAAAGCCATATGCATGTCAAGATTGATTAGAATCCTTAATGACATACTTAATTTTAGGAGTGCCATACCATGACTTCCAGCAAACAGAAGTGACTGTTGAGAAGGAATGATTCACCACCTACTAGCTATACTAATAGTTACACATGAATATCGTGTCTAATGATCTCAGTCAAGCTGCCTCGTAACTTTATGTCTGCGCATCCATTTACACTTGTTTTTCCTAATTGAAATTAATTGGAATAAATATGTGTCAAATAGTTAAACTCAGTAATCTAATTTTAAGAAAATGATTGCACTCTTTTTCCTGTTAATGAGCCTGGCTTTTTTTTTCTTCTTATCAATCTGTCCTTTGATAGGTCTTTTCATGACAATGGATTTTTCATATCCCAGGCTCTCAAGTCCCTCAGAAGTGTAGTAAGTCAGGTGAGATTCAGGATCTGCCTGCTAATGGGGAAATAGTTGGTCAGTTCAGTCACGTTGCCAAAGTAGTTAAGGCAGAGAGAAAGCAAATCCTTCATACTAATTGGCAGCATGTAGCTGTTCCACGTAGTAATTATTTCATAGATGCTGAATAAATATGTCTGAAATGAAGAGAACTGTTAGAATTTTTTGACCTTGTCATTCTGTACTGAAATAAACACAACCACGGACAACTAAATAGTCTCAGAATGTTTTGAGAGCTTATTGCACGTAAGTGACTTATTCATAGGCAAGGCTGTATTGCTGTGTCATCACAAAACCTACAATTGGCAATGACCTTGGAATTAGTAGGTATGATTACTACATGTAAGGTGCTTAGAGCAATGTCCTGTATTTTCTAAGGACTACATATTATGAGTATCATTTGGGATAACCTCTGTGGTCATCCAGAAATTCTACATGCAGAGTTTGGAATGCATCACATGACAGGATCGGATTCTTCTTCTACACTGTTGTGTGCTCATGTAAATCAAAATACTTCATAGTGCCCAAAGTTCCAATGGTTTATTGCCAAGGAGAAACAAGTTGCGTGTCAAGGGGACCATCTTGAAACCAACATATTCTTCCCACATTAGCACTTATGCAGATTAATTTAAAAATATAATCTGCATGTTGGTAATTCTATCTGAATGTCAATTATTATTAATATTATTACTGAGTCAGTCATGTAGATTTACACATGGTAATTAACACTTTTCACATATTATATGGATAGATGCATGGCCGATGACATGGAAAGGCTGTAGCTTTCACAAATCTTCCTAGTGGCGATGGACATACCAGCATAGGCTGTCCCTATGTGCCAACTTCAAAAACCCAGCTTGGTCTCTTGGGAAAACTGGAATCTAATTGGATACTTTAAGTGTTTTTGCATGGAGCTGTCAGCATATACATCTTGTTGCAGCTGTGAACCATCAAACATGTGTACAACTAGACTTAAAAAAATGACTGCTACACATTTGTGTAAAGTTGGTAGATGCATTTACATGAAAATCAACTGGTGGGAAATTCATGGAAATAATCCAAGCAGAATAGAAAACTAGGGTAGGTTTGTCAGTCATCTGAGTAAGTGTCATGATTCTGTGATTCTCTTTGGCTCAGGATTCAGTCTGTTGAATGAATTTACAAAACAAAAAACAAATACCCAAAAGCAAAAAGAAAGCTCGTTGCAATAGCCACAGACTTCCAGGCCAAAAAATAAACATATGACAAAGTATTTCACACTGCATTATAGGTGCATGAAGAAACAATGAACTTGCATTATTGTTTGTGTTGCTTCATATTATTGTCAAAACCTCTATTTCCTCTGCTGATGGGGGCAGGCAGAAAAGCTCAAGCTTCAACTTGCCAGTCAGGATAACAGTCTCTTCCGATCTTATATTTTGGGTAAATATTCAGTCAATTCAGAATTCAATCTTCATCAGGTTAGAGTCCTCCTCCACTCCATCTCAAACGCTGCTTCCCATCCTCATCATAAAATAGTGTCTGGGTTCAGGAGAAGCCTTTCAATGTTTGTGCATGTGAGAGTGTGACCTGTGTAGCGAGGTGCCTTTTTTCTCTGTCTTTCTCTTTGCCCTGCTGAAGCACCTGCAGCTGGCATAGCTCAGGGACAGTTCTCTGAATGAAAGGGATCCCCATCTTGGCTTCGCTGGTCCTGTTGCTCATAGATTTCGACTCTTCTTTCCATTGGTCTCTTGTTTTGGGCACCCCAGTTTGCAGTCCTCCAATATGGAGTAATTTCACTCCCCATCTGAAAGAAAGGCATGCCAAACACTGTCTCCAGCTGTCTTCTAGGGAGGAACTACTGGCTCTCACATCAAGTGAGTGTAGAGTTTACGGGAGAGTCAGAGGGGTAGCTGTTTGGGAGATTTCCCTAAAAGTATTTCTCAGGAGATGTTTCTTTGCCTAGGCAAGGGATGCCACTAATACTCTCTACTTGGATTCCTCTGCCTAGACTTCAGGAGTTTCTCTCCTTCTCTTTGAGGTTCTCAGCTTAAAGAACTTAACCCACCCTTCATGTCAACTGCCTGGCTTTTCCTCTCCCTCTTCTCATCTTTAGTTCATCCTTCCAATATCAAATAACTTATTTCACCTTTATGTCTCTTGAGGACTTTCTTTATATGTTAACTTCTGTGCTTCTTTAATTGCTTACAGCAAAATGCCAGGATTGTACTTCCAGGTTTTACTTTGGTTTATCAAGAAAAATGTTATGGACTTAGAAAGCCTTTTCTTTTGCTGTCAATACCTTGCGTGCAAAACGAGACCATCTCTGAAGATTGAGACACATCCACTTTGCAAACCCAAAATGCAGCAATGAGATCTTTATTCTAGGCATGTGTGCCTCCTTCTGAAGGAATCAGCTCTCCTGGTTCAATGGGTTCAGTGGGCAGAGTTTCATGAACTAGGGAGAAGAAAACATATTTTGGTTTACTGTTTCAGATCTATTGTCAGCTTTATATATGAATATGTGTGTATTTTTTATTGAATCACCAATTTCCCATCTACTACTAGTTATTAAAATAAGCCAGTTTTATATGTTTATAATTAGGAAAAGTAGCAGTTATAAACTGTAATACCCTAAAGGGTGGCATGATTTGAGAGTGTGAATAAACTCTAAAGAACAGAAGTTGCAGGCCGAGTGCGGTTGCTCAAGCCTGTAATCCCAGCATTTGGGAGGCCGAGGTGGGGGGATCACTTGAGCTCAGGAGTTCAAGACCAGCCTGGGCAACATGGTGAGACCTCATCTCTACACACACACACACAAAATAAATAAATAAAAATTAGCCAGGCATGGTGGCGCACACCTGCTGTCTCAGCTACTGGGGATGCTGAGGCAGGAGAATAGTTTGAGCCCAGGAGCCGGAGTTTGCAGTGAGCCATGATCACACCACTGCAGTCCAGTCCAGCGTGGGAGACAGAGCAAGACTCTGTCAAATAAATAAATAAATAAATAAATAAATAAATAAATAAATAAATATCAGAAATTGCCAATCTCATCCTTGAAGACAATGGGCAGAATCTCTTTATAGCTTATGGTGTGCTCAAGTCCTCACCCCAAATTCCAGTCTTTATCTAGGCCCTTCCAGCCCTTTGTTCTTGGGATCATGTTGTTATTCAGCCACTCCAGGGTTTGTCAACCTAGGAGAGGAATGAAATATACCCCACCAACTATCGCCCATCAAGTTCTGGAAGGAAAGAGAAGAGCAGTGTGGGTCTGCTAGCTCTGGAGATCCTAGTTTGTTTCTACATTGGGCCTCATTCCTCACTCTGCTCTGATCCTGGTGTTGCCTTGATCCTCACTTTGCCTCCTAGTTCCTGCCTTCCTGCTGGGCTAGAATATTCCCACTCCAGTTCTCTGCTCTTTTAGCAGGGTAGGTACTAGGAAGGTAGGTTATCAGTAGTTGTGGGAGGAAGATAGAGGGTGTAACACCATGCACTCATATACACACCTCCCTCCAGCACTACCATTGTACCCCAAGACATGTGTCCACTGACTTACCCACATTGGCTTAGGAAGGGCTCCTGAACCCTAAAAATGCTTAAGAGAGCAAAAGTGGCATAAAAGAGACTGAGCTTTGGAATCTTTGGTTCAGATTCCTAGTTGGTCATACACTAGCTGTGTGACCCTGGGAAAATTACTCCATCTGTTAAAATTTCACCTTCCTCACCTACAAAATCTGAATAATTTTCACCTGCCTACATGACAGAATTCATAGGAGAGTAAATATGGCATGACAAAGTGCCTAGGGCATGGTACACTCTCAGTAAATGCTGATTTTTCCTTTCCTTCTGGAGGCTTACCTGTAACAACCTATTCTCAGCTGCCCCATGACCCCTGACCTCAGCTGCATGTCTAGGCTCAAAGTGTCTTATACAGTACAGGTGCTGAAATCCAGAGGTTTACATGCAAATTGGACTGCATAATTTCTGTGTTTTTTTTTTCAGTGTTTATTTCAACATTAGTCTCCCTAATATTCATGGTTTTCAAGGTCAGTGGAAAATCATGTTGATTCGTATGACTCTGGATGATTAGAGTGAAGGGCTTTTGACTTCATCACTTGTAGCTGCTTAATGGCTGAAGAATTAACAAAGGAGAAAATAGTGTGAACATGCCAAAGGAATGGTGATTAGAGTTGCATGATTGAAAAGTTTGACATGTGTGGGGAAAAATCCATCTACTGCCCTGTCCTTTAATGCTGTGGCAGTTTTGCTCATATGCATGAGTAAAATGCAATTTCTACCAGTAGAATTCACTTTTGCTCAGAGGGGAAAAAATGCATGTGTCATAGTAGGATCTGGGAGTTGGAATTCAAAAGGTATAATCTAATGAGTGGGTAAAGAGAAAGACCCAAAGAGAAATGTTTGAGAGTGAATGGAGAGGAGAAAGGAGCAGGAGGAGACAGAGAGAGAGAGATACAGAGAGAAATAGCTTACAGAGGTATTTTTATCTGGTATTGTTTACTGGGAACCAAATTGATTCAACTACTGTATACCCAGCCCTAAACTTTTGCCTCAACCCAGTCCACTGAGACATAATCACTGGTTAGCTTTGAAACACATTTTCTAATTTCATTTCTTCATTGTTTTGCACACTTCAAGGCATCCTAGCTTCAACCAGAAACCAAAGAACATCTGCAATCACAGCCGGACACATTTTGTTGCAAAAGTCAACATTGCTGAATTCCAGTCCTCTTGATATTCTGAGCCTCTCAGATGTCAGGGGATATCTTGTTTTTCAACATACTCTATTGAAATGTTATACACGGCTCATGAAAAATATGCCATTTGATAGACTTCATAAATCCATCTGCTATAACAGCCACTATGATAAAGGTCAACTGTGGAGTGTGAGGGCATTTCCTAATCCTCTCCATTTTCATTCTCTTTAACCCTGTCAGTCCATGAAGTTGCTACTAAAGCTTGATGCTGTAGCTATGCATGCTGCCTGTACCTTGTTTTTAGATTCTTATCAGCGTAAATGTGCATGGGATCCTTATGGCTACTCTGTAAACTCCTAAATTTCCCGTCCTTATCTGAGGAAGTGCTAGGTACTGCTAAAGTAGAAAAGTCAGAGCCAGAGGAGATTTTTAATATAAAATAAGGCCCAGGAGAAGAGCAATCTTAGTCATGCTAGATATTTCTGAAGCATAACTTCTTAGTGGGAGATAGGAAGTAAGGAAGCTACTTGCAGTCTCTCAGCTGGGGGCCTCTTCTCCATGGATAGCAATTCAGAGATGGAAAACTATAGTTCTATTCTGCAACTAAGAATTATTTCTTATGGGACCCTGCATTTCTTTTTCCTACTCCCTATATAATCCCCTCCAACTTCAGATAATCTCAAGCCTGTTCATCAATTTAAAAAAAAAAAGTACTAAAAAAAGAGATTTCTACTTTATTTTTGGCTCACTCTTTAAGTTATGCACATAGGAATCTACATTTTCTAGCCTCCAAAGTGACGTGGATGGTAGGGACAGTAATGGAATGAAAAAGTACATCTGGTTGAGCTAATCAATTTCAAGCACTTGACTGTTTTTGCTTTTTGTTTTCCCATAGGGGGAATCCAGAAGCCTTTCTAAAATAATATGAGAAGGCATGCTATTGAGAAAATTCCTCAAACATGAGTGTGAGGGTGTTGACAAAGCCTAGGAAGAGAGAAATTACTCGTTATGAATAGGGGTTCTATCTTTTGCTGATAAAAAATCAGGAGGAAAGAAGAAAAGCAAGAAGTTAGGGGAAAGACAATGCCATAGGAGGTGAAGAATAGATCAAGACATTCTTTTTCCTGTATTTTATATTTCTCATGTATAATTTCATTGCATTTAATCCTTCTATTATCTTGAGCGTACAGAGAGTCTGTAACATCTATTGGAATTACGCATGTAAAGTCTGTGTTCTAATGGAAGTAAAATTTGTTTTCTCAGTTAAAAATAGAGACAATTTTTTTCCAGGCCCTCTCACAAGAGTCTGGAATAAATCAACATGTTTACAAATACAATAAATGTGCTACAAGCCAATTGGGGATTTGTTTGTTCACATTTTCCCAATGGCTTTGGACAGGCGGTTCAAAAATAAGCACAATTCTCCATGGAATTTCCACTGAGTAAGAGCTTGACAAATGAAATAAATCCAAGTGCTGATAAGAGAAAACATGTTTCTTATAATGGGGAAGGTGTATATACACATACATATATGTGTATTTGTGTGTGTACATATATATTTGTGTGTACATATATATATTCCACAATTTTTACTAAGGTAGTATATTGACATTGCTTTGCTGTCATTCCAGAGTATTGCAAAACGAAATGGATTCCCCACATGGCATGTAGCTTACATATTGTTGGTGAAACAAACAGGCATGACTCTAACAAATTTTTCCTCTAACCTGTTCTTATGACAATAATGACATCTAACATTCCTTAAGCACTTGTGTTGAGCTACGTATTTATAAATTAACACAGACTATATAATCTTTTCCTAGTGGTAGAAGCAGTTTTCTCATTTTTCAGATTAGGATATTCATAGGACTAATTCCCTTCAAATAATAAACTGTTCTAGAGAGAGGGCTCCAAATTAAGCCAAGAAGACTTTATGCTGACAACTTATTTCTATTAGAATACTAGAGAATTAATTCACTTATTCATTCACTAATGCATCCACTTCTTTGGGCACCTAGAACAGCGTCTAGCACAAGATGTTCACTCAATAAATATTTGTTGAGTGAGTGAATGAATGAATGATTGAATGAGCAACTCTCATGTATAATCAGCTAGGCTCAGAGGGCTGGGAATGAAAAGTTGACGCCAATAGGGCTGATATCCTCAAGTCTGATAATAAAAATCTGCCTTGCAACTAAATGGCAGCAATTAGAGACAGTTGTTATAACATGTTAAAAGGGAATTCTTGGAGAAAAATATAACTTAAGGTATGACCAGAAAAGGTTAGTGGAAGAGAGATTTGACCCTCAGTATGGGGCTCAAGAAGCCAGGAATCATGAAAGGGAAAGAGAAGAATAGAAGAAAAAAATAGTTGGAAATTCACAAAGGGAAGAATTGCAAATAGAAGGCCAGGCCATGGCAAGAGGAAATTCACTGTATTATTCAAGTGAAGAAAGTGTCCTCTCAAAATCTTAGATGAAAACTTTGGAAATTCCCATTAAGCCAAGTGTGGTGGGCAGAATAATTCTTCTACCCACCCTGAAGATGTCCATGTTTTAATACCTAGAATCTTTGAATATATTCCTTTACATGACCAAAGGGACTGTAACTCTGCAGATGTGATGAAGTCAAGGAACTTGAGATGTAAAGAGGATGTCGAATTATTCAGGTGGGCTTAATATAGTCACAAGGTCCCTATAATTGAAAGAGAAAGTTTTAGCTCTTTGAAACCCATTTCAGACTTATGACTGCCAGAACAGTAAGCAGTACGTGTGTGTTGTTTCAAGCCCATGTTTTTGATAATTTGTTACAGCAGCAAGAGGAAACTGATACAGTGAGCTAATCTAGAGGGGCACACATTGTCTTCTCAAATTCTTTTTTTTTTTCTTTTCTTTTCTGAGTGTCTTCACTTGGCATAATAAACACCCTTGGTAGCTCAAGAGCATTAAAAGCTGTATACTGATTCACATTTCTTACCTGAGAAACTTAGCAGAGTGGTGTTTAAGGTATTTAAAATGTTGAAGATAGCCTCACCCTTTGAATTGAACCTTCACTTGACCTTGTGCCTCTCATTGGTACAGTGCCCAGGTAAAATGATTCATATTGCTTTTCCCACCCTAAGGGCAAAATCATCAGCTCACATATTACAAGGAAGATCCACCACCTGTCATCTTCATTCTGGGGAAATACAGATGTGCACATTATTTTTTTCACAGAAGTATGGATATCAGAAAAGCCTCTCAATGAGTTTTCAAAATATATAGGAGGAAACAGTCTATAACACATCAGTTCTTTACATTGAGTCTGTTAACCTTTGCCTTGCCAACCTTTCCCTTCCTCTTTTCCCAGAGAAACCGATCAGTTCTTTCCACAGAAACATAAAAGACATTAGCTCACAAGACAGCATGTGTTTTCTTTTTTTGTAAGCTATGTTTGACCACAGCATGTATTTTCTTATCTTTCTGCAATGTCCGTGATGAAAAATGACTGTATTAGATCATCAATAATTATGACATTTTCTGAGTTGGATAAAAACCCACTATCAAACGGATAACCTTCAAGGATTCACCAGAAAACATGGATTATATACTGCAGGTTTTTTCTTTTACTTTTTTTTTCCTTTTTAAAAGTGATACATACACAGTTCGCTTTTGGTGGGCGGGTGGGGCAGTGGTTGACTGTGAAAACATCACAGGTTCTTTAGATTTCTATGAAATGAGGAGATCCAACTGTGTTCCAATTTTAATGTAAAGTTGTCGGGATTTCTTTCCCCTTAACTTCAACCCTGCATGAACCTGCATATACAAAAAGGTGTATTAGAGTCGATTCTTGATTTGAAACTAGGGCTTCTGATAGAAAAGAAATAGTAGACACACAATGACTGAGGTTCAGCCTTCTTGATCATGGGGCATAAATCAAACCCTAAAATCCAGACAGTCTTATCTTTAATTCACTTTACAGCCCTAAAGAGATGAGTGAGTTTTGATCTAACAGAATTCCTATTTTCCAAGCCCACAAAAAAATTTTGTTCAGGCCTGAGTTTGAATAAGTGCTAACATTTGTATTATTTCACTGTTTGTAATTGTCCACAAAGACAATTAAGGTAGGAAACGAGTGACTGTTTTAAAAACATCAGCAGGTAGCCACATGATGAAATGAGTTCAGCTGGTTTTCATTTGCTCACATGTTCTATCAATATGATTTAGAGTTAAAGACTTAAAGACCTCAAACCTGAACTTTCTTTTTTTCTTTTTGAGACAAGGTTCCACTCTGTCACTCAGGCTGGAGTGCAGTGGCATGATCACAGCTCACGGCGGCCTCAAATTCCTGGGCTCACGCAATCCTCCCACCTCAGCCTCCTAATTAGCTGGACGTACAGGTGCACAGCACCACGCACAGCTAATTTTTTAAATTTTTTGTAGAGATGGGGTTTCACCGTGTTGCCCAGGCTGGTCTCGAACTTTTGGGTCAAGCAGTCCTCCCACCTGGCCTCCCAAAGTACTGAGTTTACAGGTGTGAGCTCCTGCACCTGGCCTCAAACCTGAACTTTCCGAGATAACAGTACTAAAAATGTCATGTATTCTTTGATTGAATAATGACAAGAGAAGGACTAATTAGGACAACATAGAATAATATCAAGTGCAACTCAGAGATCCAACATGAAAAGAAAGGCAATAGGAAGAGATGTTCTTCAAGGTGTATTAAGTGCCTATAAGGGCCCTAGATTGTTAGTAGGAGTTTCATGGAGACAGCAAAGTAGAAGTCAGAATTGGGGTGAGGGTATTTATGTTGGATAATATCCTAGTATGAGTGCTAAGAACTTATGGGCAAGAAAGTGTCCAGGAAATAAATGTGATAAAATATTCCGTTCTAGAAAAGCCCAGTGGAAAATAAAGTGTTGGGTTGATGTATTTTACTGTAGTAGGATGAAGTTTGAGCTGATCTGTTAGTAAGGGAGAGTTAGAAAGGCAAAGCTGTTTTGAGCAAAGCAGTTCAGAGGACAAGAGTCAGTAGAGTTTAACAAATCACAATGACATTTTGTGATGAGAGAACAACAGTGGAATATGGTTTTTAATCTTGCATCCAACCATCTTTGAATATATGCTGTGATTGGTCTTGCTTTTTATTTTTATTATCCAGTCCTATGATGTGCAGTCTTTCTGTCAATGTTGTAGTTTTCGAATTTAAGAGGGAAGTATCTCCATGAGAAATAAGAAGTATCCGATGGATGTGCTAACATCTCAGAGGATTTTTGTTTGGCTGCAGAGGACAAGGCTCCCAGAGTTGGAAAACCAGGGTGAAAATGGAGAATAAATGTATTTAGTGCTGGAGGAGGCAGCGTGTCCTCTTTGGGCAGGGTCTGTGAGATACAGTGGTAGGGTGCCTCATGAATGCACCAGGCTTCGTCTTGCCAGAAGCTGTGTGTCTAGCAGTAGAGAGGAAACTTTAACACCCTATGTTGCTTGCTCTAATACTCTCACCATAGGAGGAGAGAGACCCATCTGGAGGCTGCATGCAGCGGCCTCTCCCCTTCACTTTTCTACTAGCAAAGTTGAGCAATGGCTATGATCATGAGCTAGAAAAGAGCTTAGATTAATCTTCTTCATATATATAGTTCTCCTGCTGGTCTTTCACTATGCATCCTGAACTGCCCCCTACCCCCACCACACTCCCAGTGATGTGAATGCCTACTTACTATTCCAAGTAACAATACATGTTTTGGTTTTGGACTCAGGCCGTCTAAACTTCCATATGAGATCTTTCCTTTGCTGTCCTTGCAATGTTGGAAGGTTCTTTAACTGTTCTCTAGGATTCTTTGTTCTCATCTCTGAAACAGGGCAGATGGAATGATACCTCTCTCATTGACTTGTTGTGAGGATCAGAATGAGATGGTTCATGAGGAATGATTTGCACGGTGCCTGGTGGTAGTGATAGGCACTACCCAGTGGTGGTCATGATGATTATGATACATCCATGAATTCTAATACTGTGAGCTCCGTTGATGGTGAGGAATAATCTGGCAGCTCCAGGAGGGAGTATACATTGCCATGCCATTGTTCTCTAATGCAGGTGTAGAGGTCTCCTTATGATCCCTAATCATTCTCTTGCTTCTCTAGAGCTTCCATTGACCTTCCTCCTTCTTCTTCTTGCTTTGTGCCCTGGGAGGATGACCAATGTGGGCTATGTCAGTGGATCCCATGTCTCCTGTGGTGTGGGCAATGATAAGCCCTGTTGTTATAGGAACAATAGGTTTATATACCCATTACACAGTAACATACCAAAACACCAAAGCAGCAGGGTTTGCAACAAGGAAAGAGTTTAATAATCACAGGGTGCTAAGTGAAGAGATGGGAGGGGACCTTCAAATCCATCTCCCCAAAGAGATCTTGGCTGAAGCTTTTAAGGGGATTGTGGAGGGCAAGGGGCTAGAACATTGGGGTCATTGTTCAGCGTAAGGGGGTTGAAATCATCAGGATGTGGCAACTGCATTCTTTGGGAAGTCAACTCCTTGCAGGGTCCTTTAGACCAGCTGGCATCAGTCATTTTTTTGGTATGCAGGTCCTGAAAGAATATCTTAAAGGAAAACTTAACTTTTCACGATGCTTAAGTTGTTATCTATAGAGCAGTTATGGGGAGCTATAATCTAGACTCGGACAATAGATGCCAAACCACTATGAGGAAACAGGTCAGAGAGTGAGCTAACCTAGAGATTAATGCTGAATATGCTGCAAGCTTGCTTTATTTTTGTTTCTACCCCCCCCCCGTTTTTCTTTGATTATTTTTGTAAAGTTTATGGGGATGGTATCACTGATGGGAAATCCAAGGAAGGGTGGAGAATAAAGATAGGTGCCTCTTCCCCCAGCGTGCTCCCTGTGAGGACATCTAGGGCTGGGATGACCTCAACAGAGAAGACACCTGGTGTCTTCTTGAGGTGGCTGCTAGAGGCAAACTGCTTTCCTTCCAGATGTCAGGAGCCTGACCCTCACCAAGACTTCCTGCATGGTTTATGACCTCCCTACACACATTTCTACTTAATAAATTAAAACAACACAATCCTTTTACGGATAATCCTAATTTGAACATGCCCTTTGTTTCTCTTTAGGACTTTTTTTTCCTAGTATGCCCTATAGGCAGACACACTTTCGAGGTGATGAATTCCTGAACGATTCACAGAATGTGGGTTTGTGAATGCCAGCCTTTCAGGATAAAATGTGCTACTTGAAACAGCTTTGTGCAGATAAGTGTATGATATCTGTTGCACAGTAGGGTGACTATAGTTAATAATAAAGTGTTATATATTTCAAAATTGCTAAGAGAGTAAATGTCAGATGGTCTCACCACAAAAAAATAAGTATTTGAGGTGATGGATAGGTTAATGCACTTGATTTAATTATTCCGTATTATAAACATATATCAAAACATCACATTATACTCCATAAATATATACAATTATAACTTATCAAACAAAACTTTAAGAATTAAATAATTTAGTTAATTGAATAAAAGGCTTTGTAATATGAAAGCACCAGTAAATGTTGAGGTCTGGCCACAGAATCATTTTACTGAGCTGTGTTTTAAGGTTACGCATCAGGTTCATGCTCTGTAAGTATGGTTTTGTTTTTGTTTTTGTTTTTTGAATCTCACTCTTTCACCCAGGCTGGAGTGCAATGGCGTGATCTCTGCTCACTGCAGCCTCCACCTCCTAGGTTCAAACAATTCTCCTGTCTCAGCCTCCTGAGTAGCTGGGATTACAGGCACCCACCACCACGCTCGGCTAATTTTTTGTATTTTTAGTAGAGACGGGGTTTCACCATGTTGGCCAGGCTGGTCACAAACTCCTGACCTCAAGTCCACCCACCTCGGCCTCCCAAAGCACTGGGATTACAGGTATGAGCCATCGCACCCAGCCAAGTATGGTTTTGAACATGAACATAGTCAGCAACTCCTCACTCTATTATTTATTATTTTTTATTTTTTAAGAGACATGGTCTCTCTCTGTCCCCCACTGGAGTACGGTGGTGTAATCATGGCCCACTGCAGCCTCCAACTCCTGGGCTCAAGTGATCCTCCTACATCTGCCTCCCAAGTAGCTGGGACCACAGGTATGCACCACCACACCTGGATAATTTTTTCTATCTTCTGTAGAGATGGGGTCTCACTATGTTGCTCAGGCTGGTTTTGAACTCCTGGCCTGAAGAAATCCTCCTGCCTTGGCCTCCCAAAGTGCTGGGATTACAGGTGTCAGCCACCACATCTAACCTAGCATCACTCACTTTAAATGAACACATATCAAATGCATAGTAACAGTCTTGATACCGTATGTATAGTAATAAGTCTTTTAACTATAAATGTTTTTTATTTGCGTAGATGGTTCACACTAAAAATTTACCATTAATTCCAATTTATGATACTAAGTTGTATGTCTGGCCATATAAGTATAGCAAACATACTACTTCTGTATTTAGGTTTGCTATTTAGTTCAGAACATTTCACTTTAAAATTTTACACAAATGAAATAGAAGAAATTATTCAATTTCTCCCAGCAACTGCAGGGAAATCCCAGCACATTATTTCCCTGGTTTTCAAACACCACCATGACCACCACTGTATTGCTGTTCATCATAGAGGATTATCATTGATTGTGGCCCTTCTGCTGGAGATAAAAGTTCTCTTCTGATCATTTCATAATAGCCCATGATATTAGATATCAGTTTGGGTGCTGGAATGACTGCAGAAAGGTCACTCATAATAGCGTGGGGGACAAGAGAGTAGCAGTGCTGCCTTCTGGGTCTGAACTGAAGCTCAATTCAGGGATCTCCTTTGAAATACTTTGGGTTTGTTCTGTTGGCCCATGGAAGAACCTGCAAAAATGTGTCTTTACCGAGAACTCAAATATGTAGCCCTAGTTCATTGACAGGAGACTATCTCTGGTGCAGTGAGTCTCCCAGGGCAGTTTCAGAACACAATAGTTCACTCTGAATTTATTCCTCCCTTAATCCTCTACCCATTTCTGGAAATATCTGCCTTTCCCTCGAAGTCAGGTATATTAAAAAACCTAGCAATAGCACTGGAGAAAACCTCTTGAAATGCAGAAAATAGAGTGTCAAATGCAATCAGGCATCAATAGAACCAGCCATCCATCCCCAAATTGATGCATCCAAGAGCACTGTACATAGTTTTTGTGTGTATTTAATAATATTTTGTCCAATAGTTTTTGAGGCTCCACCAATGGTGAGAAATGCCTTAGAGACTGCAGCTTTGATATTCTCCAGTTGTCTTTAAGCATAAGACAGAATATAAAGATAAAGCATAGACTCCATATTAAAAGCTCACCTTAAGTTCTATAAGAGATTTTATCTGAAGGAGTAAAATGCAGAAAATATTAGATGAGGAAGTTTCTGTGGGAATGAGAGGCTTGGTTAGCCCTTCATGTTGTATGTGAAAGAATTCCACCTATATTCGTGCTATTGAATGGATTTTCCTTTCCATCAACAGACATATTGTAAATGTAGCCTTAATAATCAAGGCACTCAAAACTGTACGACTCTCCTTTTCTTGGTTGAGAAGCCTAATAAATGCTCTGAATTAATATTTAGAAGAAGAGGTGGGATTTACACATTTTCTCGTCATTAGCATAGCAAAGATAAATGTTTCCATTCTTTATGAACCTATGTATCAGCCCAGTTTTAGCTACTGAACTTGACTATAAGTTAAGGTCTTTGAATATGTAGCATGCCAGAGTAGATATTGAAGCCTCTGATTCCTTAGGAAAGAGTGTTTGTGAAGGAGTAGTGGGGATGGGTGGTGTATTATTATCTCTTGTTGCGCAACAGATAACCACAAACTTAGCGGCTTAAATCAACACCCATTTTTCTCACCATTTCCATGGGTCAGGAATCTGGGTGCAACTTACCTGGGTCATATGCTCAGAATATCTCAGGGCTTCAATCAAGGTGTCATTAAGCTGTGCTCTCATCTGAAGACTTGGCTGGGGAAGTATCTGCTTTCAAGCTCCATTGAGTTGTTGGCAGAAACCATTTTCTGGTGGCTACAAAATTCAAGGCAACTTGCGCCTTCAAATCCAGAAACTGAGAAGAGAGTCAGAGAGAAAGAGAGAAAGGAGGAGGGAGAGTCAAAGAGAAGATTCTGCTGCTTGGAGATTCTGACTTCAGGGTAGTTCTAGGTCCTTATTTTACTGTATTTATTTTTCAGACAGGTTCTCACTCTGTTGACAAGGCTGGAGTGCAGTGACACAACCACAGCTCACTGCAGCCTTGACTTCCTGGGCTCAAGTGATCCTCCTGCCTCAGCCTCCTGAGTAACTGGGACTGCAGGTGTGCACCACCAAACCTGGCTAATTTTTGTATTTTTTGTAGAGATGGAGTTTCGCCATGTTGCCCAGGCTGGTCGGAAACTCCTAGGCTCAAGCAATCCACCCACCTGCCTCTACCTCCCAAAGTGCTGGGATTAAAGATGTGATCCACCATGCCTGGCCAGGTCTTCCTTTAAAGGTACATCTAGGTCAGGTTTGGTGGCTCACGCCTGTAATCCCAGCACTTTGGGAGGCTGAGGTGTATCACCTAAGGTCAGGAGTTTGAGACCAGCCTGGCCGACATGGTGAAACCCTGTCTCTACTAAAAATACAAAAATTAGCTGGGCGTGGTGGCACGCACCTGTAATCCCAGCATCTTGGAAGACTGAGGCAGGAGAATAGCTTGAACCCTGGAGGTGGGGGTTGCTGTGAGCCAAAATGCACGCAACTGCACTCCAGCCTGGGCAGCAAAGTGAGACTCTGTTTCAAAAAAAAAAAAAAAAAGAAAGAAAGAAAAAGAAAGAAAAGAAAAAAAGGAAAAGAAAAAAAAAGGTGTACCTGATTACATCAGGCTTATCCAAGATAATATCCCTTTTGATTATGAGAACCTCAATTATTTCTGCAAAACCACTTTACTTTTGCCATGAAACATAACCATGGGAGTAATATCCCATTCTCTTTGCCATATTCTATAGGTTAGAAGGTCATAGGTCCTTCCCACATTCCAAGGAGAAAACCACACAAAGGCATGGATACTAGAGGGTGAAAATCCTGGGGGCCACCCTAGAGGTTCCCACCACAGACGGAAAATCAACCACTGCTCCTGTCCACTTTGAGCTGAACCTGGTTATCCAGTCAGCAGTTTACATTTGCAATACATTTAGATTCATTTCGATGAATACTGTCCTAAGACCTTTCTCCATAGACACTTAGGAGAATCCTCCAAAATCTCCGGTGGGAAAAGAAGATGGGTAGTGGATCTTTCCATTAATATCACGTGAAGTTGTGTCCTGATTAAAGATAAATCCAACGTAGATGACAATTCTAGCATTTTACTTCTCACCATCATTCTCTCTGAGCAATGTCAACAAAATAACAGATTCTATTCTAAACAGCCCTGGCCTGCTTTGAACTGTATGTGAACCTTTGGGACATTTACTGTCCATCCAATTGCCCGATCATAAAGATTTCACTTTTCTAGATATTTCCAATACAGCAACCACCAGACTTAAAAAAACAAAGTCTGGTTTTCAATCCAGTGATTTAGTGGCTTTTAGTAACAGGGCACACAAAGCCATTTCCTGTTTTTGGTTCTTCAGCCTGTAATCTAGAATGATTAAACTGATACTTGCTTCTATTCTCTTCATCTTCTGAGACGTGATTTTGGCTGCACTTGAAGGCATTAAGTCCACAATTTTTCAGAGTCTCCTATTTATGCACCAGCCACTGGGTTAGGGACTTTCACATGCAAAGAGAAGCAGTTTGGTGATTTCTCAAAGAACTTAAAACAGAACTTTCATTCAACCCAGCAATCCTGTTACTGAGTATATATCCAAAGGAATATAAATAGTTCTGTCATAAAGATACATGCATGCCTATGCTCATCACAGCACTATTCACAGTAGCAAAGACATGAATTCAGTGTAAATGCCCACGAAGAGCAGATTGGATAAAGAAAATGTGGTACATATACACCATGGAATACTATGCAGCCAATAAGAAGAATGAGACCTTGTCCTTTGCAACAACATGGATGGAGCTGGAGGCTATTTTCCTAAGCAAACTAATACAGGAACAGAAAACCAAATCCTGCATGTTCTCACGTGTAAATGGGAGCTCAACATTGAGTACACATGGACACAAAGATGGAAACAATAGACACTGGGGACTACACGATGGGGGAGATTGGGAGGAGAGTGAGGATCGAAAACTACTTATTGGGTACTATGCCTATCAGCTGGGTGATGAAATAATCTGTACACCAAACCCCCATGACATGCAATTTATGTATATGATAAACCTGCACATGTACCCCTGAACCTAAAATAAAATAAAATAAATTTTTTAAAAAGACATCCCTTAGTGATCTTTGGAAATCATTAATTTTTATTCTTACTTTACAGGTAGGGAAGTGGTGGTCACAAGTGTCTTGACTGCCTCAAGGTCATTCAGTTAATAAGGTATCTTAAACCCAGGTAGGTTTGACCTAAGCACCGTGATCTCTGATGAACCTGTATTATCAAACTGGGGTTGTTAAGCCCTTGGAAGCCTATTAATTAAGCCATGAAGCCAGAAAGCCTCATTCTGGAAACTATTCCACATTATAACAAATTCTTCCCTGTTAGTTTGCACTACATCAGTGGTTCTCAACCAGTGGCAGTTTGGCCCCACCTCTCTACCACTGGCCAGGAGACATTTGGAAAGTCTGAAGACATTTCTGGTTGTCATACCTGGGGGGCAGGGCTGCTGCTGTCCACTAATGGGTAGAGACCAGAGATGCTACTAAATATCCCACAATGCACATCACCCCTCCAAACCCCCTCAGCAAGGAATTATCTGGCCCCAAATGCCAGCAGAGCCAATGTTAGTAAAGGCTGAGAAACTCCACACTACATTTTGACTTAATAAACTGTTTCTCAAACATTATTTTTAGAAAAAGCAAAAAAAAAAAAAAAATCCCTTTGCTATTCTGCTGTAGTTCTACATATATAAATACTGCATTCAGCACTGATGGCCATAGCATTTAATCCAGTTCATTTTTATGATTCTTGTCTCCTTTGCCTTTTCAACTCTTTGTCTATGTTTTTTTCCTGTGGGTAAGTGTTTTGCTGCTACAAATTTGTTTATTGTTGCTTGTTATTTCTCTGTGGTTTGCTATTTATTCTGCAGCTCTGGGATACTTATTAGGGGTGCTATATAAAATAAATAACAATAATGACAATGTTTACAGTACTTATCCCTAACAATTTTCCGGGCATCATGAAAGAAGACACAGAGAAACAAATGACAAAGGAGTTAGTTTGCATTTTTGCGTTTTTCCTATAAATAAGTACAGACCAGCTTCCCTCTGTCGTGAAATATTTATAGATTACTTTTTCAGGGTAAGTTTGCGATAAGTGCTTGAATGTGTTTCACCCTTGGATACATTCAATTTGTCTTCATTTTACAGTTTATTCTGTTAATTAGAAAAGGTTATAAGATTAATAACTAGTCATTGCTAATGCATTCAATGGACTGAACATTGAGTGTGATGAGGGGTTTTCTCCCCCTAAAGGGACATAAATGATCAGTTTATATGGATCCCATCAAACCTCTGATGAAGTGCACTGCACACAAAATGTGCTCAAGATTACAATGGCCTTTTGGTGATTTTCAAAACCATCCAAACATCAAAAATGCAATTATATTCTGTGTGCATAATAAATTAACTATCATGGGAGGGGCTGGTTGCTATTAATTGAGATGGAGCAAATCATGTGAGTGGGACTCTAGCTGAAGATGTGTAACAATTACAAATGTATTCAAAATACCAAAACTTTATACTTGTGTAGGGTTTTACTATTGCCAAAGGATTTTCACATAGATGCATTTTGATTTTCACAATCAGGTCTTGCTTTAAAAAAAAAAATTTTTTTTTTTTTTTTTTTTGAGATGGAGTTTCACTCTTGTTGCCCAGGCTGGAGTGCAATGGCACCATCTCAGCTCACTGCAACCTCCGCCTCCCAGGTTCAAGCAGTTCTCCTGCCTCAGCCTCCTGAGTAGCTGGGGTTACAGGCATGCACCACCACGCCTGGCTAGTTTTGTATTTTTAGTAGAGACGGGGTTTCTCCATGTTGGCCAATCTGGTCTTGAACTCCCGACCTCAGGAGATCCTCCCACCTCGGCCTCCCAAAGTGCTGGGATTACAGGTATGAGCCACCACACCCGGCCTTAAAAAAAAAAGTCTATAGCAATTAAAAAAGTGATTCAACCTCATGAAGTGGGTAGAAAACTGGAACTAAACCCATTTCTAGTGACTTTGAGTCCATTCCTCTTTATATTAGAAACCACATCTGTTTTGGGGGAAAACAGAATATTAACAAAATTATATAGCTTGGGCATACCATACAAGTCATTTAGTAAAGAAAAAATTATTTGTGGATTCAGAGGTTTGACAAAAAAAAAACCTCTGCTGAAATGATGATACTCTCATCCATTCAGCTGAGCTCCTGCCTGGTCTGCAGATGCCTTTGAGGACTTCAGGCAGAAATGCAGAAGAAGCTGTGGGTAATTGATGTCCAGTAGCTTGACCATAGCTTTAAAAGCACCCTGGGGCAAGCAAGCAATGGAAGGTACTTCACCAAGAAACCACAGAGAGCTTGCTTTGTCTGTAACCATCTTCTGAGGGATTTTGTCTGGTCATTTTTTCTCCTAATACAACCTCACATCAACAGAAAAGGTGCAAGACTAGTAAAACAAAACAAAACAAAACAAAAAACTCCTGTCCTGTGAAAAATTTAATTAGATTTACCAGTCATAACATTTTGACCAAGCTTTTTTGACTATCTCCCCTCCGCGTGTGTGTGTGTGTGTGTGTGTGTGTGTATTTACACACTTTTTTTCTGAACCATTTGGGACCAAGTTGTAGACATTATGCCCCATTAGCTGTAAATACTTCTAGTATATTTCCTAAGAACTAGACCCTTTCTTTCCTAACCACAGTGCAAATATCAAAATCAGGACATTCAACATTCCTAGAATGTCATTATCTAATCCACAATTTACATTCAAATTTTGTCAGTTGTCTCCATCATGTCTTTTAAATCTTCTCCAATCCCTTCTCCATTCCAGCACCCAAACCTTGTTCATGCATTGTATCTAGTTGCCATGGCTTCTTAGTCTTCTTTAATGTAGACAAGCTTCTCCGACTCCCTTTCTCTTTTATGACTTTGACATTTTGATACTTTGAATTGTAGCTATGTCCCTCTCAGTGTGCTGCATCAGGAGACATGTGATGTCGATTTGTCCCCTTACTGGTGATGTAAAACTGGATCCCTTGGCTAAGGCATCATCTGACAGATTTCTCCAGTGTAAAGGAATGAATTTTCATTTTGTAATGAATAAGTAATTTGTCCTAAGGTGCTTTAAGATATAGCTCCTGAGAAATGTCTCATTCACTATGGGAACAGAAAATGCACAAGATGATTTTCAACACCTTGCCATTCCAGAATGTAACAAGTACCCAAATAACGACAGGGAAATAACAAAGGACACAGGAGCCGGTGTGAAGGCACTCCTATCAGCCAATCCTGCATGAGTTGAGCACCAAAATAAGTAATGACAGGAAGGGATTATAACTCATTGACTAAAATAAGAGCCCATGAGTCTAGGCTGATAAGCTTAGATATGTGAATAAATAAAGAGGGGGAAGGAAATTATTTTCTGAAAATCAAGAAAAAAATGTAGAAGGAATGATGGAATTAAGAAAATCACCATTTTATGATCCATAATTGTTTAAAATAGAATGAAAGGCAAAGGGAGGGAGGGAGAGAAAAAGAGAGAGAGGGAGGGATGGAGGGAGGAAGGGAGAGGCAGACAGAGACAAAGAAGGAGGGAGGGAGAAAAAGAGAGAGAGAAGGAGAGAGGAAAGGACAGAAAGAGAGAGAGAAAGAAAGAGAGAGAGAGCAAGCAACAGAGCATGGCAGATGACCCCAAAACTAGAATTTCTGGAGAATCCTAACCTGTGACCCAAGGCATTTCACTTCAGTGTGGTGCTAGGCCATGCAGCTTCTGAGATCTTTCCAAATTTCTAACCTCATGTAAACCATGGTTACCTGAAATTGTCTTTCTCCAGCAAGAAGGACCATCCCTGGCAAAAAACAAAAACAGAAAACAAGGTAGAAAAATGGATTTATCAAGTTTTACAATGCTTGTCATATGACCAGAAACACATTTTTAAAATATATATATATTTACTAAATCTTTGGTTATCCAGAAATTTAAGCTATCTAGAATATGCCATGCTGTGCTCATTTCTAGAAGAAAAAGGTTTCACTGTCAAGTTACTCTGGGAAGTAGAGATGATAGGCGTCCAGTAAGTGAACTTGAGCTCTGTCTTAAGGTCTGAGAAGTCTACCTTTCCTGTCTCTCCCACAATACCACCTCACCATGCCCTCCAAACTCAGCTGTTGTTATAATATGATATTAGAAATCACAAGTTTTTAAGCTATTTTGTCCAAAGAAAAAACAAAATGAACAAATGAAAGTGTTTTTCATAATCCTGACACATCCAGTTCTTTACTCAAAATCTGTCTGGTCCATGAAAATATATTTCCCCTACCATGAAATGTCTCTTATACTATATTAACCTATTAATAAAATTTGTTGCCCCCAATGACTTCTGTTTCAAATAAAGGAAAATAAAGATTCAACTAGTTTACCATCAATATATTGTATTAAATATCAACACCTTACTCCTCTACTTATGTAGCAAAGCTAATATGGTTTTGTCAACATAATCTAAGTATAAATGTAAAAAATCTGCAACCCTGCTCTATCAGTTCATTCTCACATTGCTATAAAGACATACCTGAGACTGGATAATTTATAATAAAAAGAGGTTTAACTGGCTCATGGTTCTGCGGGCTGTACAGGCTTCTGCTTCTGGGGAGGCCTCAGGAAACTTACAATCATGGCAGAAGGTGAAGGGGAAGCAAGCATGTCTTGCATGGTGGGAGCAAGAGGAAAAGAGAGTGAGGAAGGAGGTGCCACACACTTTCAAACAACCAGATCTCATGAGAACTCTATCACGAGACAGCATTAGGGGGATGGTGCTAAACCATTAGAAACCACCCCCATCATCCAATCACCTACCACTACAATGTTGGCCCCACCTCCAACATTGGGGATTACAATTTAACATGAGATTTGAGTGGGGACACAGAGCCAAACCCTATCACCTGGCATCTGACTTTAACTGTTCGTGACAACTTGAGACCCATAGAAACTCTAGAGGATGCTGCAATCCATGTTGTATCCACAGCAATGTTGCTGAGGTCAGCAGCAGGTGGAGATGTGACTAGGTCAGGAATATTCATCAGTAATTGGCGTGGAGCAGACATTTTGCTAGGTATTGAAGATACAGATAAACAGCATATGGTCCCCTACCTTGATAATCTGAAAATTCAGTAGGTGAGCTCTCCAGAAATGTAGATCTTACTCGTGGGGACATCATCCACTATCTCCGCTCCATCAGATCCTCATGTCCATTAAGTTTGTCCACGACTCTTTGAGATTCTCCTGGGAGCCCCCGACTCATCTCTGAACTTCACACCACCAATACCCTATGTGCCTCTTGATTTTCTGCTTCCTCTAGAACCCATGCTCAATCATCTCAACCCCTCTGTGAATATCATCATTGCCACGGCTTTGAATGTTTCTGTCCATATGCCCAGTCACCAAGTGGGAGACCTTGGACTCATTGTTGATGTCTCCTTCCTTTCTTCTAACTCCCTCCTTCTTCCTCTCCTGCCGTGGCTGCATTGCATGTCATCAAACCCATGAAATTGATTCTTTTCTTGCTATTTCCTTGGTGTAGAATGCATGGCCTTGTGTTGTAGTGAATTGTTCATACATCTGTTTCTCTTTGGAGACTGTAAGCTTGTTGTGTGGGTCTTCAATAAGTCTTGAAATAACAAATGCATATTATTTACCAGTAATCCTTTGAACAAGGCTTCCAGAAGCAATAGTTCATGTTTTCTTGGGAGTGATTTGTTAAAAAATGTTTCTGCTTATTATTAATAATTTGGAGGTGACTACATTATGGTACATAATTTCAGAAAACAGATGCAACACGTGCTAAATATTCATGGTTTGATTTCAGGATTATTTTGCGTCATTATGTTCAAGGGTCTGATTTGCTTTGCAGGGTATTTGTATTTGTGTAATCCTCAGTCATGTTATATTAAATGTTTCCAACATACTTATACCTCATGCTTACCAGGTAATTAAAAACTTTTAAAGCACGATAAATTTAAATTGAAAAGGGGCCAGGCATGGTGGCTCACACCTGTAATCCCAGCACTTTGGAAGGCTGAGGTGGGAGGATTGCTTGAAGTCAGGAGGTGGAGACCAGCCTGGGCAACATAGCAAGACCTCAGTCTCTACAAAAAATAAAAAGACTAGCTGGGCATGCTGACCTGCACCTCTAGACCTAGCTACTTGGGTGGCTGAAGTGGGAGGATTGCTTGAGCCTAAGTTTGAGGCTGCAGTGAGCTGTGATCACACCACTGCACTCCAGCCTGAGCAACAGAGCAAGATGCTTTCTCTAATTAATTAATTACGTTAATTAACTGAAAAGGTACAACATTTTTAAAAGTGGGAAAGTGACTGCTAGTAATGTTCTGCTTATTAGTAAAATACAGTACTATCTTTTTAAAGGAAATATCACACTGATTTTGGAAATATATATTTTTAATATTCTGACAGTAAAAAATATTTAAAGTTTTTACATAATAAGTAATAGTACCGCCTTAATTGAATGTTATTTTTTCTGTCTATTTTATACTTTACATATCAGAGTAATATTTAGAAATGTTCTTTATGGTAACCAGAAATTGCTCTTATTTTCTTTATCCCATTGTTGATGTAATATTTAGAAATGTTCTTTATGGTAACCAGAAATTGCTCTTATTTTCTTTATCCCATTGTTGATGTGCAGTTGGGTTAGCATAACTAAAGGAAAAAATGTGATAGTTTCTCATGGCCTGCATATGGTGGAAAAGAACTGGAATTTGTGGTAAGGTCACCTTAAATTTCTAGAAAATACTACTTAGCCACTGATTGTTTTTCCCCTGCATCGAGTTCATACTCAATACAGACTCATGATAGTTTTGATATCTCAGAAGAAAAATTTCCACCATAATTGTTCATCTTTTCAAAACTATTTCTCTATTCTCACATATTTTTAATAGATAAGATTCTTTTTTAATTTTCGTGGGTACATAGTAGGGATATATATTTATGGAGTACATAATATGTTTTGATATAGGCATGCGATGTGTAAAAATCACATCATGGAAATTGGGGTATCCATCCCCTCAAGCATTTATCCTTTGTGCTACAAAATCCAGTTATACCCTTTTAGTTATTTAAAAATGTACAATTAAATTATTTTGACTATAGTCACCCTTTTGTGTTATCAAATACCAGATACTAATAATCACATCATGGAGAATGGGGTATCTGTCACCTCAAACACTTACCCTTTGTATTACAAACTATATGTACTCTTTCAGTTATTTTTAAATGTACAATTAAGTTATTATTGACTGTAGTCACCCTGTTGTGCTATCTTATTCATTCTTTCTATATTTGTATACCCATTAATGATCCCCACTTCCCCTCCCACCACTACCCTTCCCGGCCACTGGTAACCATCCATCTACTCTCTGTCTCCATGAGTTAAATTATTTTGATTTTTAAATCCCACAAATAAATGAGAACATGCCATGCTTGTCTTTCTGTGCCTGGCTTCTTTCATTTAACATAACAATCTCCATTTCTATCCATGTTGTTGCAAATGACAGGATCTCATTTAGATAAGAATTTTAGAATCAGCCTGTACACCTTCATAAAAAATCCTTTTGGAATTCCAATTGTGATTGCACTGACTATATAGATTAAGTCTGGAAACATATTATGCTTCTCCGTATCAGTCTTCTTTTAAAAACGTCGATAAAGCTTTATAGGTTTGACTGCCTCTCCACAGTTAATTCCTTCTATTTGTTGCCTCTTGGAGTAACTTTGAATCACTCCAACACCATAGGTGTGTTCTCTTCCTTGTAGGTGTGTTTGCTTTCTATCTTTCTGGGATCCGTTGAAATTCCTGGTCTGTTGATGATATTCTTTCTTATCTTTCATGCTATGCTGGTTTCTGGAAGGAAGGAGTGTTTTGCTTTTTGAATATAGTTTCTGGCATTCTATTGGATTTGTTGCAAGAGGGAACACGGCCACATGTGCTCCCATCTGCTTCTTGATCCCATTTCTTAGCTTTGCGTGGCGTATGTGTGAGACAGACAGACAGTTTGCAAATAGTGAAACCAACACATCAAGGACACAGACAACTAGGGAGCAAGCTGAAAACTTAGATCAGACGTCATGTTTCTAGAGAAGAGGTGAAAGACTGTTTTAATTAATAGAGTATCTTAGCCTCCTCTCAAACAACATGGGTGATATGGTTTGGCTGTGTCCCCACCCAAATCTCATCATGAACTGTAGTTTCCGTAATTCCCATGTGTCATGGGAGGGACCAGGTGGGGCGGTTACCCTCATGCTGTTCTCATAATAACAAGTGAGTTTTCATGAGAGCTGATGGTTTTATAAGGGGCTTCCCCCTCTGCTCAGCACTCACTTCTCTCACCTGCTGCCATGTGATGTGCCTGTTTCACCTTCCGCAATGATTGTAAGTTTCCTGAGGCCTCCCTTGCCATGAGGAACTGAGAGTCAATTAAACCTCTTTTATTTATAAATTACTCAGTCTCAGGTATGTCTTCATAGCAGAGTGAAAGAGGGCTAATACAATGGGTATTCTTCAGTCTTGGTTAAGAACATCAATGTTTCACCAAAGGGAAAGAAATCAAGAAGGAAAAGTTTGAGAGCACAGCATTTTTGGAGCTAGTGATTTTAATTGAAGAAAACGGCAGAATAATATAGAGCATAGTAGTTACGCGTGAAAGCATGCCATGAAGACTGAGTGATATCCAATATACTGGATTTGAAAGGGGGATTTTTGGATGGAGCCCTACAATTAGACATTGGAATGCAAGTGACCACTCTACAGTCATGTGACTTTGGAAATTTTTTATGACTTTCATTATTGTTTACATCGTACTGAAAATGATAATACCCAGCAACTACCATGAAGTATTAGTAGAGTATCACATTAAATTTTTTAAATTAAAAAAACCTCTATGAGAAGTAGAAACAACATAAACCAACAAAAATAAGCAACAAATGATTATAAAGTAACAGTCAAGCAGATTCCAATTTTGCAAGGCATTTTCTCATCTAGAAGGAAAAGTGAGGGCAAATTACTTCAGTTGTTAGATCTTCGTAGAATATTTGGTAATGACTTGGCATGTTATGAATTTTGCCTTCTGAATTATCACTATTGGATAATACATGCTGGGCTTGTATAGTTACAGATTTTGTGACTTCAGGTGGATTTTATAATTTTCTAGAAAGGAATTTAAAAAACTTTTATTTTTGCCCCCATACTTAAAGCATGTCTATAAGTTTGGGAATAGAAGGACTTTCATCAAAATTATGTTGCAGGCTCTATACGTGTATTACCCATAATAAATACTGAAAAATATGGTACATTATTTAGGTTGTTGATGCAGCAGATTATGTTATCTTGCCTTAGATATATAAACCCTTTTCTGAGATCATGTTATTATTTCTACTTTTATTTCCAGGTTGAAAGATCCGTTGAAAAAAAATAAGACTTAGTAGGTAACTATCAGTGTACTGGATATGGCAGTCTAGATTTTTTTAATTAAAAAATTAGTGGCTTAAAGAAACACACATTTATTATCTCACAGTTTCTGTGGATCAGGAGCCCAGTCATGGCTTAACTGGACCCTCCAGCTCAGCATCTCTCAGAAGGCTGCAATCAAGGTGTTGGCTAGGGCTGCATTCTCATCTCAAGACTTGACTGGGGATGGATCTTCTTTCAAGCTCACTCAGTTGATCTTATTGGTAGGATTCAGCTTCTTGCAAGCTCTTTGACTGAAGGACTCAGTTCGTTGTGCACTCTTGACTGGAGGTCACCCTCAGTTCTGTCACATGTAGCACTCCAATATGTAAGTTGGGTGTCTGCAACATGGCCTCTGTATCATCAAAGCCACCAAGAAAGTCTACTAGCAAAATAGAAGCCACAGTGTTTTGTAACCTCATGATGAAGCAACATCCATTACTTTCACAATATTCTTTTTTTAAAAGACTTTTAAGTTCAGGGGTACATGTACAGGGTATGCAGGTTTGTTACATAGGTAAACATGTGTCATGGGGGTTTGTTGTACAGATTATTTCATCACCTAGGTATTAAGCCTAATACCTATTTGCTATTTTTCCTTATCATCTCCCTCGTTCCTCCCTCCTCCAATAGGCCCCAGTGTGTGTTGTTCCCCTCTATGTATCCAAGTGTTCTCTTCATTTAGCTCCCATTTATAAGTGAGAACATAAGATATTTTGCTTTCTTTTTCTGCATTAGTTTGCTAAGGATAATGGCCTTCAGCTCCATCCATGTCCCTGCAAAGGACATAATCTCATTCTTTTTTTATGGCTGCTTCCATGGTGTATATGTAGCACATTTTCTTTATCCAGTCTATCTTTGATGGGCATTTGGGTTGATTCCATGTCTTTCCTATACTTTCACAATATTCTTATAGAAGTGAATCATTAGGTCCCAGCCCATACCTGAGGGGAGGGTATCACAAGAGATTATGAATATCAGGAGGTGGGGATCACTGGAAGCCATCTTAGAAGGCTGACTTCCATAGATGCCTACTCTGATTCATTAACTGTCAAAATTAGGACCAGCAAATTAAGTGAATTGATTGAGGTTTTACAGCAAGATAGGAAAAGTGCAAAGAATGGAAGTCTTCACCTTTGCAATTTGCCCAAAATCCATCTACTGCCTTCCACCTTTTGGCATACGTAGGTCCAACCACTGTGGGAGGATGCTAACTACTTAGCACACACTTATCTATGCATGTAATGCCTTCTGACTTCCAACTTTAGAATCACAGCCTGTAGAAAAACTTAAGTAGGTTGCCCACACTCCTGTTACATCTGCTGTCAGTGAATAGACCCTACATGCATTCCTGACCTTCAAAACACAATGGCAGCAAAGAGATGAAAAAAAATTTTTTTAATATGCTTCCATGTCAATTTTACAAAACACAGACTGTCACTGCCTGGAGCGATAACCTTGAAATCTGAGCCACAGATCTGCAAACCTATTCAGCCGCATGGTTTCTGGGCAGTCTGAAATTACAATGCTTTTATTTTTTTTTTCCAACATTCAAAAACCCTTTTATGATTGCTTTAAAGTCAAACACACTGCCCTGTTTTCTGAGGATGTGCCTTACTTTTTCTTCTAGAGTCATGTAATCGTCCTTCTTTAAAGAGGACTGTGTTCGGGAAATGACAAGTTCCTAGTTGTGTTGTAGACTAACCTTAGAGTTGGCCATGTCCAAAGCCCTTTTATAGTGTTGATGCAAAATTTCCTTCTATTTCCTTAGGTAAGAATTCCATAACACAGGAGATTTAGCTCCATTTTGTGGAAAACTAGGCAGTTAAGCTTCCTGTTCACTGGATAATGGTGCTTCACTCTCTGAGTCCAATGGCGGAGAATGCCAAGTGGAAGAACAGGGTTAAATCATTTGGGAATTTCACACAATTTTATTTTCTACTATATGCCTCTTGAAAGGAGCTGTAAAAATGATGCCTTTAAGTAATATTTTGTCAATCACAACATTTATTCCTGTTCTTCTTCCTATCACGACTGCTGACTTACTCCTGCCATTAGCACATTCTCATAATTACTGTGACTATTATGAATGCATACTAAGTACCATGTCTGGGATAAAGTGTGGGAATACTAAACCAAATTAGATATTCTCTTTCCTTCAGGGAGAAGAGACTCTTTGTTTCTATAACAGAGAGAGTCTGATATGGAAATTGCCAAATAAAATGCAATGGGAGAAGTTGTAGGAAATATGAGCTTGTTGCAATGTGGGGGTGAGTTGTTGCAATGGGGGGGTGAGCTGTTGCAGTTAGCTAGACAAAGAAGAGAAACATTCTGGCAAAGAAAACTAAATTATTTTTTGAATATTGTTATGGAGCATTTAAAGAAGTAGTGTTGTTTCTATATAACTGGCAAAAGCAGTACATACTAATTAAAGAGCATGCAGAGACCAGGTCATGCCAGGCTCTGTGTGCAAAGGCAAGAAGATTGAATTTTATCCTGGAAATGACTGAGGGACAGATAACCTCAGAAATAATTCCATACAAGACTAATATTTAAGGGGAAATTATAAAATGGAGCACACATTAAGAAGATAAAGAATGGATGGACAAGGGAGTTTGGAGATAACCCCTAAGACATGATGGCACAATGTTCAGAGAGAGGCAGGCAGAATGGAGCAGACGCTATTTCTTTGAAGACATTCATGGAATCATGAGAACTTGAGCTTTGGGGAGGATCGTCTTAAGGGGCACAGGAGCAGATATTAGGGTTAAGCCCAGGCTCACTAGGGTCTGATGGAAGACCTGGCTCCATAAAGTTTGGGTCCTCAAGCATTCCACACTCCAGGTAGGAGCAAAATGGTAATAGAATAAATCTTTCCCCATTCTCAACCCCTAGAAGACTGCAAGTTTTTTTGATGCAAAGTAGAGAGAGCTTAAATTACATTTCATATTTTCCCAGAATCTGTGATGCAGTGTTGGTCAATTCAGCACAGTTAATCTCAATAGACAAATAACAAAAATACTCAACCAAGAATGTTATCAGAGAAATATATTAACCTTTACAATGCTTGTATAAATGAAACATGGAAAATTTTTTAAAAATATTTTTTTCTTTAAAAATGATTTTTAAAAGATTTTAAAACAAATTCTTTAAAAATTTTTGTTAAAGATGACATAAATATCATGCAATAATTAACTGAATTAATTCAAACATGATCTACTTTCAACCTCATTTTCCAAACAATATTTCCTAACAAACAGTATATTTTATTTCACACGATTTTGATTCAAGGAATCCAATAAAGTTATTAATTTCATATGAAAATGGAAATGCATACAATGAAAACTTAGTTGATAAGTAAAGGTTTTCAGAATGATACTAATATGTCAAATCAGCACTTACGTCCCTAAGCAAAAGTCACTTAGGATGTATTATCATTGTTTTAATACACTGCTGGAGGTATTTGCTAAAATTTTCTTTATACTTTTTGAATTTGTTGAGAAAGAGTGGCTCATAAGTGTTCCTTCTCATCCTGCCTTATCAGATACTAGAATGGAGATTATGTTAGTCTCATAAAATGATTTATTGAATGTTCCGTTCTCTGTTCTCCCTAATGCTTTGTAGATCTCATTGATGAAACCATGTGGATCAAGCATTTTCTTTCTTGAAATATTTGGACTGGGAATGCAATTTTCTTAATGAATACATCACTTGAGGCTTTCCATGTAGCCCCTTAGTTTTTAAGTTGCATCTTTCTAGGGATTTATTGGCTTCATGTTTTTACTATTGTCTTTTTAATGTGGTACGATTCTATGGTGCTCTGTTTTTCATTGCTAATGTTGGTTATTTCTACCTTCTCTCCTTCCCTACCTATTGATCAGACTTGCCAATTTGTTAATATCATTGGACTTTTTGAAGAATCAACTTTTGGTTTTGTCAGTTCTCCCTATAGAATATATATTTTTTCTATTTAATTAAATTATTCTCTTATCTTACATTTCCTTCCTTCTACCATCTTCTTGATTTTTTTTGTTTTATAACTTTCTAAGATGTGATGAGTTTACTAATTTTGTTTTTTGTTTTCTTTGTTAATACACACTGTTATCCTAGGCCCTGATCTAGATACACCTAAAATGTTTGATATGTATTTTTCAGATCATTTGTTTAAAAAATATTTTCCAACTTCCATTTTACTTTATTCATTTACTTGTGGATAATGGAGAATTTTTAAAAATTTCCAAACATATGGGGATTTCAAAGTCAGAGATCTGCATTGTGTTTTCAGTCTTTTGACATATCTGAAGACTTGTGTTTTGGTGCAGTATATCATCAATTTAAGTGAATGTTTTAGGCATGGCTGCACAGAATACGTACTTTTCCATTTGTAGTGCAATAATTGATATATGTCCATTAAGTCAAAGGTGCTAATTGAATCATTCTAATCTCCTCTATTGTTACTAAAATTTTTGTCTTGGTTTTCTTAATGGCTGGAAAAGATATATTAAATTCTTCCTTGATAATTACAAATTTGTCTATAACTCCTTTTAATTCTGTCAGTTTTTACTTTACATCTTTTGGGGCTTTGATATATTTTTCTCACTATATATTTCATTTATTCAACAATAATTCGTTTATAAAATATATTTTGCCTGATAGCACAAAATATTTTTAATTTGGTTTTTATTTATTTGGTATAGATGAGGTTTCTTTTCTTTCATCTATTTGTTTCCATCTTTTTTTTAGATTCTTTGTCTCTATACTAGTTATTGCATATTAGTTGTTATTATTATATATTCTATGTTACTATTTCTCATAATTAGTATTTAAAAGTCAGTAGTACTTCTAACTCTACTCCACTAAGTAAAATTTGCTTCTCTGGCTCTTTAAAAATAATTTTATTAAGGTATGATTTGTGTAAATTAAGCTGCATCCATTGAAAGTATAAAATGAGTTGTGTACACCCATAAAACCACTATCACAAACAAGACAGTGAATATTCCCCAAACCCCCAAAAGTTTCTTTGTTAATGACAGCATCTGCCCCAGCTCATGAAGACAACAACCTGCTTTCAGACACTAAATATTTGCTTCAACTTTTTTTTTACACTTTTATATAAGTGGAATTGTATTGTACATCCCCTCTTGAGTCTGGCTTCTTTTACTCAATAAGAAATTTGTGATTTAGTCGTATGTGGATCATTTGACTAGTCACTGAGTAGTATTTTGCTGAATGAAAATCTTTCATTACTGAGTAGTACTCCGTTGAATGAAAATACCACAATGTGTCTGCCTAGTCACCTGTTGGTGGACATTTGTATTGTTTCCCATTTTTGGCTCTTGTGAATCCAGTGGCTGTGAAGGTTCATGTGCAAGTCTAAGTGTGGACATATACTTTTATTCTCATGAATAAACATCCACTAGTAGGATAGCTAGGTATATTCTTACTCATATAAGAAACACAACATCTAGAGAACACTGTTCTCTAGAGGGACTAGTTACTGTTGATCTGTGTATTCTGGTCATAGAAGACAAATGTTTTGATTTCCGGCACCTCCAAGTCATTTTACAACCAGGGAAATGAAGAAGCCAAGTCACTGAAAGATGTACATCTCATTCCTGATGTAGAAACACTGGAGCAGAGTAACCATAGGAGACAGTTTGTCTCTGTGGTCATGAGCTGCAGGGACTCAGGTTGAACCATCTCCACAGCGCACCTGCAGCACATCTTACTAACTGGATGATGCTTTGAGGCTCAGCTAATCCCCAGACGTCTCTCAGATGAGAAGCCAATATCTAATGGTCACCCAGCAGTCACTGAATCCCAGGGTTTATAATATCCCATCCATCTGTGACCACTTCTGATAAAGGAGGACTATTCAGATTCTTCCTTGGGATTGGGTATGATTGACATGACAGGAGAATACACATTCCAGAATTACTGTTCACCTTTAGTTTATTATTCATATGTTTGAATTTTATTAAATACAGTATGTATTTTTCATTTAGCAGACTCTTTTTTAAACAACAGCTTTATATTTATGGAAAAATTGAGCACATAGCATCAAGAATTCTCATATGCTGTCTTTTAGCCTTCCTCAGTTTCCCCTCTTATTAATCTCTTGCATTAGTGTGGTACAGTTTTTCATGCTCAATGAACTGATAATGATACATTATTATCAACTATAAAGTCCTTGGTTTACATTATGCTTTCTTCTTTGTGTTGTATAGTTCTGTGGGTTTTGAAAAGTACATAATAACATTTATCCAGCATTACAGAATACAAATATTTTTCAATGTCATTTCACAAAAGAGACTTGAAAAAAGCTGACTGTAAACTAAGGCAAGCTCAGAAATTACACTGTAAAGGGAATATAGATGGAAAGGAAATGCTATCATCACAAAATCCTATTTTTCTTTTCAGTGTACTATAATCATATCAGATTCAAAGAGAAAGGTGTAACTTTTGTTACCTATGACAAAGATTATAGGTATAAAACATGTTTATCTTTAAGAAAGTTACAGAAAGTGGAGGAACTTGTGATCTAGGGACGGACTTACCATGTTTGAAAAATGGATTTCATGGTAGAATAAATAGGATTAGCTCTCTCATGCCTTCAAGTTTAGGAGAGCAAGCTCTATGAACTTGAAGGTGACCCACTACTAAAGTAAGTCCTGTTCATTGAGAACTGGAAGAAACTTGAGGAATAATTTTTATTTTTGCATTGCAGAATAAGCAAGAATACTTTTTATTTAATTTGCATTTCCCTTTTCATATAATTTTGAGACTCGTCACCAATATTTTCATTACCTGTTTCTTCCAAACCTGTTTTTCTCCTAAAACTAATACCTCTTCTGATTTTTTAATATTTTCTGAAAAGTTTAATATATTCTGAATTTGAATATTTATATTTTAACATGATCTTGCACACCTTAAATATTCTTTGGCATACAAAAGTTTTTTTTCATGATTCGTGAGTGAGTTGTATATATTTATTACTTTATAAGAATGATTGTCAATCATCCCTGCCCCCTGCCAAGGGGACATTTGGCAATTCCTGGAGACATTCTTGTTTGTCACAACTGGAAGGGGGATGTTACTTGTATCTAGTGAGTTCCCACCTGTCATGAAGGGATGGACACCACAGATGCTGATAAACATCCTATAATGCCTAGGACACCCCCATAACAGAGTCTTGCATCCCCAAATGTGAGTATTACTGATGTTGAGAAATCCTACTTTAGAATTTTCTCTGTCTAACTCTCCCTTTACCCCCATTTGACAGCTGGGGCAAGTCAGACAAACAGTTTTCAGGCTGGGTAGTCTCTATCAATTGGCATCCACACTTACTAGTAATCTGAGGAGACGGGTTAAGGTATTAAAGAGAAGGCATAGAACTTACTCACCAAGAATCCTACTATGTATAACAACACAACATGTTCTAACATGAAAGAGGCAGGAGACAGTATGGAGGAAGGATAATTAAGCAAGCATTTTATTGGAGAAATAATATCTAGTTTGGAAAACTGAAGACATGAGTGATTCTGATTAAAAAAATAAATTAGATTATATTACAATTCTGTTTAAAGCCCTTCAAAGACTCCACTTTCAATGACTTCTCATTTTCCAAAGTCTTTCTTTCATGCCCAAATCTCAGTGAGTTCCCTCCTGTCATTCTCAGAGTCCTATTTGTTTTCCTTGCAGCACTCAATTGGAAGTTATATTTCTTTTTTAAAGTATTGGATACCTCTCTCCTCCAGTAGGCTGGAGGACAATGGTAGTATCTATTTTACCTGGCACACAGCACTTTCATCCTCCCCAGTAACTTGGAAGGGTCCTCAGAGGAGGGAGATTTTCTGATGTTATCAAGGAGAAAACAACAATGTGGGCAAACACATGCAGGTGGACCCTAGAGTGCGCCCACATGGAAAGGTAAGCAGAAATAGGCTCAACTTCATGGCAGAGAATGCTGTTGTGGGGTCTTATTATTATAATGTCTTGACTGCTAGGTGGAAGAATTTAGACCTAATGAGTAGGTGATCGGGACTGAAGCTCTTCAGCAGCGGTAACACACCATGGAAGCTGTTTCTGAAACCTGAAATAATCCCCCATGGAGATTTTATCACTGAGACCTAAACTCAATATATAGAATCTTTGCACATTTTTGTTATGCATATCACATCCCTCCTTCAAAACCATATTTTTTCATGCCTTTTAGAAGGTGCATAGTGTATATGAGGAATGTCAACAATGATATTCAACCCCAACCAAGCACCTTCCTTCTGGCTTAGTTTGTAGTCACAATATTCTCACAGCCAGTTGTTTTCTGTGGATTGCAATGTGTTTTGGTTTTCCAGAGCCTTTCACTGAAACCTGAACAGGACAAACATCAGTATCATTAGTAGTTACTTGGGTATATTTACTATATGAGTCATTACTTCAATACCTTTATTATAGTGATTGTTTGGGTACCTTTACTATAGTGGTTACTTGGGTACCTTTACTATAGTAGTTGTTTCTTCAGTACCTGTACTATAGTGGTTATTTGGGTTCCTCTATTATAGTGGCTACTTGGGTACCTGTACCATAGTAGTAGTTGCTTGGGTACCTGTACCATAGTAGTAGTTGCTTGGGTACCTTTACCATAGTAATTGTTGCTTGGGTACATTTACTATAGCCATTATCTGGGTACCTTTACCATAGTAGTAGTTGCTTGGGCACCTTTGCCATAACAATGGTTACTTGGGCGCCTTTCCCATAGCAATAGTTGCTTGGGTACCTTTCCCATAGCAATAGTTGCTTGGGTACCTTTACGATAGTAATTGTTATCTGAAGTACCTTTACCATAGTAGTAGTTGCTTGGGTACCTATTCTATAGCAACAGTTGCTTGGGTACCTTTGCCATAGTAATAGTTGCCTGGGTATATTTACCATAGTTGTAGTTGCTTGGGTACCTTTATTATAGTAGTGGTTACCTGGGTACTTTTACCATAGTATTAGTTGCCCGGGTACCTTTACGATAGTAATAGTTACCTGGGTTCCTTTGCTATAGCAATAGTTGCTTGGATACCTTTCCCATAGTGATAGTTACCTGGGTATCTTTACCATAGTTGTAGTTGCTTGGGCACCTTTACTATAGTAATAGTTACCTGGGTACTTTTACCATAGTATTCGTTGCTTAGGTGTCTTACCCATAGCAATAGTTACTTGGGCACCTTTCCCACAGAAATAGTTGCTTGGGTACCTGTACCATAGTAACAGTTACCTGGGCTCCTTTACCATAGTAATAGTTACCTTGGCACCTTTACCATAGTAATAGTCACTTGGGTATCTTTGCTGTAGTGGTTACCTGGATACCTTTGCCATAGCAACAGTTGCTTGGATACATTTACTACAGTAGTTACCACCTCTGTTCTGCTGCTTTTCCTAAGACACTTTTTCTGCCTTTTTTTTTCTCTTGCTAATTCCTCCTCATTCTCAAAGACTCAGCCCAGTCTTTTGGGGAGCCTTCCTTAATCCTTCAGTTCTGCTCTTCCTGGGGCTCTCTTCTCATTGCCGCTGCACAATCTTGAGGCTACCATTCCCATTACACACTTGACCTTATATTGCATCTCTGTTCCTGTGGTATCTACTGGGCCCTGTGACTCAGTCATGCAAAAATAATATATTCAACTCTGAATCTTCATGGCTAGGGATAGCAACTGGTGCATGCTATTGAGTTAAATAGAGAGAGTGGGAGAGTGAGAGTGTGTTTATGAGAATGCTCTCTTGGACTCTCTTCAATGTCTTTGTAGCCTGTGACTCTAATCACCCTGGATTTATTTCATTCCAGCATCAATCCTTTCTACTTGAAAACCAGTAAATATCCTCTTTGTCTAGATACCAACTGACAGAATGTAGAAGGATTAAGAAGCTGTCTTCTACCAAGCAATGCAAGGAAACCAACCACTGAACTTCTAAAATAGTAATAGAGATGCCCCTTCCAGGTGCCATAGAAAATACTATTCTTTACCTACTAATATACGTCTCCAATATGGAAGATTATTTACAAGCTGTCACATTAATAATAAATAATATATTTTCATTATTTTCATCCAAATCCTTGAGTTTCAAATTAACAACATTTGAAGGAGACCCGTTTGCACAGATGAAATTTGAATTGTAGATAAAGTGACACTCTGGAAGGGTTAGGTCACGTTGTTGCTTTTCAACACTACCAAGATTTAATTTATGTAGTGTCATTGTGAAGAGAGAACCCTAATGGCTTTTTAATTATTCTCAACTTCAAAGAGTAAATGAGAGAGAAATCAGTTCCCAGACAAAGGAAGAAAATATTGGAAGCTGAGTAGAGATAATTATGCAGGAATGCCCTAGTAAAAGTATCTTAGGACGTAGGGGTGTAGAATTCTTTTCTGCACATCAAACCTACACAGTGGAACAGAACTGTATTGTTTGTTCAGTTCCCTATTATCACCCCACAGTCTTTTTTAAAGAAAATTAATTTTAATTTTTATTTTAAGTTCCGGGGTACATATGCAGGTTTGTTACATAGGTAAACGTGTGCCATGGTGGCTCGCTGCACGTATCAACCCATCACCTAGGTATTGAGCCCAGCATGCATTAGCTTTTTTCCTAAAGCTCTCCCTCCCTCCACCCTACCCCCTGACATGCCCCAGGGTGTGTTGTTCCCCTCCCCATGTCCATGTGTTCCCATTCTTCAGGTTCCACTTCTAAGTGAGAACATGTAGTGTTTGGTTTTCTGTTGCTGCGTTACTTTGCTGAGATTAATGGCTTCCGGCTCCATCCGTGTCCCTGCAAAGGACATCATCTCATTCCCTTTTAATGGATGCAAAGTATTCCGTGGTATATATGTACCACATTTTCTTTATCCAGTCTATCATTGATGGGTATTTGGGTTGATTCCATGTCTTTGCTATTGTGAATATTGCTGCAATGAACATACATATGCATGTATCTTTATAATAGAATGATTTATATTCCTTTGGGTATATACCCAGTAATGGGATTGCTGGGTCAAATGGTATTTCTGGTTCTAGATCTTTGAGGAATCGCCACATAATCTTCCATGATGGTTGAACTAATTTACAAGACTGTTATGATTTCAGTTCTTTTGCATTTACTGATGAGGGATTTACTTCCAAATATGTGATCAATTTTACAGTAAATGCCATGTGGCACCAAGACGAGTGTATATTCTGTTGTTTTGGGGTGGAGAATTCTGTAGATATCGATCAGGTCCATTTGATCCAGAGCTGAGTTCAAATCCTGAATGTCTTTGTTAATTTTCTGTCTCTATGATTTATCCCTCAGTGTTAAGAGTTGGTGATCATAGCAAGTTATGGAAAATTTGGAAAGTTATAGTTACATTTTTAGGCAAGCTTATTGGGCTGTGAATTACGATGAAATAGTAGAAGTAATTTGCTATGTCAGTTTATAGGAGCCAGAGATAGAGTGACTTTCACACAATGGCTTTGGAAAAATCCACAAGTCCAAAATAAGATGCTCTAAACACCATCTGATAATAGAAAAACGTTTTAAACTTATGTCTGTTTGGGCTCATTGTGGGGAAAAAAAACTTGGCCATTTATTGCTATGTAAGACTGATTGCCCATATAATTTGACCTTTAACTCTAAAAGTGGATGTTGGGGAAAATGTGAGTTTCAGAACTAGCTGCTCTTAATACATGATTATTTTTAGTTATAAAGTATAAAGCTTGTTTGAGAGCCCATTTTCTTGGAGAACATGTAAGCTGTCTGATCACAAACAAAATCATAATATTTCCTAATAACAATAGTTGCCATTTGAGTCTTTGTAGTATGCCAGGGACTGGATATTTGCTTCTAAAGGGGATAATCCCCTGAGATATGAGGGATCCAGTTTCCCCCAAGCCCCTGCCCCAGGAAAGTAAGAATAAAGAATTAATGAAAAGCTAAAGAGATAGGTTATAGAAGCAATAAATGAATAGGTACAATGGAAATGTTGGTATCATTCAGGTGAACACAGGACACAGGAAAAATAGCCTCTCCCGGACAATCCTCACTTCCAGGAAAAACTTTTTAAGGAGAGTCTTGGGAAAAAGCAGGCATGTGCATGTTTTTGTTAAGTAAACTGGCATAAACCAAAACATAGTGTGTCAGCCTAAAAAGAGAGAAAGCAAGTGTGACCACCCGCAGTGTGATAAAGCTATTGTTTTTTAAAGTAAAATATTTCTTGTAGTTCCATATTGCTATTCAAGTGTAAAAGTTCTCAATACCAGCCTAGAATGAAGTTATCTGCAGGTCTGTAGACCCCTTTTACGAATTGTATGGAAGTACTTGTTCTCAGACTAGAAGTACTCAATTCTATTCCCTGCAAATGTCAATTTAGTATCAGTCATGTGGGGAACAGTTTACAGTGTCACAGTTTTCACAGCCTATTTCAGGCTCCAGGGAACAGTTATGCCATGTAAGGAAATAACTCATTCTTGGTAAAGGAAAAATTGTAAAGTATTTAGTTAGAATTTTTCTGCAGCTGGGCATGGTGGCTCTTGTCTGTAATCCCAGCACTTTGGGAGGCTGAGGCAGGAAGCTCGCTTGAGCTCAGGAGTTCAAGACCAGCCTGGGCAACATGGTGGGACCTCATCTCTACTAAAAAAGAACAAAAATTAGCCGGGCCTGCTGGCACGTGCCTGTAGTCCCAGCCACTCGGGAGGCTGAGGTGGGAGGATTGCTTGAGCCTAGGAGGCAGAGGTTGCAGTAAGCAGAGATTGCGTCACTGCTCACCAGCCAGGGCAAGAGAGGGAGACCTTCCCTCAAAAAAAAAAAAAAAAAATTTTTTTTTTCAATATCCAGTAATTATTTTATCTCCTTCCAACTCCTTCCAATACTTGTGATGTATGTGTGTATATGTGTTTGTGTGCTCATACTTTCTGTCTCAAGTTGTGAACAAGAATTTCATGTAGTTCAATCTTTTATCAAAAGCCTAATGTTACTTTTTTTTAAGCCATTAGGCGGGAGTCGTGGGTTTCAAATACAGTAAATAAAACTGCTAGTACTGGAAACTGTCCACATCAATGTGCCCTTCAGGTTGCACATAAAACCACCTTGAAAAGCAGAGCTCTTAAACGCTGTGTACAGAAAGCTCGTGTTGTTATGTGTTCAATGCTTCCTAACAGATTTCGTTACTAGGCACGATAAGAATATTGAAACCATATTTGTGAAATACAGTTAATTAGCTTGAGTGAACCTTTCTATAATGTATACATAGATCAAAACATCACATTGTACCCCATAAGTATACACAATTATTATTTCTTAATTAAAAATACATTAAAGGCCAGGCGCGGTGGCTCACGCCTGTAATCCCAGCACTTTGGGAGGCCAAGGCAGGTGGATCATGAGGTCAGGAGATTGAGACCATCCTGGCTAACATGGTGAAACCCGTCTCTACTAAAAATACAAAAAATTAGCCAGGTGTGGTGGCGGGCACCTGTAGTCTCAGCTACTCGGGAGGCTGAGGCAGGAGAATGGCATGAACCTGGGAGGTGGAGCTTGCAGTGAGCCAAGATCACGCCACTGCACTCCAACCTGGGCAACAGAGCAAGACTCCGTCTCAAAAATAAATAAATAAATAAATAAATAAATTAAAAAGGAAAATATTTATCTGTTCTGTGGTTTTTCTTTCATTTTCCTTTAGCATCTTTCTAGTTAGACATCTTTACATTTCTTTTTGTTTGGTAACAGTTTCCATTTTCTGTCATAATTCCTTGAATGTCCTGTCAAGCAACACATGCCTGCTGAACAGTAACTGTGTAAGAGGCTGTGTTAGGCTGGTGAGTGGCACAAAATTGAGAAAGACCTCACTAAGCTTGGTCTCTACTGAAAGAGGCAGAAATGTACAAAAATGAACAACTCTACCATTATTAGGCAGATGTTAGGAAAGGCATATGAAAAGGCCAAGAAGTATCAGATCCTCTGGCTATAAAAATCACTCAGTAGCTGGGTGTGGTCGTGCATGCCCATAGTCCCAGCTACTCAGGAGGCTGAGGCTGGAGGACTGTTTGAGCCCAGGAGTTCAAGGCTGCAGTGAGCTATGGTTGTGCCACTGCACTCCACGCTGGGCAACCAAGTGAGACCCTATTTTTTTTTAAATCGCTCAGAAGGCCGTGAAACCAATAATCTGTAAACCCAATGGGAAGAAAATGACAGCATTTCATACTGCTAATCAACACAACCATGGCCCTTTACACATCTCTCTAAATCATGTGATAGTCCACCTACCTAGGGACTGGAAAATGGACAAATGATATTAGTTTTTGAAAAGATGTAAAATGCAAAAGATAGTCAAGGTGGTAGATTTACATGCCAGTGTGGATGTTGGGGAAAGCTCTCAGGGATCCAAGAGAATGTTTTCCTCTTGCAGTAAAACGTCAACATAGAGAGCTAGTATCATTTGTTCTCCACCAAACTTCTGCTCTCATTGAAAACTCAGAACATGAATTTTCCACATTTCTCCCCTAGAATTTCTACATCCTAAATAATGAATGCAGCCAAGAGGAGCATATTCAATGGCAATTAATGAGTATCTTTCCATTAAACTTTATTCCATTATTAAATGTTCCAGTTTTATGTCAGTGGATTACATATTATGCATGGCTTATTTGCCATTGCTTTATGAGCATTTTATAGGCAAAAGGGAATGGCTGTTATAAAGTAGGTGGGTTTAAGACAGGTCTTTCCCTGTTCTGCCCACCCTCCCATCACATCCCTCCCATTTTGGTTCTCTGGAATTAAAATCAATCTTTAGGTGCTACTCACATAATGAGAACTTTGATGTATATGGCTTTCCTCTACAAAGCGACATATGTTCCCATTACTGAGATTTCTTCCTCAGTTCCCCGTCTACCTCCCCCATTTATTCAAATTCTATTCATTCTTTAAGGCACCGGGGGCCTTTCTTTGTCAGTCCTGTCTGCTGTGAGTGCTCTCTTGAGTGCTAAGAGAGTACTTGCTCTTTGAAACTTATTCTGCTCTGTAACTTTTCATGTGTCAATGTGACAATTATACTGTAAGATTTTAAGGTGGGTTCTACATCCTATTTATTTTTTTTTTGTATTCTCATAGTTTCCAATAAAATATATATTGTTGATTGAATTATAGTCTTCCCCAGTTATGGGAAACATAGCTGAACGAGAGGCCCAGAATAAAAATGAAATCTGTACATTTACTTATTTATTATTTTTTGTCTTTTTATAGTTGCTTTCTTTTTTTATATTTAATTAAATTTAATTGTTTATTTCAATAGATTTTTGGGGAACAGGTGGTGTTTGGTTACATGAGTAAGTTCTTTAGTGATGATTTCTGAGATTCTGGTGCTTTCTATATTTAGAGATGATATGGCAATTATACACTTTAACAATAGGATTAAAATACAAGTTTCTTATGTTAACCAATGACATTTAATTAATCACTATAAGGACATGCATCATTTATGCAATTTCAGATTTGAAATAATACTAGTTTGTATACTTACCTGGCAAGGAAGATACCATGATTATGAAATAATAATAGTTTCTAAAACCAGAATAAGATTACTAATCAGCTAAAAATCAATAATGTAAAGGACATTGATAGAAAACAATTTCTATCATAATTTCAGCCATTTGCAATTAAATCTCATTTTATAAATATACAAGGAAAATGGAACACAAAGAATGGTGACTGTTGAATGATATGCAATTCATCCCCATAAACTATTTAAGTCTAAGGTTCACATTCCTATACAGATATAACCCACTGGAAGATATATTACTGAGATTAAAATTCGTTCTCTCCCTTGCCTTATGAAAATAAAGAAGGAATCAAACTCAATTGTACCTTGAGCATTTAATGACAAATATCAATAACAATATTTGTTGTAACCAGGCAGTAATCCATCGAGAAATAATGAATATGAAAACTGATAAAGAACAACATGAGGTTGTGTGCAGTGGCTCATGCCCATAATCCCAGCACTTTGGGAGGACAAGGTGGGAGGATCACTTGAGCCCAGGAGTTTGAGACCAGCCTGGACAGCATAGTGAGACTTCGTCTCTACAAAAAAAAAAAAAAAATAGCTGGGCATGCTGGCTTGTACCCGTAGTTCCAACAACTTGGGAGGCTGAGGCAGGAGGATTGGTTAAGCCTGGAGTTTGAGGCTGCATTGAGCCATGATAGCACCACTGCACTCCAGCCTGGGTAACAGTGAGACATTGTCTCTGGAAAAAAAAAATGTGAATTACAGAAACAAAATAAAATGAGAGCATGCCTGAGGAATTGAAGGAATTCATCACAGATCTGTGATTATCCACCAAGATTAAGTATGTTATCAATGGCCTTCAAAGAACCTTCAGGAAGCATCAACTTTAGATAGTGTTTGACGATGGAGAGAAAATCAGAGTGTGAGATTTTGGAAAAGGGTTAAGAGTGTCAAGGATGGCAGGAATGCACACGTGTATCTAAAGAGATGAGAGATAGGATGTGCAGACCCAGAAAAGAAAGAGAAGAAATCAGAATAGTTGGTTACATTTTTGGCAGGAAAACTTCTTTGCAACACCCTGAAGGTGAGGAAGGAAATTCCAGACCTCAGGCATAGGACCTCTTTCTGTATCTCTTGCTTACATATCAGCTGGGGATTATGTTGGATTTAGATTCAGTAAACAAGGGTGGGCCTGAGACTGCCTATGCTGATGCTCCTGATCCGTGGACCACAGTTTGAGGAGCAAGTCATCAGGACACTCTCCTACAGTGAGAGGTGATGCTGTGATATTGATCCGTGCAGCCATGAGGATGGCTGATCAGCTCCCCTCTTCCTGGCCAGGAGCAGCCATATTTATGGACACCAGTGAGGTACACAATGTGATTATTTTCTATATGAACAGGGGCAAGAAAAGGGTTGGTATTCATACTCTCACACCATGTTAAGGATACTGAGAAATTTACAAGTTGAGGAAGAGACAAGAAGGGGCAAAAACAAACAAACAAACAAACAAACAAAACCCAAACAAACAAACAAAAAAAACGAAGAATGGAGATGCCGTTACAACTATTTAGAAAATTGAAAGACATATAATTTTGAAAGGGAAGGCTGTTTGTCTACTACAAACTCTCTCATATGTCCTAAGAGGGTAGCTGCTCCTTGAAACTTATTCTGCTTAATAAATTGACCACATTTTACCATGTGTTGATCACGTTTTCCTTAACTTCCAAGCTGTCATCTTGTTGAGTTTGAGGTACAGACTGGAAGTTCAGGCAAAGATATTGAAGGCGGTATGGTTGGCAGAATTTTGGCCCCCATGAGTTTTGGCCCTTGGTGTTCCTCCCATGGTTATGTGATGGCCCAAGGGAGTCTACAGATGTCATTGAGGTTATCATCAGCTGACCTTAAAAGAGGGAGGTTCTCCTGGCTTATCAGGATGGGACCAATGTAATCAGGAGTCCTTAGTAGCAGAGAATTTTGCTGGCTGAGGAGAAAGAGATGTGGCACCAGAGACGTCCTACTGAGACCTTGGTCTTAGAACTGTAAGGAACAAACACAGTTCTGCACCCACCTCAATGAACCTGGAAGCGGATTCTCCCTCAGAGCCTGGAGATAAGAACCCAGGCTGCTTATCACCTTAATTTTAGCCTTGTGAGACTGCCCATGAGCAGAGGAACCTGCTGAGCCCACCCAGATTTCTGACCTATACAAGTATGAGATGATAAATTTGTGTTGTTCTCAGCTGCCCATTTCATGGCGGTTTGTTACAGCAGCAGTAGAACATGAATACGGTCAGCACCAGAAGGTATAGAACTTGCAATAGAGATGTAGGCGTTACCTGCACAGCTGGACAACATATTGAAGTAGGAGAGGGAACATGTGATTTCAGTGGAGCGAGTAAAAGAGGAGAAGAAAGAAAAGGAGCCTTGAGAGGAAAGGAAGGAAGCCAGGTTTCCAGCTGGCGTTGACCTCACGGAAGGAGAAAAGGATAAAGAAGGTGGAGGGGAGCAAAAGAAAGAGAGAGAGCTGCAGAGGGCCAGTAGATGTGTGGATTTGCAGGTCGCCTGTGAGCTGTGAGAGCCTGGTTTGGCAGGTAGCGCTAAGACAAAGAACGTTCGAGCGCGAGCTATTCATAGGCAGTGAGATATGAAGATAGGCAGGCATGGCAGGTCCACTCTCCTTCCCTTTCGAATGGTGTGAGAGTTCCACTAGAGATCTGGAATGGCACATCTGAGGAAGCCAGGGAAAGAGGTCTTTTTTTTTTTGAGAATGAGAGAAGCTTCCATCTGAATGTAGACCGTGGGAAAACATCTGCAAAGTGGGCTTTGAAGATGCAAGAGAGTGGAGTGAATGGGTAGAGAAAGACAGTGGAGGAAACCTGGGAGGTGATCAAGGCATTCTGCTGTTATCTCGTCTAGTCTCATTCATTCTGTTTTAGTCCATGGCTAAATAGACTATGGACTGACCCACCATCTGCTTTATAAGCTGATATCAAGCTAATCTTTCTTTCTTTCCTTTTTTGTTTTTTTTTGTTTTGTTTTGTTTTGTTTTGTTTTGTTTGAGTCAGAGTCTCGCTCTGTCATCAGGCTAGAGTGCAGTGGCATGATCCTGGCTCACTGCAACCTCTGCCTCCAGGGTTCAAGCGATTCCCCTGCCTCAGCCTCTCGAGTAGCTGGGACTACAGGTGTGTGCCACCATGTCCAGCTAATTTTTTTTTATTTTAATTTTTTGTATTTTAGTAGAGACGGGGTTTCGCCATGTTGGCCAGAATGGTCTTGATCTTCTGACCTCATGATCTGCCCACCTTCACTTCTCAAAGTGTTGGGATTACAGGCGTGAGCCATTGCGCCCGGCCCGATCGAGCCTAATCTTTTTAATCTTTTTTTTTTTTTTTTTTTTGAGACAAGGTCTCGCTCTGTTGCCCAGGCTGGAGTGCAGTAGTGCGATCTTGGCTCACTGCAGCCTCTACCTCCTGAGCTCAAGCAATCCTCCCACCTCAGCCTCCCGAGTAGTTGGTACTACAGGCAAGCACCACCATGCCCAGCAATTTTTAAATTCTTTTTGTAGAGTTGAGGTCTCACTATATTGCCCAAGCTGGTCTTGAACTCCTGGGCTGAAGCGATCCTCCAGCCTCAGCCTCTCAATGAGATAACAGGCATAAGCTACCATGCCCAACCCTTTTAGTTGTAAATAATTGTCCTCAAGCATGTTTTACCATGTATTGACCACACTTCCTTTGCTTGCAAGCCTCTGTGTCAAGACTCTCAGTCCTTCTTTCTAAGATTCCTTCTTGGTTGCTATTACTCTTCATTTCTGTTTGTGTTCTGCCCAAACAACCCCTCCACATCTCCTTCTTTCCCATGCTTGGTCTTCAAATATGCCAACAGCATCTGGAGACTTTGTGCTTACCACTTTCTCTGTGTAGGTGGAAAGACACATTGCTCGGTCTTTATTTTCTTCAATTCTCTTCTCAAACATCCCCTTATTAGAGAGGCTTTCCTTAAATACTCTGTATAAAATGGCAATCCCAAATTCCAGCTAAGACCTTATTATTCATTCTCTAATCTCTCTATCATCTATCTACTATCTATGTATCCTCTGTCACTATCTTATTATCTATCATCTATCTACCTATCTACGTACCTGTTATCTAGCTATTCATCCTATCTGTTCTATCTATCTACCTATATCTATCTATCCATCCTATCTGTCCTATCTATCTATCTATCTACCTACCTATCTACCTACCTACCTACCTACCTATTACCTAGCTATCCATCGTATCTGATGTATCTATCTATCTATCTATCTATCTATCTATCATCTCTCTATCTTATGTATGTATGTATGTATGTATCTACCTATCATCTGTCTATCTGTCCTATCTGTCTATCTATCTATCTACCTGCCTAACATCTATCTGTTCATCCTATCTGTTCCATCTATCTATCTATCCATCCTATCTATCTATCATCTATCTCTATCATCTATCCTATTATCTACCTATCTTCTATTTATCTATCATCTATCTTACCTATCTACCTATCTTCTATTTATCAATCATCTATCTTATCCACCTATCTTCTGTTTATTTATCTTCTATTTATCCTCTATCTTATCTATCTTCTACATTAAATATGAATCCATGAGAGCAGGACTTTGTTTTATGTTCTCAGTGGCTAGAATAGTGCCTAGCACATAGTAGACATTCAAAAATGTTTGTTGTAGAGTGGATGACTTTTATTGGTCTGCCCAGCATGGAGTCCTGGAATTATCATGAATTCAGAAAGAAAATAACATAAAACTGTTAATCCTCTGTGCTCCAGGTTTCTATCATAATGTATAGATCCTGCTATGGTCTGAATGTGTGTGTCCTTCCAAAATTCCTGTGTTGAAACCCTCATCCCCAGGGTGATGGTATTAGGAGGTGGGGCTTTGGGAGGTAATGAGGTCATGAGGGAGGAGCCTCATGAATGGGATTAGTGCCCTTATAAAAGGACTCCAGAGAGCTCCCTCACCCCTTCCACCATGTGAGGACACAGAGAGAAGGAGTTGTCTATGAACCAGGAAGCGAGTTCTCACCAGACAGTGAATCTGCCATGCCCTGATCATGGACTTCCAGCCTCCAGAACTGTGAAAAATACATTTCTGTTGTTTATAAGCCTCCCAGTTTATGGCATTTTGTTATAGCAGCCTGAACAAACTAGCTTTTTCATACTTTTCATCTTTTCTCTTATAGCAAAATTGAGTTCATGCATTGTTGAGAATAATATAGTATCAAGTACCAATCTTGTAAGACATCTCATTCTTACCAACCTGTTTTTATCATTGCTTTTGAAACCAAGCATTGATAATTATCAGATGTCAAATAGTTAATACACTTACATAATATTTGTCATATAAGTATTATAGAAATAATTAATATTTTCTAGATTTTTTCCTATCAAGAAAGAAGAGGAAAGTTAGAAATAACATATTTTTGTCCACACAATGACTATATAGAATCATAACATGAAATAAGTTTGCCTCTTGAAATATACCACTTTGCAAAGAAAGGCAGGGTCTTATCCGTTCACCATAGTCATTGAAAAACTGTAAGAGGAAAATAAAAGCATCTTAAATTCTTAGGGCAACAAAATTGATCAGAACTAAGAAAAGATGATTGAGTTGCTTTAGATTTGCATATTCAATCAGCAAGATCATTTTTAATCTTATAAAAGGGTATTTTACAGTAACATCAATCGTTGAACATATATACTCAGAAATGCATACAATTAAGAAAAAAATCAAACAAACCCAGACATGGCAGAAAGACATAAACATATTGACTGAAGAAAGGCTGGGAGTCAGAGAAACATTTCCGAAGTTGCCAAGTCTTTGAAGTGATAATATTTCAAGGAGGCAAAACTGAAAAGTTGTCTGTTATAAGTGTTTTTTCTTCTTGTCTAAGCATGTACATGGCTTGTACTTTTACCAAACAAGAAATGCTAGAAACCGTAAGGCAAGAATACACATGATTTTAGACAGGGCCACTGGACTGAGTCATTAGAGGGCATTGGTCTGCAAAACCAGATACAATGTAGACTCAGTCATTGCCTAAATTGCATTGGAAAATATGCATATGGGTTCCTAACATTAAATCCTTTAAGTAGATATTTCTTTTTCTTTCCCTTCCTGGCAGATAGGAATGACACCCAAGGAGTTTTGACACAGGTTATCACTCCTTACATAAAACGATGATCTATATCAATAAAGCAAGAATAAACATTTACATCTATCCATCTGTAAGGTATGAACATTGGTCTTCAAACTCAGGAAGGCGGAGGCTGGAAGAAGCAATCCAATTACTGTCCACATTTCCATGTATCTGTTGTCATTCCTGAATATGCACAACTAAAATAATTACAGTAGCATTATTTTTCCTTCCACATATACTTTGTTATTGTTTCTCTTTAATATCTCCAAAAGTACCTACTCAGTAACCACAGCCATATGCCCTACATACAGGAGAACACCTTGGACATGTCACATCAAAAGCCACAAGAGAAAATGCTGTTTTTTTCAACTAAAGGATTATAAATACCTGGAGGATTACCTGGATGATCTAATTAGCATTGTCTGGTCATAATCTCATGATCAATGCAAACTGACTGCATTTGAATGCCAATGTTTTCATTTCAAAATGCTAACATTTAGAATATAGTCGAACCAAACGTTGCTTAACATCCTTTGCTAGCTGTTTCTTTTGAATTTCATTTTTTGCTTGTTTCAGTGACAATGCTGAAATTAGATGGTGTAAGAAAAAGAAACTTAATTGCTATTATAATTTGAACAGTTTTCGAAACGTTTGGTGCTGTATTTTTGAAAGAGGATTTTATCTCATTGAACTAGACGGTCAAGACACAATTTATTCTTTGGAAACAAATCCTGTAATCTCTGCCCAGCTGGGCTCAATTGTCCACTGGAAGGATCTTGTCGAAATCTGTGTCCTGTAAGATAATTGGTTCAGCCACAGCAATGGCCAGTCTCCATGAAACTGGGTAGGAAAAACATCCTGTGAAATGGAGTTTTCTGTGGGAAACAAAGTCAACGCCATGTGCTCTCCAAGAGGCAAAATGCAGGCAGAGGAAGAGGAGATGAATCAAAAATAAAAAAGGAAGATTATAAGAAAAATCATAAAGCCACATGCTGCTAGATCTTCTTCTTTTTCCCCCTCACTTTCCTGGGGCCATACGATATGCTTTTCTTAAGACAAGTATAAATAAATCCATGGTGCTGAAAGAAAGAGCCTGAAAACAGAGATGATTACTATCTATTTTTTTTTTTTACAGTGTCTCCCTTCTAAACTTGCTGCTGTTACACCAGAGCATGGTGTACCCTCTACCCTCCCTAAACGAGGTACATGATAAGAGTCATTATTTGATAGAGTCGATTTTGGATATGTTTACACCATTCCATCAACAATTTTATGCTGAATCATATGAAATTGCCAATATTCACCCATGACAGTTTTGTATATTGTTCAACACAATATATCTCTACAAGTTAGTTGCATTAATTCCGAGGAATAAATGACTATTCTTAAAAAATGAACTAGGGGACTCAGGGCACCTGTGTTTGCTTAGCGCCATGGCTTAGTCATACTTAAGGTTCCTTTTCCCTTGTGGTATGCATCATAAATTTCTTCTGTATCTCCTCTACTTCTGTACAGGGAGGATTATAATTATACCCAAGCCTTTGGAAGTAGTAGATGTGTTCAGGTGACTACCTCACTATTCGCAATGAAACATGAATGGAAGTGATGTGTTTTGCATGTGCTGGAGTATTTAATCACCTTTACTGGACTCTCTGGCCATCTCCTCCCATGATGCCTTATGTTGAGACGATGACCTTCTATAAGGGCAGAGCAGGTCTCTCTGCCAACCACATTGGATGCCAGCTTAAGCAAGAAATAAATCTTTGTTGTTTTAAGCCAATGAAATTTTTGAGTGGTTAGATACTATAATCAACCCAGTTTATTCTCACTAAAAAAAGATCTCTGGGGGAAAAATATGATGTCAGGCAATACTCAATAATGCTTGCTGTTGATGATAAGAGTAGAGTCAACATTTGGCAACTTAAAATTTAGAGGGCGTGAATGGCCTTTCCAAAACCTCTGGCCCCAGGAATTCCCACTCACTAGAAATCCTGTTTAGAAATATCTTTTCTGGGGAGGTTATCAAAACTCCTGACATTATGAGTTCTGAAGTAGTTAAACCCTTCCCTGCTTAACATTTGGTTAGGATAAATTTCATTAAGTCAAACCCGGTAGGGTAGGGTGAAAGTCTTTGGAATAGTGCACAGTCTTGGTTTTGTCTTAGCAATAGGGAAGTGTAGAAACATCTTGAGCATTAATAAACCCTCCTAATATCACTAGCAATTAATAATAAATGGCACTCAGAAGTGACAATCCAAAGTCAATATATGGAAATGGCATCTTTTTGGAGTGAAGCTATTTTGACAGGCTAAATTCCAATAATATTAAACACAGCTGTCACTTCAGCATATGTGGTGATGACTCAGTTAGGTAAAATTAGGATCATGACCACCGGGAAAAATTAAAAGACAGACATGACAGAAAGAGGAAAGACTGGATTTCAGTAGAAAAAGAAGAAAATGTGCATTTATGCAGAGCATTTAATCTAATGTTTTTTTTTCTCCCCAAGGGGAGAAAAAAGTCCTTTCAAGCACTGTATTTATAGGTACAATTATAAATGTAGCCTAATCCTCTTTTCAATTTTAAGAAACCTAGTAGACCAAGTCTCTGACAACAAACACAATAGAAATAAGCCCACGCTACACAGTTTTGGGTAAGATAAAACCTTTTTGCACAAGACATCCAGAAATGAACAACATAAGCTTTGCTCCTATTTCTAGCTACTCTTTTTAAGCAAGCTGTGGATTTCGCAATCAACTTTTGCTCAAGTCTCTGTTTTGTGATAATAAAGCCCATTGACAGCATTTGTTTTGCAGCTCTGTGTTGTCCCAACCTAATTTGAAATTAAAATAATTGTTATTAAAATGGAACAAAAGAAAAAAAATGGCATGAGATGAATTAGAATTGTTTAGTATGGACAATGAACCTGGCTTTCATTTTCAGGAAATATGATTTTGCACAAAGAAAATTATTTGCTTCTTGAAAGAGAAATAATAGTTGGAAATGCTTGAGTTATTCATATCACGTTTACACAGAAAAATTTCGGTCATTTAAAATTTTTGTTCATGGAAATGAAATAATTCCATAACCTAGGAGAGAGAGACAGCCTATATAATACTTTAAAGAAAGTCAATGTTATGATGCAGGCAGAATTTGTCTTCTCTATCATCCCCCTTCATTTTGCTCCCCAGTGGCTGTGCCTTAGGTTCTGTCCCTAAATAGCTCAGGGGTTCTCAAAAGCCATGTTTTCATGCCCTGGAATCTTCCCTTTACTTTGCTTCATTCACAGGTCCCACTGGGGCCTTGTCTCTACTAGGATGGAGATTAGAAATTCCTACTCTAACAAATACTCACTCTGCTGATGTTAGGGTACTAAGGCCTCTCCCCAGTAGAGTTTGCCAGGAGTCAGATTTCTGAGGCTTATTTATTTTATTTTATGTAGAGATTGAGTCTTGCTCTGTTACCCAGGCTGGAGTTCAGTGGCACGATCATCGCTCACTGCAGCCTCCAACTCCTGAGCCCAGGCAATCATCCCACCTCAGCCTCCTGAGTAGCTACGACTACAGATGCATGCCACCACATCTGGCTAGTTTTTATTTTTTGTGTAGATGGGGTTTTGCCATGTTGGCTAGGCTGGTCTTGAGCTCCTGGCCTCAAGTGATTCTCCTAACTCGGCCTCCCAAAGTGCTGGGATTACAGGCATGAGCCATCATGCTGGGCCTCAGAGTTTTCAGAGTTAATACAAACTCTACCTTGTCATAAGGAACTCTAGCGCCGCTGGGAGAGTGATATCTCTGGAGAGTGATATTCCACCTGACTTCTTCCCTGGGCTTGAAAGGGGACTTTTGTGAGCAGGGGAGCAGTGAAAAAATCCTCAAGAAAGGTGTCTTCCTTGACTTAAAGGAATTTCTCTGGGGGCTTGGGCCCTGCTCTGTGTCACCCTAAAGGTAGGAGAGGAATCAGGAGATAAGGAATTAGAGGAAGACTGGGGTACAAGGGCCATGGCCAATAGCATATTCTTTGGAGTGTTGCTTTTGCATTCCAGCCAGTGTGGGTGGGTACCACATGAGGCCAGTCTAGGAGGCAGAGCCCTGACACCTTGCAAACAGGTATGCAAAATGCCTGCACCTTTAGCGCTCTGAAGCTGTCTTGTGTTGCATGCACGTGATCTGCTCATGCTTAGAAGTAATTATTAAGTGCTTTTACTTAGCCAATGTGGGCACAGCATATTAACTCCAACTCACTTCAAGGCAAAGTTTATTATAATCACCTACCTCCTCCATCTTGCTTAGTTTACTTAAAATACCACGTGTTTGTTGGTCGGCTTCACAAGACAAGCTCTCTTTCCGAAGTCCTAGCAGTCAGCTCTCTAAATGTCTCATGCTCCCCCTTCCTCCTTGGTTTCTATAAAGGAGAATGCTGCTTCTTTTTATAGAAGTAATTTCCCTGAGAATCTGATAAAGGTCTAGCATGATTCTGCAAAATAGCGCAGTAACAACATTATTATCACCTGGTGTTTTTTTTTTCAGATATACATTAATCAGTACATTAAGCAGTTGGAATTTAACCTTAATAAAGACAAAATATAAAGTCTATTTGAGATCATAGACTTTGAGGTCAAATGTATTTTGATAGCTGTGAACATGCTTGAAATCTGAAGTGACTTAAGTTGTGGCTGGTTTCAAAAGCTCTTGTAACATTAGCAAACCCTAACCCTGGAATCTGTCTTTAAACTCACACATCAGTCCTCAGGGCCTGAGGTGTGTGTCTACATGGAATAATGCCAATATGACTTCATTCCGAGGGAAATGGCTGACCCACCTTTTCTTGTCAGTAGTCCCTTAATAGGAAGGACAGAACAAAATCAGCCTGGTTACATAGGACCCTGAAATTCACATTTGTAATTATGCAAATTCATCTATTGTTGACAGAAAATGCAACATATTGATTGTTGCTGTTGAACTTTGCATTTGAATACTTGCAAACGCTTTCAACTAATTGATTTGCGTATCCTATAATCTGACATCAGAGAGTAACTCAAGTACAAATTGCCCCACTTCTCAAGAAAAGTGCACTGCTATATAATTGAAGCCATTTCAGGTCTTTTGCAAACCTATTATGAAGTACTGAGTTTTAGTCTACTTTTATTTATTGCTGGGACCAGCTGTTCTCTTTAAGTGCCTCTCTGTGACCCCGACATGAAAAAGGTTGATTTGCAAGAACAAAATGTATACATACCTGCAGTGTGTGTGTGTGTGTGTGTGTGTGTGTGTGTGTGTGTGTGTGTGTGGTGGGGATGAACATTGGCTACTCTCTTTAATGAGAATGGAAGCTAAGCTTTAGATGCAGTTTTACGGGTCCCTAGAATTGATCAAAAGCATCCATAGGGAGTGAAGGGGACTGAACCAGTGACAGTGCCCTTCCTATGTGTTATGGGCTGAATTGTGTCACCCCCCAACCCTCACCACCGACTAATATTTATATGTTGAAGCCCTAACTCTCAGGACCTCAGAATGTGACCTTATTTGGAGATAGGGTCTTTAAAGAGGTAATTGAATTAAAATGAGGTCATTAGGGCGGGCCCTGATCCAATAGGACTGGTGTTTTTATAAGAGGAGATGAGGACACAAACACACACACAGGAACGATCCTGTGAGGTCACAGGAGGACACGGCATCTACAAGCCAAGGAGAGAGGACTCAGGGAGAACCAGCCCTGCCCACACGTTGATCTCAAACTTCCAGCTTCCAGGACTGTGAGAGAATAAATCTCTTTGGTTTATAAGCCACCAGTCTATGGTATTCTGTTACAGCAGCCTGAAATGGACTTAGACATCTCACAAGAAGAGATGAGGACACAGACACACACACAAGAATGACCCTGTGAGGACACAGGGAGGAGATGGCATCTACAAGGCAAGGAGAGAGGCCTCAGGGGGAACCAGCCCTGCCCACAACTTGATGTCCAACTTCCAGCCTCCAGGACTGTGAGAGAATACATTTCTGTTGTTTAAGCCGCCCAGTCTGTGGTCCTTTGTTATAATAGCAAGAGCAAACTAATACACTATAAAAGGACCCTGTGTTGGGGGCAGGGGTTGACAAGGGAGAAGAGTGTGTTTGGGTGTAGCTGTCTTTCAAAGACAGGTCAAGAGACCTAACTCACACCTGCCCTTGTTGGCACAAGGACGTGGACTATAGGTAATTACAAAATGATACCCTCAGGCATGGCAGTACATAGTATTATGGTTGCCCAGAGATTTCCATGCCCCAGTCTCCAGAACCTGTGCAGTTATTACATCCCACAGCCAAAGGGACTTTGCAAATGTGATTAAATTTGCAGGCTTTAAAATAGGGAGATCATCCTGGTTTATCTGAATGAGCCCAGTTTAATCACTCAATCCCTTTAACGTCTAAGAAGAGTCTGTTTGAGAGATGCAGCGGAAGAAAAGAAAGAAACGTGTGCATCATTGCTGGTTCTGAGACGTAGCTGGCTACTTGCGTGCAAGGTCTTAAAAGATGACTCTAGGAGCAGAGGGCAGTCCCCACTAACAGCCAGAAAGACTAACAGGGACCTTAGTCCTACTGCAATGAACCAGATTGTGCCAACAACCCTAATAAGCCTGGAATGGATTTTTCCCAGAGCCCCCACATAAGAGCCCAGCCCAGCTGACACCTTGATTTCACCATTGTGAGACTTTCAGTAGAGAACTTCATGGAGCCACCAGGAATTCTGACCTACAGAATGGAAAATGAATAAATGGGTATTGTTTTAACTTGCTGAACTGTGAAATTTTGTTACAGCAGCAATAGAAAACTAATACAAGTGTATTTTACCACTGTTTTGGGTCTCTACCTGATAACCTCAAATGATTTTGACCCTGACTCTACAAAGTATGGTCTGTGGACCAGCAGCCTAGGCATCACCTGGGAGCTGGTTAGAAATGCAGATGCTCACATCCCACCCTAGACCTCTTGCATCAGAATCTGCATTTGGATAAGATGCCCAGGTAATTGGTGTGCACACCCAACAACTACCTCTATTCATTCAGAGATCCAAGCAGGATGAGGTACTATGTTTTTTATTTAGCAACATCATGAGAGGTTTGCAAAATTATTTAGATAAAATAAAGAAGATATACAAATGGCCAACAAATATGTGAAAAAATGTTCAACATCACTAATCATCAGGGGAATGCAAATCATAGTCACAATGAGGTACTAGCTCACTCCAGTTAGGACGGCTATTATCAAAAGGACAAAAATCAGCAAATGCTGGTGAGGATGTGCAGAAAAAGGAACGTTTATACACAGAGAGAATGTAAATTAGTATTGCCATTATGGAAAACAGAATGGAGGTTCCTCAAAAAACCACAAACAGAACTATTATATGATCCAGGAATCCCACTACTGGGTATTTGTCCAAATAGAAGGAAAGGAAATCAGTATATGGAAGAGACATCTACACCCCTGTGTTTATTAGCTGTTCACAATAGCCAACAGCAGATGAAGGGATAAATAAAATGCACTATATGCACACAACAGAGTACTATTCAGCCATAAAAACAATGAAATCTTGTCATGAGCACCTCCATGGGTGGAATTGGAGCACATTATCTTAAGTGAAATAACTCTGAAACAGAAAGTTAACTACTTCATGTTCTCACTCATATGTGAAAGCTAAAAAAGATACCGATCTCATAGACTTGAAAAGTACAACAGAGGATACTAGATGCCGGGAAGGGAAGGGGGAAGGGAAGGATAGGGAGAGATTTGTTGAATGATACAAAATTAGAGCTAGATAAGAGGAATAGTTTCTAGTGTTCTCTATCTGTATAGGATGACTGTAGTTAACAATAATATATTGTTGTTTCAAATAGCTGGAAGGAGGATGCTAAATGTTCCCAAGACAAAGAAATGATCAATATTTGAAATGATGGATGTGCTAATCACCCTGATCTGATTAGTATACATGTCTCAAAACATTACTATGTACTCCATTAATATGTATGATTATTATGTATCAATTAAAAAATTAAAACTTTTTTTGGATAAATCTCTTAGCTGTACCACAGAGTATATAATTTTTCATAATCTTTATCCATTTGAAACTTTTAAAATATATGCCATTTTCATGATCTGTTTTGTCGATGGTAAAGATTCTGTTAATGAGATACTGACAGGGAAATTCCTGGGAGCCAAAGTGACTTTAACTGGAATCTTGGCATTTTCCATTCCAAACTCTTTTCTCTGTTAATACTAATCCAGGCAGGGCAGGCCAGCCACTGTTCTGGAGAAGTTAGACCAAGATCAGAAGCTAGGGAGTATTAGAAATTTATAAAACTGCCTTAAAATCCTCTTTCATCCTGCAAACCTCTCCTCTTCTCGAAGTCTCTAACGCTATACCTTCTGTCAGCTGCTAGCGTCTATGATCCTCTGAATCCAGCCATTCCTTCCTCTCTTATTTTGCCAATGCTTTAAGCCTTGACTGATACACTTCCCTTTGACAACTGCTCCAGGGAATTTGTGGGCCAGTTAATAGCTAATCCTCCATTTCTCTAATCTGGGTTCTCTCATCCTCATAAAACTCTTTATGATGCATTCCCACCCAGATCCTTGTTTTTTGTTTGTTTGTTTGTTTGTTTTTTGTTTTTTCTTTTTGAGACAGAGTCTCGCTCTGTCACCGAGGCTGGAGTGCAGTGGTGTGATCTCGGCTCACTGCAACCTCAGCTACCTGGGTTCTAGCAATTCTCCTGCCTCAGCTTCCTGAGTACCTGGGACTACAGTACAGGTGCATGCTACTGTGCCTGGCTACTTTTTTATATTTTAGTAGAGACGGGGTTTCACCCTGTTGCCCAGGCTGGTCTCGAACTCCTGAGCTCAGGCAATCCACCCACCTCAGCCGCCCAAAGTGCTAGGATTACAGGCGTGAGCCATCGCGTCCCAGCCTCTTAGCCCTATTTTTATCCTACACAAGGTAATATCAGCATGAATATCTCCACACTTACATTTTATTTTTGTTTCCATTCATTAGCATGCTAAGTAGGCAGTTTACCTATCAACTAGTTGTTCAAGCACCTTGATTATAAAAGATTAAGCAGAAATACTGCCATGGTCTGGCTTCTCAAGAGATAACATATTCCTAATTACAAGTTCCTAGAGTCAAACTCAGATAGATATCTGAAAAAAAGCAGATTGACTGCAGCTCAAAGAGTAAGTCTGGTGACTAATCCAGGTGGATTTGGGAGTCACTGACTGAACAAAAACTGCCTCTAATAGCTTGAGGATATTCATTTGATATGAAATTATCATATGACTTTAGTGCAAACTGCCTGCTGATTTTTTTTTTTACAGTAAACCTATTGAGTGCTGCTTAAATCTTCACATCTAAAAAAATAGCTATCAGGAGTTATTAAACTCCTACTATGATGAAGACAGCCATGCTGTGGTGCAGTTCGTGTTCTGTGTATGATGATTTAAATACATAAACAAGTACACAGGATGTAGTTTGTTGAAAACTACAATGGATGCATTTAATAAAGACTATTACTGAAATATGTGCTTTTCAGTGGTCACGGATGGAAGGCACAGTCACTGGGGAAAGGTAAATTATACCAAAATCAAAAATACAAATATGCGTAACTTCTGTTCATCAATACACACCATTAAAGAAGTGATGCAGCCAATTAGAGAGTTGGAAGAAGTGCAACATATGTCCAATGAAAGACTGACTGACTGAATATATGAAGAACTCCCATAAGTCAATATAAAAATTGTAGAAAACCCAATAGAAAGATGGGATGGAATAGGCCCTTTAAAAAGTGACTAGAAAACCAATGAACATATTCAAAGCTTCTCAAACCTATCAGCAATCAGAGATATGCAAATTGAAACAACCATGTGATGCCACTACACAACCTTCAGAATTTGCTAAAATGAAGAAGGCAAACATCAAATCTTGATGAAGATGTGGAATGATTGGAAATTTCATACATGTTGGGTGAAAATACAAATTGGTCATTTTGGAGAACTGTTGGGCAGTATTTAAGTATTGTAGAATGTATTCATATTTTATGGGCCAACATTTCCAATCCTAAAAATCTGTGCATTTGTTCACCATCAGCATGGAAAACAGTGTTTTTGGCAGCATTATTTATAATCATCTCAAGTAGGACTCATGCCCTAACCACCATAAAAGTTGAGCCATCTCTTTCAGCCATAGACTGAATAAGAAAACACTGAAGAAGTCTTGAATTCAAAAAAGTTCTTTGGACTAGATATTGAAGCATGAATTGAATTTCATCCCTGATTTGGTCTGAGTTTTGCTTCTGCTCAAGTTAGCATGGTGCACATTTCTTTACCTTAACATGCCTCCAAGCACCCTGCATTTACCTGTGTTTCTGGCCATTCATTGATGTGTTTCGTGGTGCTCACCCAGTGCCCAGCACAGAATACATGCCTATGGAACTTCACACGTACTTATCAGCCAGCAAGAAACAAGTACATAAAATGATTTCTCAGACAGTGGAAGCATTTCCTGGTATTATTTTTTTCCTGTGGGGTTTACTCAAAGAGTCGTTTCAAAATGTTTAAAGGAGATTTTATTACAAGAGAGAGCATCTGTTATGTGATGTCTCTAACAACTTATGTCGGCTAACTGGATTTGGTTACTGAGAAAAGATGAATGGATTTTGAGAATGAGCCTTGAAGTTATTTCATCTCCTATTAAAATATGTTGCTAACTTGTGGCTGGGCATGGCGTCTCACGCCTATAATTCTAGCACTTTGGGAGGCTGAGGTGGGCAGATCACTTGAGGTCAGGAGTTTGAGACCAGCCTGGCCAACATTATGAAACTCCGTCTCTACTAAAATGACAAAAATAGCCGGGCATGATGACACGTGCCTGTAGTCCCAGCTACTCAGAAGGCTGAGGCCTGAGAATTGCTTGAACCCAGGAGGCAGAGGTTGCAGTGAGCTGAGATCATGCCACTGCACTCCAGCCTGGGCAACAGAACAGGACCTTGTCACACACACACACACACACACACACACACACACACACACACACACACATTGCTAACTTGTGGTAAGAGACACTCCAGATAGTGAAGTCCTTGTCTGTTGTCTCTGACTTTTATTTACTTCTATGAGGACCAGGGGAGGACCCTCATCTCTGAAAACTTCTGTTATGTCCCACAGTCTGGTGAGAAAACCAGCCCTCTGAAGAGGAGGGGATGATACTGATCATTGTTTATTTAATAGTAATGCTGTAATATTAATAATAGAAAACCTTGAACTGTCTCCTCTGGAGATGTGTAATTCATAACCCTGGCATAAAATTGTCATTTTAAAAAAGAATCTTGGCATGAAATCTTTGAGTTTAATTGGAGGGTATTATCACAAACAAGGGGAATGATAATATACGCCTTGTAACTGACTGAGCCCTTATCCTTGAACTTCTAAGTCTCTTCACCCATCCTCTTCCGTGATATGATAGGTAGAGTCCATTGTCTTCCATCCTTGAAAATGTATTTCAAGAGGTCACATGAAAGGGAAAACTCTTTGTTATTCTCTTTTTCTACTCTGAATAGAAAGCACACACAAGCTTAACCTGGAGCCCAGGAAGGCCGAGAGAAGCCTGTTTCTTTGGTTTGTTTCTGGGCTTCTTGCGTTGGCATGTGACCCAGGGCATACAAATAAATCCTTGTGATTCAGTTACTTCACGTGCATAAAGAAAAAACTGCAATAAATATTCTGAATCCATTTTGGATGTTTTACCGCAAACAGCATTCAAACCCACAACTCCCCTTCCCCTTCTGTCACCACAGCCAGGTAAGTAATAAGAATGCCTGGAGGTTGAGGGAGTGAAACTATGCAAGCCACAGCCTGTGTTCAAGAAGGCTCCCTGCAACCTCACACCTTAACCACCATGAAAGCTGAGTCATCTCCTTTCTCTGTGACTGAAGCCATCTTTGTACTAGCTTGGGAGTCTTCCTTGCTCTTCCCAGAAAGCCCCACTGTGTCATAAGCCTTCTCATACATTCTTTATGCATGTAATGTCATCAGTCTTGACCTCTAAAGCAAAGTTTGGATGTGTGCGTGTTTGGAGGGAGGGGTCCATCCCACCTCTGTGGAATGACTACAGTGGGTATTAGGTCCCAGCCCTGAGCAATACCATAAAGAGCCCAATATCATTTTGCAGAACAAGCAGAATTTACTCCTTGGAGCAAAATAATAATGCACTTACCCATCGATATTTGAATGACTGGCTTTTTAATATACTTTCTAATAGCAATATATTTTATTTACTGCTGTGTCCATAGATGCCTTCTACATGGAATTTTCTTTTATCTCCACAGCCCAAAGTGATTCTCTTTGCTATAAACTGCCATAGCATTTTGATTGTCAGTCTCTTACACAACTTATTACGTTATTCCTTTTACTGCAGTTATACTACGGTACTCACAAAATGAGTACATTGCAGAGCTTTGGAGGCAGGGTTGCCTGGTCATCATGGGACAGTGCCTTATACAATCTATGTTCCCTGAATGTATAAATGAATCCATTTTGAGTGCCAATAGCAAAGACAGGAGAAAAGCACAATGCCATTTATTATGCACCAGGTATCTATACCCACGCATTTAAGAGAGTCACAGAAGCTGCCCTTTGCTCTGCCACTTTCCAATAGAACTGGTGTGCAAAACGTTGATTTTGGTTCACTAACCCTGGACAAATGCGCCTTGAATATGGTTTAACCATGTGTCATATAAAAATAGTTACAAGACTTGCTTTTATTTTTACATAGTATGTGTAGACCAGTTTGCCAAGCTCATTGCATGTAATCATTCAAATGCCTATGACGGTGACACTATAAGGTATATCCTATTTTATCCCCATTGTACAGATGTGAAAACTAAGGATCCATGAAGCTAAGGAGCCCGTTGAAGGTGAATGTTGGTAAGCTGGGATGCCAGATATATGAACCCATGTGTTATGGCTTTAGAATTTATGGACAGTTGCTGTGGCTATAGTACTCTGCTGTGTAGAGTTGTGACAGGCAGACCCTAATTCCCTTCTCTTGAGCATAGGCAGGACCTGAGACTTGCTTCTAACCAGCGGAATATAGCAGAAGAGATGTGATGCTTCCTTTGTGATTGTGTTACATAAGGTTGTAACTTTCATATTGCTGGGTGCTTCTCTCCCTCACTGGCACTGGAGAAATCAGCTACCATATTTCAGAGGCCCACATGGCAAGGAAGGGAGGGCCATCTTTGGCCAACAGCCAGCAGGAAACTGAGGCCTTCAGTCCTTCACTTCACAAGGAATTGAATTCTGCCAAAAATGTTGCAAGCTTGGAAGTGGATCCTTCTCCGGTTGAGCCACAGATAAGACCACAGCACTGGCTAACACTTTGATTGCTGGTGGCAGTCTTGTGAGACCCTGAAGCAGAAAATCTACACAAGCCATACCCAGATTCCTGATCCACAGAAACCATGAGATAATAAATGTGGGCTGGTTTAAACCACTAAGTTCATGGTAATTTGTTACACACATATAGATAAGTAATGCAGGTGGGCTAGTATGATTAGAGAGGGAAGACCAGAGAACAGCTTGATTCTCAGAGCCTTTTATCACTGGCAGCTTTATTAATCATTTTTCTTCTCTCTTCCTTCTCAACTCATCTTAGAGTCATGCTCCCTAAATGACCCTGATCATAAGAATAACCTGGAGTGCTTGCGAAATGTACCGAATTCCTACCTTTACGACTCATTGACTTGGTGGGGGAGGAGCCAAGGAGTCTAGAATTTCACCGAGACTTTCATGACATTCTTTTGCTCAGGCAAAGTTGAGAAGCACTGTCATATAGCTAGGGAGTGAATCTTGACCCTGGTTACATTTTAGACTCCCATAGAGTCTGAGGTGCATTGTCTGAGATGAAGCCTGGGGACTGGTATTTTTCTTTCTTTTTTTTTTTTTTTTTTTAAAAATACTCCCCATGTGATTTTAACATGCAGCCAAATTTAAGAACTGCTGATCTTCAGCAAGCCCTAGCAAGAAGATAGCAAATGTCAAGTACTCCATCAAGTAAGCATGCTAGTTATATAATGGGGAAGAGGGATAGAGGCCATTAATGTTCTAAGAGATATGTGCTTTCCCACAAAACTGACCTACTCCAAGCAAGACTGTCAGCTCATCTTTTTACGTTAAAGTGATTTATTCTAAAATGTTCCAAAAAGCACACATAATTGCAGGATGTTTGAGTATAAGATGTTTTTTGAGTATCAAAGTGAATAAAAGCTACCAGTGAATAGAATGGCAGAATTTGGTTTATAATATCTAGATTATTCTAGAAACTTGGGTGGAGGATGTAAAGTGTACATATTGTAATGAGGTTGACTATCTAATTTCTGGGGCCCAGTATAAAATGAAAACGTAGTGCCCCTTTTTCAAAAAAACAGCCCAAAGTGCCATTAAAGGAAAAATAAGTATAAAGCATTTACCTCTCTTCTGCAGTCTCTCACTTGGCTTGTCATGGTGTTTTGTATTTGCTATTTAATGTTGTTCTGAGAAAAGGAAAATTAAAATTTTAAATTATTAGCATGAGTATTACCATTCGTCTTTATATGACGTAATACCAGCTTTAAATGCAAATAGAAGAGCATTTAACTTGTGGACAGAATCACCGAAATTACCTAATTTATGTTTCATGGTGCATACATGCATATGTATTTTGTTCTTACCAGAACAGTGGAAACACTACACAAAACTAAATCAACTGTTTTTATTTTGCTTCTTTCTATGTGCACATTGTACCTCACTATGATTAGTTACTGGTAAGGAAGGACTTAATGGAAAAGGAATTACAGGCTTCCCTTCTTAGTCTTTTATTCTCTGTCATCATTTTTCATCCTAAGGAGTTGGCTCATGCAGGGTAACCCAGGATTTTTTCGTTTTGCATGTTTCTCAGAACGCCTGTGCCTTCTTTCTGAATTTGAAGGAAGTTGTGGTTTCAAGGGAAAGCATGGCCTCGCTTGGCTGTTAGCTTACTCACTTGTAGGTGTCCCATGCTTACATTGTCCTCTTTCTGAATCTCGCTGATCTCCTATGCACTGTGGGTTTACCAGAAGTCTGTGCTCATGGGCCACTGCATATGCTATCCATGAACAGGGCAGTAAGTAAAACCACTTTTGCAAAAATCGTTAGTTATTGGGACCTGAGTTTGGAGAATAACATGTTGGGTAGCGAGAAAGGTATAAATGATGTGCTCATCAAATCATAAGTGAAATCGTAAGTTTTGATTCCCCCTGTTCCTCCTTTATCAAATAATTCTGAAATCAATTCCTAAATTGATATCCATGTAGCATCCCAACATTATGACATACGAGGTATGTTTCTTACAGGCTACGTTAGATGTATCTCTTTTAAGGTTCTCTCAAAGGCTTGGAGAAGGGGTAGACAAAAATATTGCTCATCTATCCTATCCCCTTAGCTTCAGTCCATCTCACCAGAAGGGACAAGTTACTGAGCCAAAGCGTGGGCTGATTTTTAGGGAAAGGACATCAATGTAGGTTGGTAGAGTTAAAAGAAATATTTTCTTTTCCTCTTACCCAATTAAAATTTGAGAAATAGTCTTAGTACTTAGCACAAGTGAATTCACTTTGGAAAACGTGAAGGCATTTTGAGCAACAGCAGTAGACTGCTGCCCTTGTAAGATACATGTTGACTTACCAGGACCACCGGACCTAAGAGGGCAGGCCCAAATTGCCCTTACATTTTTATTTGGAACATTTCCTTTAGAAAACTTGTAACTTTTTTCCTGGTCTCTTTGAAATATATGTAAATCATTTTGAAAGCTCAAGAAGACTCTTTCCAGCATTAGGAACTAGCAGTGTCTTCCTTAAGGACCTGGGAGCCATCCCTTTGAAATGTAAACATCAAGGGAGTTATCACCTCCCGCTCTCAGTCTCTGTAGGAAGGTAGGAGCCTAACTTCAGAAGGGCCTGGATCCTGGTTGCAAAACCACCTGTGTCATAAAAGTAAGCAGACTTTATTTTTGCTTTGTACAAAACAAATTAACTAACACGATGGTCACCCCATTTATGGGGTGAACTGATGGTGAACTATGTGTAATAAACAATGTTGTCAAGTCCTCTTACTTGAGGACTAGTTATTGTTTATCTTCGGAATGTATATGTAAGGGGGTTATATTTGCTTGGTTCTACAGAGTGAGATTTCTTTCTATCTTCACAATTTCTAAGAGATTGTGGAATATGATATCCATTACATTTTGATTTAATGCATATTCAATAATGAAATTGTTTTCTTCCCCTTCTTCCTTTGTGAAGAGGTTTTCTGGATTGGGAGAAAATTTTATTTTATTTTTTAATTAAATTTCCACAACAACACTCATGAGCCTATCTTTTCTGCTTCCAAAGGAGACACCTCACTACACCTTAACGTCATGAGATATTTTGGTGGCTGGATCTCCTAATACCTTGGGTGTCTTGGTGGTTGGATCGCCTAACATCTTGGGTGTTTTGGTGGCTGGATCTCCTTCCCTCCACCTTCCAGGCATACCCAGCCTGGCACCAATGAGTAAAACAGAACTACTCACTGCCCAAATGAGACACAAAAACATAGCTTCCTCTTTGTGTTCCAGTGACTGTCACACAAGTCCAACATCACAAGTCAGGAGATATGAGCCCTTAAGGGAGGTCTAGCCAGATATTTACGCCCAGGCTCAGAGAGTTGAAGTTTAACATCCTCATTTTTTGTAGTCCTAGAATGATCAAGTGTGATCTTGTGAGACTGTCTTCAGTTTCAGTGAGTAAAAGGGCATCTGCTGATCCTCTCCCATCTTTTCATGTATTAGGTTAATATGTGGAAACAACAGGTTGCAGCAGAGAAAGAGGTTTAATCATAGAGCTACCAAATGAGGAGACTAGAGGAAACCTCAAATCCCTCTCTCCGAGGAGTTTGGGTCCAGGGTTTATAAGGGTTTTGGAGTGGGTGGAAGTGTGGAAATCATTGACGGGTGGAAGAGTGTAGGGTGAAGTCATGGATCAGGGAGATGAAGAAGCCATGTTCTCATGCTGATCCCATTTCTCTGTGCGTGCGTGGGGCGGGGGTGTCTTCAAACTGGTTGGTGTCAGCTGTTTTGCTGGAATTTAAGATCTGAAAAAAGTCTTAAGCAATTCTTAAACAAAAACCCTTCTAATTTTAACATCAGAGAGCCTATCTATAAGAACAATGGTGATTCAAATTGATTCTTAAACAAATCCTTATGATTCTAGTGTCAGAAATCCTATCTATAGGAACACTGGGGGTGCAAATGGTCAGTATCTGCTATGTAACTTTCAGTTACAAGGAAGGGGGTCAAAGTGCAGCCTGATTAATGCTTAATTATGGCTGTATTTCTATCCAGAATTCTTAATCCTGTGAGGGTGGTTTCAAAACATATCATTCTTCTGTAATGCTGTAATGCTTCACTTAGAGTTTCGTACTCAAGACTGAAGATGCACAAAGCCAGTGGCCAGACCACACAGGGCAATAGAACTTTGCCCTCCAGTCTTTGCAGGAATCTGCCTAGAATGATCAAGATTGGGTTAGCGATTGTCAGCTTCCCAAATATTTGCCCATCTTTCAACTTAGGAGGAACCAGAGAAAGACAAATATGCTCCCCCACATAATCACATGAGATGCTGTGCTTTTAAGTAGCCCACTGGCAGGTCCCCTGATGCCAACCACCTCCACTTGGGGCATACCTGAAGCCTTCCCTTTTCCACTATAAAGCTTTTTTATTTCTCCACCTGCCATTGAGTCTGTGCCAAACACAGTTGCTAGCGGTGGACTCCCTTGTGAAAGCAGATTTAGTCCTGGACTAAGAAGCCTAAATATACCCCTAAGCTTTTCATTTAAATAGTGATTGCATTTCTGCAAGGCTTGGATTCTTTATCATTCAGCTTTCTTGCACAGGACAATGAAGGTATGTTCCAGATATGAGGCAAACAAGATCCTTTTTCTTGGACATGGTTTTAAAGAACAAGGGTGACCTACTCTCAGACACTTTACGAAGTATGCATATGTGCATGTCTTTTTGCATGTGTAGATTTAGGTGTTTAGAAGCCTTAACGATCCCAGTTTTAAAAGCAAGGGGATGCCTGGGAAACTAGCGCGTATCTGGCACTGGATAAAGAAGCAATCAGCTGTCTTAATTTGCCTTCTTTTTTTTTTTTTATTATATTTTAAGTTTTAGGGTACATGTGCACAACATGCAGGTTTGTTATATATGTATACATGTGCCATATTGGTGTGCTGCACCCATTAACTTGTCATTTAACATTAGGTATTATCTCCTAATGCTATCCCTCCCCCCTCCTCCCACCCCACAACAGGCCCTGGTGTGTGATGTTCCCCTTCCTGTGTCCGTTTGTTCTCATTGTTCAGTTCCCACCTATGAGTGAGAACATATGGTGTTTGGTTTTTTTGTCCTTGTGATAGTTTGCTGAGAATGATGGTTTCCAGCTTCATCCATTTCCCTACAAAGGGCATGAACTCATCATTTTTTATGGCTGCATAGTATTCCATGGTGTATGTGTGCCACATTTTCTTAATCCAGTCTATCATTGTTGGACATTTGGGTTGGTTCCAAGTCTTTGCTATTGTGAATAGTGCCACAATAAACATACTTGTGCATGTGTCTTTATAGCAGCGTGATTTATAATCCTTTGGGTATATACCCAGTAATGGGATGGCTGGGTCAAATGGTATTTCTAGTTCTAGATCTCTGAGGAATCAGCACACTGACTTCCACAATGGTTGAACTAGTTTACAGTCACACCAACAGTGTAAAAGTGTTCCTATTTCTCCATATCCTCTCCAGCACCTGTTGTTTCCTAACTTTTTAATGATTGCCATTCTAAGTGGTGCGAGATGGTATCTCACTGTGGTTTTGATTTGCATTTCTCTGATGGCCAGTGATGATGAGCATTTTTTCATGTGTCTGTTGGCTGCATAAATGTCTTCTTTTGAGAAGTGTCTGTTGATATCCTTTGCCCACTTTTTGATGGGGTTGTTTGTTTTTTTCTTGTAAATTTGTTTGAGTTCATTGTAGATTCTGGATCTTCAAGGAGAACTACAAACCACTGCTCAATGAAATAAAAGAGGATACAAACAAATGGAAGAACATTTCATGCTCATGGGTGGGAAGAATCAATATCATGAAAATGGCCATACTGCCCAAGGTAATTTATAGATTCAGTGCCATCCCCATCAAGCTACCAATGACTTTCTTCACAGAACTGGAAAAAACTACTTTAAAGTTCATATGGAACCAAAAAAGGAGCCCGCATTGCCAAGTCAATCCTAAGCCAAAAGAACAGAGCTGGAGGCATCACGCTATCTGACTTCAAACTGTACTACAAGGCTACAGTAACCAAAACAGCATGGTACTGGTACCAAAACAGAGATATAGATCAATGGAACAAAACAGAGCCCTCAGAAATAATGCCACATATCTACAACTATCTGATCTTTGACAAACCTGACAAAAACAAGAAATGGGGAAAGGATTCCCTATTTAATAAATGGTAATGGGAAAACTGGCTAGCCATATGTAGAAAGCTGAAACTGGATCCCTTCCCTACACCTTATACAAAAATTAATTCAAGATGGATTAAAGACTTACATGTTAGACCTAAAACCATAAAAACCCTAGAAGAAAACCTAGGCAGTACCATTCAGGACATAGGCATGGGCAAGGACTTCATGTCTAAAACACCAAAAGCAATGGCAGCAAAAGCCAAAATTGACAAATGGGATCTAATTAAACTAAAGAGCTTCTGCACAGCGAAAGAAACTACCATCAGAGTGAACAGGCAACCTACAGAATGGGAGAAAATTTTTGCAATCTACTCATCTGACAAAGGGCTAATATTTAGTTTGCCTTCTAACCTTCAGAACCCTGCCAATTCTGAGAGTATCATTACTATTATTTTTTTTTACAGCAATATCCCCTGTGCACAATGCACCCTTGCAGGATTTCTGCCTGACTGTGGCCCATGCATAGTGCTCAGTGGAGACTGAAATATTTCTCTGCTAGGCTCTGTTCTGCAGATGCATTTGCAGTGAGCTAGAATACGCTTGCCTGCCTTGGGAAGCTTTGAGGCAACAATAGCGTGAAACCAATCACAGTAATTATCACATTAACTCATGTCATTTTGTTCAAATACTTTCAACCTTTAAAATGTGGGAGCTAAGCTCTAAGATCCAATGCTGTCTCTAGCATCCTGATGCTTGTATAGCGTACATTTAGTTAAAAGGAAACTCATTTTGAGGTTATAATTAGCAAGAAAAATTTACAATCTGCAAGCTCAGGTTCTATTCATGGACTTAACTCCCTTTTCTTGCCTGTCTCTAAAAATCCAGGCCACTGTATTCCACTAGCAATCGCTATTGTTATTTTCTGCACCTAATAATTAAATTTAGTTCATTAACCTGGATATTCTGCAGTGTTTTTTTTTTTTTTTGGTCATCAATTTTACATTCAGCAGTGCATAGGAAAAAATTGCAACCCTGAAAAACCTTGTGCAGGACCCTAGATTTAATATTCTTTTAAAATTTCATTTGTTCCCCCTGTAGAGTTAGAAGTTGTGCACTCTGCTTTTATTTTATATGCACATTTGCGCACTCTGCTTTTATCTTAATAGGCACATTTAGCTTAATAAGTCTGAAATGAATCAAGGCTTGCTTTTCAAAATAGAAATAATCAACGGCTCCAGCTTTATTTATTGAAAAGACCATCTTTCCAGCATTGAAATTGCAATGACATTTTTGCCCTAAGTCATGTGTGAGTCTCTTTCTGGACTCTCCAGTCTGTTTTGTTTGTCTATGCATGTGTCGTGACCACACCATCTTAATTACTATAGTGTCACATTGAGAAAGTGAATATCAAATGCACCATGTCCAGATTATATACAAAATTAGAACTCTGACCAGCCTAGCAGTCCAACCACAGCCTCTGCAGCTACTGACGCAGAATGATCAGGATCTGGTCAATTTCTGCTAGTTTCCCTAGTTTTTGCCTTTTCTTCCAACATCAGATCCAACCAGGGAAGATCAAATATGTTTTGCAAGCCAACCACCTAAAGCATGCTACTTTTACTTAGTCTGACCACAGTTTTCTCACACCACTAACCTCCAGTGTTCACACCTGAAGCCTTTCCTTGTTTTCTTTTACGGTAAAGCTGCACCATTCTCCTGCCTGCATGTAGGTTCTGGCCACAGATTGGTGGCTGACTCCCTTCCCATAGCAAGCTTTGAATAAAGAGTTCCTGTTCTCATTTGGGTTAGGAGTGTCTTTACTTCCACCATTATAAGTCTCAAAATGTGGAACGTTAAGTCTTCCAACTTCTTTAATAATGTCTCGGCTATGCTGGGTCCTTTGAATTTCTAAAATTTTAGAACAACCTTCTCAATTTCCACAAAAGTCTGCTTGTTTTTTTGATTGGGCTTGAATTCAATTTATACACCAGTTTGGGAACGGTAGAAATCTTAGTAATACTGAGTCTTCCAATCTGTAAAAATGGTATATATTTCCATTTATTTATGCCTTTAACAAATTTCTCTCAGCGAAGTTTTGTAGCTTTCAGTGTAGAAATTTTATACATGTTCTTGCAAATTTATTTTTAGGTATTTTATGCTTTTTGTTGATTTTATCAGTATTATTTTTGTTTTGTTTTGTTTTATTTTCGTTTTAGTTTTTGAGACAGCATCTCACTCTGTCGCCCAGGCTGGAGTGCAGTGGTGTGATCGCGGCTCACTGCAACCTCTGCCTCCTGGGTTTAAGCAATTCTCCTGCCTCAGCCTCCTGAGTAGCTGGGATTACACGTGCACGCCACCACACCCAGTTAATTTGTTTGTATTTTTAGTAAAGACAGGGTTTCACCATGTTGGCCAGGCTGGTCTCGAACTCCCGACCTCAGGTGATCTGCCTGCCTCAGCCTACCAAAGTTCTCTGATTACAGGTGTGAGTCACCACGCCCAGCCTTTGTTGCTTTCATAAATTGCATTTATTTTTTTCCTTACTTTTCAAAATTAATTGATTCTCTAATGATTTCTCGTGTATGTTATGATTGTGTTGGTGTGGCGGGGTGGAGAGAGAGAAAGAACACAGTCTCATGTTCTTTGGAACTTGATTTGTAGAAGTTCTTTGAACTCTGTTTAAAATGATTTTTTTGGTAAGGATTTGTTCTTGCTTCTACCAGGAACCTCTTGGTACTTACAAATTTGGAGGCACTGTAAAGAAATTGTAACTTAGCCACTCTGACGGAGTAGTTTCTGACCACTAACTGACCATGGTGGTTGTAATTGTTTGGGAATCTTGGCTTTATGCAAGAATTTCAAACTGCACATCCATTTTTCAGGCCAAAACCTTGGACTTAAGTCCTCAGCACAGAGACCCTTAAATGAGAGACTTAATGGTAGTCAGGATTTGGAAGACTACTTTAGGGCAAGAACTTGATTCTTAGTTAACCATCAGATCAGATTTACTTAAAAAGTAAAAGAATAGTTACATTTTACCTGTTATTTTAGAGGTTCCATCCTGGAAAAACAGTTGCTGCAACACGAAGCTTCCAGACTTTAAATCATATTTTCAATTAGTATTCCCCAAATTCACAATTAGGTAAGAGAGTATCATGCAGTTACTGAATTTTTTCCCTATAATTTCTACTTTATTCTTTAACACTGGTGCATAAAATGCAAAGAAGTAGTCGTACCCCAAACCAAAGAAGGATGTTTATGAAACTGAAGAAAAACTTACTGCCTGAATCAGCTCCTCTGAAGTTTACTTGAATTTGTCTACTAATGTAGGCGACAAAAAAAATTCTTTATTCTTACCTGTGCAGTTAAAGTTAAGCAGAAAAGACCTCACTAAATTATTTGTGCAAAAAGAGCTATGCATATCTCATAGATTAAAATTTATAGAGCCTTCTGACTTTAAAATTTCATTGCAAATACACAGAGATACACAAAAAAGTTACTCTTAATTTAGTGTTTTATGAAAATTCAACAGCATCATTCTTTAAGGAAAACAAGGATATCTTTATAGCCCACAGTTCTCTCTCTGCATTCCAATAATGGTGATGATTAATCCGAAGCTCAGTACATTACCTCTTCAATGAGTAATATCAGTGTTATAAATCAGATTTTAATATTTTTATTTTCCATTCACTAGCTCTTCAAATATTTCTGACTTACGATAAGCCCTTTGTCTGTATTTTTCTTCAATGTCTCTATTAAATCTTTGCCATGACTTATCAACATGAAAATTGTTGGAGAAGTTGATTTTGGGTATGATGGCATCATTAGCAATGTGGACATACAAATCTTCATGTTATTCTATTCCTTCCCTCCCTTCCTTTCTCCCTCCCTTTCTTTCTCCTTCTCTTCCTCTCTTGCTCCCTCCCTTTCTTCCTTCCTTCTTTCTTTCTAGCCTTCCTTTCTTGATTCAATAGAAGATAAGTCCCACTCACTGGGTAACTCTAAATTTATAGTGGTTTTGGTACCCTGTTAAATAGGGTGAGGCTCCCATCCAGCCTTGTCAAGACTGCTTTATTTGGCTTTGTTCCATGGTGAAAGTCTGCATGTAAATCTTGGTTAGCTACCTCAATCTTATGTTTCTTGGGCTGAAATTGCTCTGGGTGTTGTATGAATACACAATGGGCACAAATAAATTTTTTCCAATGCACATGCCAGTGTGACCCACAGACTTCAAGGGGCATGAACACAGAGTGTACATTCTCAGCAAATATACACGTGGCACATGGTAGCTGCTCAAATAAATATTTGTGCAATGGATAGATGTGATGTCGAATAGCCATGGATTTCAGGTCCTCACATAAATAATTTTTGCCTCCTAACTCGAGAAAAGAGAGGACACTTCTCCATGGCTGGTGTGTCTTTCCAATAGTGGGTGCAGTCTGTGTAGCTTCTCTTGCTGTTCACTTACTTCCTGACCCCCATGAGGAGTGGAATGACTTACCTTTGTTGTAAGGAGAAACAGGGCATGCTTCTTCCCTTTCTACTGGGAGTCAGCAGCTCCATAGAGAGCAGCCATTGTTCTCTTTCAGTATTGTGAGTCTCAAGAGGGCAGTCTTACTAGGGAAGTCTGTCTCAGTCCTATGCTGGCTGAGACTCACTGGAGGGGAAGGATTTCGGGGTCAGGACTAGATTGCCTCCAGACAAAAATGACATTCTTCAAGATCTGCCATATCAACCATCAAGGTGACATTTTGATGTCCATAAACCTTATGTATTTTTTTCTTAATTAGCTCAGAACTTTCATGAGCCCCACTGGCACTCAAACATGACTTGATTTCATGTATTATCTTAAGCATCCTCTGCTAGGTACATTCAAGCAGAACAGTGGTGTGATTTTCATCCGTAAAACAATATATGTGTACACACACACCACATAGTTATGTGTTTATGTGTGTATGCACATAAGCAATGGGTATTTGTGTATTTCACCTCTAATTTTCCAATGCCCATATTATAAAGTCTAGCCCACAAAAAAAATGTATTGATATGGTACCAGATATAAAACTCTTATTTATGTCTTCTTTACAAGAGTAAGTAGTTCTTTGTTTCTTTTTTCTTCTTCCAACCAAACTATAACCTTGAGGCTGCTTTCTTTCTTTTAATTTTGTTACATTTATTATGCATGAATCACATCTTTATGATTCAGTAAGCCTTAGAGTTGAGAGTAAATTATGTAAACTTTCATGAGTGACAAAAATATTGTGTATGTCGGTCAAAATGTCAGTTACCTAAATAAAACATGACACTCAAATTATGTTACATAGAGGGTCGTAGGCCAATAGCTCAAAAGGAAACATAATTTATTTAATAGAATTGACTGTGATTGTGAGTAAACTTTATAATCTGCAGCTCCATGCTATTTGGGTTGAAGTATCTTTCTGGAAATGTTTGAAATTAGGCAAGTGTGGGTTCAACAATACCAAATTATTGTAATTCTGGGATATTTACTTCAGATTAATAATTCTATGATTGCTGAGGTTCATAGATGGTAAATATTAAATAATTTTATTTTTATTCTTAATATCTGAGAGTTAGCTAACCTTCTTATTAAGAATTCTGGAAATAATTTGCATAGAATGTGTTACAGAGCAGCAAGTTAATTGCTGCTTTTCTTTTGAAAATTTCTCTTGTACATATTTCTCGTTATGAATGTTCTTCAAGTTTGGATTTCCTTTCATAGAAACACTATAAGACTTCAGTTACTTAAAATGACTTTGCAAAGAAAAAGAGACAGCAGAATAGCGACCCGCTTACAATGACAGTCTCCACACCTCCAATCACATGGATGAATATTGATTCCCAAAAGTAGAATTCTGTGAAACTGCTAACCCTCTGAAACCTATACTCCTGAAAAGATGCCATGCCAACAGGAATCCAGAAGACAATGGTAGCTTTGCTTTTATTGCGATTTTATTTTTAACTTTAGTGTAACAATCAACTTCCCAACCACAATCCTCTTAAAGTGAGATAAAATTAATTTTTAATGACTAACCACACATCTAATTGGGCGGAAGTGGAACAAAACCCAGGGTCAGCTCATTGGCTGTGATCCAGAGCTCCGCTTAAGACATGCATGGTCTTAGAGACCCATCATTTGCCTTGAGAAAATGAAGTGGCTTAATTATTTTCCCTAAATAAATAGTGTCTGGCATAGTGTTAGGCCTTTTGACTTGTCTGACAAATATTGAATGGCTCTGCTCAAGGAATTACAAATAAAAAATGAAAATTTACCTGTGTCTATATATTCATTCTATCTATCTATCTTATCTATCTATCTATCTATCTATCTATCTATCTATCTATCTATCTGATATGGTTTGGCTCTGTGTCCCCACCCAAATCTCATCTTGAATTGGACTCCCATAATTCCCACGTGTTGTGAGAGGGACCTGGTGGGAGATAATTTGAATCATGGGGGTGGTTTCTCCCATACTGTTCTCATAGTAGTGAATAAGTCTCACAAGATCTGATGGTTGTATCAGGGGTTTCTGCTTTTGCATCTTCCTCATTTTCTCTTGCCACCACCATGTAAGAAGTGCCTTGCACCTCCCACCATGATTCTGAAGCCTCCCTAGCTATGTGGAACTGTAAGTCAATTAAACCTCTTTTTCTTCCCAGTCTCGGGTATGTCTTTATCCACAACATGAAAACAGGCTAATATACCATCCTATCATCTATCTATCTATCTATCCATCTATCTATCTATCTTATCATCTATCTATCCATCTATCTATTGGCTATCAATCTATTGATTTTATCATCTATCTGTTTATCTGTGTATCTACCTATCATCTATTTATCTGTGTATCTTCTATCAATCTTTAATAATAGAAAATGTCAGGCTGGGCACTGTGGCTCACACCCGTAATTCTAGCACTTTGGGAGGCTGAGACGGGTGGATCACCTGAGGTCAGTTCACCTGAGGCTAGGCTTAGCCAACACGGTGAAACCCTGTCTCTACTAAAATACAAAAATTAGCAAGGCATGATGGTGGGTGCCTGTAATCCCAGCTACTCAGAAGGCTGAGATGGGAGAATCGCTTGAACCTGGGAGATGGTGGTTGCAGTGAGCCAAGATAGCACCACTGCACTCCAGCCTGGGTGGCTGAGTGAGACTCCATCTCATAAAATAATAATAATAATAATAGAAAATTTCAGACACAGTTGAATTTTTTGGTACCTTTTCCCCACTTATTTCCATACTGTCTTCTCCCCGTGAACCCCCAAAATCTGGACCATAAATTTAGTATTTTTTATACATATTTTAAAATTGTTGCTATGTATTAGCTATTTAGAACCTACATGTAGACATGTTTTGCCTGATTTCAAAACTGTAATAATGTAAAGTATTTATGTAAATAAATGCAATTATATTGTGCATATCCTCCTGGTACTTGCCATTCTCTGTTGCTTTCAATTTGTTAGATTTTTTGTGTGTGTCAATATATCTCTAGTTGACTCATTTGTTCTACTGTACATGTTTTTATTGTGTGGCTATAAAACACATGGTTTTGCTTCTCTGTTGATGAAAACTTAAGTTGTTTCCAGTTTTTTGCTGTTATAGAAAATGCCTCAAGGAACATTCCTGTACACGTCATTTTGAACACCAATATGAGAACTTCTTCAACATATATAATTAGGAATGAAATTGCTGGCTCAGAGGGCAGGTATATTTATTTAGTATTGCTTACCAATATGGGGTTTGAAACAATTTACCTGACAATTTAAATTGAAGACTTTTAAATGTTTGCTGATCTGATTGTTATGATGTAATAACATATCGTACTTATTTTTTAATTTTTTTTTTTTTTGGGAAAGACAGAAAAACCTCGCCAGGTTGCCCAGGCTGGTCTCGAACTCCTGACCTCAAGTGATCCTCACACCTCCACCTCCCAGAGCTCACTTATTGTTTTTATTTGCATTCCTCTCGTTACCAGTGTAGTCAAATATCATTTTATATGCTTATTGGTCATTTGGATTTTCTGAGAATTTCCTGTTCAGATTATTTGACCATTTTTTTCTCTAACAGATTTATAGAAATTTACACACACTAACACACACATATATACATATATTATGAATATAAAATTTTTCATATTATATATATTTATATACATATATTATTGATATAAAACATTTGTCAATTACGTGCACAAAAACCCCTGATAACAATGGTGGCTTGTATTTTTGGTCTTGTTTTTGTTGTTTGTCAAAGTGGTGGCTAAACAATTTACTGTATAACTTTTAAGGCTATCAAAATATCAGTCATTTCCGTGTGTGTGTGTGAGAGAGAGAGAGAGAGAGGGAGAGAGAGAGACAGGGTCTTACCCTGTTGGTCAGGCTGGTGTGCAGTGGCATAATCATATGGTCATAGCTCACTGCAGCCTTGGTATCCTGGGCTCAAGCAATTTCCTGCCTTATCTGCCCAAGTATCTGTGACTACAGGTGCACACTGTACCATGCCTGGACTAGATTCGTGTTCTTTATGTCTAGCTAAGAAAACTTTTACTGTTCAAAGTCATAACATTTTAATCTATTTTACTCAGGTACAATTAATTATATATATCTTTTCAAAATACCCTTCCTGTAAAGTCATCTGCTTCTGAACTCTAATAGTTATCAAGTCAGGTATTTAGGCTGCAAGAAGTGTTATCATAGCTGAGGAATAGAAAATAAAATGTATATACCATGCTCAGGCTTAATTGCTAATAAAAAGTAAAGATAATCACCTTAATTCTAAAGTATATTTAACAACCTGAACAGGAACAGAGGTAAAACAAAATCACCTTTGTTGAACTCTTGTTGGTATCAGCCACGTTTCATTATGCAAACAATTAGAACTCCAAGGCAACGACTATTTGAGCTAATTCCCAATACAAACCCCTCCTGTTTAAGGGTTTAGGACATTCATACCAAGCCTAGCTGGACCTTTCTTAAATCATTTTACTCTTATTTCTACTAAAGTTCCCATGTGATAATACATCTTGGTTCCTATGTACATAACTAACCAGCTGAGGTGGGCTGAGCTGTACAAAAGCCCCCATAAATAAACTCAATTTCTTTTAATGGCTAGTCTGCAAGCTGACACTTTGTTTCATAAATTATTCTGTATCATCATTTTGAATCAGTTTCCCAGGGCTTGATCAATGCTGGGTAAACAGATAAAAATTGTATTTTGGGTCAGGTTCAGACTGTATTGATCTGAGAGCAGAGGTGACAGTATTCATCAGTGTAGGCTCTAGCCTTTTTGCCATCACAATAATTTGGCAGAACCCGATGCAAGTATTATGTGGTTAAAAGACACTCAGTTAACCGCCCAGATAATTCTTATAATGCCTTGGAAGAGACCCACATAACTTGCAACAGCTAATTTTGTGTGTCAGCTGGGCTGGGTCAGAGGATTCCCAGGTATCTGGTTAAACGTGATTTCCAGGTGTGTCTGTGAGGCTGTTTGGAATGAGATTAGCATTTGAATCGGTGGATGGTACAGGCAAAGGGTTTGCCCTCTGCAATGTGGGCGAGCATCACCCAATGTGTTGAGGCTCTCAATAGAACAAAAGGCAGAAGAAGGAGGAATTCATCTTTCTCCTTTTTTCTTTTGCCTTACCGCTTGAGCTGAGACATCTCATATTCTGCTGCCTTGGATAGGGGTTTACACTATCAGCTCCCTAGTTCTTGGGCTTTCAGATTCAGACTGAGTGATACTACTGGACTTATTGGGTCTTCAGGTTGTAGATGGCAAATCATGGGACTTTTCAGCCTCCACAATTTCATGAGCCAGTTTCTTATAATCTCTCTCTTCCTATCTATCTATCATCTATCTATCTATCTATCTATCTATCTATCTATCTATCTATCTATCTATCTATGTATCTATCTCCATCTCTCCAGTTGGAAAATCAGTCTCCAATTGGCTCTGTTTCTCTGCAGAACCCTGACTAATACTTTATTCTACCCATGCGATGGCTTGTAGCCAGTCTGGAAAATCTGAAAAAAAAAAAAAAAAAAAAAAAAAAAAAAAAAACAAATAATTATAGACCTACCTGATCAATGCATACGCTTTTGTTCTCTCTTAGCACAGATGCTTGGTGCATTGATCCTAGCCCTCTGTGTAGGTTATGGCATCCTAGCTAGACTGGCATGGACCCATAAGTAGTTAGAGGTGAGGAAAAGCTGCAGGTAACCAGTACAGTGTCTACTACAGGTTAGGGCTTTAGTTAAGTCAGGGTCCCAAAAGGTGGCTCCTAAACTGGGGTTCTTGGGATCTCAGAGTGGGGAAGCCAGCAAAGGAGTGAGAAAGCTGGATAGAAAAAGGGAGAAAGTCAAATAGAGTGTGATTCCTGCAAAGTCCCAGCTTCAGTCTGATCTCTGGGGATCACTGAGGCTTATACAATGTCTTAGAGGATTTCTGTTTGTTGTTGTTTGTTTGTTTGTTTGTTTGTTTGTTTGTTTTGCCTGGAGGTAAGGGAGCTGGGCATTCCTATCTACCCCCATTCAATCATCGACTATGTTGGCTGCAGTTTGGGGCTTTGGTGAGTGAGAGGATGGAGATGCAGAATGAGAAGTGATATTAACTACTGGCATTTCTCCATGCTCCAGCAACCCAAGGACAGCAGGTCCCCTGATAAAAGTGCTAGAAAAAAGCACTCAGCAGCGAGACGTTGCCACACAGAATAGGTAAAAGGGAGCTGCTGAGAATTTGGTAGAGCAGCAACTTTGGCTACAGTGGTCGCTCAGTATTTGCTGAGCTAAAACCCCATTTGTCTGTAGACTCTGCAATGATTAAATCCCTAGCAAATTGATGACTTAAAGAAAAAAAAAAGAAAAGAAATGCACCAGAAATCCATCTTCATCTTGAATGTATTCCTTGCAAAAAAAAATATAATTGTTGATGGCTTTTTTCACAAATCATCCTTGAAGAAAATTGTCTAATCACAAAATAGCCTTTTAAAAACAGATTCTGGGCTGGGCACGGTGGCTCACGCCTGTAATCCCAGCACTTTGGGAGGCTGAGGCAGGTGGATCACCTGAGGTCAGGAGTTCAAGACCAGCCTGACCAACATGGTGAAACCCCCGTCTCTACTAATAATACAAAAATTAGCCAGGCGTGGTGGCGAGCGCCTGTAATCCCAGCTACTCAGGAGGCTGAGGCTGAGGCAGGAGAATCGGTTGAACCCTAGGAGGTGGAGGTTGCAGTGAGCTGGGATCACGCCATTGCACTCCAGCCTGGGCTACAAGAGCGAAACTCCATCTCCAAAAAGAAAAAAAAAACAGATTCTGTCAGCCATGTGTGGCTGGTCGAATCTGGAGTTTGTAGGAGAGAAATTGGTTTATCAGAAAAGACAGAGGGGACTTAATTTGGGGGAAAATTATTGAAGAGATTTATGTAGTGACAGAAATGGTTATAACTTGGAAAGCAGCCAGAAAAAGCTGAATCATGGGGATTAAAGTAGGATCGATACTCCCTCAAACGGGTTGTCTGCGAACAAAACAACAGTCAGTGAAGCACGTGACAGCATTTCAATTTGAAAAGTATTCATCAGTGCAATATTTTTCCCTGACACAAAGTTTTAATAAATGATTTTTCAGTCATAAACTTGGATGTTTTTTTCCCCTTGATGTTCTTTTGTATTCCTTTTTTTTTTTTTTAACGGAACAGGAACTGTTTTCGCAGTTAGATACAAGTGCTATTCTATTTCCGGAACTTTATTACTAGTTCATTGCTTATCATCATTTGCCACCATAGGATAGCAAGTAGCCAATTACAGCTCAGAAACCAAATTCTGTCCATCGCCTGCTTTTGTAAATAAAGTTTTATTGGAACACAACAATGCCCATTCATTTATGTATTGCCTATGGCTGCAATTTAATTCTACTTTGTGCTACAAGAGCAGCGCTGAGTAGTTGTGACCAAGACCATATGTCCCACAAAGCCTGCAGTCCTTATTATTGGCTCTTTATAGAAGTTTGCTGACCCCTGCATTAGGATGTGGATGAATGCCAAAACCTACAGCACCTCTTTCCTTCCTCATCTGCTTTATAGAAAAATCAGAGGCCTCTGAGCAGATCCTTCAAAATCCTGGGAGAAGATAAGAGGTCAGAATTTATCTCAGGAAAGACAACATATCCTATTGCCTAATGTTTTCATTAAAAGTCTCTGAAATACAGAATGAAAAAAGATTGGAGAGGAAACACACCAGCTCTCATCAATGATTCATCTCTGGGAAGTAAAGTAATAGCTGTATTTTTTTTCTTTGCACATTTATATATTTTTTGCATTTTAACAATAAGCATGGAAGTATACCTTCTATAATAAAAAATATTTTTTAAAAAACCCTACGAACTTGTAAAAAATATCAGAGCATTCCTTCTCTGTAATCAGTAGGTGGTGGGGTTGGATCTTGGACATAAATCCATTTCTAATGAGCATCTTCAGTGCCAAGAAAATTTTACTTATTCCTCCACGAGCATGACAATAATTTTCTGGAATAAATATCACCATTCTTACTTTGAAAGGCTGGAGTGATTTATCCAGCACTGCTGTGTTTGCTAGGGAAGGAGAAAGAGTTGGGTGCACAGCCAATTTTAATGCTTGTGGTCTTTGCAGCATATCGCATATATAAAAATTATCAAGTATTGAATGAATTCAAAGCATTATGAGGTGTGTGCTAATAATTAACCAAATAATATATTCCCTGCACAATAAGAGCACAACAGGGTGTTACTATTGGGACACTGCCTATTGCCAGAAAAAATATATAATGTATTTATTGCATGCACACACATATGTGTATATATATATATATACACACATATATATAAATATATCCCAAATAAATATGCTAATAAATAATAAATCATGGAGTAATTAAAGTAATTTTAGAGTGATAATCTCCATTACAAATGTACCTATTAGGTATGCATTAATATTCATAAGTAAATAATAAGAGGTTTTAAAAATAGACATTTGATTACAGGCTGTATTTTCAAAAGTACGTTAAGTTAGGTCAAGTGCTGGTCTCATGTGCTTAAAATAGGGTTGAAAGAGTAGTTCTATGATTTTATTGTGTTCAAGGCTACCTTTGTGGGCTGTCTTCTGATAAATGGCTCCATGTATTTGGACAATGCAGCTGACCAGACTTCTTTTTGTACCACAGGACTTTGCAGAGCCTTTATCAAATTATTGTTCTTTGTGAATATTCAGGAGAGGGTGCTAATCCACAGCTTTTCCTGGGATGCCATTTGGCAATGTCTGAAGACATTTTTGGCTGTCATTCTGGAAGGGGGTGGTGATATTGGGATCCAGTGGGTAGAGGCCAGGGATGCTGCTGAGCATCCTGCAGTGCACAGGACAGCCTGTCACAGCAAGGAAGGGTCCAGGCCAAATATCAGTAGTGGCAAAGACAGGAATTTCCTTCTCCCATCTTCCTGGTTCTTGGGGCTTTAGTGCACTTCACAGAATAGTGGACCTTGGGTGCTACTAATGCACCAGTGATCCTAGTGTGCCACATGTGCTCTGGGCCCCTAGGGTGATTCATAGCAGTTAGCAGGAGATGTCAGTGGGGAACCATCAACTAGAAGGAGAAATCCCTGTGTTTAGCATAGATGGGCATACCTGAAGCACTGTGGTGGAAGAAATGATTTGTGTTTGCATTTACGTGATATGAGCACCTTGAATTTCTAGAAAAACTAGCAAAGATTGAACAAGGCAGATGGAGTGAGCCAACCAGTAGAACTCGGATTGCTGTGGATCTTAATTGGACTCCCGACAACATGGGACTGAGGAAATTCAGTTTAGATCATGATTAAATAAAACAGGGACACACTGAATAAACCGGAGGGAAACAAAACCTGAAACAGTTAAATAGCTTCAGAAAACATCCAAATGACTAAGAGGGAGTAATGACTTCTCTGGCATGATATGCCCAAATAAACAAAATAAAACATATTCATAATAATAATAAATGGAATTGTTAGTGCAAAGAAAATGCATGCAATTCATTTTTTTCATGGGCCTCATCCATCAGTTTGTCTCTCCCTCACTTTTCCTCCCGTGTATATTGATTGAGAAGGTATTGGGTTCTGGGTACGGTGCTCAAACTTAGGAGTACGAAAATGATTGAAGCACATCCCCTACGTTTTGGAGATCATAATGCACAATGAAGTATAGATGCATGCAGTGACAGGCAACATAATTATGGCCATTTTGTCAGGATGGACAACATGCTTTGATGGATCAGAGATGTGGTGATTTCTAATTACACTGGAGGAGTGAATTATGAGCTGAATTGTGTTTTATCCGACAGTGGAGGTTAAGAGTTTTCTACTCAAAGAGAATGGAGAGAGCCAGTCACAGAGTTATAAATGTCTGCTGCATATTTCAACTGTCAGCCAGAAGTGCAAGAGCGCTGGAGTGGTTACACAGACATAGGCAGAGGGGGACGGCGGGTGGGGCTGGAAATGCAAGTTTGGTTCAGTTCATCAAAGACCTCCAATGCCAGGCATCTGAGGGTAGATGTTCAAGGTACGTGAGTAACACTTATCTTTCATATCACATTTTTAATTCATTCTGCTCACTGTAGATCTCATACATTTTCTTTTTTTAGGTCAGGTGAAAAAACACATTTCTTTTTCCCTTACCCATTTCTTCTTTACCTTCCTATTAACCAAGAAATGAATCCATTCCCAGCTGAAATTACACCCTACACCTCCAAACACCTAAAATCTCATCCTCTCAGCATTGTAATTTCTAATGGGGGACAAAGAAGTCCTTCAGAAGGATTTGAAGTGCTGGTCAGCAGCCAGGCTCTTGGATCAAGTGTTCTTCCCGCTCGGAATACAAATCCATGTGTCTTCCAAAGGAGCCCAAAGAGAAGGTTCAGGATTTCATGACCCCTGGCAGTCACACAGCACTGCAATGTTCATACTGCTTTGGTTAGTTATTCATCTCCACATGTGAGCACGGTCTGCTTGTGTTTTGATCAGCCCCAATTCAGAGATGAAGAAACAGACAAAAGCTGAAATGACATCTCAAAGTCAAACAGTCAATCCCAGCGGCAGGTAAAGAGCTTAGCTAGGTTTCTGGATTTCTGGCTTCTGTCTGGAATTCCTGCCGTGTGTTATCTCACTCGCCAAACTTACATGGCACTGGCATTTGCTGATTATGGGTTTCAAACTAAATGAAAAAAAAAGGGGGAAGTCGTATTGAATATAAACACAATATTTTCAGAAAATCCATTACCCACTATATTGCATTTATAGGAAGGTGATTAAATTTCCATATCCAATATGCTAAGTGAAAATGGGGTTGAATGGTAGGTCTAAGGTTAGATCACTATGGATCAGAGAGAAAAATAATGAGTTACTGTCACTTTTTTGTGCCTTCAATGCACTAGGGATTCTGGGAACATTGTTCTGGATGGATTGACAGAAAATAACCCATCCTGAAATGGGTCCTAAAATCTGAAAAAGGAAGCTTGTGTTCATCAAGTGAATCAACTTGAATAGTTTGGTGAATAACAGTAGCATCAGATTGATTCAGATATAATATGACAACCAAAGACATTTCTTAGTGTACTTATCAATACTACCAGGTTCAGGGTACATGGACTCTGACTGAAATATTTCCTGAGACATCTGGTACCCAGTATATTGGATGTTCTTTCTTGGAGGCAAATTCTTTCATTAAAAAAAAAGTTGATATTGGGGGGAAATTATTTTAAAATCCTTGGTTGATAGCTACAAATTACACATATTTTTCCCAAAATTCTATGACATTTATAGAAGTCATATTTCACTTATTTATATAAAAATTCATGTTATTTAGTTAACAGAATTTTGTACTCTATGTTATACACTCAATTTGAACAATACAGTAGGGCCTGTGGAAATGGGAACTTTTGGCCATCTCTCCATTCAAACGTAGACATTTGTGTATCTTCCTTCCACATTTCTTCCCCTCCACCTGCCCTGTTTTATAGCTACTTCACATGGGAGAGTTGCTATGCTATTGGTTATGGTTGCTGTATTTCAGAGTATGGGAGTCAACAAGGTCTTGTTTGCTTCCTCTCCTCTTGTGGGAGGTACACAGGCTGAATGTTCCTATGCACCTTGGTTTGGAGGAAAGGCTTGGCCTTCCTCAAGTCAGGAAGGACAATTAGGAGATTTGCTGGTCTTTAATTTTACTGTTACTGCAAAGCTGGGATTGTTGTTGTACTTTCTGGCCTGCAAGGATATTTGAACAAAGCTAAAATATGTCCTAGGGCATTTTTAAAGGAAATCTCATGAGCTTGTCATTTTTTATCCAAAGAGATCCAGGTTTATAATCATTTAATTACTAAATGATTGGCTAAAATGGAGATCCACATAAAATGATGTACGCATACTTAAAATAGTACACTTAACTATATCTATACCTATATTATATCTATCTACTTATAGATAGATATAGATCAATCTCTGTCTATCCTCCACCAGCGTTTTTAAAATAAGATCAAGTTGTTTCTTTGAGTATGTGTTCACAAATTGGAGTTGTTTTCTGTATAAGACATATCCATGTTCTTTGTGGGCAGCTGAGCTTAAGATGTCCCTTTGAGTGAACACACATGAGTTTGGAAGTGGATCTGCCTCAGTCAAGCCTTCAGATGAGACCTCAGCCCTGGTCAACACCAAGCTTGTAGCCCAGTGGCAAACCCCAACACAGGAACTGTATACGTAACTCATGCCCAGATTCTTGACCTATAGGAACCATGAGCTAACAAATTTGTGTTGTTTTAAGCCACTATGTTTTGTGGTAGTTTGTTATATAGTAACAGGTAACTAATCTATTATATACAATTGACAGTATTTTTTTTAAAGCAGAGGTAGAAATTAAGACACATATAAAGAAATCTCAGTGCAAAATTTTTCTAGATTTTTATGATTTTCTTCTCAAGCATTTATGGTTATGCTGCCCCCACCAAATTTAATAGAAATATTTAGCTCACTTTTACTTAGTTTTACAAAAACCAACCACTATGTTCTTTTGAAAGTAGCAGCTCTTTTTCTTGATGCCATCAAATAAGATTAGGCTACATTCTGGCAAATCAAATTCCATAATTACAATAACAAGTGCAAGCTGTAACACAGTTTTGGGATCAAAGCAATGGATTTCTGGTAGGCAAACAACTCTACTCACAGAAGCAGAAAGTTATAGACAAACTAGAGACTGCCATGTTTATACTAAGACCTCAACATGTTAGTGAATTAGCCAAAACATTTTACAGAAGTGATGGGCTCTGTTGATGAATCTGACAAGATGATTAATTGGAGGCCATTTTAAGAAAATTTTTACTGTGATAATAAAACTAATAATTTTTAACATGGCATTTCTTTCTTTTTTATACTCCTGCTGAATTAGAAATATCGGAAGAGAACAGAAGATTTGAGAAATGAGACATTCTCAACCTTCAGTAATGTTCTTTTAATTCTACCCTGGGCCATTATTATTTAATTCATAATAAGTTTGTCATAAACATGAATTGAAAAATGGGAGCCGCCCAATATTTCTCTGTCATCATATATCTGGTTTTACTCCCAAATTGTCTGATAAATGTTCCCAGGGAGCAAGTTTCATAAATGTTAAACAAACACGATTTTATATTGTAGGGAGAAACTCATGATTCTATCCATCTGTTCACTGAAAGAAAAGAAAGGACAAATCACTTTTAAAAGAATGTGCAGGAAAATGACCCAAGTTTGTAAACTCTGTATTTTTTATGGCATCTCATGAATTTCAGTCTTATTTTTTTTTAAGGAAATAGACCTAAACTCACAAACAGTCCTTACAAGAGATAAGAATGGTTTCTCTGAAGTTGTTCTACTTGGTCTTATTACTCAGATGAGATGGACTATACATCCTTGGAGTGAGAGTCAAACCAGCCATGGGAGAAAGCAAAGAGGATGCTGATGGTGGCCTCTCATCTTATCAAGCTCAGAGCTGCCTTTTAATGGATGGAGAACCCAGGTGACCAGGTGCAGATAATTTCAAAGACCAACTGGAACTTTGATTCACCTGAGTTTCTAAGGAATGCTAGATACTTCATAGATCCAAACACTGATACCTATTATCAATGTAGAAATCGGCTGAACACTGTCCCTCTAATTTGGACTCTTAGGGCTTCATCAGAATGTTCCCTGGCTATAAGTAGCTTCCTCCTTGATCCTGAGTCCCAAAATGGAACTTTAAAATTAATATCACTGGAATTCTTAAAGACCCTCTGCTAGACATCTGTTCCTGGAAGCTCTTTTTTATCACAACTTAGGATTATATAGTATTTACCTCTATCATATATAAATACAATTGCTATTGAACTTTAGAAGAAACCCAACAATTTCACAAGTATAATCCTACTTTATTTAAAAACCACTGTGAGATGAGTGATAATCCTAGGCAGGCACATATTTCATATAATTTCCATTTGATATAGCAAATATCACATCCTGTTTATCTACTCTATGCCAGATGTTGAGCTGCAGAATGGCATAGATGCTGTTCCTCACACCCTTGGAGCTTACGATGAGTAGGAGGGACAATTTGACAACTGCAAAAAGAGACATATAGCATATATAATGGATGCCCAACCTAGATTTGGGAGCTTAAGTTCCAGCGAAGGACAATTGAAGCCTGAAGAGACTAAATAATTGCCAGAGGCCAGACAATTCCAATAAATAACAAACAAGATGTAATTCCACATCTTTCCTCCCATATCTACATAAAGAATGCAGCTTTTCAAAAAATAGGAACGTGTTGACAGGACACATGAAGGTAGTGTCTGAACTTTCACAGTGGACAAGTAATTGATCAGCAGCGGATTAATTTGAGTTCCATCTCTATGTCCAGTCAGCATGCTGGAATTTTGAAGGCAAAGCCCCCTTATCCTTGAAGGTTATAATCTAGTTCAACATGTGGACACTTAGAGAGGAACAACAGACACTGGGGCCTGTCAGAGGACAAGAGGGAGGGAGGAGGGAGAGGATCAGGAAAAATAACTAATGGGTACTAGGCTTAATACCTGGGTGATGAAATAATCTGTACAAGAAACCCCCATAACACAAATTCACCTATGTAACAAACCTGCGCACGTATTCTTGAACTTAAAAGTTAAATTTAAAAAATAAGTTTAAATGTAATAATAACCTAGTTCAAAACCAAAGATATTATCAAATGGAGCAATAGAAGAGGGCAATCCTGTATGTATTGTCACAATTCTGTGGGACAGATAACACGTGGTGAAAGTAATTTAGAAAGGGCAAGAGTTTAGGTCTCATTTGTCAGTTTGTGTTTTTGTTGCAATTGCTTTTGAGGACTTAGCCATAAATTCTTTGCCAAGGCCGATAGTAAGAAGGGGAAATTGTTCTATCAAAAAGACACAGGCACTCATATTTTCATTGCAGCACTTGTCACAATAGCAAAGACATGGAATCAACCCAGGTACCCATCAACAGTGGATCGGATAAAGAAAATGTGGTACATATACACCATGGAATACTATTCAGCCATAAAAAAGAATGTGATCATGTCCTTTACAGCAACATGGATGCATCTGGAAACCGTTATCCCAAGTGAACTAATAGAGAAACAGAAAACCAAATGCCACACATTCCCACTTATAAGTGGGAGCTAAACATTGGGTACACATGGTCATAAAAATGGGAACAATATTCCTTTGGGTATATACCCAATAATGGGATTGCTGGAACAGAAAAGTAAATAGCACATGTTCTCACTTATAAGTGGAAGCTAAATGATGACAACACATGGGCACATAGAGGGGAACAACACACACTGGAGCCCATCAGAGGGTGGAAGGTGGGAGAAGGGAGAGGATCAGAAAAAATAACTAATGGGTACTAGGCTTAATACCTGGGTGATGAATAATCTTTACAACAAATCCCCATGACCCAAGTTTACCTATGTAACAAACATGCACATGTGCCCCTGAACAAAGTTTAAAAATATGGGAAAATAGACTCTAGGGAATATAAGGGGAGGAGGAAAAGGGAGGTGTAAGGGTCAAAAACATCTTTCTATTGGGTACCATGCTTACCACCTGGGGGATGCAATTCATTTATATATTCCAAACCTCAGCACCATGCAGTATACCCGCATTATAAAACTGCACATAAACCCCTGATTCTAAAATAAATGAAAAAAAAAAAAGAATGGGTGAGAGACCCTGGCTCTCAGGGAAGTATGACCCCGCAAAGGCCACATCCTCATCACATCCCATACACAATGCAGCATTCACTCTTCCCCACATGCATACTGCCCTTTTCTGGCTTTAGAGTTCTGCGGGTTTCTGTATTCTTTTTTCCAGAATATTCTGTCTCAGAAGATTCTTCTTTATTTAGCAAAAGCCCACTTTAAATGCCACCTCCTCCATGAAACTTCAGGCCTAAATATTTTCTCTGTTCATGACAAGTCACCTGCTACATCACACCTTTATGCAATCATTTGTAAAATGCTAACAATAATGCTACTCCATTCATGGGAGGCTGTAGAGATTTAGTGAGAGAATCAATATAAAATTCCTAGCACAAGATGTGGCTCATAGGTAGGGCTAACCAGAGTGAACCTTCATTACAGTTAATGCCAGTATTACTGTTGATGACAATCCGCAGTCCTCACTTTGCACACTATCATGACAATTAAAACTCACACATGTTGGAATCATGTTTTCACCTTGCACCGTTCTGTGGTCACAGATTTTCAGGGAGAGAACACGGTTCTGATGGGCATGAGGTTTAGCATCAGGAGGGCATGTCAAGAGAAGGCTGTGTGTAATAGGAATAGGAATAGTAGGAGTAACTGAAGGGTTTTGCACTAATGAGGAACTCGAGTTAGACCCTGACAGTTTACATTCTTGTCTTTCAGAGAAGGACAAATAAAAGAAGTCTCTGGCATATTGTTTAAACTCTATAATAGCAGCAAAAATGCCTCAGCTGGGATTACTTGGATGGAAACATGCAGAGTTGATCTTGGTTGGTGTGAGAGGACCTTGCACTCAATGCAGGTCTTCGTGAATTGTGATCATCAACAGATACATGGGCCACTGCTGACAGCACTGTCTCCATGTTAAAACACCTGACGTTGGTAGGATATGTCAGGGGTATTGTTAGGGTCATCGACACCATCCTGGGTTTTTTGGCTATGTCCTTGTGGCTCACTGCATCCACTTTTATGTTTTCTGGGTTATTTATGTCAAATCTTTGGATTATACCTCAGTTATTTTAGGGAAAAAATGTGCATCCTGGCACAAAAAATGTAATGTGATTATTGCCATGATTATAGGCTGCTCTAATAAATATGAAACAACAGTTTTATATGGAAGACAACATTTGTGCAATCTCTGGAGGACATTGATTCAAACTCACAGGGGCCTTCCCTTCTTCATTACAATAAAAATTGCTTTATTTTTAAAAATTATATAAATAAATGTAGGTTTACTGTGAAATACTCCGAACAACACAGAAGTAAAGCAGACATAAAATTGTATGTACAAATTCCGTTCCCAGAGAGAGTCACCGTAAATATACTGGTGAACGTGTTACTTAGCTTTCTACACATGTGCACATATATTTGTACAGAAAGATACATCGGTTATTTTTATGCTCTCTCAAATTTGCTTCCCCCTCCCAAGAATACATCAAGGACAGTTTTGCTCAGTTTTGCTGTCTGCCTATCTGTCTCTCTACTATCTATCTATGTGTCCGTCTATCTATCTATCGTCTATCATCTATCTACCTATCTTATCTTTCCATCCAACATCTATCTAATATCTATCTATCTACCTATCTAATCTAGTCTCTATCTCATCTATCTATTCATCTGTCTGTTACCATCTGCGTCTCTATTATGTATCTATCTACCTGTTTATCTATCATCTAGCTCATCTGTCTCTATTATCATTTTAAGTAACTCGCTATGTTTCATTGTACTATAATTTGTTAAATCAACGCTATTGATGAACATTTAAAGTGTTTTTAAACTTTTCACTCTTTCATACAAAAATGTGATGAGTGTATTTGTACATCCGTTTTATATTTGTCAGACTTTTTTCCTGGGATAAATTTCTAAAGTGAGGTTTCTGAGTAGAAAGAAGTGCATATGCAATTAAGATTTTTGAAGCCTACTTCCAACTGTCCGTGCAACTATTGACACTGTATATTGATATTAGGCATTATCAACTTTTTTCATCATTGTCAATCTTAGTTATCAAAACAGTGACTTTTTTTAATCCAGATGAATGAGGAAACTCTAAAATTCAATTGTTTTTCCTCAATTGTGATAAAAGATGTTCCTTTTTTGCCATAGAGGATACTTTTTCTATTTCTTTTCCCTAGTTTTCTAATAATTCCTGGTGGGCTTGTTGTAGTTTGTCTTTATTATACTGAGACAAAGTTTGATTCTGCCTTCCCTGGTATCTGTTCAGACCTCCTCTGTGTACTTATTTATTGGTTGGGGATATTGTCATGGTCTCTTCCACAGAATAGGGAATCAGAGCCGGGTGGGCTGCTACGAGCTGTTGAAAAGGAGTTGGGGCTGGGTGCAGTGGCTCACACTTGTAGTCCCAGCACTTTGGGAGGCCGAGGCAGGCGGGTCACATGAGGTCAGGAGTTCAAGACCAGCTTGGCCAACATGGTGAAACCCCGTCTCTACTAATAATACGAAAATTAGCCAGGTGTGGTAGAGGGTGCCTGTAATCTCAGCTACACAGGAGGCTGAGACAGGAGAATCGCTTGAACCCGGGAGGCAGAGGTTGCAGTGAGCCGAGATCGCACCACTGCATTCCAGCCTGGGTGACGGAGCGAGACTCTGTCTTAAAAAAAAAAAAAAAAAGGAGTTGGAGGGCAGAAAGAGGTGCACGAAGCAGCCTGGTTTCTCCTCTTTGCCAAACTCCCATCATTAGAACAACTGGAAAGAAAAAGACAAGACAATAAGTGTCTTTAGGGTGTGTAAACTGTCATTCTTAAAAATTCCGGATTATGTGTTCATAATCCCCACTCTGTAGAATGGTTGCAGGCATCTAAGGCTAAACCTTGAGTTAGGTGGGCTTTCTTTGTGTAAATGTCAGTGCAGTCTGCTTTGCTGGTTGGTCCCTTTTATCACACCCATGGTGATTTTGAGATCCTTTACACATGTGTATCTCATCCATACATTGCTGGCTTAGCACCTTCCATTGAGTTGTTCTGGACCATGCTTCACTGTCTCCTTCTGTATCCCATTCTCACATCATCTCTCTGTTGCCACCTACAACTGGGTGATAAACCCATGATTGATGGCAGATAACCCAGGAGTATTTTGTTTTCCAAAGAAATAATTTAAATGAAACACTGGCTATTTTCTTGTAAGTAGTAAGTGATAGCTCTACTTAAACAGAATTAAAAGATAGACCACACACACACACACACACACACACAGTGGGAGGGTCAACTCTTAATAGGTGTAGAGAAAGGAAAGATATGAGTCAAGACATCTGAGTTCTTGTGCCTTCTATGACAATTGGACCTTTGGAAAAGCCACTTGATTTTTCTGTGTTTCAATTTTCCAATGTATAAAATGGGCTCAGCTTTGATCTGCTTCATATACCAGGTTGATTTTTTGTTTGATTTTATTTCAAAAGGGCATTCTTAACTAAGGAATAATACAAAATTTAAGAACCATAGAACTATTTTTATTTCTAGGGTTACTTCCAGCTCTGAGTCTAGGAATCTGACCCAAATTTTTAATACAACTCAAAAGTAGAAGCCTTTCTGTTTTAACTCTCTATTGAGCTTTTTATTATTATGAAGAAGATATATAAATTAGAACAATATAAGCCTGTATAATTTTTACAACAAAAGACCATTTTATCTATTTTAATTAGTAATTTTTATCAAGAATATCTATGAGAAAATAATAAAGGTACCTAAGCCATTCTTTGAAAATGACTAAATGATTAGTAAGAAAGAAGAAACTAAGACACTATAAAGCACAACAAAATTAACAGATGCTTAAAATTTAGAATATATGTTTTAAAAAGTGTTCTCACTAGAGTAAGAAGTGGCGTTTTCCCTGGAACTTTTGTAAAATTTGATTTATATGGTGCAGTCAAAGTGTATTTAAATAATGCTATCTTTTTTTTTTCCACCTAGCATTAGTGAGTTTGATGAGAAGACTGAGTCTGAGTGGCAGGTCAGGAACTGCCATCACATGGGGGTTTGTTGGGAACCGTTCATTCATCCATAAAGCAGGATAATCTTTGAGGGATGCTAACAATGGAGACAAGGTTTCCATGCAGGTGGGCTTCATCCCAGGTGAAAAGAAGCTCATAACATTCATTGCAGCCTGAAAAGGAATAGCAATTGTATCACGGCGGGGTGTGTCTTTGGATGTGGGTGTGAATGGAGTCAGAGTTTTTTTACAGGTCAGACTCTAGGGGCTTAGAAGAAGGACTTGGAGATTCTGATGTCTTCTGGGGCCAGAAAGAGAAACGTGAAAGGGTGGAATAGGTGGAGTGGGCACCTGGGTGAGATGGGGCAGGTGTGCACTGTCTAAAGAGATCACCTACTCAGCTTCAGTCCACGGCTGCTCAGTAGAAATGCTGGTCATGTGTCACTAGGCCATCTGCTTTCCAAGAGAATGTGCCCACCCTCTGTCGTGATCTTGATGTCATGACCCCTCACTTGTGCTGAGTACAATTATCTAAGACCATTGCCTTCTTTCCATTATTTATTTTATTTTACGGTTTTCCAAATCACAGACCAGCATCGAGCTACCCCAAAAGGATATGAAATTATATGAGTGTCTCTATCCAGGGTGCCCTCTGTCTTGATTTAACCAAAGAAATTCCAGAAACCGTGTACCCGAAAGGAAAGGAACCAAGGGTTCAGAAAGTATGCCTGGCAAGTATTGGTGGCTTTTTGTTTTGATTTGTTTCTGAAGAAATGAATGTTATCTTATCAAATGCACAACAGAAAATCTCTTAAACAAGCTGAACTAACCAAATAAGAGGAATTTATTACAAGGATACTGTAGCATTCTTCAAACTCAGGGGAAGATGTGTAACTCAGCCTCTTGAGAACTGAAACAAGATGCTGCAAATATATTAGAAAACAGGCATTAGCTCTCTCCCTCTGCCCATATGGCACTGTAGGGAATAAATGTACTTCAATGAAAAACTATGCTATATTAGCCTGCTCTCACGCTGCTATGAAGAAACACCTGAGACTGGGTAATTTATAAAGAAAAGAGGTTTAATTGACTCACAGTTCCCCATGGCTGGGGAGGCCTCAGGAAACTTACAATCATGGCAGAAGGAGAAGCAAACACGTCCTTCTTCACATGGTGACAGAAGAGAGAAGTGCTGAGCAAAAGGGGAAAAGCCCCTTGTAAAACCATCAGAACTCGTGAGAACTCACTGTCATGAGAACAGCATGGAGGTAACCGCCCCCATGATTCAATTACCTCCCACTGGGTCCCTCCCATGACACGTGGGGATTTTGGGAGTTACAATTCAAGATGAGGTTTGGGTGGGGACACAGCCAAACCGTATCACATGCGTTGGCTCTTACACACTTTTCCAGGCAGTACAACTCTATCCCTGTTCATTGACTTTGAGCTATTTTGTAACTCTTTGTAAATTGGAGGTAACTGATACGCAAACTCTGTCTTGTATGATAGAGTTTCAACTGATTCTCAAAAATGTCTACAGTTTTGCCTTCTTTTGCAATTCAACTGATTTGCTGTATATGAATTTGTGCATTTTCCCCCTTGAACCAGTTATATTATCTGTCCGGTTGTCTCATTTGATTAATGAGTAAAATAAAATCATTTACATGTGTTCATTTTTTTTACCTGTATGGAAGTCATGCTTTTATCTTTTTTTCTGAAAAGCATCTCTTCCTATCTTGCTTTTACTAATTCTGAATGCACAAAGATACATGGCTCCCATGCTGACTTTGCAAGATCTTGCTTCAAAGGAACAGTGCTTCTAAATCTCAATTCTAATTTCCTCCTAGAGAAAAAATATGTTTTTAAGTGTCCAGCTGGCATGATTCTACGTTTGCTACAATTGAGCGTGACCAGAGGGTGATGCCTGCACTACCTACTATCATGTTTGATAACAGCCCAGAATGTTGGGATGTGGAGGGAGAAGTTCTCAGGAGTGTGTATGTTGTATTTGTGTGTGTGTGTGTGTGTGCATGAGCTTTTAGTGATTGGGTGCTCTGAGTGGTTGTTCTGCACAGTAGATAGTCAAGAACAAGTTGATTGCCACAAATGTCAGGGCTGTAGAAACAGAATTGGGATATCTATGGGGCCAAAGAGGACCTCAAACAGGAACAAACAGCACACATCCTTCACCTCACAAAACTTCATTAAATTATGTCTACTATGTAAACCCGTTGCTAGAGGTTCTTGTGTATATGAAGGGAACACAGAAGAGACACATGACTCACAGTTATTCAAATTAGTGGCCAGGTGTGGTGGCTCAGGCCTGTAATCCCAGCACTTTGGGAGGCCGAGGCAAGAGGATCACTTGAGGCTAAGAGTTTGAGACCATCCTGGGAAACACAGCAAGAACTTGTTTCTGTGAATTTTTTTTAATAAAATCACCCAGTTGTGGTGGCTCTGTCTGTAGCCCTAGCTACTTTGGAGGCTGAGGTGGGAGGATTGCTTGAGCCCAGAAGTTTGAGGCTGCAGTGAGCTATGATTGCACCACTGTACTCCAGCCTGGGTGACAGAGTGATACACTGTCTCTTAAAAAAAAAAAAAAAAAAAAAAAAAGTTAGTGTGTGATAAGTCCTATAAATATAAAGAATTCCAGGTTTATGGGAGTTTGAAATAAAGGTCTATGGGAGTTTGGAAGAGGAGAATATGACTTCCTCTTTGAGGGAATTAAATTTGTCTTTATAGTATAAATGGCATGCAGTGAAGACCATCAATAAGAGACCGGGTTGGAACATGGGTGACAAGGTTGTGGTGGTGGGGATAGTAGGGTTTAGAAGGGTTTCACATGTTCTATATGCAGGGACAGCCCAAGCCAAAGTTCAGAATATTCAGAAGCAAAGAATTATTTGGTGGAAGCAGGGAGGTGTGAATGGTTTGAGCACGTTGACACATTGGTCAGGCTGGGTGAAGAGATATTCATGTTTGGGGATGAGGACCAATTTACATACTCTAATACAAAGCATGATTCTTCCGAGGGCTCACAGCCAGCATTGGGAGTGGATTTTCTGAACCCCCTTAATGAAGGATGCAAACATCAGAATTCAAGTCAAGTTAATTTTATCAAATAAAAACATGTTTATTCTAAGGACAAAGGGGCATCCTGTGGCAGCAAAGGGAAGTTGGACCTCCTAAAAGACAAAAATCAGAAAGTTTCTGGAAGGTCTGATTTACATCATTAATGTAGGTGAGACACTATATAGCCACGGGCCAATAAAGGCAAGATAAGGCTTGATTTACAAAAAGCCAAGAATCTTTGAATTTATGACATCATAGTTTATCTCAAGGAAGCTTTAAACCTGTGAATCTGATATCTAAAATAGTATAAAGCAGATTGAGGTGAATTTTAGGAGAAACATTTTTGGAACTTCTCACAGCTCCAGAACTGCATTCTTTGAACTTAAAGGAGTTCTTTTGCTTAGAGTTTGGTATGATAAAAAATATTTTCCATTTCTACTAGCTGTTTTTATCCTTTTGGCATTACAAAACAATTTATTTTTTATTTATTCTTTTACAGTTGCTGAAATTTAGACAGCCGAGTGAGAGATTTCTCTCTAACCTAGGAGACAATTTGATGGTTGTGTTCATATAGAAGCATCTTAACTGAATTCTGAATCCTGAGGGCATGGAAGATTGAAAAGTGCCCTGGCAGAAGAAAATCTAGCAAAATTTCTATTATTCATTGGAAAAGCAGGGAACAACAAATGGAATTCATGGGTAGATGCAGCACCATTGCTAAACTTTCACAGGATAAGCCAGCAGAGGTAGACAATGGATTGGAATTTAAATCAACCTCTTTAGTCCACAGCCACATGGTGTGGGTATAAATGATGAATACAATGGCCAAGGAGAAAGAATGGGAAAGACAAGAGTCATAGCTAGGAAGCATTGGTTGGAGAGTTTAAAGAAAAACTTCGACAGAGTCACTTTCTAACTTTATAATGTTTTTATTTCAAGTGGATATCTTTGGTTGTGAAACATATGTAGTCCCCGAAACTCTATGCATCAGAAGAAATAAGTACAGAAACTGCAAGAGTTTTTGAATATTGAGAAACCATAATTCAAATATTTTGATTTCACAAAATCAATAATGTATTCTCTCATTTTATTTCCTTTTATGGAGGCACATGTCCTCTTCAAATACACACACACACACACACACACACACACACACACACACACACATATATATATATATAAAGTCAAGAGACAATCTTTTATAGGTAAAGTTAATCTAACAGAAGAAAACAATGAAGTAAATCAGGAAAGAAAATTAGTGTTCCCTTCTTTTCTTTTGGAAGGTAGAGCAATCAAAAAGATGGTCAGGGTTTGAAACAATTTGAAAACATACTAGAAGTGAATCTTCTATGTTGAATTAATTGAAAATATATTGGGGACTGAATCTCATAAAACTGGCAAGTAGAGATGAAAATACATGCAATGGAGATAATTCATGTTTATTGCACTCTTGTGACCTTATAATTATTGGTTTTCTAGTCTATTTAATATTGATGTATTCATCATGTGATTTATAGCTAATATTCTCCTTCTAAGATGGCAACTCAATCTTGATATATTCAGTGTATTCGCTCATCACCAGATTTTGTATCCTATCATTCAGAAGCCACATTTTCCATGCTCATAAATGCTTGTATGTGGCAACATTTGACATTTGGGAAAATTGTTATTTTAACATTATTTTAAACATACAGAAGAGTTGCAAAAATGTAACACAGAACTCTTGTAAACATTTTACATAGATTGACAAATTGTTTGCATTTTGCCCCATTTACTCACTCTCTTTTCTTATTCTTTCTCTCTGTCTCTTTCTCTCTCCTCTCCCTTGACCATTTGAGAGTAAATTACATATAATGATCTTTCATTGTTAAACATTTCAATGTTTAACATTGAATGTTCTTTAGAAAGAACAAAGACATTCCCCTGCATAACTACAGTATAATGATCAACATCAAAAAATTTGATGTTAGAAACCCTAGCCAGAGCAATCAGGGAAGAGAAAGAAGTAAAAGGCACCCAAAAAGGAAAAGAAGAAGTCAAATTATCTCTCTTCACTGATGACTCTCTAACTAGAAAACCCTAAAGACTCCAACGAAAGGCTCCTGGAAATGATAAATAACTTTAGCAAAGTTTCAGGATACAAAAGCAACGTACAAAACTTAGTGGCATTTCTCTACACCAATAATGTTCATGTTGAGAGCAAAATCAAGTATGGAATCCCATGTACAATAGCCACGAAGATGACAATAATAGACACTGCAGATTACTAGAGGGTGGGGGATAAGCGTTGAAAAACTGTTGGGTACTATGTAAAACAAAGTCTGCACATGTACCCACTGAATAAAATAAAAGTTGAAATTATCTTTTTAAATATTGACCTTGATACATTCCTATTATCTAATCCATATTCTGTATTTAAATTTTGTCAATTTCCTCAATATTTTGTATATAAAATATACATACATTCCAATCATAGGTCTAATCTAAGATCACACATTGCTTTTAGCTTTTCTTTAATATGAAACAGTTCCTCAGCCAATTATTTCGTAGACTAGTACCAAAAGGTATATGGTGACCAATATTTACTTTTGATATTCCGTTGATTCCTCACTGAGCTGGTGGAGCACAGATATTGTAGAACATACAGTTATAGGATCAACCTGAAAATGACAACAAAAAGTCAGTGGTCTGGGTCCTCAGAGAAATACTTGAGATTGGTAATATGTTGATTTAGTTTTGCTCTTCCACTAGGGTCTTTGGCCAGGAGGTCTGAAATTTAATTAGATTCAGGTCAACTCTAAGGTTCCTAGGTTCTATGATAAATATAGCCAGAATAGTAAATGTTATGAAAAGGAACATAATTGGGCAGTGGAAACAATTATGATTTAGGTTTCCATAGATGCAAAGCTATGTAATGTCACACACTTGGATTCTTACTCTTTGAGAGTAATTTGTATCATCATTCAGGTACTGTTTCACCTTAGTCCAAGACAGAAAATTCAGGTGACTAAGGTTTCTTGACCAAGAGCACAGCAGAGACTCTGGTCCAGGGACACCAGCCTGAAAACCAAACCCTGGTTAGAAAGGATTGATAGTGTCCTTGCATTATGTTTGCTATTACATTTCCACTGTTAAACAATTGTACACATTGATATGGTTTGGATTTGTGTCCCTGCCTGTATTAGTCTGTTCTCATGCTGCTAATAAAGACATACCCAAGACTGGGTAATTTATAAAGGAGAGAGGCTTAATTCACTCACAGTTCTGCATGGCTGGGGAGGCCTCACAATCATGGCAGAAGGTGAAAGAGGAGCAAAGTCATGTCTTACATGGCAGTAGGCAAGAGAGTGTGTGCAGGGGAAACCCTCTTTATAAAACCATCAGATCTCATGAGACTTATTCACTATCACGAAAACTGCACAGGAAAGACCTGACACCATGATTCAACACCATGATTTAATTATCTCCCACTGGGTCCCTTTCATGACACACGGAAATTATGAGAACAATAATTCAAGATGGGATTTGGGTAGGGACACAGCCAAACCATATCACTGCCCAGATCTCACCAGATATCATGTCAAATTGTAATCCCTAGTGTTGAAGGTGGGCCCTGATGGGAGGTGATTGGATTATGGGGGTGGAGTGTTCATGAATGGTTTAGCACCAACTCCTTTTGGAACTGTGTAGTGAATGAGCTCTCCTGAGATCTGGTTGTTTAGAAGTGTGTGGCACCTCCCTCCTTCCTCCTGCTTTAGCCGTGTGAAGTGCTGGCTCCTCCTTTACCTTCTGCCATAATTGTAAGTTCCTGAGGCCTCCCAGAGGCAGAAGCCACCATGCTTCCTGTACAGCCTGCAGAATCATGAGCCAGTTAAACCTCTTGTCTTTATAAATTACCCAGTATTGGGTATTTCTTTATAGCAGTGTGAGAACAGACTAATGCAACAGTCTATTTCAAGGATTGAGTTTTTCCTTAGTGTATCAGTCCATTTTCACACTGCTATAAAGATATTACCCCAAGACTGGGTAATTTATAAAGAAAAGAGTTTTAATTGACTCACAGTTCCACGTGGCTGGGAAAGCCTCAGAAAACTTACAATCATTGGAGAAGATGAAGGAGAAGCAGGCACCTCTTTACAAGGCAACAGGAGAGAGAAGCAAGTGCAGGAGAAACTGCCACTTATAAACCATCAGATCTTGTGAGAACTCCCTCAATGTCACGAGAACAGTGTGAGAGAAACCACCCCCATGATCCAATCACCTCCCACCATGTCTCTCCCTGACACATGAGGATTACAATTCGGGACGAGATTTGGGTAGGGACAAAGAGCTGAACCATATCACCTAGGTATCATTTTGTTTTCCTCAAAGACTCCTATGGTATACAGGATTATGTTAAGATTCTGTAAATGAACCCGGAGAATCCAGTAGGCCTCACTGAAACTCTCCTGGTGCACAAATATGAGATGACATGTTACGGTAGCTCATAGAATTGGTAGCCCAAAGAGTGGCTATTTCCTCTTTGATTGACTCATGAAAATGAAAGGACTTCCTCAGACCCAAAGAATCCCTTGGAGGGGTGAGGAATTCCCAAGGAAGCCCTTCCTCGGTAAGCACATCAATATCACAAACATTTATTGGATGCTGCTGTAGTTGTTTGATTAATAGAAAGGCCAGTCCCGCCTAGAATTGGGTGGGTAAATGCTAGAATGACAGGAATAAGACAGGAAAAGTTATCAGGGGTCAGTTTATAGAGGGTTCTGGGGGTTGTAGAAGTAGCTTGAATTTTATTATAAATTGAATAAGAATCCATTATAGAAATATAACACACATAGTCTTAATCCATATCTCCACTGAATATTACCTAAAATATTTACCTTAAAAAATAGTGTCCAAGAAACAGAGGACTAAGTGAAGAGAGAGATGCTGAAATGAGGAAATTGCTAGGTTATGTGTGATTCAATTGGAAGATCAACATAAAAATTCATAGCAGAATATATCAATTTTGGTAGTATCAGGGACAAGGTGGCTAAGGAGACAAGATGATTAAGGATGAGGTTTCAATCTTAACCTTGATGAAGGGAAGTGAGATAGCAACTGTAGTTAGACATTCTTGTCTTTCTGTTTCGCTCTGCAAATATTTAACAAAAGGAGGTGGCCTCTGGAAAGTGAGAATAATAGAGAAGGGAAGTGCTTGGGGAAATGATGAGGGGAATACATGGGAATCTGACACTTTCTTCAGTGATGATTAGGCAACAGGAGCTGGGTGCCAAGATGCTGGGGAGTTGAATGTATGTCCAAATATCAAGGTGGCAGTGCTGGAAGCATCAGTGTCAAATGCAACCATTCTGCTACGGATTTGCTTAGATTTTGTGTTAGGTTTCTATTGCTTCCAGAACCTAACAAATCACCACCAACCAAGCAGCTGAAAACAACACTATTTTTTTATCTCACAGTTCTTCAGGTCAGAAGTCCAGATGGACTTGGCTGTGCTCCTTGTGTAGAGTCTTATAAATCTGAAGTCAAGGTGTCGTCTGGGCTGGGTCAGAGGGGGAGGATCTGCTTCTCTTCTCATTCAGAACTAAAATCCCTGTTTCTTCAGTGGCTTCAGCCTGGGATTATTCTCAGCTTCAAGAGGTGACCTACACTCCTTAGCTCATACCCCCTTTCCATCTTCAAAGCCAGCAAGGAAACTGAATTTCTTTGACTTCCTCTCCGCCTTTGTTTTTATATTTTATTTATTTACTAAGAGATGGAGTCTTGCTATGTTGCCCAGGCTCGTCTCAAATTCCTGGGTTTAAGCAACCCCAATGTGCTGGGATTACAGGTGTGAAGCACTGTGCTTGCCCTGCCTTGACTTTTAAGGGCACCTGTGATTACTTTGAAACTACCTGGACCATGCAGGATAATTTCCCTATCTTAAAGTCAAATGATTAGTAATGTTAATTACATCTGCAAATTCCCTTTTTCCACATAAGGTAATATGTTCACAGTCCCAGGGATTAAGGAATGGAAACTTCTCAGGGGTCACAATTGTGCGGACTCCAGATTTCAATCCTAGTGTTGCCCTTCCCTAGATGCATTGTTTTAGGCAAGTTTCTGCAATCCTCCTTCTCAGTGTCCTTGAATGGGAGATGAAGAAAATGATGGTAACTACCTCAAGGGGTGTTTGAAGAGCTAAGCAACTTCATACTTGTCCAGCAAATAGAATGATGTTTGGCAAGTGGTTAGAGTTCTGTAACTGTCAGCTATTATTTTAAAGGGAAAACATAAACGGAGCCACGATCAAAAGTTAGAGATGACTCACTAATCAGGGAAGAACAGGGATTCAAGGTCACAGCCAGTAGTTAGACTGAGTCTAAGTGGGTAAGAAAACAGCAACAAATTCCTCCTGCAGGGGAGTTGAGTTTAGTTGATAAGCAAGGAAGCAAATATTATTTCAGACAAAGGCTACTCTTCTGCGTTCCTCCAAGGAAAAAGCAAAACCAGGTCTGATGAAGGAGGTGATGGAAATTCAGCAACTCCTGGCTGCGGGACTGCACTTAGTATGCATACTCTAGCTAGAGTGAATTGTCAGTGTGAGAAAACCACCAGATGGCCACATTCTGGAGGACTTTCCACGGAAGTAGAATGCCCAGTTATTTCTCAGTTTACAAGGGGCATCCATAGATCCCACTGATGGAGGTTTTCTGAGATCTGCTAAAGAGATCTTAGAAATGTGTTTAATGTTGTGCACCAAACCAGGCCATTAAATCACCCTGCCTGAATTTTAACTGAGATTTACCTACATTTCATAATTTTGTCTGCTTGAATTTTCTTCTCTTCCCCTTTTCAAAATATCTGCTTCATTTTGTCATGGAAGATCTGCTTCAAGGATCTTTTAAAACTTGTCTAGATTCATTGACTGCCCTTAGGACAAAGAGAGTGAACAAATTACCTTTATTTTCCTTTGATGTAGTGTATCAACCATGCTTGTTTAAAACCAAAAAGGAAGAGACTGTGGAAAAATGAGGTCAGCAAAGGCCACAGAGAAGCATTTCTTAAGTTTCAGAGAGGATTTAAAGTTTTCTACACTATGAAACTATTAAAAATAAAATAAGACATTTTTATAGATTTTTTTCTTTATTTCTGTGACTCCCATTAGCTGAGAAAAAGATATTGGTTCTGTGTACAGAGAATAATGGGAGATTAAACCTCTTCTTGATTCAGCTGCATGCAAAGATTGTTGAATTTTAGACTGAGAACTTTTTGAAAAAGGTAATTGGGAAAAGTTGAGCTTTAAATTGAAATTTTCTTTCTATCTATCTATCTATCTATCTATCTATCTATCTATCTATCTATCCATCTACACACAATGTATAATGTCTCTTTTTCTCTATATGTAGAGATACATATAATGTTAAAAATTATGCTATATATGTTATACATTGTAAAATTGTTATATAACAATGCATATATATAACATAATACTTTTCACTGTACTATAATTCATAAGTTATATATGTAATGTGCTTAATATATATAACATATACATGTATACAGTGTTTTCTATATAATGTGTATGTATACAATACTATATATAATCTACATTTGTTATAACATATATACATTTATAGTTATACTCACACACAGACACACACAAACACACACATATCACTTGGATATACTTAGTATTATGAAAAGGAATACCTTTTCCAACTTTTCACTATTAGCCCAAGGTCTAAATAGATAATCTTTAAAACCATTTATATACCATTTATATAAATGTGTAAACTGTCCAAGAAATGGACTATTAAATAAATGAATTTTTCTCCATGTCACAGTGACATTCTGAGTCACCAGCAAGGAGAAGTACTGGAATCTTCCCTGAAGATAAACTAAATATTCAACCTTGTTGGTCCACATGCAGTATCTTTTTACATTTTCCACACACAATGCTTTACGTACATAGAAAAGTGTTGACTTCATTCTCCCTCCAAATGGCATCCTATCATTCACTCTCTGATCATTTCCTCTGTGGAGTGAAAGGCCTCTGCAAACAGCCCCGTGTCACCCAGGGCAAGCTGGGGCTACCAGGCAGGGGGACAGGCAGGTCACATGTCCTATGCACAGTCCCTCTTTTGGGGAGAAGAGGAGGGGGCACTGGTACCAGGTACATTATTGTCCAGAAAAGAGACAGCTGCTCTGTGTTATCCTGTGGACAACCCGGTTGTCTCTCTATTGTAACTTTTATAAGTAAAAAGAAATTAAGTGAATGTCTGTAAGTAGTTTCTTTAAAATTATTTCTCATCGGTAACAGTAACTATCTCCCCATTTACCTGCAAGAGAGCTGATGTGTAGCCTTGCTATCCAATGCAGGCAAACATTGTAATTCATGGTATAATGCACTAACCTAAAAGAGTTCTATTCATTCATGTTAAAATTCAATATATAGTGATCCTAAAGAGATGAGTGTAATCTCAATCCAAGAAGTATAAACCTTCATGCATCCGGCTATAAATATTAAAATCACCTTATAATGGAGACATTTAATGTGGGCCAGCGGGGGAGAGAATTAAAGTGAGAGGAAAAGATGAACAGTGATACTCTCTTTCATATAATTATTTTCCTCTTCAGACTTAATTTGATATTATGCGCTGTTTTCCCATAATGTGCAATAGTATTATTTTTCCTTTTTTATATCGTTCTGAGCTGATGTGAAAACTCTATCATCTCTTATGTCCTTTTTTGAGCCAAGGAAGTCAAAACATTCTACCCCTGAAGTGTGGTTTCCTCCTCCTCCTTCTCCTAATTATTTTCCTCCTAGGATTTACTTTTCAGTCTTTTGTTCCCCAGTCTAAATCCATTCTCTCTGGAAACACATGTGAAGTATGATCTTTTTAGTACAGTGACTATATCCTCACCCGCTTTGTGTTTCTAGCCTCACTGGACTTTATCAAGGTAACCTCATGCATTCATAACCACCTGCTGTCGTATGTGTACCCTTTAACCTCCAGCTGTAAGATAAACTTAAGTCCCATAATTCCTGTCACAGAACACTCAAACCATAGGGAACTTATGAATTACTTGATGGGAAATGTGGGATGATTCATTCATTCAACATGTATTTATTGAATGCCTACTATGTGACAACATCTTTCTACGTGCAAGGTATTATACAGCAACGTATAAAGAAACAAAAACTCCTGTCCTCCCAGAGCTAATACTGATGCGTTTGAATCTGAGGATGACTTTACTCACAGAGTTATAGATAATGTAGATCTTAATTACAAACTACTATTTTTTTGTTGAATACTCGAATTTTTGCTGTGACGTGAGGTTTGTAAGCATTCTTCTTTTTTTTTTTTTTTTTTTTTTTTTTTTTTGAGACAGAGTCTTGCTCTGTCGCCCAGGCTGGAGTGCAGTGGCGCAATCTTGACTCACTGCAAGCTCCACCTCCCGGGTTCACGCCATTCTCCTGCCTCAGCCTCCCAAGTAGCTGGGATTACAGGCGCCAGCCACCACGCCCAGCTAATATTTTGTATTTTTAGTAGAGACAGGGTTTCACTGTATTAGCTAGGGTGGTCTCGATCTCCTGACCTCGTGATCCGCCTGCCTCGACCTCCCAAAGTGTGTAAGCATTATTCTACCACACTTGGCTTTCATGTTTTACTTCTGCCCTTGGGAATTTGCTTGTGATTCAGAACCTGTGACTTCTTCCGCTTTCTTTTTCATCTGCCGTTTTCTTAGCCTCACATTTCCATATCTCCTAGGATTAGTAATTATCTTAAAATAAATTTTGTGTAAAAAAGAAGCACGGTTTCATTGTTTCAAAATGGGAATTGTCAGCTCCAGAAATACCTCAAATGTCCATCAAGGTCTATCACATTATGATTTATTAGTCAGGCTGGGGACGGGGGTATGCAAGGCACAGATACCTTCACGGGCCAGCTTAATCAATAAAAAACATGTGTCATCTTATACATACATGTGCCTGATGGCTCCACCAGAGCCATGTAGATTAGAGGGAAGGCCTTTTCTTAGTGGGAAGAGGATGGGGACCTAAACACCACATGGCCCTCCTTTTCCTCTCATCCCAAGTTAGTGCATAGGCAGAGTTCATAGCAGTAAGCTCTGGAGTCAGAATGCCAACATCACATACCTGTTCCAAGTATAATAACTCCACCTTCATAAGCTACTTTTTGTCCACGTGTAAGATCTACACCCAATAGACTCTATGGCATTCTGATACCATGAGGATTAAAAGCGACAATAGCTGTTGATCAAATGATACAAAATGTCAATTAGACAGGAGGAATATTAAGGAACATGGTAACTACTGTTAGTAATGATATTGTATACTTGAAAATTGCTAAGAGAGTAGATTTTAAATGTTCTTACCTGCAAAAAATAAGTATGTGAAGTAATGCATATGTCAATTAGGTTAATCTAGCCTTTCCACAATGTGTAGCTGTTTCAAAACATGTTGTACATCATAAATGCATACAATTTTTATTTGTCAATTTAAAAAATAATTTTTTTTAGAGAAAGACACAATAGATAGAAACTGAGTAGCACAGGCTCTAAAATGGAGTGCCTGTTCAGTTAATGTTAACTCTTATTAATCAATGCATCATTGATGATATGACATCCTTGAGACATAGACTAGCTATTAGGATCACTCTTATGAGGTATACATTCTTTCAGATACTCACTCCAAGTTCTGAATTGTTTATAATTACTCATGAGAAAATGGAGCCAGAGGTTACTTGTCCTGGCAAAGATGAAGACAGAGGAAGAATGTGGGCTTTCTGCTTCCCATGGCACGACCCTACTTACTAGCCCCCAAATCCGCCTCTCATGTTATGTGTGATCTTGGTTAAATGTCTCCTCCCATGCTGGTCAGTGGACTTTTTCTCTAAAAAAAAAAAACATTATTTAGTACCTTCAATCACAAAAGCTCATTTCTTTGTTTGTCTGAAATATGCTTACTTTAGATTTCAAGGTAATTTTCTATGGCCCTCACAGACCAAATCGGTGTCCACAACACTTAGCATCTTATTCTGTTTTGCAAACTGACAGATGTATGTCACCAGTAACAAGATAAAAAAGGGAGTGGAGGCCGGGCGCGGTGGCTCACGCCTGTAATCCCAGCACTTTGGGAGGCCGAGGCGGGCGGATCACGAGGTCAGGAGATCGAGACCATCCCGGCTAAAACGGTGAAACCCCGTCTCTACTAAAAATACAAAAAATTAGCCGGGTGTAGTGGCGGGCGCCTGTAGTCCCAGCTACTTGGGAGGCTGAGGCAGGAGAATGGCGTGAACCCGGGAGGCGGAGCTTGCAGTGAGCCGAGATCCCGCCACTGCACTCCAGCCTGGGCGACAGAGCGAGACTCCGTCTCAAAAAAAAAAAAAAAAAAAAAGGGAGTGGAACATGACTCTTCTGGAAGACCCATTCTTGCCCACTCCGAACCACTACAGATCCCAAAATGGTAACATTCTTCTGATATCTGTCATGATGGGTGAGTTCTGGTTGTTTCAAATGTCCTGGGAGACCGGTGGACTCTTTTTTTCTTTTTCACCCTACTGCAGAATTGATAATTATTTTTATAACTTCCAGGAGGGAAGGAGGTAAATGTGGCTGCAACTGACTCAGTTGACACTCTTATCACTTAAAAATTTCCTTACAAATGATTATTAACTAGATGATCAGAGCCTATTTTATATCATGGATTTATGGAGATTTTGAGATTTCTGCATCTTCTCTTTAAACAAAAATATGTGTATGTACTGATCCCAAAACACATTTGACCCCACGGGATAATGACCTGTTTTCTCAAGGCTGATTAGATCTTTGGATGTTTGATCTTCCTATTTCATTTTGACTCATATTTTACAATTAATTCTTTGACCTACTGACCTTGGGATTGGACTTCCAATTTTTTTTTCATCATTCTCTCACTTGTTCCTTTTCTCTCTTTCTCTACCTCATTTTTTCTTGGATTTTCTATTTTACCAGACCAACTGTGCACAAAATATGAGTAATTATTATTTAGCTGCAGAAGATTGACCGTGTCTTTATCAGGAAGCCAGAGTGTTATGTTTAGGCAGATTCTGTTTCCACTAATGGGGATACAGTAAACATCACTTCATTTGCAAGTTCATACCGTCCTTCACACGTAAGGAATAACATGATTTGTCATATTGAGCTTTTTCTCACAGTTAGAGTTCTTAGTTTTGTCAGGAAACTTTGAAATAGATAAAAAGGCACAAATTTACAATATAAGGGGAATTTCCTGTTACATTTAAGAGGAACTATAATGACTGAAGGAAATTAATCTTTATAAAGGTGCTTTAAAACTACATCTAATTTTACATAATATGGCTACTTAGTAAGAACACCTCACCAAAAAATAGCAAAATACAGGATAAACTGAAATTATAGTAGTTTCTTAGAAGTGGGACTATTTCAATAAGAGAAACACTCTGTTAACTGTTCCTTCACAGGTAAAGATTCTAAAGTAATTTCACCTAGGCTATCAACACTTGAAAATTTACTCACCAGTGATTTTTCAACAGTCAAAATTGGCTTTTCTCAATTTATAGTGTTAGCAGAAAAGGCAATAAACCTCATCTAGCAAAGAATAGAACTAATCTACTTTGAACCAAAATTAGAGCATTATTTGCATCAACAAGTAACGGTTCAGGAGCTTGCCTGATTCTAAATTCAGCTCTGAGCAACAGCTAAGTTGGTGCTCAAAGCCCACTGAACAGTAATAACATGTTGTATGCTATAAAATGTTTTACGCTAAGGTACACACCAAAGCTCATGGTGGAAGAAGATTCCAACCCTATTATCATGTCTAGTGATATTAATTACTGTGCCTCTCATACCTTCTAATTGCTCACTAAAAGACATACAAGTCATCATAGAATTGCAAATGTGTACAACCTGAATTCTTCCATTCTTCATTAGAACCTCGGGCACCAAGCTTTCTTTTGTTTAATTTTTAACTTTCATTTTAAGCCCAGGAGTACATAGGAAGGTTTGTTATACGTGAACTCAAGTCATGGGGGTTTGCTGTACAGATTATTTCATCACTCAGGTATTAAGCCCAGTACCCAATGGTTATTTTTTCTGCTCCTTTCCCTCCTCCCACCCTCCAACCTCCAGTAGACCCCAGTGTACTGTTTCCTTTTGAGTTCATGAGTTCTCATCATTTAGCTCCCACTTATAAGTGAAACATGTGGTATTTGGTTTTCAGTTCCTGTGTTAGTTTGCTAAGGATAATAGCCTCCAGCTCCATCCATGTGCCCGCAAAAAGGCAAGATCTCGTTCTTTTTTCAAGGCTACATGGTGTATATGTACCACATTTTCTTTATCCAGTCTATCACTGATGGGCATTTAGGTTGATTCCGTGTCTTTGCTATTGTGAATAGTGCTGCAATGAATGCACATATATATGTATTTTTATGGTAGAATGAGTTACATTACTCTGGGTATATACCCAGTAATGGGATTGCTGGTTCCATGTGATTTCCTGAACCTATTTCCTCATCTGTATACTTAGGGTATAGAATTAGAGACATGGTTAGCATAGTGGTGGAAGGTACAGGAGGAGGTGAGGCTTTAGACCTAGACCTTTGTTGATGTAAAAGGACCTGTGTGGCCTGGATCTGTGATGCCCCCCCACCTTAGGCTGAGAACCCTGTAGTGGATATCTCAAATATTGTCATCATCCCGATGACAGGCATGAAGAGCAGATGCAGAAAGTCATAGCAAAGGCCACCTCCATAGAAAGCAAAGCAGAACAAAACACAAGCAAAAGGGTTAAGCACGGTGGCACACAACTGTAATCCCAGCACTTTGGGAGGCCGAGGAGGGCAGATCACTTGGAGTCAGGAATTCAAGTCCAGCCTGACCAACATGGTGAAACCACATCTATACTAAAAATACAGAAGGTCGCTGGGCACGGTGGCGCGTGCCTGTAATCTCAGCTTCTCGGAAGGCAGAGGCAGGAAAATTGCTTGAACCTGGGAGGCAGAGATTGCAGTAAGCCAAGATCACACCACTGCACTCCAGCCTGGGTGACAAAGTGAGACCCTGTCTCAAAAACAAACAAACAAAAAACCACACACACACAAGCAAAAGGAGACACAGGTATACCTGCACACCCTATGGATTTAAAACTCCATGTCAAACTCCAAGTGTTTATTTCCACCTTCAACTCTGAATTGAGGAAAAAATAACAAAATAAACACTTTTCTATAGTTAGGTGCTAGCACCAATAGACTCATTTGTTACATTTTAGGACCTTTTTGAGAGTGAATCTGATGGTAGGTGGATGGAATTGATTTAAATGTTTTAAGGGGTCCCATGTATATTCAAAAATCTAGTTTTATAATTTTTGAAATCTATAATTTCATGCTGTGCCAATAGACAGATCACTTCTTAATCAGTGATATTATTTAACCTTTGATATTTCACATCCAACAATCTTTTTAAGCCTTAATGTTTAAAGGAGGTTTTGGAAAATATACTGTTACAAATAAAGTTGGTTGGTAACCTGGAATATTTCACTCAGTGTTCAAATGACATTTTGTGTCTTAATAAATCCTTCTATGGAAACAAATATAAGAATACAAAAGAGCATTAAACCTTTCAGAAACTGTTGCATGGAAAAAATAAAACACAGCCCCCATATTTTTCTGTTAATAAATACGTGACATTAATATAGTAATATAACAAATAGAATATATTAAATGAGGAAAATATATATTTCACAAGGTGGTTCACATGCATTCTCAAGAAAAATTCAAAACATTTAAGCTTTTTACTTAAAGGAAAAAAGAAAAACAGAGACTTCAAAGAAAAGTGTACCCTAAATCAACCATTTACTTATTCAGGTAGAGAAGATAATCACATATTCTTAGACTCTATGTCAAAATTCTTAAAGTCACTTGTCTCAATAAAAATAAATTTTATTCAGGTAGGTTCAATGGAAGTAGCTATTTTTGTTGACAACCTGGTGTGTTTGAGGAATGTTGCCTAAACTGTTGCTAAGCCTTACCGCCACCCTGCAAAGTGAATTGTGCAGCGCACATGATACAGATGAGAAAATGGAAGCTCATAGGCAAAAGGCATTTGCAGGAGGTCCAGAAAGCAGCTACCTCCCCCTCAGGACCCTGACCACATCACGAGTGGGTGTCACCTGTGGCCACATTAACCAATGCCCCATAGCGGGAGAATATGATGTTGGGACGGGAGGTTGTGAATATGCACCACAAAGATCCTTGAAAGGCTATGTAAGGACTTTCAAATTTTGATAAACTTTGCCAATCAATGTAACCAATGCACGAATATAATTAATATCCCTTCATTATCACCCCCAAAGGATTCTGGAAACATAGTAATTCAACTGGCATTTATTCATCCCTTTTTCTGTTCTCTTTGTGGCTATTCATTTGTTCTTCATCTGATCAACACACACATATATATTAAATACTCAGCAGGAGCTAAGTCTTATCTTTCCTCTTTCTTCATTGAGCTAAAACAAGGATGAGCTTTCAAAAAGGGAGATTTTTCTTTAAAGGCTAACAACCCATTCCCAGCTACTGTGGTGGTTTCTCACCAACTTTAGTTAATACTAGTGCCTGGGTTCTTAAAACACACAAGGCTTGGTTCAGGCTATTAGGTCAATTGGCTCCTCTTGAGTGTGAAATATAACTTTTGGTCATTTCTATATGGAACGAAATAACGTGCTGATTTCATGTGCCCCGACACTTCCATCTCATCTTGTAGTTATTTTGAAATTGTTTTCTTGGAACATTGTTTTGAGAGTTTTGAGGATTCTGAGTTCAGTCAGCAAAGGTGAACTTTGAAAGTCAAAGCATGCTACAGCAAACCGAAAAGGGTGGATTTGGTGAGCGGTTGGAATCACGTAAGCACAAAGGTTTTCCTGGCCACATTACAGACCCTATTTGTCAGTTTTACACACCTTCTTTACCTGTAGCGGTGGAGAGATCCTGGCTTGCAAAATCATAAAGGAATTTATGGACTTTATGGAGATTTATTTAAAAATGAGGTGGGGTCGCTGCTAATTCAGAATGTATGAAGAGTGAACTTGGGTAAAAGGCAGTGCAGTTGCTGGGCTGGAAGCCAGAACTCAGAATCATTGTAATTGTAGATGAAACAATAATTATTTGTGATTGCTTGCTAATCAGCGAAACCAAGGAAGAGACTGCTGACAAGTGCTAGCTAGGTAATTAAGGTGAAGCACTGTATTTGCATACATTTACACTTTGATCATTGTTTGCAAGATTCTCTCTCCAAAAATAGTCTTGGCTTCTTTGAAGATACAGGCTAAATCAAAGTAGAGGGTAGGAGTAACTGCTGTACATCAATAATGCTTAAATTTCCCCCAACCCCATAGACAATTATCTAAAGACTCTCTTAATTTTAAGATCAGGCTCATCTTCTGTTTTTATAATATTATTTAATATAACTAATTAATAATTGTTTTTTGGCATCTTCAATCCATATTGAAGTTTGGAACTTTGCAAACACATTCAATGTGCCTGTCAAGATGTGTTGTTATTGTTGATACAAAAAGTCTTGTATTCCCTGTCCACTTGCTGAATGGCCTGTTCTAACATTTATGCAGAATCTGGCATTACCACTTTAAACTAGGAGTCAAATAGTTTACATTAAGTGAACGCAATACCAAGTAAATGTTTTATGCACGATTGAGACTCTAGTTTTACTAAACTTGACATGTGGATTTCAAATTTAGAGTAAAGCATAATCGAATAGGAACCTTGCACAGGATACCCCATGTGAAAATATTTGAATATGTGGTTCAGACTTTCTTTTTCTAGTTGTATGATCTTGCACAAGATCATACATTTGTCTATTCCTTAGTTTCCTTATTTAGAAAATTAAAGAGTTGGCCCCCAAATATCCCAGTACCATTGAGATCTCTTCCAATGCCTATAGCCAGCAATAATCATGGTAATTGTATATATTTTGTATTGTTTATATGTGTATTATATATATTTTGTATTATATATGTGCATATTATATTTTGTATTTTCTATATGTCCATATGTATACATGTATATATGTGTGTGTGTGTGTGTGTGTATGTATAAAATCATTCTAAAATTCCATTGGTTTGGTTAACAAATTATTGGCAGTTTGTAATTTCTTAAGAATCTATTTTGTTCTTGTAAACAAATATTTCATTACTAATCCTAACAGGTAATCATTTTTCAATAGTGGAGCTTTGCAAATGGACTTTAGAGGCCAAGTACACCAACAGACAATGGTAAGACCATATATGACAACAGAACTCTGTCCTACCACCCATTCAGCACCCAGTTCTGGGATCCAAACTACAATCTCTGCAACAGTCATCCCCAGCAATCAAGACTTCATCCATTTCTGCCAGCTTTCCTATATTTTTCCCCTCTTCCAACTCAGAACCAACCAGGGAAAGTGAAATATGCTCCCCAAACCAATGACGTGAGATGCCCCACTTTCGGACAGCTCACCTGAGGTTCCCCCATGCCAGCAAACTCCAAATGCGGCACATCCACAGCCTTCTCCTTTTGTTAGCGGTGGAAGAGATCCAAGTTACCTTGAGTTGCCAGCGGCGAATCCGTGTGTGTCTGCAGCAACTTCAGCCCTTGCCTCCTCAGAAGAAAGAGTTTGACTGAGGAGCATAAAGCAGAAAAAGAGACCAAGCCAAGTTCTAGAGCAGGAGTGGAAGTTTATTAAAAAGGCTTTAGAACAGGCAAGAAAGGAAAGAACCCTTGGAAGAGACCCAAGTGGCCGCCTGTAGGTCAAAGAGAAAAGAGGAGAAACTTTAGTCTTGTACCTGGACTTTATAGGGTACTCTCTTTCCCATGATTCTCCCCTTAGGGTGGGCCTTCCACCTGCAGTGTCCTCCTTACCCTTGGGAGATGAGCATGCGCAGTGTGTTTAGGGAATTGTATGCATGCCCATCTGAGGATTTCTTCCTTCTTCCAGTGGAGTATACCTGGAAGGTCATACGTCACCATTTTTGTCTCTTAATGCGCATGCCCAGGAAGTTGCTTCATCCTGGGGCCTGCCTTTAGTTAACACTTTAATGTTAAGAGGTGTGGACCAGCAGCAACTAGCCTCTTCCTAGTGCTGGCAATTTATCCCTTTTAGAGAGGCAATGCCATAATTGCTGAACCATCACCTGATATTTCCAGTGGGGGTGGCGGGGAGAGTCAGCTCATGCCTGACTACCTGTAACACTTTAAAGTATTCTCACTCCCCACTGGCCTTTGAGTCTCTGCCAAATGCAAGCGATAGTGCCGGACTCCCTTGCTAGAGCAAGCTCTGACTAAAAAGTCTCTGCTCTCATTTTGGAAAGAAGGGGGAAGTCTTTATTTAGTTCCACAAACTTAAGATGGTTTTTGATACAGATGGATAGAGTAGGTACAGGCTGAACGCCTCACTATAATTATTATTGACACGGGCTAATTTTCATATTGCACTATAGCTTTTTCTATTTGGGGGGAATAGGGAATAATCATGGTTAACTTCTCAAAGAATAAAAGAGTAATGTTTGCTGTTTGTTTTTTTAATTAAAAATTCAGCACCACTTTCCCAGAAAACCCTGTCTTGTCCCTTGTTGTTGTTGTTTTTCTGTGGTATACCTCAAGAGTTGTAGCAGAAACTGTAGTCAGCAAGGCAAACAGTGAGCACGGGTGTAGAACTCAGGGAGTTGAGGAAGAAGTAGGAAGTGAATAGTCAGTCATTTTAACAACCATTCAGGAAGTGAACAGTCAGCCATTGTAAGAGTTGATTTTGTATAGAAACAAACTCTGAGTATGTATCTAATACCTCCCCAGAGGAAATTTTAGCAATTGGAAGGCAATTTATCAGATGGTTTTGGGGAAAGATGAGATTCAGGGAAAGTATATACAGCTGAATAGGAGCTTTTCTTTGTGCAATTTGCTACATCTCAGTGCTGCCCACAGATGATGAAGGTGTTTAGCTTCAGGAGTTCTTTGTGTGGGGTTATTTTGTCTGGGTTTTTTACGCTGTTGCATCATGAGATCCCAGGCATCCACCTCTGAAGGACTTCTCCCTTATAATGTGCTGTCTTACCTGTGGGCATTTGTAAGAAAACGAATACAAGATGAAGCACTCTAGTTAGACATGTGTGATGTCTCTCACCATCCAGGTTTCTGTGAGAAACTAATGAAGGCCCTTTGGTGCTGTCTGTTCTAAGAGACAACCCTTGGTCTCTCCAGGAATTTCACTGAAACAGGACGTGGGTGCTTTGAAGAAGCCAGGAATTGTACAGTTTAATGCTAAGGCAATTTAAGCAAAAGAGACTCAAGAACAAGTTGTGAATTTGATCCCTTGGAAAGGAAAAGACAGACAATGTTTCTGAAAATATAAGCTTTTGAACATAAAATAGAGAAATTGCACGAAAGCAATCTTCTATGTTTGATGGTAATTTCCATTTCTGTTTCAACCGCTCCTTCAGATAAAATTACAGTGGAGCTTGCCTTTCTATTTAACCAGTCTCTGGATACAAAGTCACCTGAAATCTTCAGGTATTGACAGCCTTTGAAATATCGCTTACAGAAAAGGCACCTCTAAAACATGTATCTTGTGTTTCTTTGTAAAAAGAAATGCCAGTAGGCCATTAGGTCAGTATCTACCTGGCTAGCCATCCTACCATTTGACATTAAGGTTGATCAGAAAGAAAGGGCATTGCTCAACCGCTCTTACAAAAGTCCATTGAGATATTTTTAGTAAACAAAAATTTGGTAAACAAGGATAGGAAGTTAGGATATTTACCCACTGATTCCCATCTCCTGTTGGTTTGAAGGTGGTTCTCAGGGTTTTAACTTCCTAACATGAAAGTCTTTTTTTTTTTTTTTTTTAAAGATTCAGGGGGTACGTTTGGAGGTTTGTTACATGGGTATATTGCCTAATGCTGGCTTCTATTGAACCCATCATCCAAATAGTGATCATACTACCCAATATGTAGTTTCTTTTTACCTCCTTTCCTCTCTCACTCTCTCTTTATAAAAGTCTTCAGTATCTATTGTTTCCATCATTTATGTCCATGAGTACCCTTCGTTTAGCTCATGCTTGTAAGTGAGAACATGTGGTATTTGACTTTCTGTTTCTGCATTAATTCACTTAGGACAATAGCCTCCAGCACTATGCATGTTGCTGCAAAGGGCATGATCTCATTCTTTTTTATGGCTGTGTAGTATTCCATGGTGTATATGTACCATATTTTCTTTATTCAATCCACCATTGATGGGTGCCTAGGTTGATTCTACGACTTTGCTATTGTAGATAATGTAAAGCAATGAAACCTATGGCATATTGGCATTCTTGGCCTGCACTTCTATGAGCTGAATTGGAATGAAGCCATGGAACAGGACAGAGATTGTCAAAGGCGGGGCAGAGGTAGTGTTCCTGGAGCTGTTCACTTCAACAGTGCTGAAATCAGAGGCAAACAGAGGGTGCCAGGAGGGTCCCTGTGTGAGACAGGTCTCATGCTCTTCTATGAGATAAACATATTATGGCTTGGAGAAACATAGACGAAAGAGTAATAAGGTAAAATATATTCATAGAGAAGTTAGTTATCTGTTTTTTTCCCACAATTAGAATGAATGAAAGGAAAAATCAAAATCTAAGTTTAGAATAGTGATCTGGAATGAGCCTGGGTTTCAAAGTCATAAAGATCAGACTTTGTAGTCAAAGGAAGCTTAAAATAAAGAACAAGCATCATACTCATCATCAAAATGAGAATTAGCTCTGTCAATGACACTCTTGTGCTCTGTGAAATTTGACATTCAAAGCAGGAGAATGAAAGGAAATGATGGCAAAGATGGAACAAGGCTGTGGCATTTGTCAGAGGGAGAAAGAACCTGGTTTGGTGGAAGTTCGGTGGAATCAGATTATAAAGAGTATGAAGAGTTAAAAAAGAGGCCTAAATGAGAAACTTGAAATCAATAAGTTTTAAAGCTCAAATGTGAAGTGAATTTATTTTGACTGGGTTAGATTAGTTTATAAGTGACTTTGAAAAAAAGTGCTGGATTTTAGTTATTCACTAATAAAAAATGCATGAACCCTGCCGACTTCCTTGATGAAAGGCATTTTCTACTAAGTCAGCCCTTTGGTCATTCGCAGAATAACAATATATAGACGCACTAGCCAGTATATTTGTCTAGTATACTTGCTGTACAGTGAACATCTTGATATTCTATTGAGTGACCATCCTATTAAAATTGCCATTAACAAGTGTATGGCACGAGAGAGAAACACAAGCAGCTTTACACCAGAGTTACAAAATCATTTGTTATTGTCTATCTAGTGGAATTATATACTGACCACTGTATATAATTCTGAAGCATTTCCACCAAAGTACTAAATGCATTTCCACCAAAAAGATAGAAATAGATGCAATACAATGAAACCCACATCAGTGGAACAGACCTGAAGAAAAACCAGCTGTTGAGGTAGTGGTCATTGCTATGGAATAAAATGCCTTTTATTCCATATTAGTGTTTTACATGTTAGTGTAGTGGGTTAAAAATATTTGTTTGGGGAGTCAGGAGGAAAAAGTGGGAAGGGGGTGAGGGATAAAAGACTGTAAATCGGATTCAGTGTATATTGCTCAGGTGATGGGTGAACCAAAATCTCACAAATCAACACCAAAGAACTTATTCGTGTAACCAACTACTATCTGTTCCCCAAAAACCTATGGAAATATATATAATATATATGTTTATATATAATATATATATATAAGAGCTGTAATCTGAGAGCCACAAAAATAGAATGTAACATATTTATGACATAGTAACAGTAATTCCATGTAAAAGGCAGATTAAGATTAATTAAGATTAATGTATATATTTGTGTACATATTTATATACACATATACATATAAATATATATATATTTGTTTGTCAGTTTACTCAACCATAGCTTAATCTGCCTTTTACATGGAATTACTGTGTTACTATGTCATAAATTTGCTACATTCTATTTTTGTGGCTCTCAGATTACAGCTCTGCGCGTTTTATACTTGTTTTCTTAGCAAATACAATACTTAGCTTATTTTGTTGTTAGTATTTATTGACATATCCTATCCCCAAGTAACACACAGCATTAAATACGAAAGTGTACCTTTCTGTTTCTCGGGAACATGCCACACATTAATTAGCAGCTGGACTTGTCTGAGGGTCACTTAAGTGTCACATCACCACCAACTGTCAATACTGTCTTCTGTATTGATTTCCACTGGATGGCATATTTTCTGCAGTGCAGGGATCTTGGCTTTTAATTTGCACTCCTTTTTTCATTCAGTTCCCAATTTACAGAGTGTCAATAAGGTGTTAGCAACTTCAACATAGCTTGTCAGGGCTCTTTCAGCATTTTAGGCGTATCTCCATTGTAGCATGACACTATTTTATGATTATTCATCTCTGCAGCTGTCTGTCTGTTAGCCTGTGAACTCTTATGGTATTTATTCTTGTATCTTTGTCTTCCCATCTAACTTCCCCAAAATCTGCATATACAGATCCATACATCATACTGACTGTATTTCTGGACTAGTAGAAGACCCTACTTGTCAAATGACTCAAATAATGGCACCCCATCATTTCTCAAGCTGTTTGTGATCTGATATAACAGAAGTAGGCAATCATGTGTCTGATTAGGTATGTAAATATGACTTACCTCTTGCTTAGTCTGGAGAGGCTATGGAAAAGAGGTCAGGAAAAAAGAGCCATCTGTAAGAGGATTCCTTAGCTGGAAGATGAATGCATTGCCATTGTGTTTATAGGATGTATCTTTTTGTATCTTTCATCTCAAATATCCTGTCACTCCCATGGGAATACTTCTTGTTTTTAAGAAAAAAATTCCAAACATCTTTGATTCATCAAGCTAATACCCTGTGGACCTCAGATAGTGTATCCTTATAGACTTCATGGAATGGCACACACCTTCCCCTGAAAGTCAGAGCTAAAAATTAGCCAGTATCTGCACTTTGCCCCAAGCCATTAAGCCTACACCCAATTTCTGCAAGGGAGGATGGAGCCTTACTTGGACATGCCATTTCCTGATCTCTGTAGCACCTCTTATTGATATTTCATACTCAACCCTTGATTCCATCTAGCCTTTTTTCTTTCCACTGGTTCCTGCTAATGCAAGCCTTGACTTTTCATTCCTATTATGCATTCTTCAATAGTGGGCTGTGTCATGGATTGAGAGCGCCTGGCGGAGCCCTGGATACATGGCAGTTTTTCAATAAGCAGTTGTCGGCGGGCAGCCCTGAGAGTGTGAATTATGAGTACTAGCAAAAGGCAAGGTTCATTTGCATAATTATAAGCTGAAGAACGGCAGAGGAAATGAGGTACTGAACTGCTTTGGAATTGTTCTGGCTGCTCCAGTATAGTTCACATTAACAAATTTTATTGTTAAAATTTAAATATTCCAAAATGTAAATATTCCAAGTGGAAATTTCTGGAAGAGAAGTGATATGTGTTGTTGTGGAAGGGGTTACAATAACATCCCAACACACCCCAGCCAGTCTGCAACATCCCAGCAAATGCAATTAAAGAGTGCTAGGAAAACGTTCTAGGTACATCCAGCTTTGGATTAAACATGTCTGATACCATTATACTGAGGTTCTTAACTTAGATAAAAAAGCTCCTTGTGGATAAACTTTTTAGCGGGTATGTGAAACTCAAGGCTTCACATACATACATACATAAAATTATGTATGTGCATCTGTGTATTTAAAGGAGTTACACACGTTATCAAATTCTTGAAGGGAGGTGTTTCGAGACAATACAGAGGAAAGGATGCACTGTTTTTCCAGAGACCTGTTTATTCTCTGGGCTGATTCCAGAAGTAAAAATAAAACCCAAAAACAAAAAACGCTACACAGTTTGATCAGAACACTAAGATTCTCACCCAAGCAGCTTTGATGTCCAAAGTGTGTTTAGAATCCAGCTTATCGATTCAATAGTTCTAGTAAGTTTAATATACATAGCAACACTCAAGACTGGAAAGGTTCCTTGGGGTCTTTACATAGGCTGTCTACCCAGTCTTGCTTCCATGAGAAAGTAGCAAACGGTCTTTTCAGCATTCTTTGTCACTAGCAAAAATCCCTGGATTATCCAAGTTGTCAACTGGCTGTGCTGACCTGTCAGTTCACAAAAGGGTGATTATAGGAGGTATTAGTCAAAGCTTTGCTTTTTCTCTTTTCTGAACTTCTTCTCCCTGGGCTATACCCTTTTCCTTTCGAATTCCTCTTCAGAACTCCATTCTACAGAGAAGCTGCTCTTGGAACTGTGAGGCTCCCTGAAGACATCCAGTGATGGATTGGCAAGAACACGGAACCCTGCCTGACTTTATTCTGCTCTTTCCTGTGCCTAATTTAATTCAATTTCACTGGGCAAGCAGTTTTTTACTCCCTAACACCTTTTATATATCAATCATTCTGTTACAAATCATGACCATATAATTCATAAGAGCTTAGCATTGTTCATTTTGGAGACTGGAAGGCGATTATGCATTGCAATTATCATAGTGCATTTTGCAAATACAGGTGCTTCATGCATTGCAGGATACCAGGCATAAAACAAGATCAATTTCCAAACATCAGACAAGGACCTTTAAAACTTTGTCAAATGCAAGAGCAATTATGTGGTAATAACAGGAAAAACAAAACAAAAACAAAAACACACCTTATATAGTCCAAAGTCTTCAAGGGAAACAAACACTTCTGACACTAAATTGGGGGTTTTATAGTGTGGTTCACAGACCCCGGGGAGTCTCTGAACACTTTCAGGGGTTAAGCCAAAACTATTTTGATAATAATGCTGAGATAATATTTTTCTTTTTCCTACTGGGTTTCTTTTGTACTGACAGTGCCAAACAGTGCAGAGTTAAGCTGCCGGTACCTTAGCACAAATCAATTCAGGGATACTAAACTGTGCTAGTTGTCACAGTATGGTTCCCTGCTATGCACTAGTAGTTTATAAAAAGCCAGTATCACTGAAGAATGTCCCTGATGAAGCACAAAATAATCTTAACTGTCTTCAACCTTAATCCTAGGGTAAACATAGATTCAATATTTGGTATGACAAGATAAAAACTGTGAGTTCTCCAGATACCAAAGTGTCATTTCGTGTATGTGTGAAGGAAAGCACTTGTGCAGATGTGGGAAGTGTGTGCTAAATTTGCCACTTTTTAGAGGATGCACAATTTTCATTTGAAATAATGACTTCCAGATAAACTATTGTCCTTTGGACTTGAGGATTTGGTTGATATTTTCTTGAAAGTGACCAAAGTGAGGTCACTTTGGTCTCTTTCAGTATATTCCAAGTATGTATTCCAACGATAAATTCCTGACAGTAATTGTCAATGATAATGTTCAACAGCTTTCCAATACTTAAAGACTTTTCTGAGAAGATGAATGGTGATATTGACCAGCAAGATATTTTTAATACTACATAATAAAATGTGTGAGTATTTGGAAGATCTAAATAAACTTACTGAAACAATATTTTTTAAATGAAGAATGCATTGTGATACAAAATGATGCATGGCTAAAAGACCCATTTTAAAATATGTATTTTTTTTTAGGCTGGTCAAGTGAAGCCAAGAGACCCATTTGAAGTACTCATTTAAATCCATATATCCATGGATTTTAATACAACAGTGTGATTATGAACACTGAAGACAGATTCCAAATTTCAACTAATCTTTAAAAATCTTCTCTTTCTAGATTTTGGGTATAGAGTCAAAGAATGTCCACAATCATCTGAAAGGTTGTTTAAAGCCTCTTCTCTTTTCCAAATACATATCTGCACAAGACTGGATTTTGTTCATAGACTCCAACCAAAACAACATATGACAAAAGATTGCTTGCAGGAGCAGGTATTAGAATCCCACCATTTCTATTAAGAGATTTGCAAGAGTGTAAACCAATAGCACCCTTCTCACTTTTTCACTTTGCTTTGCAAACTACAAATGTGTTATTTACGTTATGACATAGCATTACTCAGTCCATATTACAGAAATGTCTCAGTTTCAATTTCCAAGGTGGTAAATAACAATAAATATATGCTCTGGGTATCCTTCAAAGCTCCTTGGGGTCCTTGACAATCTTTAGGGATATAAAGGCGTTCTGAGACTAAAACTTTCAAGCTTTAAAATAATAATCCTGAAACAGAGTCCATCATTAAAATCAATGGAGCAGTTTTCTAGGTGTGTAATCTTTGGCTCCAGCTTTTGAAAATTCTAATTCTGGGGTGTGATTCAAGCCAAGTGTCACTAACCTTGCCAGGGTGAATGTACTCACTGTGGTATTTAGAGGCATGATTCGTGGGATAAGCTTTGAAAATAAAATAGAAATTTCATACTGTACCATGCTTTTTGAAAATCTTAAAGAATATGCTAATTTATGCTTTCTACGCTACTGGTTTTTAGATTTCCTAATATAAGTGGACATGGCTATTGTTCGGGAAACTATAAATGATCTTTTGTTGCTGTTCTTTCATGGGACTTCGTTGCTACTTTATGTTTTTAACAGGCGGGTGGATCAGTCTCTTGTATAATGGCACATGTGGGCTTAGAGTCATTTTACTTATATCCAATGCTTAGAATATGAAATGCTTTTTTTTTTCTTTTTGTCCGTACTTGGTTTATTCGGTCAGGCATAAAACACAAATGTTGTTTACCAAACTAGTTATAACTAAACAAGAACAGCTTGTTAAGTGCTGTCTATCCAATTAAAGAAAACAGAGTACATTTTAAAATACATAATTTCTTTATAATTCTTATGTTATTCATCTTCTTGTGTGAAACTAAATAAACTGAGGAATGAAGATGAACATTTTGTTTCATAATCTAGAAAAATGACTTAAAGAATAATTAATAGTGGTAAGGAGAGGAGGTAAAATGATTGGGTTGAATTCACAAAAGAAAGGATTTATCATAAATGCCTTGGAGAAACAGAAATGAATTCTGGAAAAGAATTCACCAAGATTCAATTTGATTGAAAAAACCTTTGCACACCTGCAGTGTATTCTACCACAAGACTATGACTGAGAGATGCATAGAATATAGTTGGGGTTTTTTTCAAGAATTTCAAATCTAGAACAAGGATTAGAAAGTTGGAAACCATTGCACATAATTTGAAATATTCTAGAAGTGTTTCCAAAACATGACTAGGGAAGCATTGCACTATGGAAATCATGAGAAAGGGTGTTAGACAAGATTAAGCAGCAGCAAAAAATGAAAAAAGAGGTAGGATTTAGGGTAATAAATGCCATAGGGTAAACTTGATACGAATGGAAATGTATGAGAGAAGGAGTTACATCATCTTAGCAGTGATTGCGGGGGACCACGAGGTTTGTAAGGAAGAGGGAAAGTGCGTAAAATTATTCTACGATTTTCAGGAGAGACAACAACTGGCCATCTTTGAGATGACTCTGTAGGGGTGGAAACAGAAGCAGAGATACTTGAGTCTTAGAGTAGATTTTGAGGGTATCCCACATTGCAAGCTTTGATATCAGGATTCACAGAGGCTCCTGAATCTACTTTTAGATTTCATGCAATTTAGACCAATCTCCAATTACCAGCCTGCAGAGCACTTTATGTCAGCCTGCTTTTCCTTAACAGGAAATGCAATTCCTGTGGCATGTTCTTGGCCTGACAGTTATTGGTGGGTGTGAAAGACCCCTGAAATCTTCCTAAAGAAGATGGGTCACCTTTCCTGGGAAGCCATTTCCATGGTCACTTGTGGCATTTTATTGTGGAAGAGTATTTCTTTCAACACCCACAGAGTGTGGAATGTTGACAAGACTTACGAAAACAATTTGCATCCAGTTTTGACCTGGAGGAACTTCATGGAATATGGTTAGTTATGATGAGGTTGCCTACCAAGTCCAGAAAAACCATCTACCCTTGCCAGATGAACTGGTCAACTTCAGATTCAGAGCCAGGGTTTCTATTGGTGCTGTCATTCTAGAAGGTTATTATAGCTAAACTTGCTTCACGTTTTGGTGGGTAGGCTCTGCCAGTGAAGAAGACTCAAAGGTGATTTTTATGGCTCACAATCTCAAGGATTTTATAGGATCCTGCCATTTTATTTAGATGCGGGATTCCAGACCAGGCTCTGCAGCAAAGACACATGGGATTCTTTTTGTTTATGGTGTGCTGGATTTTATTGGGTTGGTGCAAAAGTAATTGCAGTTTTGGCCATTAAAAGCAATGGTCATTAAAAGCAATTACATTTGCACCAACCTATACTCATCGATTTATATTTATGTTGTCATTCTTGGAACAGAAAACATACTTTATGAAAATAATGGATGGCCTTTCTCTAATTGATTGTAAGAAATATCTCCTTGACTCTTGGGTTTGGTATACATTCTTCTATAATAACAAATGGTATAATTGTTTGGAAAATAAAAACTTTATCATTGAAAAAGCAGAACAATACAAAATAAAACACACACACACACACACACACACACACACACACACTCCAAACTGAAGTATCATATACTTCACAAAATGTTTACAAAGTCATGCTAATGCAGATACTCCTTTAATTCAAGGTTCTTTTAAAAACTTAAGACAAGGATTATAAAATAATGTTAAGTGCCCAGGGTGGCAACATATTTGATTATCCAGGGGAAATGAATGATTTCCTAGGAACATGTAAACTTCCAAAATTAATCTACACAATATAGAAAATCTTAGTAAGTTTAAAAAATCTGTCGTTAAAAATGGCAGTTGATGGGTTTATGGATGGGTTTATGTCTGATTTACATGTATCCCTTTGATTAATAATTCAGTGCAGTGTGTAGCAGTATTTCTTTTTTTTTTTAATTATACTTTAAGTTTTAGGGTACATGTGCACAATGTACAGGTTAGTTACATATGTATACATGTGCCATGCTGGTGTGCTGCACCCATTAACTCGTCATTTAGCATTAGGTATATCTCCTAATGCTATCCCTCCCCCACTTCCCCCACCCCACAACAGTCCCCAGAGTGCGATGTTCCCCTTCCTGTGTCCATGTGTTGTCATTGTTCAATTCCCATCTATGAGTGAGAACATGCGGTGTTTGGTTTTTTGTCCTTGCGATAGTTTACTGAGAATGATGATTTCCAATTTCATCCATATCCCTACAAAGGACATGAACTCATCATTTTTTATGGCTGCATAGTATTCCATGGTGTATATGTGCCACATTTTCTTAATCCAGTCTATCACTGTTGGACATTTGGGTTGGTTCCAAGTCTTTGCTATTGTGAATAGTGCCACAATAAACATACTTGTGCATGTGTCTTTATAGCAGCATGATTTATAATCCTTTGGGTATATACCCAGTAATGGGATGGCTGGGTCAAATAGTATTTCTAGTTCTAGATCCCTGAGGAATCGCCACACCGACTTCCACAATGGTTGAACTAGTTTACAGTCCCACCAACAGTGTAAAAGTGTTCCTATTTCTCCACATCCTCTCCAGCACCTGTTGTTTCCTGACTTTTTAATGATTGCCATTCTAACTGATGTGAGATGGTATCTCATTGTGGTTTTGATTTGCATTTCTCTGATGGCCATTGATGATGAGCATTTTTTTCACGTGTCTTTTGGCTGCATAAATGTCTTCTTTTGAGAAGTGTCTGTTCATATCCTTCACCCACTTTTTGATGGGGTTGTTTGTTTTTTTCTTGTAAATTTGTTTGAGTTCATTATAGATTCTGGATATTAGCCCTTTGTCAGATGAGTAGGTTGCGAAAATTTTCTCCCATTTTGTGGAGAACTACAAACCACTACTCAATGAAATAAAAGAGGATACAAACAAATGGAAGAACATTCCATGCTCATGGGTAGGAAGAATCAATATCATGAAAATGGCCATACTGCCCAAGGTAATTGATAGATTCAATGCCATCCCCATCAAGCTACCAATGACTTTCTTCACAGAATTGGAAAAATCTACTTTAAAGTTCATATGGAACCAAAAAAGAGCCCACATCGCCAAGTCAATCCTAAGCCAAAAGAACAAAGCTGGAGGCATCACGCTACCTGACTTCAAACTATACTACAAGGCTACAGTAACCAAAACAGCATGGTACTGGTACCAAAACAGAGATATAGATCAATGGAACAGAACAGAGCCCTCAGAAATAACGCTGTATATCTACAACTATCTGATCTTTGACAAACCTGAGAATAACAAGCAATGGGGAAAGGATTCCCTATTTAGTAAATGGTGCTGGGAAAGCTGGCTAGCCATATGTAGAAAGCTGAAACTGGATCCTTTCCTTACACCTTATACAAAAATTAATTCAAGATGGATTAAAGACTTAAATGTTAGACCTAAAACCATAAAAACCCTAGAAGAAAACCTAGGCATTACCATTCAGGACATAGGCATGGGCAAGGACTTCATGTCTAAAACACCAAAAGCAATGGCAACAAAAGCCAAAATTGACAAATGGGATCTAATTAAACTAAAGAGCTTCTGCACAGCAAAAGAAACTACCATCAGAGCGAACAGGCAACCTACAAAATGGGTGTACCAGTATTTCTAAATGTGCTACAGAGTGCTGGTCAACCAAAAGTATCAGCCTCAACTGGGAGCTAGTTAGAAATCATAGCCTCAGGACCCGCATGGAGATAACTGAGTTGAAACACAGCACTGGGGATGGGAGCAGAAATCTGTAATTTAAAAAGCTTTCTAGGTGCCTTGTGCATGCTTAAGTTTGAGAAGCACTGGTTTAAAATATTCTAGACAATAGAAAATACGTAAACTATCCAAATTCATTTTATACATGAGTATAACATTGATGAAAAATCAGATGGTAAGATTAAAAGAAAATAAATAAATTATTTTTTATTATGAACACAAATGAAAAATTCTGAATAAAATGTTGGCAGACATTACGCAAGTCTAGCTCCAAAGAATAATATATTATAATCAAGTAAAATTTATTCCATAAATGATAAAGGGCTCAACATCAGCAATTACATCAGCATAATTGATAACAAAAATTGAAAGAGAAAAAACACATAACTACCAATGGGTGCCAGAAAGGTGTTTGGTAGATAAAACAGCCCTTACAAATAAAAAATCTAAGTGAAATAGATATAGAAAGAAGCTGCTTAAATATGATAAATATTATTTACCGATAATAATCATCAGTCTAACGGCAACATTCTGGAAAATTTGTTTTACAGTTAAGTACAGAAATGAGATATTAGTTGTCATCACTATTATCAATTTTTTGGTTTACTTTAGATGATAAAACACAAAAGAAGGAGATAAAATTTATGGCAAGATTAGAATGTGAGGCAAAATTATTTATATTTGCAGAGTATTTTTGGAAACTGATAAAAACTAACTAGAATTAAGTAAACCTTGTCAGGTTGAATTAGAAACATCAACACAAGTTAAACACACAAGTCAATAGTTTTTACCCCATGGTGATAATCATCTCTTTAAGGAATTAAAAAAAAACTCATAATAATGTTGAAAATAATTAATTCATGGAGAGTATTCTAATAAAAAAGATTTAGAATTTATATGCAGAAATCTGGACAATCTTATTAAGTACAAAATACAAAACCTGAACATATGTAGAGATAGTTCATTGTCCTGGATCTGAATATTTAATTTTATAAATACATAAATATGTAAACTAGATGCATTCCAATAAAAATCCCAGTGAGTGAGGAGAAGGAGAGGAAATTGATTACATATTCTTAACGTTCCAATAAGAATCTTAGTTAGCTTACCTTAAGAGCGAAAGGTCTTGTGAAAAATAATGGTGTTTGTACCATGATGTCTACGAGTGTGTGCCTCTGTGCATGTGTGCATGTGCATAATTCAGCAGAAATGAACACTTACCATGAAGTCCCTGCTATTTAAAGCAGATAATATTGGTGAAGAAATGGATAAATATATTAATTAACCTGAAGAGATTACTGATATATGTATGTGCTTATACATACATATATATACTTATTAAATAAATAACATATATATTAAATACATATGTAATCAAGGTAACAGTATAATTCAGTGGAAACAAACTGATATGATTGATTTCATTGATAAGTAGCTCTATCACGGAAAAAATTCTTTATACCTGCATTGTTACAGGCAATAACATTTACAAGCAAATTACACATGGGTTTGATGATTAATGAAAATATATATACTATTAGAAGAAAATTGAACACATGAAATTGTTGATCCTGGAGTCACCTTTTTATCTTCCCTTTTGTTGTGTAAACTAATTTTCAGTCATTTTTCTTATATTTCTAGTCATTTTATTTCGGGCCTTTTGTTGTTAGTGGAAGGCATTTTTATTGTTACATTGGACAAGAAAAGATGTCTACTAAGCCTCCAACACCACAGAATTTCAAGGCCTCAATTTTGTAGTCAAGAAGCTGTAAATTATATTTTGAGAAGTTATAAATGCAAGTTATTCACATGTAATTACTTACATATACATTTAAGGATAAAAAGGAGAGACAACACTTTAATGTCAGTTGATGCACAAAAAACACAGTATAAAGAATATTTAATTTTTCTTACTCTCTGAAAAGGTCTAGGCCATGTGATTTGTGCCTGTCGCACGAAATAGTACAAAATGTAAAAGTCATGGGGGATAGATGCTAATAAAAGGATTTATAGTCAGTGCAAAGAAAAAAAAAGCAGCAGGAAACACAATTTGCAACTTTACATAATGAAGAAAAGTGTTTGAATACCTACATAAAATGCAGAGATAATAGATTTGCTGGCAGGAGAAGGGAACATGAGTAAAAGAAAAAGAAATTAAAAGGAAAAATAAAACTGGATTGCTGACAGGTAAATTGATGGCCTTAAGTTAACGGCTCTCAGTAGTTCAGCAATATTCACTGAGTATCCACAAAGGGTTGGGCCATGACTTGAGCTCTGTGTTGAGATGGAAGAAAATTGAAGCGTCACCAGTTATATAGATGTATATATTGAGTAAAGGAGAAGAGTAGAAGTTTAAGATGAAGAATTCAATTCTAGAAGAATATTATAATTGTAGAATTGATTTATACATAGTAAATTTTAGCACTTTTGATCCACATTTGCAACAGAAAGAGAAACATAATGAAGGAATTAGGAACACTCTACTTCTCCTCAAGAAAGATTAACAGCTAAGGGAATTGCTATAACACTGTAAACAATTAGCTGGAAATATATGAAACTATGGTTTTCAGACTATGGACAAGAGGAAACATGACGGTGATCTTTGAGATGAAGAACACCAAAGGTCAGCACTCACATGGCCCCGGCTTATTGCCTAGGGTACTTTCTACGCTTCAACGCAAGGAGGAGAAAGCTAAATAGCTGGTGATTTTGCTGAACTGATGACACAGAGACCCAAGTTAAAACTGTTAGGAGGCTGAGGTTGCTGAGATTTGCAAGGCACAGTGGTGGAGGGGAAGGATAACTACAAAGAAATAGCCCCTGGGATCTACAGAGCAGTCTCTAGCCACCCTCTCTGTTCAGATCTCTACAATATTGTAGAGAACCAACAGAAGTAAGTCCACTGAATGAGTCCCTGAATTCCCACCGGAATGAAAACAGTTTTTGTTCACACCAGCCAGAGTGCAGAGATCTCATAATACACAGGAGTCATCAACAGCTTCAAGACAAAGACAGAGAAAATACTCACCAAATAAATTGTGGATAAAAGACTGAGAACTATGATCTATGAGCAAGTTTTACAGCTCAGTAATGAAAAGACAAATTATTGCATTAAAAAGGCAAAAAAATTAAACAACTCTCATAAAAACATAAATAAATGGCCAATATGCACATGGAAAATAACTCAGCTTCCTTGGTCATCAGGTATATGCACCAAGATTCCACTAGACACCCAACATCCCAACATTAAAATTGAAAAGACTGACAATGTCAATGTTCACGATGACATGAAGCAAAAGGAGTTTTTTTTGGTACTTTTCTTTAGCAGAGTTGGGGGTTTCACCATGTTGGCCAGGCTAGTCTCAAACTCCTGACCTCAGGTGATCTGCCTGCCTCAGCCTCCCAAAGTCCTGGGATTACAGGAGTGAGCCACCGTGCCCACATGCAAAAGGAACTTTTATATACATTTAGTGAGTGTAGAATGGTACAATGACTTGGGAAAACTGCTGGAAATTACACAAACTTCTAGATATGACCCAAGACCTAGCCATTCCACTCCTATTTACCCAAGATAAATGAAATCTTATGTCCAAAAAGACTAGTACAAGAAAATTAAAAGTAGCTTTATTTATAATAGGTTTAAAAATGGAACTGGCCCAGGTATCTATGAACAGGAGAAAGGGAAAACAAACTTTGCTATTTTAATACACTTGGCAATGAAGGGACACAAACTGTTGATACATAGGATATGGATTATTTTATTAAAAATATGCTGAATGAATAAAGGCTTGACCAATGACCATCCACTATAGGATTCCATCTTTATGAGTGTCTAGAACAGGCAAAACAATACCTGTTGGAAAAATATCAGGTCAGCATAGTGCTTGCTGGGGCAGTTGTGGATGTTACTGAAAACTGACACAGGAAACTCTCTGGTGAAGCCTGTGCTCTCTACTTTGGTAGGAGTTTGGTTTACATGGTGTGCTTTTGTCTCTTTATTAAATGCATGCTTAATATTTATGTATCTCTATCAGAAACTGTGTCCCCTGGAGTGAGACCATCACTGTCTGCCATCATGTAGCTGTTTCCTTTGGAGCCACTCAGTCATTGACTGCTTTCCCTGGAATGAGGGGAATACCCAGTCATTGGTCATCAATTGTTTCTGCTGGACCAACTCTGTCCTGGGCTCTGTTCCCTCCACTGACTCAGTGATTGACTGTTATCCTTGGAGTGACTCAAGTGTCGGCTGTCTTCCCAGGTCTGAGGCAATCACTTCCTGTCATCCTCTTAACAACTGTTTTCCTTAGAGTGACACAGTCATTCACTGTTTCTCCTGGATATCTCCCTGTCATTTCATCATCAATTTTTTCTCTAGATTGACTCAGTTCACCATCAACTGTGTCCCCTGGAGTGACTTGGTGGTCAATTATTTTCCCTGAATTGATTTGGTCATCGATTCTTTTGCCTGGACTGACTCTGTCATCGACTGTTGTCCCTGGAATGATTTGGTACTCAACTGCTTTCCCTGGACTGATTGGTCATCAACTCTTTTCCCCGGATTTACTCGGTCATTGACTGTGTTCCCTGGACTGACTTGGTACTCAACTGATTTCCCCTGGATTAATTCAGTCATTAACTCTTTTTCCTAGTTTGACTGGGTACTCAACTCATTTCCCTGGAATGATTTGGTACCCAACTCATTTCCCTGATTCGACTCGGTACTCAACTGGTTTCCCTGGAATGACTTGGTACTCAGCTGGTTTCCCTGGATTGACACCATATTCAACTTGTTTCCCTGGATTAACTTGGTATTCAACTCATTTCCCTGGACTGACTCTACCCTGAAATGATTTGTGCCCTGGACTGTCTGGTATTCAACTCTTTTCCCTGGATTGACTCAGTCATTTGCCCTCATTTCCTGTTTTACTTGGAACAACTCAGTCATTCACTATTTTCCACACTGAGGGCATCTCCATGACTTCCTATCATCAATGCTTTCCCTGGACTAAGTCAGTCATAGACTCTAATCTCTGGAATGACTCATGATCACTATTTTCCAATCTCTGGAATGACTTATGATCACTATTTTTTCTGGTGTGGCTTGGTAACTGTCTTTTTTAAATGAACTGAAGAGATCATGCCCTGCCACCTCATCAACTATTTATTTCCCTTGTTGTGACTTTGTCAGAGGCTGTGTTCCCTGGGCTGAGGTCATCTCCTCTTCTTTTTGTCATCAGTATTTTCCCTGGAGTGACTCGGTCATCTCTTCTTTTCCCTGAACTGTTGTGTAATCACGTCTTTTCCCTGGAATCCCTAGATCATCAACTATTTTCCCTGGACAGACTCGGTTATTGATTATGTTCCCTGGAGTGACTCAGTCATTGATTGCTTTTCCTGGACTGATCTCTTCATCACCTCAGTCGTCTTAGAAGGGAGATTGCTGGTAATAAAAGTATATTTTTATTTTCATAAATATGTACACAAATACATGAACATATCTTTATACACATGTGTATCCAAGCCTCCTTCAGGAAGTTTCAGCCCATCTGAGAATGCATAACAATGCCTTCCAAAGTTCATGTGTGGCAAAACTTTTAATTTTTCCCCCCAGTATGATAGGGGAGGAATGGTGTCTGTGTTTCCTGTTGTGCTCATTTTACAATCAGTTTACTTGGACTTCTTCTTCATGAATGTTTTTAATGTTTTTTCCTTCCATTTTCAATTTTTTAAAAAAATGTGTTAACGTTAGCCCCTTTATGAGGCAACTTATACAATTCTGTGCTGGGAACACTTCCTGAGAAATGCATCCTTGGCTGATTTGGCCCTTGTACAATCATCCTAGAGTGCATGTACCCAAACCCGGATGGCACAGGTAACTGCATACCTGGGCTGTATAGTGTAGCCTGCTACACTCCTGTGCAACCTGCGACTGCACTGAATACTCTAGGCAACTGTAACACATGTTACATGTGATATTTGTGCACCTAAACGTATCCAAACCTAGGTAAGGTAGGCTACATATACGGTATTATAATCTCATGGGACCACTGTCAAATATGTGGTCTGTCATTGACTGAAATATTCTTATATGGTACATCTCTATATTTCTCATGACTTTTTAATTGCACTGTTTGCCCAGCAAATTTTTTAAAAAATTATATATTCAAATTTTGTATATTTGATTGCATTTGGATTTTGAGTGGTACTTAGAAACCTTTCTCCACACTGAGATTATAGAAGAATTAATTCACTTTTCTTCTAGTACTTACATGGCTGTATGTATGTTATTGTGCATACCCCTAAGCATGTGTATGTGCATGTATGTTTAGATACATGATTCATGTGGAGTTTATTCCTGTGTATAAATAAACTGTGGATCTAAATATATCATTTTCCAGGTGGTCCCACCAACATTTACTTAAAAATCCATTATTTCAGACACTGGGGTGCGCACCTGTAGTCCCAGCTACTTAGGAGGCTGAGGCAGCGGAATGGCTTGAGCTCAGGAGTTCAAGACCCATCTAAGAAACATATTGAGACCCTGTCTCTAAATTAAAAATAAACATGATAAAGTAGCCAGGCGTGGTAGTGCATGCCTATAGTCCCAGATACTCTGGAGGCTGAGTCAGGAGGATTGCTTGAGCCTGGAGACCAAGGCTGCAGTGAGCCATGATCGAGCCACTGCACTCCAGCCTGGGCAACAGAGTGAGACCCTTCTTTAAAAAATCCATTATTGCCCAGTGGTTTGAGATGGGCAATAATGGATTGAAATAATAATAATTGAGATACCACCTTAATTGTATACTAAACTTCCTTCTGTACCTCTACCTGTTTCTAGATGTTCTCTTATATTCCTCTAGTCTTTTTGTCTTCTCATGCACCTGTAACATATTATTTTCATTATAGATGCTTAATAATGTGTTTAAAATCTGAAAGGGCTTGACCCTACTAAGGGTTTTTCTGGCTATTCTTGCCTGCTGGTTATTCCACATGAACTTCCATGTCAACTACTGCATAAGACAATTTGTAATTTTCAAAAATTTTGATAACATTACTTTTATAAATTCACCCACTTAGAATTTACCTCTTTACATTTTTGAGCCATCCTATTCAAAGATGATTTTCCTTTTGTTCCTACTACTTTTATTTCTTTCAGGAGATTTTAAAGGTTTTTAAAAATTATATAGAGTTTGCACAGTTCTTACTATGTTTATTCTTAAGTAGTATGTCATCTTCTTTGGTGTAATTGTACATGGACTTCATGCTAAATAACTCTATAATTTTTTATTTTAGGGTTATATTAAGGACTTACATATGCTACTTTTATTGCTAATTTTACTGAATTATATTATTTTGTGAATTAATTTGAACATTAATTCTTTAAAGCTTTCCAGATATCATCTGAAAAATAATAGGAATTAATTTGTTTCTAGTCCCTATGCCTCTAATTGGTTTATTTTATTTCCTTGTTTAGAAAACACCTTCAGCATAATGTTGAATAGCAGTGGAGATATTTTACATTCTGGCTTGCATTTCTAGCATGAATCCCACTTGGTCATGGCATTTTTTGCAAAGTGATATTGGATTCTGTTTGACAATATTTTATTTAGTACTTAAGCATCAGTATTCATAACTAATATTGGTCTGGAATATTCTCTCATTATTCACCTGCATACATATTAAGTTAGCATTTAAATTTTTATATTATGAATTTAAATGTCTGAAAACAACATAATTTTCAGTTGTGTATAACTTTGACATATTAAAATAAAATTCTTACATTGTTCTTACAAATGTATCCAACTGTATTTTCATATCATAGTGACTAGAATTTTAACCTCAATGTAATAGATTTTTTGAAAACATATTGATTATAATAATGTCCTTTCCTATATTCACATAAGTATAGAAATTGAAAATTTACCTTTTTTGATTCCTAAAATAGTAGTGACTCATATGTTAACATTTTATTCTGAGCTTTCATTGTATTTTTATTAATTATGATTTATCAAAACAAAAATATGTGTCACATCTCTATAAGTAATAAATATGTCTTGAAACATAATATTTTATGGGGGATAATTAAGAGCAAAAAATAGCAAGAAACTGTATATAAATCTTTAAACATCCAATTGAGCACCAATTATTTGGATGACTACAGGACTCAGTGGTACTCTCCTAGCCAGCCACAGACCCAGAGCTTCCACCATTGTTATTTAATCTGGAGTAAACCGCTACCCACTGATGGCAAATCACCATCAGGAGTGGGAAGGTTATAGAACCTTTTTCTAAAACATGTCTCATTAGGAACTCACACTTACCTGGGACATTATTTAAACTCTGAAGAACATGCTTATCCCACAGACATTCCGTTCATATGAGATTTTTAGAACACAGTTGCATTATAGAGGGGTTTTATTGACTCAGGAATAATTATACATATAATTATTATATAAATAAAGTACACTTTACAAATACAAAGGTGTAGCTTACTAGAATGGAATGTAAATAATGGACAAATATATACTAGATGATTATTAAAGTAAATATATCTACTGCAAATGTATTACTATCAGAGAAAAGAGCCTTCAAGGCAAATCTCACTAATAGGGACAGAGAAGGGCACTACATACCACATTCAAAAAAGACATTTTATTCATCAGGAAAATATAAAAATATTATTATCTTGTATGTAAATAAAAATGTTGCAAAAACAAGTAAATCAGAAGAACAAGAAGGTATTTTAAAAATTCACATTACCTTTTTTTTTTTTTTTTTTTTGAGATGGAGTCTCGCTCTGTCACCAGGCTGGAGTGCAGTGGTGTGATCTTGACTCACTGCAACTTCTGCCTCCCAGGTTCAAGCGATTCTCCTGCCTCAGCCTCCCAAGCAGCTGGGACTACAGGCACGCACCACCACCCCCAGCTAATTTTTGTATTTTTAGTAGAGACGGGGATTTCATCATGTTGGCCAGGATGGTCTCAATCTCTTGACCTCATGGTCCTCCCGCCTCAGCCTCCCAAAGTGCTGGGATTACAGGCATGAGCTACCACGCCCAGCCAACATTACCTTTTTTAATAACTCCTAGGACATGGAGTAAAAAGTAAAATTATACAATACAAGAGGGAACGAGGCAATATAAACAAAGTTTTGTTATACTCTTGAAAATAAAAAGGTTCTCCTTTAAAAACATTGTATCCTGGTAGGATGCACTGAAGACACAACATCACATGCATAACTTCAAACTAATTATGAGAAATCTTAAGACAAACCCAAACTGAGAGACAGTCTACAAAATACCTGACCAATACTCACCAAAAGTATTAAGGGCATAAAAGACAAGGAAATAAATTAGAGTAGAATAAGGACACACAAATTGCAGGAGAATAAACATATACAAAAACAAAATGCAGTGTGAGATTCTGGATTGGATCCTAGAAATTAAAAAGATATTAGGGGAACACTGGTGTAATGTTAAGGTCTGTGGTTTAATTAATAGTTAGTGTTCATTGTCAAAATAGGACACCATTGTTAGTGTCCTGATTTTGACAATGATACTATAGTTATATGTTGTAAATATTAGGGAAAATTGAATGAAGATTATATATGAACTTTCTGTAAGTTCGAACTTTTTCAAAATAAAATATTTAAAAGAGATATTGATGATTTTAACACAAAATGAACATATTTGCTATGGTAAATCTCAACACATTGAAACAACAAAAATCAAGCAGATAACATTCTCTGAACACAATAAAATAAAATTTGAACTCAAGTGACAATATAATTAAATTATCTTATTTTTCACAATTAAAATATAATGATACATATTCATGGGTAAAAAGGGAAATAGTAATGAGAATGAGAAAATAATTAGGACTAAATAAATGTATTACATATGAAAATCAGTAAATTTCACTAAAACAAAATTAGAGGGAAATTTATAGACCAAAATGGTTATGTTAGAAAAAGAGAAGAAAATAAATCAAAACTCAATAAATAATCATCCAACTTAAGAGTATAGAAAATGAACAGTAAAATTATGAAGGTAAAAGTAGAAACTAAGGGAATGTAAAAACAAACAAAACAAAGCCAAATAAAGAAACAGACAACCTGTCTTAGTCTGTTTTGTGTTGCTATAACAGAATACCACAGACTGGGTAATTTATAAACAATAGAAGCTAATGTGGCTCGTGGTTCTGGAGACTGGGGACTTCAAGAGCAAGGCACCAGCATCTGGCAAGGACCTTCATTCTGTGTCATCCCATGGTGGAAGGCAGAAGGGCAAGACGGAGGAAGACTGAGAGAGGAAGACAAGGCAGAGCTCACTTTTATTAAAAATCATGTCTATGATAAGGAGCCCACTTCTCCAGTAATGACATTGGTCCTTGCATGAAGGTGGAGCTCTTATGATCTAATCACCATTCAAAGGTCTGAGCTCTAAGTACCATCACAATGACAATTAAATTTCAACACAAGTTTTGAAGGGAATGTTAAAATCATAGCAAAACCCTAAGGAACCTGCATAGCCAAACTCTAGAGAACATTATTTGCATTGTAGTGTATTTATACAATACTCCACCCTACACTGTTTATTTCAAATTTGAACAACCTTACACTGCAGCCTAGACAAACTTATAGCAAGAATTCACAAAGTCAAGGGTTGAGAAGAGAAACACTTAACAATTGTTGCTGTAGCAATTCACTATATGTGGAAAAAAATAAAAATCATTTTCTCACACCATACATTAAAATGACTCCCATAGGGATCAATGTAAAAGACAAAACTGCAAAATATTTAGAAGTCAACAGATAGGAATATTTTTATGACTTCCAAGTAAGAAAGGCTTGCTTACATAAAACACAAAAAACTTAACTGCAAAAGAAAAACATTCAATACAGTCAATTAGTTAAAATATAAACTTGTATTTCTACAAATAAGTAAATAAGTAAAACCTCCTAAGAAAAATTAAAAGAGAAACACAATTAAGTAGTCATGAAGCCTGTTTGCAAATATTCTAAATCTCTTTTGGAAGCACCTGGTGTTTCATGTCCACTGGAAGTGAAATGTAACCATGTTGCTTGTTTTGGACAATGACATTTGAATCTTTCCTGTATATTCCATACAAATATGTTTTCTGTTGTTTGTCATTGTAGGAACATATGGGGACAGAGGATGGTGGCCCTAGAACCTAAGGCAAAGTTTGTCTTCCAATTTAGGTCCATGCAGGTGCCTTTAATATTCACACTGTGGCTCACCCATCCATTATTCCACAACATATTAGAAAACAGAAACAGGAGGAGATTTCATTTTTTTTCAATTTTAGGAATCCTTCCAATTCTCCTTATTTCCCAGCTCTGCTTTAGGTTCCTAAATTCTTAGTCAAGACAGAGAGGCTCTTGACAGGTGGGATTGAATTTAGCTTGTAAATAACTGAGGACACCCAGATGAGCCGGCCTAGAAACAGACGTTCGGCCAAGCTAGGAGAACAAAGAAGTTGTGCAGCTGTATGTACCATATTGGCTTGGGCGTGTATCAAAAGCATGATTTACTGTGCATGCGCACACAGAACATGAATATAGAGTTGGTAACTAGACTGCACCTTAATGTGTGTCAGAGTAGACTCATTCTCAACAGCCAATGGCTTGAGCATACCAAGGGGCTATTCCCAATGACTCTTGAGCCTATGTGCAGATTTTCATTGGGGATATGCTGTTGCCTGCAGCACCATTCAAAATACAGCCAGCTGATCAGTGAGCTGTTAGCAATTTACCATCAACGATCAATTTGGAAAGCCATATAGCAAGATGGAAAGAAACTGGCTATCACCAACAATCATACTCCTAGCCCACAAGAACTTTCAAATGGGTGCAAAAGAGGAGATGCTCATGGCCATTGGATCTGTGTAGTTATCATGGTTATGTAGATAGATACTTAATACATGTATGCAGAATAGATAATAAAGATCTTAAATAATATATCATAAATAAATCTTAAATAAATCTTGAATAAACAGATCACAAAGATCAGAATAGATCATAAAGTTACACATGTGACAATGTGTGCAAGAGAGTGGAACAAGAGTGAGAGAATTATGCACTACAATAAAACAAAAGAGGATCTTTGTACAGAGAAAGAATGGCCAACAGCCCAGTGGAGAAATAATTCAAATAAATACCCTGGAACTGAGAGCAATGCATATTGCTGACATATGCATATCTATCATTGTAAGGAATTATAGGATGCGTCAAAAGAAGATTCTATGCCCCCAGACATAAATTAGGAGCCAGTGACACCAGTCTAGTGTTGGGCTTACCTTCCAGATCAGCTCAGAATATCTATCCTAGGTTCTGCTTTCACACATTTAACCAAAAATAAAACGTGGTAGAAGTAGATTATTAAAACAGATAAAAGGCATGGAATATTCCACATAAGATGTTTAGTAAAGCTAGATGAGAAAAAGAAATTGATGAAAATCAAATGTACAACTTTTGCTTACTATTTTCCAGTGATGAAGTCTCAATAGTTTAGCACTTGAACATTACACATGATTCATGAGAATTTGGGATTTTTTTTTCTTCTCGTCCACAATATGTAACTCTTATTTTTATCATGCTGAGGTTCATGCCCAGAAAGTCAATCTGTTGTTTTATATTCCTTTCATTTGCCAAAAAAAGAGATTCTCTTTCACTTACATTAAAAATCTGCAAAATTCTCACACAGTAGATTTTTAAAAATCTCTTCAATGCAATTTCTAAGTGAATGTTTTGTATGTTAACTAGAATGAGGAACAAAGCAGAAATATTATAATTCATGATTATTAATTTTGCATTCTGGGTTTTTCAATTTAAAAATAAATGGAAACATTTAGAGATCATTTAGTATTAGTATTAGTACACTAATACTAAACGTTTAGTATTAGTGTACTAATAGTGTACTACAAACACTTTGTTAACACTTTGTTTTAATACCAGTGTAAGTTGGCTATAAAAGAACTTAAACCTTTTAATCCACAAAATGCTTGCAAACTAATTGGAGAGGCAAGGCCCACACATATGAAAATAAGTGGTAATTATGTCTGTAAGACAAGAAACATGCCAAGGTTTAGAGAAGGAGGAGTTGACACAAGCTGTCCGTATGATAATATGAATAAGAGGAGGCAGCTTTTAATAAAACAAATAATAGTTGGGGAGATCCACTTATACATAAACATAAAAACAAAGAAAACATGAAATCATAGACACTTTTGAAGGTAACTGGGAATGTAAATCTTGATCAACCTTTGGGTGGACAATTTGGAAAATTTCAACTTCCACAACAATGACAAAAAACAGTGCAACCTGAAAGTTCTCTTAAACTTCAGATTGCCCTAGTTTCAATTCTTAAACATTAAGATAGATTATGAGAAGACTATAAATTCTGCTGCTAAAACTATTATTCTCAAATGAGAATTTCTGTCATCTGGGTGTGTAAAATAATTCCTCAGCATGTTCGAACCCATCGCAAGGAAGCTAAAAACCTTGAACAAAGATTAGAAGAATGGCTAACTAGAATAAACAGTGTAGAGAAGATTTAAATGACCTGGTGGAGCTGAAAACCATGGCACAAGAACTTCGTGACGCATGCACAAGCTTCAATAGCCAATTCCATCCAGTGGAAGAAAGAGTATCAGTGATTGAAGATCAAATTAATGAAATAAAATGAGAAGACAAGGTTAGAGAAAAAAGAGTGAAAAGAAACGAACAAAGCCTCCAAGAAATATGGGACTATGTGAAAAGACCAAATCTATGTTTGATTGGTGTACCTGACAGTGATGGGGAGAATGGAACCAAGTTGGAAAATACTCTTCATGATATTATCCAGGAGAACTTACCCAACATAGCAAGACAGGCCAACATTCAAATTCAAGAAATACAGAGAACACCACAAAGATACTCTTCAAGAAGAGCAACTCCAAGAAACATAATTGTCAGATTCACCGAGGTTGAAATGAAGGAAAAAGTGTTAAGGGCAGCCAGAGAGAAAGGTCAAGTTACCCATAAAGGGAAGCCCATCAGACTAACAGCAGATCTCTCAGTAGAAACCCTTACAAGCCAGAAGAGAGTGGGGGCCAATATTCAACATTCTTAAAAAAAAGAATTTTCAACCCAGGATTTCAAATCCAGCCAAACTAAGCTTAATAAGTGAAGGAGAAATAAAATACTTTACAGACAAGCAAATGCTGAGAGATTTTGTCACCACCAAGTCTGCCTTACAAGAGCTCCTGAAGGAAGCACTAAACATGGAAAGAAACAACTGGTACCAGCCACTGAAAAAACAGGCCAAATTGTAAAGACCATCGATGCTATGAAGAAACTGCATCAATTAATGGGCAAAATAACTAGCGAACATCATAATGACAGGATCAAATTCACACATAACAATATTAGTCTCAAATGTAAATGGGCTAAATGCCCCAGTTAAAAGACACAAACTGGCAAATTGGATAAAGAGCCAAGACCCATCAGTGTGCTGTATTCAGGAGACCCATCTCATGGGCAAAGATGCACATAGGCTCAAAATAAAGGGATGGAGGAAGATCTACCAAGCAAATGGAAAACAAAAAAAGTCAGGGGTTGCAATCCTAGTCTCTGATAGAACAGACTTTAAACCAACAAAGATCAAAAGAGACAAAAAAGGCTATTACATAATCATAAATGGATCAATTCAACAAGAAGAGCTAACTATCCTAAATATATATGCGCCCAATACAGGAGCACCCAGATTCATAAAGCAAGTCCTTAGAGACCTACAAAGAGACTTAGACTCCCACACAATAATAATGGGAGACCTTAACACCCCACTGTCAATATTAGACAGATCAATGAGACAGAAAGTTAACAAGGATATCCAGGAATTGAACTCAGCTCTGCACCAAGCAGACCTAATAGACATCTACAGAACTCTCCACCCCAAATCAACAGAATATATATTATTCTCAGCACCACATTGCACTTATTCTAAAATTGACCACATAGTTGGAAGTAAAGCTCTCCTCAGCAAATGTAAAAGAACAGAAATCACAACAAACTGTCTCTCAGACCACAGTGCAATCAAATTAGAATTCAGGATTAAGAAACTCACTCAAAACTGCACAACTACATGGAAACTGAACAACTTGCTCCTGAGTGACTACTGGGTAAATAACGAAATGAAGGCAGAAATATAGATGTTCTTTCAAACCAATGAGAACAAAGACACAATGTACCAGAATCTCTGGGACACATTTGAAGCAGTGTGTAGAGGGAAATTTATAGCACTAAATGCCCACAAGAGAAAGCAGGAAAGATCTAAAATCTACACCCTAACATCACAATTAAAAGAACTAGAGAAGCCAGAGCAAGCAAATTCAAAAGCTAGCAGAAGGCAAGAAATAACTAAAATCAGAGCAGAACTGAAAGAGATAGAGACACAAAAAAACCCTTCAAAAAATTAATGAATCTAGGAGCTGGTTTTTTGAAAAGGTCAACAAAAATGATAGACTTCTAGCCAGACTAATAAAGAAGAAAAGAGAGAAGAATCGAATAGATGCAATAAAAATGATAAAGAGAATATCACCACTTTTCCCACAGAAATACAAACTACCATCAGAGAATACTATAAACACCTCTACGCAAATAAACTAGAAAATCTAGAAGAAATGGACAAATTCCTCGACACATACAACCTCCCAAGACTAAACTGAGAAGAAGTTGAATCTCTGAATAGACCAATAACAGGCTCTGAAATTGAGGCAATAATTAATAGCTTACCAACCAAAAAAAGCCCAGGACCAGAGAGATTCGCAGCTGAATTCTACCAGAGGTACAGAGAGGAGCTGGTACCATTTCTTCTGAAACTATTCCAATCAATAGAAAAAGAGGGAATCCTCCCTAACTCATTTTATGAGGCCAACATCATCCTGATACCAAAGCCTGGCAGAGACACAACAAAAAAAGAGAATTTTAAACCAATATCCCTGATGAACATCAATGCAAAATTCCTCAATAAAATACTGGCAGACTGAATCCAGCAGCATATCAAAAAGCTTATCCACCACGATCAAGTCGGCTTCATCCCTGGAATGCAAGGCTGGTTCACCATGAGCAAATCAATAAACGTAATCCATCACATAAACATAACCAATGACAAAAACCCCCTGATTATCTCAATAAATGCAGAAAACGCCTTTGACAAAATTCAACAGCCCTTCATGCTAAAAACTCTCAATAAACTAGGTATTGATGGAATATATCTCAAAATAATAAGAGCTATTCATGACAAACCCACAGCCAATACCATACCAAATGGGCAACAACTGGAAGCATTCCCTTTGAAAACCTGCACAGGACGGAGATGCCCTCTCTCACCACTCCTACTCAACATAGTGTTGGAAGTTCTGGCCAGGGCAATCAGGCAAGAGAAAGAAATAAAGGGTATTCAATTAGGAAATGAGGAAGTCAAATTGTCCCTGTTTGCAGATGACATGATTGTATATTTAGAAAAGTCCATCATCTCCACCCCAAATCTCCTTAAGATGATAAGCAACTTCAGCAAAGACTCAGGATACAAAATCAATGTGCAACAATCACAAGCATTCCTATACACCATTAACAGACAAACAGAGAGCCAAATCATGAGTGAATTCCCATTCACAATTGCTACAAAGACAATAAAACACCTAAGAATCCAACTTACAAGGGATGTGATGGACCTCTTCAAGGAGAACTACAAACCACTGCTCAAGAAAATAAGAGGACACAAACAAATGGAAGAATATTCCATGCTCATGCATAGGAAGAATCAATATCTTGAAAATGGCCATACTGCCCAAAGTAATTTATAGATTCAATGCCATCCCTATCAAGCTTCCAATTACTTTCTTCACAGAATTGGAAAAAAACTATTTTAAAGTTCATATGGAACCAAAAAAGAGCCCACATTGCCAAGACAATCCTAAGCAAAAAGAACAAAGCTGGAGGCATCACACTACCTGACTTCAAACTATACTACAAGGCTACAGTAACCAAAACAGCATGGTACTGGTACCAAAACAGAGATATAGATCAATGGAACAGAACAGAGCCCTCAGAAATAACACTACATATCTACAACCATCTGATCTTTGAAAAACCTGACAAAAACAAGAAATGGGGAAAGGATTCCCTATTTAATAAATGATGCTGGGAAAGCTGGCTAGCCATATGTAGAAAGCTGAAACTGGATCCCTTCCTTACACCTTATACAAAAATCAATTCAAGATGGATTAAAGATTTAAATGTTAGACCTAAAACCATAAAAACACTAGAAGAAAGCCTAGGCAATACCATTCAGGACATAGGGATGGGCAAGGACATCATGACTAAAACACCAAAAGCAATGGCAACAAAAGCCAAAATAGACAAATGGGATCTAATTAAACTAAAGAGCTTCTGCACAGCAAAAGAAACTACCATCAGAGTGAACAGGCAACCTACACAGTGGGAGAAAATTTTTGCAATCTACCCATCTGACAAAGGACTAATATCCAGAATCTACAAAGAACTTAAACAAATTTACAAGAAAAAAACAAACAACCCCATCAAAAAGTGGGCAGAGGGTATGAACAGACACTTCTCAAAAGAAGACATCTATGCAGCCAACAGACACATGAAAAAAATGCTCATCATCACTGGTTATCAGAGAAATGCAAATCAAAACCACAATGAGATACTATCTCATGCTAGTTAGAATGGCAATCATTAAAAAGTCAGGAAACAACAGATGCTGGAGAGGATGTGGAGAAATAGGAGCGCTTTTACGCTGTTGGTGGGAGTGTAAATTAGTTCAACCATTGTGGAAGACAGTGTGGCGATTCCTCAAGGACCTAGAATTAGAATTACCATTTGACCCACCAATCCCATTACTGGGTATATACCCAAAGGATTATAAATCATGCTACTATAAAGATACATGCACATGTATGTTTATTGTGGCAGTATTCACAATAGCAAAGATTTGGAACCAATCCAAATGTCCATCAATGATAGACTGGATTAAGATAATGTGGCACAGGCCGGGCGCGGTGGCTCACGCCTGTAATCCCAGCACTTTGGGAGGCCGAGACGGGCGGATCACGAGGTCAGGAGATCGAGACCATCTTGGCTAACACGGTGAAACCCCGTTTCTACTAAAAATACAAAAAATTAGCCGGGCGTGTTGGCGGGCGCCTGTAGTCCCAGCTACTCGGGAGGCTGAGGCAGGAGAATGGTGTGAACCCGGGAGGCGGAGCTTGCAGTGAGCCGAGATTGTGCCACCGCACTCCAACCTGGGAGACACAGCGAGACTCCGTCTCAAAAAAAAAAAAAAAAAAAAAAAGATAATGTGGCACACATACACCATGGAATACTATGCAGCCATAAAAAATGATGAGTTCATGTCCTTTGCGGGGACATGGATGAAGCTGGAAACCATCATTCTCAGCAAACTATCACAAGGACAGAAAACCAAACACCTCATGTTCTCACTCATAGGTGGGAACTGAACAATGAGATCACTTGGACACAGGGCGGGGAACATCACACACTGGGGCCCGTTGGGGGATGGGGGACTGGGGGAGGGATAGCATTAGGAGAAATACCTAATGTAAATGATGAGTTGATGGGTGCAGCAAGCCAACATGGCACATGTATACCTATGTAACAAACCTGCAGGTTGTGCACATGTACCCTAGAACTTAAAGTATAATAATAATAATAAAAATACTTCCTCAGCAAACCTTACAGCATAAAATATACTTTCATGAGTTGTTCTTTAATTAGCTACTCAAGGAAGATCCTTGTAAAAATAATTATTCGGATTTTAATGTAGATAGTTTTGATTTAAACTCCAAGATTTTTTTGGGGGATGGGTAATATACATCATTGAGGTACACTATCAACATATACTTCACATTTACTATTCTTTCTTCTTTTTTTTTTTTTAAAAAAAAGGTCTGTTTTTCTTGGAGTGTTTAATTTCTTTTCGAATGCTGGAAAAATTTGGAGGACTTGCTAAGGTTTTTAACAGGATATTTTTTGTGATAGTTGGCAACTGGGCCAGGATTAGGGTATGGTAAATGAGGTGTGTTATTATTTGTTGACCATTTACCTGTAGTGCAAAATTCAACTCTGTAATAGAGATAAATAGTATTTTAATGCAATATTTAAAAAAATTAATGTAAGACATCCATGAACAACAAAATATCAGACTTAAATACTGAGAATCAGTAGCCCTTTTGTGATGAGCCAAATTGGAGCTTAAGGCAAAAAAAATCAATATTGATGTTCCTTTCATTCCAAATTTTGGTATTTTGTTATTCATGGGTGTTTTGTATTAATTCTGATTTTTAAGAAATAATTGCGTTAAAGATATGGAATCAACCTAAATACTCAATGATAGACTGGATAAAGAAAATGTGGCACATATACACCATGGAATACTATGCAGATATAATAAGTAATGAGATCATGTCCTCTGCAGGAACATGGATGGAGCAGGAGGCCATTATCCTTAGCAAGCTAATGCAGGAGCAGTAAACCAAATACTGCATGTTCTCATTTGTAAGTGGGAGCTAAATGGTGAGAACACATGGACACATAGAGAGGAACAACACACACTGGCACTTATTGGAGGATGGAGGGTGGGAGGAGGGAGAGAATCAGGGAAAAATAACTAATGGGTACTAGGCTTAGAACTTAAGTAACTAAATAATTGGCACAACAAACCCCCATGACACACACTTACCCATATAATAAACTTGCACATGTACCCCTGGACCTAAAATTAAAGTTAAATTAAAAAAATGCATTACACTATTATAATCTCTGTGACTGAGGGTTTTTTTGTGTGTGCCCTCTTAAATTTTACATCCAAACCAAGTGCCTCGTTTGCTAATCTTCTTCCCAGCCTCGGTTCAGGAAGGGCTGGAATTTCCTCATCCTCTCCTTCAGGATGTCAGTTCTGCACTGAATGTGACAAACTACTGAGTGTCATTTGTGTGCCACACTCAGGTGACTCATTCTGGTGAGGAACTATTTGTCATTGTCTGCAAGTTCATAAGCAGATTTGGAATTTCTCTTCCGTGCCCTTCAATTTGCCCTTGTACAATTTGTTATGATTAATGGGACCAAAGAAGGCAAAAAGATAACGGTACCCTCTTGGCTGTGGAATGAAAGATGACAGAGACCACTCAGGGTCTTAGAGAACACCCAATCAAACTCATTCAATAATTATTCACCGAGTGTTTATCTGATAAGAAAAATAGTTAGTTGCCGCTAATATTTATTCATTCCACATGAATATATTGAACACTCTTATGTGCCAGGCATTGTTCTCAGTGATAAATATACCAGGAAAAATAATTATGCCCTTAGCTGTGTACAGTATGTATGTGTGCATGTACACACTTGTATATACACCTGTACACACACCTGTGCACTTACCTTGTGCGTAAGTGCACAGGTATACCCATGTCTCATGGATATAATGGCAAAGATTACAAAGGTAAGAAAAAATAGACCTTCTCCCTGCCCTCTGGAAGCTTATAGACTAATTGGGAGAGAATGATTGGGCAGTTCTTTCAGGCTGAGGAAACTGGAGAGAGGGAGCTGTCTGTGCAAAGGCCCTGGGGTAACAAACTGCAGGCTTGAGATGCAGCAGCCCTGTGGGCTTCTCTCTTTATCCTGGGAGAAATGAGAAGGTATTGGAGGATCTTAAATGGGAGAGGGACAGGATCATATTAGAATCTCTAAGTGAGGACAAGACAAGGATGGATTCAGGGAGATGGGTCAGAGACCAGAGGACTTGGTGATTGATGTAGGGCCATAAAGCTGGGGGATATAGGGCACCATGAACTCAGGTGCCCTAAGATGACAGATGGTGTCCTTTAGTGCAGTGGCCCCAACCTTTTAAGCACCAGGGACTGGTTTCATGGAAGACAATTTTTCTGCAGGCCAGCAGGTGGAGGAGATGCTTTTGGGATGATTCAAGCTCATTACATTCACTGTGCACTTTTTTTCTGTTATTATTACATTGTAATATGTAATGAAATAATTCTACAACTCATCATAATTCAGAATCAGTGAGAGACTTCAGCTTGTTTTCCTGCAACTAGACACTCTCATCTGGGGGTGATGGGAGACAGTGACAGATCATCAGGCATTAGATTCTCATAAGGAGCATGCAATCTAGATCCCTCACATGTGCAGTTCACAGTAGTTCACGCTCCTATGAGAATCTAATGCCTGATGATCTGACAGGAGGGGGAGCTCAGGCCATAACGTGAGTGACAGGGAGCAGCTGTAAATATAGATGCACCTTTCTCTCTTGCCTGCCACTCACCTCCTGCTGTGTGGCCTGGTTCCTAACAGGCCACGAGCCGGTACGATTTCATGGCCTGGGGCTTGGGGACCCCTGCTTTAATGCACCTAGCAAAATCTTCTGCTCAAAGAAACTTGGTTTGTGTTGAGCTATGGAAGGCAGTGGTGACATTAGCAACTACTGTGAACTGAACTGGGCTCTTTCTTTTTAGCTTCCCCTCCCAGCTTTATTTAGGTATAGTTGACAAATATAATGTTTGTATTTAAGGTGTGCAATATGATGATTTACTATACGTATATATTATGGAATGATTACCACCACCAAGTTGAGCTGGGGTTCTTAAAAGTATTATTTCTAGACCATGCTTCAAGTCTGTTGCTACCTTCTTGTGCTCCTTTTGGGAAATAATTTGCTCTTTTTGTACCAGCCCACATGCTCACCCACTCACATTCATAGAGTACCTGAAACTAGCTCTGTACTGGTGAGATACAAAATAAATGAGGTATAGACTATGAGTGCCAGCAACTTAATCTCTCTGGAGCCAGAACACATATCCACCCCACCCATTAAATGTGAGTAACCAGGACGGGAGATGTTGCATGTTACTGGCAATGACAGAACTGACGTACATAAATAAAACCTATAGTGTACAGATTCACCGCTCTGAAATCTACATGTTTACACACAAAGAATAGCTGTCTAAAAGCATGGGCCCTTTTTTCTTTAAGAATTGCAATTAATAGGCCGGGCACGGTGGCTCACGCCTGTAATCCCAGCATTTTGGGAGGCCAAGGTGGGTGCCTGTAATCCCAGCACTTTGGGAGGCCGAGGTTGGGAGTTTGAGACCAGCCTGACCAACATGGAGAAACCCCATCTCTGCTAAAAATACAAAATTAGCCAGGCGTGGTGGTGCATGGGTGTAATCCCAACTACTCGGGAGGCTGAGGCAGGAGAATCGCTTGAACCTGGGAGGTGGAGGTTGCAGTGAGCCGAGATCGTGCCATTGCACTCCAGCCTAGGCAACAAGAACAAAACTCTGTCTCAAAATAAATAAACAAATAAAAATAAATAAAAAAGAATTGCAATTAACAGGAAAAAGATTATAAAAGATTATATTCTGTCTCTCAAAGGTCTTTTCTTTGCCATTACAGGGTGGAGGGATGTTGCAGATGATAGTAATAGTGACTCTGATGTTCAAGTGGAATTTGATTCATTTCAGAAGTATCTATAGAATTTGTTTAAAGGTTCTAGTGCTTTGATCCAGGTTTCTGCTTATTCAAGAACTTAAAGAAAAGATTTTTGCAACATCGATTTTTTGAAAATTCTTCAACTCTGTTGGCTGCCAATGCAACCACAGATATAAATAATGTGGGGGTTTGGGTTGATTTGCTGCATTTTCATCATTGCTGCTAGCTTGTGACAGATGCCTGAACAGCAGGCTAGAGCTTAGCTGGCTGAACCACATATTGATGTAGGTGTTTTGCTTTAATAATTCATAGAGCAAGTGAATGCAGGTGGACAGCTCTGTCTCAGGTCCTACTTGGCCTCTCACACATGTAGAAAGTTCTTTAATGTCTCTATAAGTTCAGTTTCTTCGTCTGTAAAATTGATAAAAATAGTAACACCTACACTAGGGAATTGTTCTAGGAATTAAATCATTGACAAATGTAAAATGCCTAGTGCATCAAAAATGTATCCTAAATGATAGAAGTTGTTGTTGATCTCTATGCAAAACTAGAAATGACAAGAGTAAGCAAACCATTATCTTATAATATAAACATAGTCTTCTAACATAATGCCTAAAAAGAAGCATTCCTGTGTTTACCTAAAGTTACAACTTCAAATTGACTGGATATGATAGTTTGAGTGTTTCATCCTTGAGGTATTTTTTTGCCAATTTTTAAATAATAGACAAATAAATACCCTGGAGTCTCTATTTTGGTAGTCAACTGAATGTACTGTTTGCAAGAGAATTGATCTTGGACTCTTTAAAAGGCAATTCTCATCTCGGACATGGTACATTCAGTTTGGGATAGCAGACTGTCTGATTGTCTATCCCAGAGTTTGGGATACCATACTCGTCTAATTATGGTGGTATCCCAAACACATAGAACAGCACCTGGCTGATAGAGGACATCAATAAATGCTACTTCATTTCTTCCCTTTTTGAGAATGATGTAAGTAAACGGAAATAAAATCTGTGCTTTTTATCTAGGATAACATATGTTTTACTGCAGGTCATTATTACGTCACCCCCAGAATCCCTGGTAAATATCAGTGACTTAGTCAGTATAGGTAATCAATAAAAGTGAATGAATGATTCACATTGCAGAAGAATGATCTGGTAAGAGTGTCTAGGATGAAAATCAATGCAGGAAAGGACTCATTAATCTAGAATACCTTTGTTCTCTTGTCTACTAGGGAAGCATATATTTATCTTTTATTGTCCAAATATTTTTCAGATATTCTTTGGCAACCATTTCTGTAGCCACCTCCTCATGATATAGCAGCAGACCCAAGCCCCCCCACAGCTGGAAGAACACATGCTGGGCCATGACTATCTCTGATAAACATGGAAGAGTGTTTTGGGAAAGAAAAGTGAGAGCTTAGAAACAATGGCTTCAGATAGGTTCAAGAGAATAATCTAGCAAAGGGAAGAACTTGGAGAACTTTGCCAACAATTCATAGTCAGAAGTTAAGAATGCTAATCTGTGAACCTTTAGAGGAAAAACAGAATTAAAAAATAAAATGGACACCCAGCCCATGTTGTGTCTACCCAAAAGATGAGAACAAGACCTCTGTATTTCACCTTCTATTCCCCCTTCTTCAGAAGTGCCAACTGTATGCAACTACGTGGCTGCGAATTTTTTTTTTTTTTTTTTTTAGAGATGGAGTCTCACTCTGTCGCCCAGGCTGGAGTGCAGTGGTGCGATCTCAGCTCACTGCAACCTTCGCCTCCCGGGTTCAAGAGATTCTCCTGCCTCAGCCACCCAACTAGCTGGGATTACGAGCGCACCACGCTCGGCTAATTTTTGTATTTTTAGTAGAGATGGGGTTTCACCATGTTGGTCAGGCTGGTCTCAAACTCCTGACCTCTTGATCCGCCCGCCTTGGACTCCCAAAGGGCTAGGATTACATGGGTGAGCCACCGTGCCCAGCCATGGCCCCAGATTTTTGGTGGCACCACATGCTGACTTTAATGTGCCTATTTTTTACCTAGAGTTTCCCTAACTCTGTAACCACATCAATTGACACTTGGCCCTTTTACCTGGCCAAACCAACCCTATAGACCCATACTCTATCCACGTTCCAGATGCACTGATATTTTTCTCCAGTTGTTTAATTATACCTTGTTATTTAATTATACCTTGTTTTTTGTTTTGTTTTTAATTTAGTCATTTTATTTTTAATTGTACATAATTGTACATACTTATGGCATACAATGTGATGTTTTGATAGATGTATACATTGTATAATGATTAAATCAAGGTACCTAGCAAATTCATCACCTCAAATATTTATCATTTCTTTGTGGTGAGAACACTCAAAATCCTCTCTTCTAGCTATTTTGAAATATACACTATATTGTTGTTAACCATCGTCACCCCACTATGCAATAGAAAAGCAGAATTTACTCCTGTATTTAACAGTAACTTTGTACCCATTGACCAACTTCTTCCCACCTCTCCTCCCCTCTACTCTCTCCATCCTCTGGTAACTACCATTCTACTCTCTACTTCTATGAGGTAAACTTTTTAAGATTATACATATGAGTGAGATCATGCAGTATTCCTCTTTCTGTGTCTGATTTATTTCACTTAAACTTGATGCCCTCCAGGTTGATCCATGTTGCTGCAAATGACAGAATCTCATTCCTAACTAGTATTTCCTTGTGTATATGTATACACATTTTCTTTATCTATTCATCCATTGATGAACACTTAGGCTGATTCCATAGCTTGGCTATTGTGAATAGTGCTGCAATAAACATGGGAGTGCAGATATCATTTTTCCTGCATTGACTCTTAACTTAAACTCTCTTGCAAAATTATTCTTTTGCAATGTGAATCATTTATTTTCTCTGGGTTTGAATATATGCAGTAGTTGGATTGCTGATTCATATGGTAGTTCTATTTTTAATTTTTGAGAAATGTCTTAGTGTTTCCCATAATGGCTATATTAATTTACAGTCCCATCCACAACATGTAAAGGTTTCCCTTTTTCCCACATCCTCGCCAGCATTTGTTATCTTTTGTCTTGTCGATAATAGCCATTCTAACTGGAGTGAGGTGATGTGTCATTGCAGTTTTAATTTGCATTTCCTTGATGATTAACAATGGTGAGCATTTTTTCATACACCTATTGGCCACTTGTATGTCTTCTTTTGCCCATTTAAAAAATTGGACTATTTGTTGGGTTTTTTTTTCTATAGAGTTGTTTGAGTTCCTTATATATTCTGAATATTCACAACTTGTCAGATGTATAGTTTTCAAATGTTTTCTCCCATTCTGTGGGTTGTCTTTTTACTCTGTTGATTATGTCCTTTGCTGAATAGAAGCTTTTTAGTTTGATGTAATCATATTTGTTTATTTTTGCTTTTGTTGTCTGTGCTTTTTGAGATCTTAACCAAAAATCCTTCCCCAATAGTTTCTTCTAGGTTTCATGGTTTCAGGTCTTAAATTTAAGTTTTTAATCCACTTTGGGATGATATTTATATATGGTGAAACATGGGGGTCTAGTTTCATTTTTCTGCATATGGAGATCCAATTTTCCCAGAACCATCTATTGAAGAGACTTGTCCTTTCTCCAATGTATATTCTTGCACCTTTGTAAAAAATTGGTTGCCTGTAGATGTGTGGTTTTATGTCTGGGTTCTCTATTCTGTTCCATTAAGTGTCCGTTTTTATGCCAGAACCATGCTGCTTTGGTTACTGTAGCTTTGTGGTTTATTTTGAAATCAAAGAATGTGATGCCTCCAGCTTTGTTCTTTTCACTCAAGATTGCTTTGGTTGTTCAAAGTCTTTTGTGGTTCCATACAAATTTTGGGATTAGTTTTTCCATTTCTGTGAAGAATGTCATTGATATTTTAATAGGCATTGCATTGAAACCATAGACTGCTTTGGGTAGTATGGACGTTTTTACAATATTAATTCTTCCATTCCATGAACACAAGATATCTTTCCATTTATTTATGTTCTCTTCCATTTTTTTCATCAATGTTTTATAGTTTTCAGTGTTGAGATCCTTCACCTCACTGTTTAAATTTATTCTTAGGTATCCTAGTTACTTATTTTTGTAGTTATTATAAATGGGAATTTTTATATTTATTTTTCAGATAGTTTATTATTAGCATATAGAAATGCTGTTGCTTTTTTATGTTGATTTTATATCCTGTGACTTTACTGAATTTGTTTATTAATTCAAAGAGTTTTGGGGTGGAGTCTTTAGTGATTTCTGAATATAAAATCATGTCATCTGTAAACAGAGATAATTTAATTTCTTCCTTTCCAATTTGGATGCCTTTTAAAATTTTCTATTGCCTAACAGCTCTGGCTAGAATTTCCAGTACTGTGTTGAATAGAAATGGTGAAAATGGGCATCCTTGTCTTGTTCCAGATTCAGAGAAGAAGATTTTTATTTTTTTCCCATTCAGTATGATGTTAGCTGTGGATTTGTCATATATTTATTTTATTATGTTGAGGTGTGTTCCTTCTGTGTGTAATTTGTTGAGAATTTTTATTATGAATAGATGTTGATTTTTTCAAATGCTTTTTCTGAATCTATTGGAATGATCATATGTTTTTTGTCCTCCATTTTGTTAATGTGATGTATCACGTTTACTGATTTGCATATGTTGAATCATTCTTGAATCCATGGGATGAACCCCACTTGATTATGGTGAATGATCTTTATAATATGCTGTTTAATTCAGTTTGCTGGTATTTTGTTGAGGCTTTTTGCACCTATCTTCATTGGAGATATTTACCTGTAGTTTTCTTTGTCTGTATGTGTCCTTGTCTAATTTTGGTATCTGGGTAATGCTGGCCTCATAGAATGAGTGTGGAAGAATTCCCTCCTCTTCAGTTTTTTGGAAGAGTTTGAGAAGAATTCATATTAATTTTTCTCTAAATGTTTGGTAGAATTCAGCAGTGAAGACGTCAGGTTCTGGGCTCTTTTTTTGATGGAGACTTTTTATTACTAATTCAATCTTGTTATTTGTTATGGTCTGTTCAGATTTTCTACTTCTTCATGATTCAATCCTGGCAGGTTATATGGGATCAGGGATTTATCCATGTCTTCTGTGTTTTCCAATTTGTTGGCATACACTTGTTGACAGATGACTCTTATAATTCTTTGTATCTCTGTAGTGTCCATTATAATGTCTATTTTCATCTCTGATTTTATTTATTTAAATATTCTCTCTCTTTTCTTAGTCTCACAAAAATTTTGTCACTTGTTTATCTTTTCAAAAAACAAACTATATTGTTTATCTTTTTTATCTCTGTTTTCTTTATACTGCTCTGATCTTTATTAGTTCTTTCTTTCTACTAGTTGTGGGTTTAATTTGTTCTTGTTTTTCTAGTTCTTTGAAGTACAACATTAAGTTGTTTATGGGAGATCTTTCTTCTTTTTTAATGTAGGCATTTTAATATAGTTTATTGCTATAACTTCCAAATACTGCTTTTTTTGGTAACCTATATGTTTTGGGATGTTGTATTTCCATTTTCATTTGACTCTAGAAATTTTATAATTTCTCTTTTAATTTCTTCGTTGACCTGTTGGTTGTTCTGGAGCATGTTGTTTAATTTCCATGTATATGCACAGTTTCCAAAGGGAGCAAAAAAGAAACAAATGATCTACAAAGCAACCAGAAAACAATTAATAAAGAGGCAGTAGTAGGTCCTTGCCCATCAATAATTAGTTTGATGTAAATGGATTAAATTCTCCAATCAAAATACATAAAGTGACTGAATGGACAAAAAAATCCAAGATCCAAGAATATGTTGCCTAAAAGAGACCCACTTTAGCCTTAAAGATACACATAAACTGAAAGTAAAGGGATAGAAGAAGATATTCCATGCAAATGGAGAAAGAAAAAGAAAATAGGATTGGCTATGCTTATATAAATATGATTAAAGACAAAAACTGTCACAGGAGACAAAGAAGATCATTATTTAATGAGAAAGGGCTCAATTCATCACGAAGACAAAACAATTGGAAATATATAGGCACCTCACATTAGAGTACCTAAATATATAAAGCAAATATTAATGGACATAAAGGGAGAAATGGGTAGCAATACAATAATAGTAAAGGACATTAATACCCCATTTTCAACAATAGACAGATCAATCAGACAGAAAATTAATAATGAAGTATTGGAATTAAACTGCACTTTAGCCAAAACAGACCAAAAATATACATACAGAACTTAATATCCAATGGTAGCAGCATTTTTCTCTAGTGCACATGTAATGTCCTTCAAGGTAGCTTATGTGGTAGGCCACAAAACAAGACTTAACCAACTTTTAAAAATTAAAATCATCTTAAGTATCATTTCTGACCATAATGGTATGAATAAATAACAGTAGAAACTTTTTTTTTTTCCTGAACTGGGGGCTTTCAAAAATCATGCCTTCCTTTTGGAACACACTTGATCCCGGTCATAACCCTTTCACTTTAATTCTAACTTTAGGTCTCAGCAAAAATGTAATTTCTGCATGGAAGCAGCCTCTGATCCCCCAAGCTGAATTACGTGTTCCTGCAACGTGTTGACTATAATTTTGCTCTAGCAGAATGTATCAGTATTGACTATAGTAGTTTGTTAGTTTTCTACTAAAGTAGCACTTTAGCTCTCTGAGGCCAGGACTGACTGTATCTGTTTAAATCACCCTGAATTATACCCTCATCCTTCCATCAATCTCTACTCAGTAAATACTTCTGAATCAACAAATAAATCTAGCCATGGAGAGCAAGTTGAGTGAACAATGAATGGGGAGTGGAGGGGACCTGGTGGAGATATCCACAGGGTACAAATTAAGTGTATGATCCTTAGACATAAAAATGTCTGTTCCTGATGCCGGTGCCACCACTTAACAACATTATTATTTGCAGCAAATGTTTTCACTTCTCTGTGCCTCAGTTTCTTACTCTCTTTGTTTGGAATAATTTGAAGTCCTTCCCCATAGACATGCTAAAAGCATTGCCTGAGGTACATGTGTAAAGTGCCCAGAATGGTGCCTGATACACCATTAGCACTCTTGAGTGTTAGATATTACAAGGGTTGCACTGTCTCTGGGGTGAAGTACTGTTGCTGGTGGCCATTTCCACGTGCACATCTGAATAGAAAGTCATGATGGTGAAGCATGATGGAACTGGCAGCTCTGATGTAGAAGAAAAATCTGCTAGACATGGAAGACTGAGTAAGGAGTTCCACATATCAGCCATTATCCCATATCTGTAACTCTGGGAAGACAGTTTATGCAACTGATATCCTCCAAAAGATAGATCCAAGGAAAACACACTCTTTCTTTCTCAGAAAACGCTAGATGTGTATGTTTTTTTAAAATTTTAGTTCCAGAATGAATAAATATAAGGAAAAAATAAACAAATATACCACGAGTCCTATTAAAATAATTTGGAACAGGATGAAGGGATGATGGAATTTTGGAAACAATAGTTTTTCAATATTCTGTTGAAGTCTTAGGTTTGCATGTGAATAGCAACTTTCCCATGTGATAGGGAAAAAAGTATTTCTTTTTTTTTCCCATAAGTTATTGGGGTCCAGGTGGTATTTGGTTACATTAGTAAGTTCTTCAGTGGTAATTTCGGAGATTTTGGTGCACCCATCACCCGAGCAGTATACACTGCACCATATTTGCAGTCTTTTATCCCTTGCCCCCCTCCTACTCTTTCCCCCAAGTCCCCAAAGTCCATTGTATCATTCTTATGCCTATGCGTTCTCATAGCTTAGATCCCACATATGAGTGAGAACATCTGATGTTTGGTTTTCCATTCCTGAGTTACTTCACTTAGAATAATAGTCTCCAATCTCATCCAGGTCACTGCCAATGCTGTTAATTCATTCCTTTTTATAGCTGCATAGTATTCCATTGTGTGTGTGTGTGAGATACATATATGTATCTCACAGTTTATCCTCTCATTGATTGATGGGCATTTGGGTTGTGTGTGCAAGTATCTTTTTCGTATAATGACTTCTTTTCTTTGGGTAGATACCCAGGAGTGGGATTGCTGGATCAAATGATAGTTCTACTTTTAGTTCTTTAAGGACTCTCCACACTGTTTTCCATACTAGCTGTACTAGTTTGCATTCCTACCAGCAGTGTAGAAGTGTTCCCTGTTCACCGCATCTATGCCAACATCTACTGTTTTTTGATTTCTTTGATTATGGCCATTCTTGCGGGAGTAAGGTGGTATTGCATTGTGGTTTTGATTTGCATTTCCATGATCATTGGTGATGTTGAGCATTTTTTCGTATGTTTGTTGGCCACTTGTATATCTTCTTTTGGAATTATCTATTCATGTCCTTAGCCCACTTTTTGATGGGATTGTTTGTTTTGTTCTTACTGATTTGTTTGAGTTTGTTGTAGATTCTGGATATTAGTCCTTTGTCAGATGTATAGATTGTGAAGATTTTCTCCCACTCCGTGGGTTGTCTGTTTACTCTGCTGACTGTTCCTTTTGCCGTGCAAAAGCTCTTTAGTTTAATTAGGTCCCAGCTATTTATCTTTGTTTTTATTGCATTTGCTTTTGGGTTCTTGGTCATGAAATTCTTGCCTAAGCCAATGTCTCGAAGGGTTTTTCCAATGTTATCTTCTATAATTTTTATAGCTTCAGGTCTTAGGTTTAAGCCCTTAATCCATCTTGAGTTGAGTTTTGTATAAGGTGAGAGATGAGGATCCAGTTTCATTCTCCTACATGTGGCTAGCCAATTATCTGAGTACCATTTGTTGAAAAGGATGTCTTTCCCCCACTTTATGTTTTTGTTTGCTTTGTCAAAGATCAGTTGACTGTAAGTATTTGGGTTTATTTCTGGGTTCTTTATTCTGTTCCATTGATCTATGTGTCTATTTTTATACCAGTACCACGCCATTTTGGTGACTATGACCTTATAGTATAGTTTGAAATCGGATAGTGCACTGCCTCCAGATTTGTTCTTTTTGTTTAGTCTTGCTTTGGCTAGACTATTTCAAGTGTGGATGAGAAAAATCTGCAAGGACTTCCAGTCCAAACCTAAGAAACTGTAGGTTGACACATGTCATATTTGATTTAGTATGCAATCCATAAATCCCTACCATAAAAAACCATAAATAGCTTATAATCAAGAGATCTTCTTATCTTTCCCCATCACATTTATTATCTTGGTAGCTGGTAAACTATTTAAAGAAGAAAAACAGAAGGAAATCCTTCAAAGTATGAAACCTCTGGAACTGCACAAGAATTCTGAAACTGGGGCTGCAGCTGGCTCTACTCATCACATCCTTCTCTACTGGCATCATGGCACATTCCTTAGGAAAAGACAAACTGGTGGATAAGGCAAAACTACACTGAGCTGTTCTCAGTAGGAATGAGCACACTGTCCATGTGTTCATGTCATGGCTAAGCCAGACACATTATGAAGCTCAGAGTCAACAATCGCCAGGGGCCCTGGGAGTGCTGGCTCAACATACCGAAGCATGACAGAAAGAATCAAGAAAAGCATTGCTTCCTTGCAAATATGGCTTGTTTGTTTCTTATTAGCAATGCATGATATTGATCCTGCCTGCAGCGCATTGCCAATACTTCAGATAAAATCGGTATCTCAGCATGGTGAGGGACAACTGGAAGCTGGTCTTTAAAAAGTGATTTCAAAAGACAGACACTTGGCTTCTAAACAGCTTGCAAATGGTCTCATAATACAGGCAAGAAAATTAATTACATGCCAATGGACTCCCCAGGGTGTCATATATTGTGTGGAATAATTCTTCTCGCACAGCTGTGAGTGAAACCTTCAAAAAGGAACAAAAGCTTTGCTGGTCAATTCTGCTCAGGCCCTTTTGCCCTCCACATGCCACACAAACACAAAACAATGTGTTCTTTTCCACAGTTGTTGTGCTTATGCCCAACTGGATGCGTTTCCTTCATAAGAGCTTTGTTTCTAGCCAGGACCTAGGAGGAAAACTTACCCATAGAAGATCAAAGGCATCTAGTGTTGGCACGAATTTTTATTTAAAATTTAAATGTATTAGTGATTTATGTGTCATAATGAATAATACAGCATGATGTTCTCACAAACGGCTGTATGAGCATTAAAGATGTATGTAATTTGATTCTCTAATGAGAAATCTGGCACTGTCATGGGAAAAAAATATTATCTAGTCTTCTACCGTGAATGTGTCTTTTGACTTTTTAGTGGGTCCAATCTTTCTGAAAAAAAAAAAACTATCATAAAAATGAAATTAGACATTTGTTGAATGTGAGAAAAAAATTTCACAGAAGGAAATTGTGTGAATTAGATGCAAACAGATGGTAAGATTATGTGGCTGCCTGCCTGCCTGCTCTGTCAATGGGAAAGGAGTCGTGGCAAGGTTAAGAGGGCAGCGAAAATATGAATGTCCTCACCGTCCTTCTACCAGGGCTTGAGAAGCCAACGGATTAATCCGACTCTGTCTTCATCAGTTTAAAGGAAAGGGCCAGAGGAATAAATATGATTTTTTTGTAATGATTTTGAAACAAGAAAGTAAAAAAAAAAAATCTATTCTTCTCTATTTTCAGATGTAGTCAATTGATACTAAAAGAAAATCATTTCCCTTTGACTTTATATCTAGAAAACAAATTCTTAAATGAAGGAGGACAATTTTATCCCCCAGGGGACATTTGGTTATGCTTGAAGACACTTTTGGTTGTCACAACTTGGGGAGGAATGTGAGGTTACTAGCATTTGGTGGGGAGAGGCCAGGGATGCTTCTCAATACCCTATAACGCACAGGACATTCCCTCCCTTCCTGACTACAGTGAGTAATTATCCAGCCCAAAGATAGTCTCATCTGAACAAGAAAGAAGTGTAGCATTCCTATTCCTATTGCCTTAAATCAAGTGCTTTGAGGATTCATTTCCATCACCTTGCTCAATGCTGTAGGCACTTGAGTTTGGGACCCTTAGATATTCTGGTGCAAGACTTTTTTTGTTCATTTGCTTTTTCAGATGAGGAACAGAAGCCCAGAGAGGGCACGCATGTTGCTTAAGTTCTCAGTATGCTGGTAACACAGACTAATACACTTTCCATTCCTTCTGTCTCCACACTATCTGTTTCTTTGTTATCTACATGCAGAATGCATAGTGTGAACATAGGTTTGTGTGTGCATGTGTGTGTGTGTGTGTGTGTGTGTGTGTGTGTGTGTGATTTTTCTTTAGCCCAGAGGTATTCATAATGAACAGCTCACTATAGCAGATAGGTGTTTTATTTTTTAAGCATTGACCAATTAATATCCAGATTTCTAAGAAGATATTTTCTAAAACCTGCACATTTGAAGGAAAATTTATCTTTGATTGTCTGCGTGTTATTTCCTACTTCCATGATTTCTCTCTGTCACCAACAAAATAAGAATTTATATAATACATCCTTTACTGGTCTACATCCCACTTGTCAGTCGATCTTTTATGGAATCACTGAGCTCCTCACCTCTGCTTTCCTAAGATGCACAGTGGAATATTTTCTTTGTTTTGAAGCAAAAGAAATGGGAGTTGCACAAAATAAAAGCCAAGAGGCCAGTAATGAATAAGCTTCCAAGGATGTACAAGGCAGATTTGCATCAGGAACATGTGGACCTATCTGGTTTTGTGCTGCTTCCCACAAACTCTCAATTTGGAAAGATTTTTCAAAATTGTTTTTTGTTATTAACTAGAATGTGAATAGGGCTTTGATAAGCAGTGTTCCTACTAGATAAAATCCTTAGAGCTTTTTAATTCTGTGCTTGAGGACAAGCCCAGATGTTCTCTTCATGACCTTCCATGAGGTTTCTTTTTGCTAGCAGGTATTGCAATGTAGTTTACTACAAGCTCTAGTGGAGCAAACCTCCAAAGTAAAGCACTTTTATTGCCAATATTTCTGCAAATGCAGATGCTAGCCTATTTTTGGAAACATTAAACATTTCAGAATAATTAATTGAGGAAGAGATTCACAATTCACAAGGAATCTCCATCAAGATTAGTTGAGGCTGGCATAGTACTTTGAACAGTAAAGTCTCTTTTTAGATATACGCCATGATATAATTTTTAAAATGTGATTTGTATTCAACTCTTTACTTCTACCAACCTTTTCTGAATAGGGCATCTACTCATTTTAAGGGCTGGACCACATACAGCAGAAGCCAAGATGAGTTGAGTGCCTTTTATGCATAAAAATAACTCTCTAAAGTAGGAGTAAAAGGAAGTAAAAGAGGTTTGTAATACTGCCTGGTCACAGGCGCAAATCAAAGTGTGCACCCAGTGCAGAGGGGAGGGTGATTTTAACAAGGACACCAATTGAAAGGTCAGCAAGTGACTCAGAGGCTGACAACAATGCCAGGTCTTAAAGACTGAGGAGGGATCTCCATTGAACAAAGAAGGAGAAAGACATTCCAGAAACAGGGGATGCCTAGGCACAGGCTCAGAGGCAGAAGCAAATGCTCTTTTTAGATAGATAACAGCTAGAAGAGAGTGGCTGCTGAATTATTAGACAAAGGAGATGAGAACTGAAGAGCAGGAGAGTAGAGAGACTAGGGAAAGGATGAGAGGAACTTGTGTGCCATGTTAAGGAGCTTGACTTTTATTAGGTAAAAAAATATAGGGTCCTTGAAGGGTTTTAAGCAGAGCAATACATGATGATGATAGCTACAGGAGGCAGAGAAATTTTAGTAGACAGGGGTGGGTCCCTGGCAAAACCTCACCATTGAGCCAGAAAGCCTGAAACCTGAGGCCCAAAGGGAGAACTTCCATCCCTGTGTGCCTTCTGTCTCCCAGTTGGTTGTTTCTGAATAATGTCTTTTTACCAATTGAATGTTGACTTTTCCAAAACTACCTATGGCCCGCCCTGCCCCCATCCTGTGCCTATAAAGAGCACAGACTCAGTCAGCAAAGGAGAGAAGCAGCTGGACGTCGGGGAGAGGAGACTTAACTTCAGAGATGGCGGCTGGTTGAGGCAACTTGACTTTGGAAGAGAAAGACTGAAAGGTGGCTTGACTTTAAGGGAGAGCAAACTACCCTTCTTGTCCCCTTTCCAGCTTCCCTCTCTGCTGAGAGCTGCTTTCATTACTCAATAAAATTCTCCACATTCATCATCCTTCAATTTGTCTGCATGACCTCATTCTTCTAGGGAACCAGACAAGAATTTGGGATGCACCAAGTGGGGTACCCCAAAAGGCAGTCACACTGGCCCTTTGCCCTCGCTGCCAGAGGGCAGCCGTCCCATGTGATGAGGCAAAGGGCCCACTGAGCTGATAACACACCCTAACCTGGATGCTGCCACAAGGCCTGCACAGAGTTTGCTCCTGCCGGCGCTGAAGTGGCCGACCAGTTCCTGCATTCGTTCACTCACACGCTCCCTCCCACAAGGGTTGGAGCCCGGGGGACCCTAGTGAATGGAATTTGCTCCTGCCAGGCTTCCGGCAGGTTCCTGCACTCGCTTGATCTGGTTCCTGCACTTGTTCGCTTGCACGCTCCCCGCCGCACGGCAGGGGCACCCCTGTCAAGAGTCCCGCCAAGGGGTCAAGAAAATATCCTGCATCGATGATGTTTGTGTTTTAAAAACATAACAAGGTCACAGAAGAACTTATACCTGATAGATTGGAGACTACATGAATCTGAAACCTACTCAGTAGTTGCACAGAGTTTTTTGATAAACATAAAAATGGGCCCTTCTGGTATTAAAGCTTGAAACTTACATTTGTTTTATCTGAGTTCCATCCTCAGGAAAGGACCCCCCAAGCCTCTCAAAAAGCATCAAAGGGCGCTGGGCACGGTGGCTCATGCCTGTAATCCTAGCACTTTGGGAGGCCGAGGCGGGTGGATCACGAGGTCAAGAGATCAAGACCATCCTGGCCAACATGGTGAAACCCCGTCTCTATTAAAAATACAAAAATTAGCTGGGCGTCATAGTGTGTGCCTGTAGTCCCAGCTACTTGGGAGGCTGAGGCAGGAGAATCGCTTGAACCTGGGAGGCGGAAGTTGCAGTGAGCCGAGATCGCACCACTGCACTCCAGCCTGGCAACAAAAAAGGGAGACTCCATCTCAAAAAAAAAAAAAAAAAGTATCGAAGGGCTGAAACTCACCAGATCACTGCATGTAGACAATGAGGGTCCAGGCCCTTCATTCCTCATGATTGCTTTCTTACCCCTCCCAAGTTCCTGTTTTCTCAGGCATAGTTAACCTTTCTTCCCTGCTATATAAACTTCTGATTCTAGTTGGTCAGGGAGATAGATTCAAGACTGATATCCCATCTCCTTGGCTACAGCACCTGATTAAAGCCTTCTTCTTTGGCAATACTTGTCTCAGTGATTGGCTTTCCATGTGGTAAGAAGCAGGACCTAGACCAAACCCCTGCTGTCTTGGTAACAAATCATCACCATAAGGAAAGGCACATATGAGAGTGGATGTTTCCAGCAAGTGTGGATGGTGCCATTGTTGAGTGGGAAAAGAGATCTAATAACTGGGTCTGGACTGGGGGAAAGAAGAAAATTAGTTTTGTGTTGGACAAAGTGAACTTTAGATTCCTATGGGTATAGTGAAGAAGATGCTAGGAATTAGAAGGAAGATTTAGATGTTATAGGATGATCATGGTCATTCTAACCCTGAAAGGTGAAGATGTGATTGGAAGATAATTGTATATCCTAATATATATATATATATATATATATATATATATATATATATATATATACACACTACATATGCCATCTGAAGATAGCAGTGTCTCCAGTATAGTAGGAGGAAAGGATTGATAACAGAAAGCATACTTTTTATAGATGGTAGTCTATATGACAATGCCACCAGTAACAGTTAGTTTCTGTCTTTTAATATAAATTTCTTCTGGTAGAGTAATGTGACATTACCCACAAGCTGACATCAGCATGCAGGTGGAGTTTTTTGGCTCCTTTGGAGGCTGTTACATTTCTAACTCATTGGTTATTGCCATTCATGTAGTAAATATTTAAACATACTTATTGAATAAATGAATGAACACAAGATTATTTCCCCCATCATCACTGAAGAGGGAGGGCACTCATTAAAAGTGAATTTTCTAGATATTGCATATTGATTTTTTAAAGTACACTATTCCAGGAAGCTCCTTCAAAAATTACAGTATATATATATACATGTATATATATACACACTACTATATATATAACTATATACAGTATATATAGAGAGAAAGAGAGATCTATAAAGCTTTTGACTACTCAACTAGATGTCTTCAAAGGGCCATTAGGATTCCAGGGTGCTCTCAGTTTATTATTTGTTAGTTTATCAGTTTTAAATTTAAATGATTTTGTTTTCTGTCTTCCTTGACACTCAGCCTAACACATATAGCCTAGAAAAGCACTGCAGTAGAAATGACATCATTGACATCATTAAAATAGTGATTATATACCTTGTCCATTTGGTAGGTTGTGGTTGGGCCAGCATCATGCCTCCCTTTGCAGCAAAGTTCGCCAACACTGATGTTTCCTCCCCCCTTTTTTTTCTTGCAATTGTTTCACAGTCTGAAGCTACTGTATGTCTGACTGAGGTTATCAGTACATCTGACCGCTGGAAATGTGAAAGCATTACTGGAGAAAGAAAAACTAGTAACTGGAAAATTCTTTCCCATCCAGATTTGCACAGATCTTCTTTCTAGGAAAATGTAGAATTTCTTAGGAAAAATCTAGATTTTATTACGAAAACCTTAGGGGTTCACCTTTAACGTGGAATCGGAGTCTATGGAAATGCAGTCTAAGGCAAGAGGTTGCAGTTTCAAAGCACCACCAATGTCAACTTCACAGAAATACACACAAGGCCCTTTTAAGAATTTTGCCAACTCATGTTATTAGTGATTCTGAGAAAATTACTGTACTCCAACACTGAATATATCAAATAAATATTCTTATGCCTTATACAAAAATCAGAAAATATAGAAGATATCAGAGACACAATATCCTTACCTTCCGGAGAGAAGAATCATTTACCACCTACTCTTTGGGATTTTATGTAAATATACCATCCTTTGCACAACACTTTATAGTTCATAAGGCATTCTTAAAATTAGTGTTTCATTTGGACTTTAGTACCTTTTGTAAAGGAAATTGGGGGTGGATATTGCAATCCCTGTATTAGAAGTAAGCAAACAGACACTTGAAAATGAGCTCTTCTTTTCTTAATCCAGCAACTCCACATTGCTACACACATAAGATTTTCCTGTGTTATTGAGTGAAAACGTGAGAGGAAAGTAAAAGTAGAAAGCAAATTCAATTTCCTTGTCTATTTTAGAATCCCATAATGCTCAGGGGATGATTACGAAGACAAACTGTTCTTCTAAACCTTCTTCCAATATTTAGTCTGTACTGAAATCTCTTTAGAATATGGCTAATATGTTAAAAAAAAATTAAACCACCCTTCTCTGGAAGTTGAGGAGATGGGGGACTCTAAGCCCACCCACTCATCTCCCCCTTTCCCTTATTCATTCTTCCATATTCTCTGTCTTCTGCCCATCCTTGAAGCATAGTTTGAAAATCATTCTCTTGAAAGATAGATTCAATATGTTCTTGGTAATATCTAAATTAAGGCTGCTTTGTAGTAAGTCACATCCTGTTTGTGGAATTCAAAGAGAACATGAATTCAAGTCAGTTACAACAAAGTCATTTGCCCAGGAATCCACTGTGAATGATACCATTAAAATTAAAAAATGATTTGCAAGTTAGAAATTAACTCTTCGGCTAAAATAGAATATCTGTTTAAGTTATTATAGATTGGTGCTGATTTTGTCAGTGCGATTCACTTTTTTTCCCCTAGGATCTTTTTATACTTCTACATGGACGTTTTAGTAGTACGGTATTCAATAGTACTTAAGCTAATTAACAATATAATAGTGGGAAAGAGGCTATCAAACTTAAGTAGCTGATTACTGAGTGATTACTATTGACAGTAGCTCTTATTTCTTCTCTGTTAGCTTTCCTCATTAACACTTTTGTAATAGACAATTGGGTTGGGTTTTTGGAATCTAATGTCAGATTTCATATATCTTTCACTAAGGTTTCCCTATCCCCAGTGGAGAAAAAAATGGAATGGCCCATGCAAAAGAATGCATTAACATTTTTTTTTTTTTGGAGACAGAGTATTGCTGTGTTGCCCAGGCTGGAGTAAAGTGGCACAATCATAGCTTAGTACAGCCTCGAACTCCTGGGCTCAGGTAATCCTCCTGCCTTAGCCTCCCCAGTAACTAGCTGGGAGTACAGGTGAGTGCCACCATGCCCAGCTAATTTTACTTTTTTATTTTTGTGGAGATAGGGCCTCACTATTTTGCCCAGGCTAGTTTCTAGCTCCTGGCTTAACATCCCACCTCAGCCTCTGCTTTATAAAATATTAAAACTTCTTGTTGAATACAGAGGTGGAAGCTGATATCATTCTGACGTATTGGATTCATGAATGACAAAGAGGAATCATTTATTTCAGACTTTTTTTTTTATTATACTTTAAGTTCTAGGGTACATGTGCACAACGTGCAAGTTTGTTACATATGTATACATGTACCATGTTGGTGTGCTGCACCCATTAACTCGTCATTTACATTAGGTATATTGCAGACATTTTAAAGCCAGCAAAATGTTACAGAAGTATACAGATGAGAGTGAATTTACTAGTTGTGTTTTAGGTTGAATGGGATGCTAGGTCGGATCCAATGTATTTTTATTTGTTTGTTTTTTGTTTGTTTTTGTTTTTGTTTTTGTTTTTTTGAGACGGAGTCTCGCTCTGTCACCCAGGCTGGAGTGCAGTGGCACAATCTTGGCTCACTGCAAGCTCTGCCTCCCGGGTTCAAGCCATTCTCCTGCCTCAGCCTCCCGAGTAGCTGGGATTACAGGCACACACCACCACACCCGGCTAATTTTTGTATTTTTAGTAGAGATGGGGTTTCACCATGTTGGCCAGGCTGGTCTCAAACTCCTGACCTCAAGTGATCCACCCACCTTGGCCTCCCAAAGTTCTGGGATTACAGGTGTGAGCTACCACGCCCGGCCCAGTGTGTTTTTAAATAGCTTTGCTCCATGAACGTGGGCCTTCATATTGCTTTTTTCTCTCCCTTCAGATACATTCATGATAAAACCTCTGCCCAAAAATCTTACACAGACATAATTCAGGTTGTAAAAGTGTTTTCTTAGATTTCCTAATTAACAGCTGGGATATAAATATAAATACTGAAAATTAGTATGGTAGAGAAAGAAAAGGAATAATTTCTTAAAGTTTTTCACTTACAAGATTTTTTTTCTTCTACATGTTTCCTCTAATCCAGTAAGTGGAACAATCACTTTTTGTTTGGAGTCTGTATGTTACCATGTTTTCAATTTGGTTACATGAGACTGACTGACTGCTTTTCTGGAAACTTACAAAGGCCTTTTTTCCCCCGTCATCTGTCCTAATTTCAAATAAGCAGTTAGCAGCCAAAATGACTTTCTAAAAGTCATCTATTTGACCTCTGATTATCACTCCTCTGTTTAAGAACCCTCAGTATTTTCCATTTTCTAGAGGATAACGCTCAAATTTCCCATGGTGTGTACAAGAGCCTTCACTATTAGCCTGGAAATCCTCACCAATTAAAAGCCCTGTCCCCAGTGGTCTGCACCTACCCCTTCAAAAGACCCTTTTAAGCCTGCCATTTTCCTTCTACCTAGATTAGCTTTTTCCTTCTAGTTCACCTGGGGAAATCCTATTTTATAATCCAGGTCAAATATCACACTTGCTGATCTATTTTCCTTCTAACTTTAGCAGAGTTATCTTCTATTCTCCTCAGACACTTTGCAATATCCTCCCTACAGCACCTAACACATTACATTGACATGTCTTATGTAGCACGGTAATTCTGAACTGAAAATAAGTGTGTTCTCCAGGAAACATTTGGCCATATCTGGAGACATTCTTGGTTGTCACTATTAGGAAGAGCTGGTGTCTAGTGTGTATAAGCCAAGAATGCTCCTAAACATCCTACAATGCCCAGGACAGCCCCCATGACAAAGACCCACCACGCAAAAAATGTCAATAATAACTGGGATTGAGGAATCCTGCCTTAGAACATGAGCCATATCTTATTCATTCTTGGAGTCTTCCTTCTCCCCTCCCCTCCTCCCATCAAAGAGCCTGACACCAACAGATCCTTAAGACATGTAGAATGAAATTAACATTATGTGGTTATTTCCTAAATTTCTTTTCTTGCTTAAACCACGTTATCCACAAAAAAATTCACTCCCTGTCACTTCTTTCCTGCTACCAGGTTTACCCTTATGTAGCATGGCATTCTACATGGATGATGGGGTCGTAACCAGTATTATTGCCATTTCTTGCAGATCACACCATTTACAAAAACAATGTCTCTGTGTGTTCTGCCATTTCCCTGTGAAATCTGTTCTCCCTCATTTTCAAGAATCAGATTCAACTTTGCTCCAGTAAATCCCAGAACCCACTCTTTTTCTGCAACTTCAGATATGCCCTAGGGTCCACCATGGTAGGCCAGGAAAGAATGAACCTCCTGCTCTCTGCTGTGTGACTGTGGCATTACATGCCTTGTATATTTTGTTTTGTTATTTCCTTTGCCAGTGTTCAAATTCAGTTTCAGTCTTTCATTCCTTTCCAAATACCCCTTGGTTTCCTTGGAATCGTATTGAGCCCTTACTCATCCATTAATAATTTAAAAATTAACCTAATTCTGTTTACATTAGGGAATAGTCGGTTTAATAATATGTTTCTTATTTTTTAAAAAATAAGAGAGGCTCTTTATTCGTGTGGAATAGGCTTTGGTTTTTTTTATGAGAAAAATCTCCTTCCCAGTCCAACTTCTCAAATAATTTTAAAAACTCCCAGATGGTTAAATGGGTTTTAAAAATGGAAACTCCATTTAAAAGATGTATTGGTATATATAAGAGCAAAAAGGAAGGGGAAAGGGCTTCTTTATTTTCTTCAGCTACTTCTTCAAAATAACTTTTCTCTTTACTATAAAATAAAATATGATTTTCTTTTCAACATTCAAATACAAAATACTGATGCCCAACATTAAACTTACGGTCCCTTAATTCTGTAGGGACATCAGAAGATTAATTAAGGGCGGCAATTTCAAAGGACTAATTTAGAAAAAAAAATATTTTAACTATACAACAAAATAGCAGCATACTGAACACATAACGTGCTGCAAGTATGCTTCTTAGAGTATTATTTTTAATGGTTGAAAACAGAAGATTACTTAAGGGTCCTACTATAGAGAGCACTCCACACAATGGAATATTATCATCTTTAAAAGGTATAATTAGGAAGAATACTAAGGGGGCCGGGTGTGGTAGCTCACGCCTATAATCCCAGCACTTTGGGAGACAGAGGCAGGTGGATCATTTGAGGTCAGGAGTTCGAGACCAGCCTGGCCATCATGGTGAAAAGCTGTCTCTATTAAAAATACAAAAATTAGTTGGGGTGTGGTGGCAGGTGCCTGTATTCCCAGCTATTTCAGAGGCTGAGGCAGGAGAATCGCTTGAACCTGGGGTGCAGAGGTTTCAGTGAGCCTAGATTGCACCACCGCACTCCAGCCTGGGTGACAGAAGGAGACCCCATCTCGAGGAAGAAGAAGAAGAAGGAGGAGGAGGAGAAGAACAAGAAGAAGAAGAGGAAGAAGAAGAGGAAGAGGAAGAAGAAGAGGAAGAGGAAGAAGAAGAGGAAGAGGAGGAGGAGGAAGAGGAGGAGGAAGGAGGGATGTGACTAAATGTTCTCATTTATTAAGGGGAGGAAAAAGGGGTTGAAAACCTTATGTGCATGCAATTCCACACATACATACATGTGCACACACACAAATGGACTCACGCACTCATGCAACACATGGTCAGAAACAGCTACACATCAGTTTCCTCTTGGTGGTAAGAGTAAGGCATTTATATGAATATATACACATATTATTTTCTGAGACAGGGGCTTGCTCTTGCTCTGTTGCCCAGGCTAGAGTGACTTGATCGTGGCTCACTGCAACCTTGAACTCCTGGGCACAAGTGATCCTCCCACCTCCGCTTCCCAAGTAGTTGGGACTACAGGTGCACACCACCGCACCTGGCTAATGTTTTCAATTTTTTATTTTTTGTAGATACAGGATTTCTCACTATGTTGCCTGGGCTAGTCTCAAACTCCTGGCCTCAAGCAATGCTCCCAACTCAGCCTCCCAAAGTGTAGAGATTACAGGCATGAGCCACCACGCCTGGTCTATATTTTTATTTTTAAAATTTCTGTCCCTATTTGAGGTATCAAATGCCTAAAAGTGCAAACAGTTTTGTTGATCAGTTGGATGAGTTTTTACCTATGAGAATCCTGTGTAACATTCACCCAAATGTAGACATGGGCGATTTCTGACACCCTGGGAAGCTTGTTCATGTTCTTTTCTACCCAGATCCCCAGGTTGCAGCCTCTATTCTAACTCCTCTCATAATAGTTTCAGTTTGTGGGTAGGTTTTTTTGATGTTGTTGTCATAAATATATTTTCATAGATTTTGTAATGCATATTACGTTTTAGAAATCCTGTAAGTGAAATGATTTTAGAATGAGAAGAGAAAGAGAGGTTGGAAGGAGGGATGATGGAAAGAAGAAAGGAAGGAAAGAAGGAGGAAATGAAGAGAGGATGGAGGAAGTGAGGAAAGGAAGGAAAAGAAAGGGGAAAGAAAGGAAAAAGGAAAGGGAGAGGGAAGGGAGGGAATGGAAGGAGGGAAGAAAGAAGGGAGAAAGGGAGAAAGGATGGGAGGAAGGAAGGGAAGGAGGAAGCGAGGGAGGAAGGGAAGGAAAAAGGAAAACAGGAGGGAGAGAAGAAGGGAGGGAGAGAGGGAGGAAGTAAGGGAGAAGAGAGGAAAGAAAGAAGGAAGGGAGGAAGGAGGAGGAAGGGAAAGAGTAAGGGAGACAGGAGAGAGGAAGTAAGGGAGGAAGGGAGAAGAGAGGAGGGAAGGAAGGAAAGGAAGGAGGGAGGAAGGAAGAGAGGAAGAAGGGAGGGAAAAAGGGAGGGAGGAAGAGAAGGAGGAAGGGAGGAAGAAGAGAAAGAAGGGGATGAGAGGGAGGAAGAAAATAAGGGAAGGAGGGAAGGAGGGAGGATGGCGGGAGAATGAGCTTGCCAGGGTAGCCCTGCAGTCTCCATTGTCTGTGAGAGCCTCCATGCTTGGGCACCACACAACCCCAAGTCCTGAACTTTACCCTTCATAACTGTGACGTTCCCAAATCAAGCACTCCTTTAAATCGATGCCTTGGCCATCTCCTCTTGAGGGATCCTTGAGAGGATAAAATACAATTCTTCCTTTTATTTTTTATTTTTATTTTTATTTTTATTATACTTTAAGTTTTAGGGTACATGTGCACAACGTGCAGGTTTGTTACATATGTATACATGTGCCATGTTGGTGTGCTGCACCCATTAACTCGTCATTTAGCATTAGGTATATTTCCTAATGCTATCCCTCCCCCCTCCCCCCACCCCACAACAGTCCCTGATGTGTGATGCTCCCCTTCCTGTGTCCATGTGTTCTCATTGTTCAATTCCCACCTATGAGTGAGAACATGCGGTGTTTGGTTTTTTGTCCTTGCGATAGTTTGCTGAGAATGATAGTTTACAGCTTCATCCATGTCCCTACAAAGGACATGAACTCATCATTTTTTATGGCTGCATAGTATTCCATGGTGTATATGTGCCACATTTTCTTAATCCAGTCTATCATTGTTGGACATTTGGGTTGGTTCCAAGTCTTTGCTATTGTGAATAGTGCCGCAATAAACATACGTGTGCATGTGTCTTTATAGCAGCATGATTTATAATCCTTTGGGTATATACCCAGTAATGGGATGGCTGGGTCAAATAGTATTTCTAGTTCTACATCCCTGAGGAATCGCCACACCGACTTCCACAATGGTTGAACTAGTTTACATTCCCACCAACAGTGGAAAAGTGTTCCTATTTCTCCACATCCTCTCCAGCACCTGTTGTTTCCTGACTTTTTAATGATCGCCATTCTAACTGGTGTGAGATGGTATCTTATTGTTGTTTTGATTTGCATTTCTCTAATGATCAGTGATGCTGAGCTTTTTTTCATGTTTGTTGACCACATAAATGTCTTCTTTTGAGAAGTGTCTTTTCATATCCTTTGCCCGCTTTTTGATGGGGTTGTTTGTTTTTTTCTTGTAGATTTGTTTAAGTTCATTGTAGATTCTGGATATTAGACCTTTGTCAGATGAGTAGATTGTAAAAAATTTCTCCCATTCTGTAGGTTGCCTGTTCACTCTGATGCTAGTTTCTTTTGCTGTGCAGAAGCTCTTTAGTTTAATTAGATCCCATTTTGGCTTCTGTTGCAATTGCTTTTTGCATTTTTGTCATGAAGTCTTTGCCCATGCCTATGTCCTGATTGGTATTGCCTAGGTTATCTACTAGGGTTTTTATGGTTTTCGGTTTTACATTTAAGTCTTTAATCCATCTTGAGTTAATTTTTGTATAAGGTGTAAGGAGGAGGTCCAGTTTCAGTTTTCTGCATATGGCTAGCCAGTAGAAAGTCTTAAAAATAAATCTTGGCTCTTCACCCTGCGTTATTTTCCCCTGTAATGTTTATGACCTTCTAATATAGTCATATAATCTACTCATTTGTTGAATGAATGAATGAATGAATGAATGAAAAGAACCCCGCTGAATTTTCCTTGTCACTATTTTGACTTACCCATTCTGATGGGCTTGGCAGCTATTCCCTAAGCGTCATCACTCTGTTTATCTCATTTTTGAGAGTGGAGCTCATTATCCACCTTCCCATCTTTGCCAACAACTAGGGGCTGGGCACAGTCACTCATACCTGTAATCCCAACCAAAATCTTGCCTGGGAGAAATTCGGGGAAGATGCAGCACGTTTCCTCAAGGGTCTATGGGTGTCACATTCTTGATTTATATCCCACCTAAGATCTGTCTATCAGGATGAAAGGGACATGAAAAAAGAACATTCGGACACCCTGACATGGGTCCTGTTTTCAGCTGACAGAGAGACTGAAATTCATAACGTTCTTTGTAGGGCATGGTGGGATGTTGATATTTTAATTCCATGAAATTATTGAAGAGAAATTCTATAATAAAATATGACCATGTTCTATGTGCAGTCCCAAAGCTCAGCCACAGCTGTGCTTCTCTATAACAGGCCAGTTCTGAATTTTTCCTCAGGCTATTTATTTGCTTCTTTGAGAGTGGTTTGTCTTTTACAAGTAGACAGGCAGTAGCAAATTCCTGTGACTTGAGAAAAGCTTTTGGAAAAACTTAGAACTGACAAGTTTTAACCATTGACTTATGCTTCCATCCTCCTGCGAACCAGGGCAGGCTGCTGTGATTCCATTGCAACTGCACATTATTTAACTCTAGTTTACAGAGCTAGGTTCTGTGAGAGCAAGTCTCAGCACCATGGAGATGCAATTAGAACAAAATACTCACTGTTAAACAGTGTCTGCCCTTGTGTCTAATTGTCTCACATGGATATTTCTGAATTTATGCCAGATGACTTAGTAGCTATTTTTTGAACACCCGTGATGTGCAGTCACTGTCCTAATAAGTGCTGGGGATATATGAAAGAAAATGAACATCTTGCTTCGAGTCTAATATGGAAGAAAAATAACAAGTGAGCCAATAGGTCAAACTCTTCTTAGTGGAATCTCTGCTTCTCAAGATTTGGTCTCCTTAGGGACATCTCAGTTAAAATTGCTGATGGATCTTCATGGTGTGTAGTAGGAAAAATGAAGTCTTGGCAATCTCCCTCGATGCCTGAATATTTTCCTGGACATTCTCCACCTCGTATCTCTTCTGAACCCTTCTCCAGCCTGCTCTCAGCTGACCTACAGTGGACATCATTAACAGGTCCCTTTGCCCTTTGCTTTCTGTCAGCTGAACTCTCCGGGTGAGCTAGTAATGTATCCAAAGGTGAGCTGGGAGTGAAGCCATGGTCTGCATCCTCTGTGCTCTCTGCCTAGGAGACCACACCCCGCTGCTGGCTGCATTCCTGAGCTGAAGGAGGCTGTTTCTAATTCTGGTACCTGCTCTCTCCTCCTGATCCTTCAGACTCAGGATAAGAATGGCTCCCTAGTCCCTAAACTCAGGGTGCTCCATATTCCCCATGTATTTTCTTACCCTCACAAGCCAACTTCCTGCACATCTGTAAGTAGTTCTTCACTAAATCTCAATTACTTATTCCATCTTAGTATGCCGCCTTTTACTCCTCAAATACCCTGCACAAAATAGAAAATCCTAACAAGACATCAACTGCTGACTCTGTGATCTGCTCCCCTCCCTGCTCTTCCTTGAAAGAAATCCCAAACTAGCCCAGAGCAAAGGAATTTGGTGTGTTTTTTTTTGAAATATAAGTTTTCTAGAAAGAATCAAGAAAAAAATTATCCATGCATAGTTTTAAAAATGAGATGTAACTGTTGTAACTCTTTAGTACTTGTTCCATGTATCATTCTACCTTGGATTCTTGATGGCTTTAAACAGCCAGCCAGATACGGGATGCCCAATAAATGTTCATAGAGTAAATCCGTGCATACTGTTAGGGCATTTGACATGACAGCTTAAATAAGGAACTGATTGTCTTAGTGTTGATCTATATCTCAGATAAATAAATAAAATAACAGTGGTTCAGAAACAGCAAACAACGCCCAGCCACTCAACCACCATATTATATTTGATAAGGGTAGATTAAATAGTAGATAAATTAATTTTTATTCTCCCTCCCTCTCTCCTTTCCTCCCTTCCTTCCTTCTTCTCTTCCTTCCATCCTTTTTTCCTTCCTTCCATCATTCTTTCCTCCTTCTCTCTTTCTATCTCTTTCTTTCTTTACTTCTTTCCTACCTTCTTTCTTTTTTTCCCTCTGCGTTTTTAGAATAAAGTAGCTAAAAGAAGACAATAGAGAATGTGCAGTAATTCCATCAATATACAAATGGCACATCCACAAGTTAAGGCTTTATGAGTGACAAAGCCTTAACTTTGAAGGCTTTTTAAGTGCTCTCTTAGTAAACACTTTTGATTTCAACCTCTCCAAATATGTGTTAATCAAATTGTTCCAGTCATTTGCGCATTTGGAGAAAAACAGGATGTGGGTTTAATCCATCTAGACTGAAAAATGATTTTCTTTGTTTCAACTTAAAAACTTAGTGGGGGATAAGAAAGTCTACACTCCAATGATTAAATAAATGGAAAAACAGTAGGAATGCAACTTCTCCCCTGACTACTCCACAAAACAGTGTATTTTAAGTCTTATTTCCCACCAACTTGTGAATAGTATATTATTCCCATGCTTACACTCATGACATCAAACTTAAATTAAAAATAGTTCCAATCCTCCAGCTCTTGATGGAATTTGAAGTTAAAATTTGGCTTATGCTTACTTTTACTAACAAATACTTTTGTGCTGCTGACATGATTTTTTTGGTACCATTGTTAGTCCAGAAAATGCCATCTGTAACATCTTAGAATCACGTGAACGCTGGCTTCTGTGCTAGGCAGGTTCAGCTAGTCTACCCCACGCATGGGAACCATGCGACCAAACCAGGGCTGGTAGCTGATTATTTTTATCTCTGGAGAACAAAGGAGGAGGAGGCTCTCTCTTTTATTTAATGGTGTGTGTTAAGTGAAGCCCTCTAAATACCCCTCCCTGATTTCATTTCTCTCCTTTTTCACCATGGATATGAGCACTATCCTGAATGGGTGTTTAGCACTCTTATACATGTCTTTATACTTTTATAACATAGGTGTGCATTCTTAAATTACATAATTTTACATATTTAAGAGGTTTATAAATATAGAGTTATAGCATACACCCTTCTGCAATGACGACTGTGTTTTATCCTTTCATCAATGGGGGAATCACTATAGAAATTTATGCTGTTGAGTTCAAAATTAATCACCAAAGGACTCTAGAACAGATGTGTTACAGTATGATTTGTGAGCTCTTCAAAAAGGAAAAGTGGCTCACAAGAACTTCATGATATAAAGGCGAGACCATAGAGAACAAGTGAGGTTAAGGAATTGCCTCCAAGTCATGCTGCATGAGGACAGGAAATGAATTGAGCTCCAAAGCTCTTGCTAAAGCTTGGCGTAGGTCCTGTTGGAGAAGGAAAGAAGATGACAAGAACTGCCTGACACACCGTATGCCGGACATCTTCAAGGGTGCTATGGGATTGGATTCTGGACTAGAGCCTGTGAACCCCATTCCTCTGCATGTGTCTTAGCTACTTTGTGAGATCTGCCTAGGGTAAGTGGGAGGTGACAAAGAGAGGACCTTCTCCATTTTACAGGCCAGGTAGATCAGTAAACAGTTCCTGGAGGTAGAAGGTTCTGTCCTCTTATGTCTAGAACCTTCCAATATTTGAGTCAGTGTGTATTAATACGCCCACCAGATGGGCTGGGGTCTTCATGAGGCATTCTGCTTCCTGTAGCAGTCAGCAGGTCCACCCTCCCATTGTCCCTGGAGTCCTTGTTCTCTGGAGTTCAGCAGCTCGCTGTGAATGAGCTGAGGTTTTTGCCATGAGGGGCCCTGTTTCAGAGTTTGTGACAACCAAACCTTAACGAGGTTAACCCCATGTACTTCACACCAGAACTTATGTGGTTAGGGTCCTCTGACTAGAAACTATAATAATAATAATATTTTTCAGATAGGGTCTTACTCTGTTGCCTACATTGGAGTGCAATGGCATAATCATGGCTCACTGCAGCCTCCTGGGCTCCATGAATCCTCCTGCCTCAGCCTCCCAAATAGCTGAGACTACAGGCATGCAACCACACCAGGCTAATTTTCTTTCCTTTTTTTTTTTTTTTTTTTTTTGACGGAGTCTCTCTCTGTCTCCCAGGCTGGAGTGCAGTGGCACGATCTCAGCTCACTGCAAGCTCCGCCTCCCGGGTTCACGCCATTCTCCTGCCTCAGCCTCCCGAGTAGCTGGGACTACAGGTGCTCACCACCACGCCCAGCTAATTTTTTTGTATTTTTTAGTAGAGACGGGGTTTCACAATGTTAGCCAGGATGGTCTCGATCTCCTGACCTCATGATCCACCCGCCTTGGCCTTCTTTTTTTATTTTATTATTATTATTTTTTTGGTAGAAACCAGGATTCACTATGCTGTTCAGGCTGCTCTGCAACTCCTGGGCTCAAGTGATTTTTCTGCCTCAGCCTCCCAAAGTGCTTGGATTACAATCTGATTGGAAATTCTTAAACGAGATGCAATTCTGACACCACCATCATAAAAGATCACTCTAATAAATGGGAAGGTGAGGAACCTTTAAAAATACATTTGGTTACATAAACTAGAGCACATCCCAACAATGAAATAATGTGCAGTTGTGAACAGGATGAGAAAGTGCTTTATGTGCTGATATGTAAAATCTCCAGAAAGCTTTTACATAGAAAAAGTTAGGAACAGAAACAGAGTATATACAGTATGCCAGTTTTTGCTTAGGAAAAGGGGAGTAATAATATATATTCATATTTGAATAAACGTTTGAAGCATATAGAATGGGGAGGCCAGAAATGGAGAGGAGGGATTAACAGGTAGGAGATTACTCAATATATGCCTTTTCATACCATGATTTTGGAACCACATAAATTTTTGTCTAAGATACATTGAATCAAGTAAGATCTAGTTTAACATTCTACCGATGTTAATTTCCTATGGTTGATAATTACATTATGGTTATGTAAGATGTTCACATTGGGGTATGAGGTAAGGACAATATTATTTTTACAACTTTGGGGTAAGTCTAACATTAGTTCAAAACAATTGTTTTAAATAAAAGGTGATGCACAAATAGCTGATAAACACATGAAAATGTCTTCCAACGTCATTAGTCATCAGGGGAAAGCAAATTAGAAACAAGACAAAATGCCATTTGTATAGCAACTAGAATGGCTAAAATTTTTTTTTAAGTTGAGAACAAAATATTTGTGAAGCTCTCCTGCATTGGTGGTGGAAGTATAAAATGGTCCAATAATATTGTTGGCAAATTCTTATGGAATTAAATATGCACCTACCTTTTGACCCCAAAATTTCATGCCTAGGGGTTAATCTATGAAAAACAACTGTACAGGAATCATCATAACTTCTGTATTTACAGTTGCCAAAAGCTGCAAGCAACCGAAATGTGCAAAAGGAGAATGGGTAAAGGAGCTGTTTTTTTTTAATGTTCCTACAGTGCAGTGCCACTCAGTAATCATAAGGGACAAAGGACTGACACATCAACAATGCTTATGAAGCTCACATACACGGTGATGAGTAAAAAGAAACTTGATAGCAGAGAGCTTGCACTGTATGGCTCCATTTACACAAAATGCTAGAGCAGGTAAAGCTAACAAAAGGAAAACTGTATCAGAACTGTGGTTGCCTCTTGTTGGATGATTAACTGGGAAGAGGTAAAAGGGATGAAAATGATCTATATGGTAGCAAGGTTGTGGATTATGGAAGTGTATCTGTTTGTCAAAATTGTGCAGTTATTTTTTGTGTGTTTTAGCACTACATACTTTATCGTTAAAAAAAGCACTGTGAAAATAATAATTACCTAGGGTTTGGGAATGGGTAGAGGTATTGATCATAGAGAATGGCAGAATATGGATAGCACTGAGGTGTGGTGGTGGATTTGGGGGAGAGTCAATAAACCAGTCTGTTTACTTTTTCTGTATTTGATATTTTTCACAGTAAAAAGTTTAAAATATTCTAAAAAGAAAAAATACAAATTTTGCTATAAAGGGAAGCAATAGAAGTAACAGGGATTTTTTTATTATTAAGAAGATGAAAGCAATTATACCATGTTTTAAGCTAACAGGAGTAGTAGAGTTCTCAGGGCTGGGAGAGTGTGTGGCAACTCAAGATGTTCCCTGACTGACACTGACAATCGAAATGACATTTTAAAATATGCAGTGATCAGATCACAGTAAATGAATGTCAAGAACATTGAATCGCAGGCTTATGAAAAATGCTAAGGAAAGCTAAGAAGTATTTTGGTGGTAGCTTTTGGGTAAGAAGACCAAGAAAACCCACGCCTATTTCTGAGAGCAGGTGGTATGTTAGCAGCTGTAAAGAGAGTTCAGAGCTTTTTCAAATACTGACTTTCTTCTTCTATTTCTACACCAAAGAAAATGGCCTTTAAATTTTAAAGGTGAAAGCAAATAGAGGTGACAAGGATTTAAGCGTTTGATAGGTGAAGAAACAATGAGAGGACAAAGCTTCTTAAAATAAATTCCAACTCAGAAGAATTCTATCTCCAGAATGGAGAATATTTGCTAGTAGTTGTTGATTAATGATGCTTGACAAGAGAACTACTGAAATATAAGAGATGGGTAAATATAACCCCATTTCCCCTTTCTTTTCTTTTCTTAAAAGAGGATAGCATTCTGGAAATTACAGACTATTAAATTTGACAATAATCCTCTGTGTTCTAGAATAGATTACCTAACAAATGTCTTATAAGCCCATAGCAAATGAAATAGCAATTTCCAGAGGCTCAATGGGTTTGCCCAAAGTATGTCCCTACCAAGCCAGTTTTATTAAAAGCCCTGGATATAACTTGTCTAGATGCTAACATGTTATTTGGCAATTTCCCTCTTGCCATTCTGGAGGACAAGACAGACGTATAAATGAGTGAGCCTGAAATCAGAGGATTATGCAAGTGTTCATTTACAGGCATTTTGTAGTAATTTTCACCACCCACTGAAAGGCTGCATGTCTAATGTCACATGTGGAGACAGAACCTGTGTTTAGTGATGGAAATGACCTATTTCCATCTGCATCTATGCCTATATTTACATATACATGCATATCTATAACGATCTTGTTTACCTATCTCGGCATAAAATTAGCTCACTTTTGTCCTCACTTATATATTAAAATTAGTATGATTTAAAATTTAAAAATAGTGTACATTCTCTATATTTGAGAATAGATGGCCTGATTATTTGAATGTTCCATTTCATGTAAGGACATTGAGACATCTTTCTACTCTTGTGATTGCAAAAAATTCCAGATTGTACCAGCACGTTTTGCTGCCATATTAAATAGAGCACATGGAATCAAAGTTAGCATTTTTTTGGCGATTCATCATCTTGTGAGGCAGACAGGGCTGGAGATGGGGTGGAATTAGTATTGGCTTCTGGTAGTTGTTATTAGAATTCAATTTTAAATAGTGCCTTGTACTTTCCATTCTCTTCTGTACAAAAAGTGAAAACCTGAAGTCATTAGTGGACGCTTCTAGCTATTTATCTTTGAGAGCCACCTGTCTTTTTTTCAAAACTGTTTGTGATGGCTTTAAAAAAATCACAGTTACTTAAAATACTAGTCTAAGGAACTACCTTCCTATATGGAGAAAAAAGACATAATGAAACAGTCTCTTTTTGATATTTCCATTCACAGACTGTCATACTTCCAATATGTATTATTGTCTGCAAGTAGCTCCTTAGCTAATAATCACCAGTGAATTAGAAAATCAGGAAATTCACTGTGGCATATCCAACTCCCAGCACTGTTAATGAGCGTTGCGGATGATTCTGCACAGATAAGTTCAAAGCAAATCACTGAGAAAATACTGACATACTTGTAGCCTTTTCATTTGGGGGAGGGTAACACAGCTCCAAAATTTTAAGAACCACCTCTCTTTAGGCATTAACAATTCAGTGAGGAAAATCAATTCTGGTTTTAAGACATCTTCCCACTTACCACTTAGTTACCTTCTGGCTCACACTGATTATTTTAGGGTGTGTGATTCCAAAGTAACAATCGTTGGCAGTCTTATCACGTAGTACATCTTAGCATGTAATTATATGAGGTTTTGAGTGGTTCTCTAAAGTTTTCCTTGGTTGTGCAAATTGTGATCTCTTGGTAAAAAGGAATGGCATTTGAACTGCTTTAATATCCTCGGTCTGAAATTTTATTAACATTGCAATTACTCTAATAGATAGATTACAATAATTATTTCTATACTTGCTGTGGTCGAGAGAAGATGAGAGTGGAAATAGGAAGAGTTGGGTATTTTACCTCTTTGGACTTGGGCAAAGATTCCTTCTTTCAGCTTCAGTTGTTCTTTTGTTTTGTTTTGTTTTCATCTACAACAGTGGAAAGAATGGTCATCCCTTAGCAGGATGGTACAAAAGTTACCCAAGATAATTCCCAAGGTAAGTCACTGTCTTCCACAAAATGAGGCTAATGGCATTATCCCCCCGGAATAGTCCTTACTTTTAGTAGCAGCTCAACTAATTCTAGTTTTCTTCTTATTCTGTTTTTCTTTTAAGAATAAACTTAAGATTTTGGGATAGTTTTATAATTACAGGAAAATTACAATGAGTAGTAGTACAGAGAGTTCCCATATACCCCAGACCCTCCTTCCCTTATTGTAAACATCTGCTAAATTTATCAAAATTTTAGTAAACCAAGGTTGACATGTTAGTGTTAACTAAAGTCCACTTCTTATTCGGATTTCCCTTACATTTTTATTTAATGTCTCTTTTCTGTTCCAGGATCTCATCCGGGGTAACATATCGCACTATTTGTCATGTTTTCTTGAGCTCTCTTTGGTTTTGACAATTTTTCAAACGCTTTATTGGTGATCTTGACAATTATGGGGACAGTTAGAGAATCAGATATTTTGTAAAATGCCCCTCAGTTGATATGAATGAGATGTTTTTCTCCCAGGATTAGACTGGGTTTATAGGTTTTTGAGGGGAAATCACAAAAATACTTTTGCTTTTCCTTCCCTTCATTTTCCATCCATTTCTTTTTTCCTTTGCTCATATTTTCTTTTTTTTTTTCCTTTCCTTTATTTTCTAAATAGGCTTCTCTTCCTCATTGCCCTGGGAAAAAATTTATTCACTTATTTATTTATTTATTTATTTATTTATTTATTTATTTATTTATTGAAATAGGATCTTGCTCTATTGCCCAGGCTGGAATGCAGTGCCGCAGTCATGGTTCACTGCAGCCTGAAACTGCTGTGCTCAGGTGATCCTCCCACCTCAGCCTCCTGAGTGAGTGTTTAGGCTCCTTTTAACCCAGTAAGTGTAATTGGATGTTCAGACACATCAAAAAAAGGAAGTTAAATGTACATACTCTAAAAAACATAAGAGTTTTATTTTGATGTGCTGAATCAGGTCCAGGTGGAACGTTTCAGGAAGCAGAAATAATTAGGAGGGTTAGGATTGTAAACATAAATAAATAATAATAAACAATCCATACTGAAACCCTTGAAAAGGGTGTTAACGAAAAGCATTTATGAGAACGGACAAGTGAGAAAAATAATATTGGAAGCATCCTTAAGGTCTCGATATTTTGCATAGCTTTCTTATAGAATTTAAGTTTCACACCTTTATTAGCAGATTTATTGCCTAAATAAAATGTAAATTAATTTTTTTAAACCTGGGCAGAAGATGAAACACACTCAGAAAGCGGGATAGGTTTATTTGTTTCATGGGGTTGAGTAATAACAAAGATAATGATTTCTGGGCCTTGGTGTTGATTTCCGACACAGTCTGGCAGGTTTGGCAGTGTGAGGGACTTCATGTGTATTAAGCTCTGAAACTGCTAAGGCCTCCCTTCAAGCCTATTCTATTTTCCCATCAGGATTGTTGCATTTCTAAGCTTAGAGATTATCTATTGCATATCTGTAGTGTCCTTGGACTCTGAAAGTATCAGTCATTGGTTACTCAAGTCTCTTGGGCTGGTTAATTGCATCTGTCATCTTGACTGGGCCACAGGGTGCCCAGATACGTGGTCAAACTTATTGAGTCTGTCTGGGAAGGTGTTTTAGATGTTTTATTTTTAATTCTTGTGGGTACATAGTAGGCACATATAACTATGGGGCACGTGAGATACTTTGGTACAGTCATGCAGTACATAATAATCACATCATGGAAAATTAGGTATTCATTCCTTCCAGCATTTAACCTCTGGTGGGAGGGGGTTTTAGGATGAGATTAACATTTACATCGATGACTGAATGAAGCAGATTGTCCTTGCCAATGTGGCTGGACCTTGTCCAATCAGTCAAATGCCTGAAAAGTACAAAGACTGACCTTCCCCGAGCGACAGAGAATTCTCCTGCCTGTCAGCTTTCAAACTGGGGCATAGACTCTTCCTGGTTCTGCAGCTGCCTGCCAGCCTTAGGACTTGTATTGGGAGATCATTTGGAGTTTCTACAGGTTTTCGACTTTTCAGCTTCTACAATTGCATGAACTAATTTCTTATCATAAGTCTCTTTCTGTCTCTCTCTGTGTGTATGTGTGTGTGCACAGATTATATATATCATGTATATCTTTACTGGAGCTGTCTATCCTGTATCTCTCTATGTAGGGAGAGACTTGTTTTAAAGAATTGGCTTATGCAGTTATAGAGGCTGACTACACACATGCACACACACAGACACATCTTAATATGTATATCTTTATTGGAGACATACAGATCTCATATCAATTCTATTTATCTGGAGATCCCTGACTAATATAGCTATCTTCTCTACTTATGCACACATTGTGTAAATGGATTAAAGTCTTTTCCAAATACTCCCATGTCATAGGTCAGGACTATACCATTTGATTAGCATAAATTATGCTTCCACAACTCGTTTGGAAAGGAATGGCAGAATTCAGGCTTTCTGCTTATCTAATCAAATGGGAGTGATTTCGCTGATTATCTTCATTTTGTGCTCATTTACTTCAATTTAAATCAACCATCATTAAGCTCCTACCCAACATTCGTGGGACAGGTTATTATCAGACAAGGTTCTTGTGCAATTGCATTGAGCTGTGCAAAGAAAAACAACTCTTTTGAGGGCTTGGGAAAAGGGTCTGAACTACACAAGAGAGATATACAGGGACACAAGGTCAGAAGCACGTGGCCTTTTGAGAAGCTGCTGAGAACTGAAGTTATATTTTTATAACAAGAACAAAGCAAGCCTCTGTTTTAACTTTTCCTTATGCATTCAGAACTTTGAAAGGCGAGACTTGTCAGGCACCAGGAGAGACACAAGTGCTTCTAGATCAGGGGTCAGCAAACTTTTTTTCTGCAAAAAGCTCTATTATCAGATTTTAGGCTTTTCAGGCCAGTCTTTGCCACTAATACTCAGCTGCACCATTTTAACACAAAAGTCACAGTGGGCAATCCACACATGATACACAATGCACATGGCTGCATGTTAGTAAAACTGTATGTATGGACACTAAAATTTAAATTTCTTATACACTTCACATGTCATGAAATATTCTTCTTTTGGTTTTTCTTTTGGAACACTATTTACAAATGTAAGCATCATTTGTAGCTCGTAGGCTGCATAAAATCAGGCAGCAAGCAGATCTGGTCCTTGGGATGTAGTTCGCCAACCACTGTTCTGTGGTATCAGTTTCATACATACTTCTTATGTGGTAATGTGCACCGAGAAAAGGAAAGACACCATTTCCCCCTCAGTCGCAATACTATAGAAAGTGCTTGATTAAATTGACATAAGTACTAACATCTTATCCACATTGATGTTTAGCTAATTTATTTTGTATAACAATAATACAAAGAGTTCTTTTTACCTGTTACACTAAAAAAAGTATATTAATATTTCATTTTACCCCTCTTTGAAAGGCACCAATGAAAACCAATTATTTTATATAACATTGCAGTTCTATCCAAATATCAAGTTCAAAAGGTGGCCTTGGAATTTATTGTTTTTTGTTTTTTGTTTTTTTTTGAGCCAGGGTCTGACTCTGTTGTCCAGGCTGGAGTGCAGTAGTGTGATCATGGCTCACTGCAGCCTCAACCTCCTGGGCTCAGGTGATCCTCCCACCTCAGTCTCCTAAGTAGCTGGTACTACAGGCGGGTGCTACCATGCCTATTTTTTATTTTTTGTATTTTTTGTAGAGACGGGGTTTCCCAGGCTGGTCTTGAACTCCTGGGCTCAAGCAATCCACCCTCCTCAGCCTCCCAAAGTGCTGGGATTACCGGCGTGGGCCACCATGTCCAGCCTGGATTTTTTTTGAATGAGGTTTTTGCTTGGTTCTAGGGTGGCTGTCTGAATATATGTGAACCTCAGCCTCCTCATCACTAAATGAGGGGATTGGGCCAGTTCAGGTATGAAGAAACTTTTTCTTAAAAGGCCAGCCAGTAAATATTTGGGAAGCCATACTATCTCTAGTGCAGCTATTCAACTCTGTTGGTGTGGCACTCAAAAGACACTGTAAACAGAATATAAATCAATGGGTGTGGCTGTGTTCCAATAAAACTTTATGTACAAAAACAAGCGGAGCCCAGGTTTGAAATATAGATTTCTGGCCCCTGATCTTGTTGGTCTTAAAATACCTTTGCAGATGGAGAAATCAGATGAATGTTGCTTCGTAAAAATGGACCACCAGAGGAAACTTGGGAATGATTATTTTTAACTTTCTAAGAAGTAGATTTTATCTACATTTTATAAATAAAATATTGGTGCATAAGAAGTGCTAGTTTCATGCAATTACATCAGTGGAGTCACCTATATGAATGATGCATTCCTTATCTCAATTCTTCCATAAGTAGAATCACACACTCCAAGGAATTTATATGTTTCATAAAGATCAGTCAATAACCGGGAGGTAACTTATGGAGATGAATTGCATTTAGTTATTTCATCTCTTATTTGACATATAGATTTTAAGCCTGTTAAATGTTGTCAGTTAAATGTTGTCAGTGATGACAAAATTGAAGCATTTTCTCTCCTTCAATCAACATGGTGAGCTAAGTGTTAAATGGCAATTAAAATTATAACAAAATATAATATTACTGATGTGGAACCTTCATTTCTTATTTCATTATTTCTCACATTTACTATTCTAGGGAGAATAGCTCAGAGATATAGTAAATTCAGGCTACATTAAGCAAAATGTCTACTCATGGGAATCTCAGAAAATGTATTTGAAGCCTCCCTAGAAGAGTCTTGAGTCCCTTGGCAGTGCTAACTTGCACAATTCCTGACCCAGTTCACCTTCAGTTAGGGATTTAAAGTTACTCTTCTTCTGAACAATGGCAATTTCAATAGGAGGGCTTTTTCGCTCTGTGCACACGTGTGGTTTTCTTGTAAATGGTTTGCTGCATGAAAGGCAATCTGGATTACTTTCGTTAGTCTTGTATTCCAAGGAAATCCTCCGCAGGGATTTCCGCTGTTGTAAGGAAAATGCACACACTGCAAATTTCTTCCAGGAAGTTGCTGAATTAACAAAAATTAAATCAACTAGGAAGAAAACCTTTTGCACAAGTGAGCCCCGGTGGCAGATGACAGTCATCTATCAGCTTGGTGCACTGGTGCTTGCAGAACATTCCAGGAACGTGCCTCAGCTCACTGTCTTTTTCATCCTACATTTTCCTTATGAAATAGCTCAGCATGAATGTCATCAGGTGCTTCAGGCAGATGGTGTTGGAAAATCATTTCTCAAATTGCCTCCTCGAGAAAGTGGCACTTGTAAGAATTGCATTGCCGAGAACCAATCAGCAACCTGTGATGTTTAAGCTGCCTGCTAGAGTCCATTTTTCATCCAAAATGTGACTCATATTGGTTGGTAGGAGACAAAACAAACAAACAAAACAAAAAAATGCACATCATGCCAAATGTTGAAGTTTGAAATCCCTGACTTGGAATAAACTTTTCCAAAGATCAAATTCCATGTTTAGTTTAAAATCAGTGAGTGTATTAGTCTGTTCTCATGCTGCTGATAAAGACATACCCAAGACTGGGTAATTTATGAAGAAAAAGAAGTTTAATGGACTCACAGTTCCACATGGCTGGGGAGGCCTCACAATCCTGGTGGAAGATGAAAGGCACGTCTCACATGGCAGCAGACAAGAGAGAATGAAAGCCAGGTGAAAGGGGAAACCCCTTATAAAACCATCAGATTTCGTGAGACTTATTCACTACCACAAGAACAGTATGGGGAAACCGCCCCCATGATTCAATTATCTCCTACCAGATTTCTTCCACAACATGTGGGAATTATGGGAGCTGTAATTCAAAATGAGATTTGAGTAGGGACACAGCCAAACCATATCAGTGAGTGACTTGGGTTAAAATTTAGCGATCATATCACCAAATGACCTGAAGGAATAATTACCTGAAACTGTTAAATATGTATTTGGTTACTTTAATTTCTGTCTCCTTAACTAGGTAAACATGAAATAAAGTCTCACACTTTAATCCTGGCATAGACTAGTAGGTGTTCAATAAATGTCAGTTGAATGAATTTAAAAGTGAATACGTATTGCATTCGAATATTGAATTGTTTTCTCTTATTTTTTATAAAATACTCAGTAAATATACATTTTAAGGATTTCAGTAGAAACTCTTTGAGTTGATATTCTTTTATTTTTAAAATGCTACTCATCTGGATCTGAAAAAGGCTATAGTCATTTTAGATATACTAACATTTAGATCTATGAGTCAAATTTATACCAGCTCATTGTTTTCTTGTTTTATTCAGGGTCTGTAGCCATGCTAAAGGCACATAAAAGTTTAGGGTTTTGTTTTGCACTAATTTGTGAGACCCAAGGTTTGTTTTGTGCATAAAATACCATGTGAGTATGCAACACAGATATCACATTTTCACCAGGCTAAACTAGCAATCATTGTTATCAAATGAAGCACACTTATGCCAAGACCTCAAAAGGGACATTTAGGAACCTTAAATCACTAGTTATTCATAAATTGTACATAATTTATTTAAAAATGTTTCACATAGTCTTTCTAAAATGTTAAGTGTAGCATCTGCTTATTATAGAAAAATCAGAAGATCAATAGAAAGAAGAGAAAATGGCCAGGTGCAGTGGAATAAAATGAGATAAAAATGAGAAGGGCTTAGAAATACTAATCTCTGGAATGGTCTGAGACATTAGAAAGAAAATGTAACCAGGTCTTAGTCATACTAAGTCCAATGAAAGCAATGTAAATCTTGCAAACTCTATTTTTTGTAATTAAATAAATGTTGGTTAATATGAGATAACATCTTTAATATCAAGCACAAAGTAATACATATCTTAATACATATTTTACAAGATATCTTAAATTTTAAAAATATGAAAATAACTCGATATTGTAACATACATAAGCAAGCCAAATATGCATCAAAAGTATGGCATTTTAACCTAACAAAATGGCTAAAGTTAAAAAGAAAGAAAATGTCAAAAGTTAGTCACAATGGAAGCAATTTTCATGCACAGCTGGTAGGAATATAAATTGCTACAAAAATTGTTGGGCAGTATTAATTTGAACTGAAAACACACCTACTATATAATACAGAAATTCTATTCCTAGGTCACAAGAAATAAGTGTTTATTCTCTCCAAAAGACGTGAACAAGAATGTGTATAGGAACTTTGTTCATCATAGCCCCAAACTGAAAAGAAGCCAAATGTCCATTATTAAAATAAAGGCGTTGTTCTGTATTCTTAAAATGGAATATTATATAATAACAAAAAAATGAATGATTCCATGCAAGAATATGGATGGATGGCACAGATATAATATTAAGTAAAAGAGGCTAGACACAAAAGAGTACGTGTTGTATGATTTCATTGGTGTAAATTTCAAGAGCATACACTAGGGGTCAAAACAGTGCTTAACTTCAGAGAATGTTGACTGGAAAGAAAAATAAGGGGGCTTTTGGGTAGTGAAAAAGTTTTATGTTTTATTCTTGTATTTGGTTACAGAGGTATATATGTACAGAAAAAAAAATATCAAGGCTGGGTATGGTGGCTTATGCCTGTAGTCCCAGCACTATGGGAGGCTGAGGTGGGTGGATTGCTTGAGTCCAGAAGTTAGAGATCAGCCTGGGCAACATGGCAAAACCCAGTTGCTACAAAATTAGCTGGGCATGGTGGTGCATGCCTGTAGTCCCAGCTACTCAGGGGGCTGAGGTGGGAAGATCGCTTGAACCTGGGAGGTTGAGACTGCAGTGAGCTGATTGCACGACTGCACTCCAGCTTGGGTGAGAGTGAGACCCTGTCTCAAAAAATAAAAAAAAAGAAAAGAGAAAAGAAAAAAAAATCAAGCTATATTCAGTTTTAATATAAGCTATAGTGTAAGTAATATGTACTTTACTATATGTATTTTAGAATCCATCATTTTTAAATTGAGTGTTTCCATACAACTATATTGGCTTGCTTCTCTACAAATCGGAAATCTTGCCATCACAACTTCACACATCTCATCTGTATCAAAAGATAAAAGGTTTGAATGAAAGAAAGTAGATTTTACATTTTGAAAGCTCTGAGATATCTCACTGCCCTCTTCGTTTTCATTGACAGAAATAAGTCATTATTTCTGTATTATTGAAAGTGGAGCAACATATTCGCTTCCTCAAGCCTTTATTGTGTTTCCTGAAAGCCAGTTCAAGAGCTAAACAATAATCCAATTACTACTCAGTGTTTATGAGGAGCAGTTCATATCCATTACCATTGGAACATCATGTTCTTTCTATAGACTTTCGCCAGTGGAAAGACTGATAGAAGTGCGCAGAATGAGGGGTAGTTATAGGATTTCCCTGAAGTTTCCTTTTCCTAATGAATACACTCCTTCATTGTAATAGATTGACCTTTGAACACTAATGTAAGTCTTATGGCTGGGTGTTTTATTAATTGCTAGAACCTTGCTAGTTGGGGTTGTTAATTCACCCTAAACAAGGACCACTTGCAATTAATCTTTTTCTAATTCTTGACACCATGGTTTACAATTATTGTTCCCTTTTTAAAAACCAATTATATATTTTAGTGTTTTACAAATGGACACAAAACTGCAGGTCCCTTAAATGATTTTAGTGTCAGAAGAAAAGAGTCCTTAGTAACCCATCAAAGTTGGGTCTATAATGCTTAAACTCATTTACATACAAGAATAGCATTAACTATTAAAACCAAGAGCATCCTTTGCAAGTAATATATGAATTAAAGTATTCCATTCACCAAAACTACATTTGATCTGCCCCATCTTATTGTATGCTTAGTTAGTAACAGACAAGGACAGTTCAGTCCTGCCTTGTACCTTATGAATCAGAGCTGACAAGAACAGACACAGTCCTGACTGCCATGACACTGTCTATCACGCTGATATTCAACTTTCAGGACCAGGGACAGCAGAGAGCAGTCCTAGGAATCTTTACACAAACTCCCTTTGCCCTCTGAACAACTCTCTGAAACGAAATGCTATCTGCTTGTCGTCCAAGCCAATTGAAATATTACAATATGTTTCATGACTGAGGGATACTTTCATTTTATACTTTCAATTTCTCAATTCACTTATTTCTCCAGTTAAATGGATCCTTAAAAAAAATGTAACTTCCAGTAGGGCAGTAGTGGCAAATCCTGAATGAGAGGAAACATGGAGACAAAAATTTAGTGTTTGCAAGATTCACACTGAACTGTCTCTTCACCTATCAGCTCCTTGCTGTCTCTGCTTGGTTTATGTTAACCCTTCAATTCATCTCTTGTACCTCATTTTGACATCCTTATTGATCTGAGCTCTCAGCCATTAGCTTGGTATCCTCTGGCCTTCTTGTCTCCTTTTCCTGCTTTGGTTCTTTAAACTTTTTTACAACTAAAGTCTTCTCCTAGGTTTCCAACACCCTCCAACTGAATCCTAATAAGGAGCTCCATCCATGGTTTTTTTTTCTTCTTCTTCTTGGCCATAGTGTCAGAGAACTGGCTCCTGAATACTGGTATATAAGTATTTTGTCTTTAAGCATGTTTTCTCTGCTTCCTGAAAATTTAGGGGAATATATACTGAGGAAAAACATGCCTTTGGCATTATATATATTTTTAAGTTGAAAAATATCTTCCAGCCAGGCACAGTGGCTCACACCTGTAATCCCAGCACTTTGGGAGGCTGAAGCAGGAGGATCATTTGAGCCCAGGTGTTTGAGACCAGCCTGGGCAACATAGTGAAATCTTGTCTCTGAAAAAATAAAAAAAAAATTAGCCAGGAGTGGTGACAAGTGCCTTTTGTCCCAGGTACTCAGGAGGCTGAGGTGGGAGGATCACTTGACCCTGGGAGGTCGAGGCTGCAGTGAGTTATAGAGAGAGATTTTGTCTCAAAAAAAGTCTTCCAGTAAGCTTAATATACCAATGAATACTTTTTATCATTACTAGAAACATGGTAGCTACATGATGAAAATATAAAGCATTAACATTTGTATAATTTATCTTTTAAATGCCTATTTGCTCTTGAATGTGCTCTACTAAAACCTTTGCCACCAACAATCCCACAAAACATCCCTTGCCAAAGTCGCTGATAATCTTCATATTGTTAAATCTAATGGCCAATTCTTAATCTTCAGTTTGTCTGCTCTATTAACATTATTTGAGACAATTGATGTCCTTCAACTTACATAATATAGTTATTTTTAATTTATATTCTAAGAGAACACACTCTGGTGATTTTCTCCCTACTTTTGTGGTCAATTTTTATCAGTCTCCTTCACTTTTTTCTCCTCTCTCCCAATTCTAAATCTTGGAGTATGCCTCAGTATTTATTTCTTGGGCAGTTTCTTCTTCTTCTTCTGTATTCACTGCCTTGATTATCTTACATAATCTCAAATTAAAATGTTAACTGGATGATGTTAAAAGCCAAATTAAATCTCCAGCCCTGAAGGTACATAATGAGTCCTGAAGCCCAGACTCATAAATCTAACTTCTTTTTCAGCATTTTCACTTGAGGGTCTAGTAGGCAGCTCTCACTTACCAAGCTCCATATCAAGCTCTTCATCTCCCTACTTGAAACGTGTTACTGGTTTTCACCAGCTGAGGAAATGACAGTCCTGCTCTGCCAGCTACTCAGACAATTGGTTCTGAGTGCCTACCCCCCAACTTCATGTGTTTCTTTCCGAACACTCTCACTTGCATTCTTCTTTAGAAGGACTGTCTGCTAAGGACCACAGTTAGGGTATTGGAGGAGAGAGTTGTTGCCCAAAGCTTTCAAGGGCCAGAGGGCTATTGCTTTTGTTTTCAAGTCCCTATTAATGTCTCTGTTCATTTCTCTCAGGAATGCCTTGTCATTTTCATTGTAGACACCTAACTATTTTTATTGATGATAATAGTGCAAACGGTTTGGTTCCCAAATGTCATTTTCTGGTTTCTTGCTACTGACATAGAAATACAAGTGATTTTTATATGTTGATTTTATGTCTTAAGGTCTTGCTAAATTAAGTGTTGTAGTGTGTGTTTGATAAGTTCTTTACGATTTTTCATGGAAAAAAATATGTTATCTTCAAATATAAATAGTTTAACTTCTTTCTTTCTGTTCTTATGCCTTGTATTTCTTTTTCTTGTCCTAGCAACTTCAATACAATGTTGGCTATAAGTGGTTAGAGTCAATATCCTTCTTTTATTCCCAATCTTTGAAAGAAATTATAATATTTCATGATTAAGTATAATTTTTGCTGTAGATTTTCCAGAGCTTTTTTTTCTTATCAAATTGAGAATTTATCTTTCTTGGTGATATGATTTGGCTGTGTCCCCACCCAAATCTCATTTTGAATTATAGCTTCCATAGTTCCCATGTGTTTGGGGAGGGACCCAGTGGGAGGTAATTGAATCATGGGGGCAGTTTCCCCCATACTGTTCTTGTCATAGTGAATAAGTCTCATGAGACCTGATGGCTTTATAAGGGGAAACCCCTTTTACTTGGTTCTCATTTCTCTCTTTGCCTGCTGCCATATAAGACATGCCTTTCACCTTCCACCATGATTGTGAGGCCTCCCCAGCCACGTGGAACTGTGCGTCCGTAAAACCTCTTTTTCTTTATAAATTGCCCAGTCTCAAGTATGTCTTTAACAGCATCATAAAAACAGACTAATACACCTGGCTACTTTATTAATCAATTGTTTTCATGTGTGTCTTCTTATTAAATTTTGCTTTTTGGGACCTGGCTTAAGACAGGTAGGCATTACAAAATTGTTGTTAGCCTTACATGTCCAACATTTTTACATAAAAATAACACAAGGCACTTTTTACAGTAGGGATTTGTTCTTTTATCTATCACTCTCATAAGACAGGAACAAAACCTGTAGCTGATTTTAATCTCAGAAGGCCAAAGCCAGTTCCAAGCTGTTTGCTGAAACATCTTTGTCTATCTCATTTCTGTGTGCTTTCGCAGATTAATGCATGTAGTATTCAATAAATGGTCAATAACAACATATGACAATTCAAAATATATTTTCTGCTGTTAGAGAGATGGATGTTATGATCCATGCTGTAAGTGATTTGCAGTCCATGATTTTAGAATACTAGCAAAACATGCTTCTTCTCCCCATAAAGGCAAGATGAATAGGTCACAGATTGAGAAGACATCTGATTCTTCAAAAATTCTTCTTGCTTCACCTCCTTAGGCCTCTCTAAGTAGTATTCACTACTGGGAGTGCAATGAGGTTGAAGTAGAACTTCTCTCTCATTCTTCTAATTAACTGTTTTATCATTCTTTTTTTTTTTTTAAATCTCTCCTGACCAATATGCAAGCTAAAGTACTGAAAGTAAAGAAAAAGCGATTTCATGCCCAGGAGCAGTGGCTCATATCTGCAATTCTAGCATTTTGGGAGACTGAGGCAGAAGGATTGCTTGAGCCCAGGAGTCTGAGACCAGCCTGGGGAACATAGCAAGACCCTGTCTCTGTTTAAAAAAAAATAAGAAAAATGTGAACAATTAGAAAGCTACAAATAGTACAAGACAAATTCTCACTAGGTTTTATATTCTCAGAAACATATCACCATTTTTCTGGCAAAAATGAATGTGATACGTATGGTGAGAAGTACAATTTGTTTTCAGTGCAAGCTCAACTCTGTAATTTATGCTGATTATAAACAAAAGGAATAAGGGTAAGTTAAATCTCAAACCTAATTCCATTCAATAGTCTCAAACTCTGTCTCAATATCTGCATGAGCATGATTATCAAGTAATCAAATTTACTAGATTCAATTTTGGCTGCTTTAATTTACACCTCTCTCTGACTAGCAACATTGCTCATAGTTAATGAAATGGCCCCAGAGGATGCAGACATAGAATGATGGCTTAAATTGCCTACTAACAGATGCCTAAGAATGGAAGGGGCATGGGTTTTCAAGGTGGTTAAGCTGTCGGCAAGAGCAAGCTGTGAGTGATACAGTAACAGCTGTGTCAGGCTTGAATGAGAAGGAATTTGGACATGTTAGGTAATTATTTTATACTTGTGTCACTTTAGTAATACAGTTTAGCTGAGGAAGTTGCTCATTTAGCAGACACATTGTAGCAGTTTTCTGGATTGGGTTGCCAATCCCAGCAAGAGCTCCACATGTCTCTTTGCCTATTCTCTATTTCTTCATCTAGCAACACAAAACCACCATCCAACCGTTCATCATTTTACACCTGGATTTTGCCATGGTTAAAATAGGGCTTCATTCAGTCAGAATAATCTGGATCACACAACAGATATTATTTACCAGTTCAGAAATCTGCAGTCTCTCCATGTTATTTCTTAGAATGTCAATGTATCATTCTCCTATTAAAGAGACCCATAACAATGGAAACACTTTAATTTCAAACACATATTTTCTTATTTCATATGACCAGCCTTTGTATCGTTCTTGGCTTACCCTCTCCTATCTCCCATTCCCTCATTGTCAGGCTCTTTCTCATATTATCTCCTTTTGTGGAACACATTTTGGTGCTTCATAATTATTGTTGCTTGTTCAAATTTCATCTTCTAAGAGAAGCCACTCCTGTCTTCCCATCCCAGCATCCACAAACCACACTTTGTGTCCCCAGAGGGCTTAATTTACTGTTTATATAACTGTCATAACTGAAAATTCATTATCTGTTTCAAACATTTTGAGTTTGCAGTGATAGTGGAACATGTATTAGTATTCTCATTAAATGAAAAATTTGGAACTAGAAGTCAGTAGAGTAGTCAAGGAGAGGAATATACTTAAATTTACCCACTCCAATTGCCTCTCTGCTTCTATTCTCAGTGTTTTATCACCAATTTCTTTCTACAGACTTCCCTATTATGGTGCTGGACTAGCATAATCAAAATAGCAAGCACAGAATTAAGACATAATATAAAAAATTTGAGGCATATGCAAATCAACTAAGGAGGTAGTTCAAGTGTTGATTTTATCATTGCTTCTTTTCTGGCAAGGCTTGGGTGGTGTCAAGGAATCTGATTTTTCAAAATAATGTAAGATAATTATAATGTAAGTTGCTCAAACACACACTTCTAGAATCTCCAAAATAAAGAATAGGCTAATTTTAAACTGGTCCAACAATAGGGGAGTGGTTATGCAAATAATAATATATTAAATTCAGTGTTGTACAGTCATAAACATATGTGGTTATTTAACATATAGCCACATGTAAAGATGCATGCAGAAATAGAAAACACATTGTAATATGTTTACTTTCCATATCACTAAGCAGTAGTTTCTCATTTTATATTTTTATGGACATTTTTACTTGTTAGTTGTATTAGTCCATTCTCTTTTATAAAGAACTTCCTGAGACTGGGTAATTTATAAAGGAAAGAGGTTTAATTGACTCACAGTTCTGTATTGCTTTGGAGACCTCAGGAAACTTACAGTCATGGCAGAAGACAAAGGATAAGCAGTCACCTTCTTCACAGGGCAGCAGAACAGAGTGAATCCAAGCAGGGGAAACTCCAGATGCTTATAAAACCATCAGATCTCATGAGACTCACTCATTATCATGAGAACAGCATGGGGGAGACCGCCCCCAAGATTCCGTTACTTCCACCTGGCCCTGCCCTTGACACATTTGGATCATGGAGATTGCAATTCAAGGTGAGATTTGGGTGGGGATACAAAGCCAGACTACATTATTAGTCAATCACAGCATCTAAGAGTTGTTCTTAAAATCAGAACCATGGACATCTCCCTACTAGCTCTCTGGAGGGCATTAGACAAATCCCTTGAGTTGGCAACAGTTGTGTGGTCTTTACATTAAAAAGCATAAATGGATCACACACATTTATTTATTTCTTCCTACACCCAATGATATTAAGATAATAAAATGATAAAGAGAAGAGTGGAGGGTGTATTTAAATAAATCACAAAAATTCTGAACACAGAAACACATATAGAAGAGTATTGGTATTGAGCGTGGAAAGTGGGTGAATCCTTTTTCTTAGATACTTGTAGAGAGTGATTAGGGCAACGGGGAGGAAAATGATTTAACCCTGAGAAACTTGTAAATCAATGAAACAAGGTACATGATAGTTATAAGAGACACACAGGGAGGAAACAGAAGAAGAAATTAAAAGATGCATATCAAATTTTTGAGCCTCCATCTTTTTTTCCTCTTCACTACATGGAATACTAAGTTAGTGCCTGGAATAGGAATGCATAGATTTCCTCCCTAAATAAAGTAAATGTGACTGCATACAAATTAAAACCATCTTCATTAAAAGGAAACCAGCAAGTAACAAACAAGTAAGAAACCACGGACTGGGAATGTTTATATTTGTAACATATACAAGTGACTAAATGTTTGTACCTAAAATATGTAAAGAATTTCTAAAAGTCAATATAAAAGACAAACAACTCAATCTAAAAGTGGCCAGAGGATACAGACAGGTTTGTGGGAATGAATGAGCCTGATTAGTACTTATGAAAATTTAAATTAAAATAATAATGCACTGTCCTGTAACTGAAACTATAAAAAGAGGAGGGGAAATTGTACACTAACCTCACAAAAGTAGTTATCTCTAGAAAAGAAATAGAGGTAGTAAATAGAAGGTAGAAAGAGGTCAACGGGGTGAGAGTTATATCTTTTGCATTATATTGTCTTAAGCAAAAACCTCTGAAGCTAAGCAGAAAAGAAATAGGAAAGGATGGCAGGGAAAAGACGGGTAGGGAAGAAGAACTTCTCAGGTAATTATAGAGATGCTTTTAAATTACAGTACTTTATGCCTTGTCTTCTGCCTCTTCATACATGAAAAGACTTTGTAGAATAAACTAATGTGTTTATTAGGGTTATTTCTGATAGAACATGCCCATAGGTATGCTTACAAGATACCCTGTGATTGGAATCTACCTTTAAATAATAATTTTCTCTTAATATAAAGATGGACATAGAAATTACTGTCTGCAAGCCTAGTTATACCATTTCCATAAAAACTAACATTACCTATATATTGGCAGAAATAAATTTCATGACATTCCAGAGGACTTTGCTTTGCTCACAGAATTCTGTAGTACAATATTTTGAATCCCACCATGCAAAATGCATTAAAGAAGCCAGGAAATATTTCTCCCAAAATTTATCACTATTCTTCTTAGCACGATGTTTGCACAAAATATTTTACCTCCTGTGCGCCATGATCCTTTAGGAGGGAAATATCTAGGTGATATGAATGATGTTTATCTACAAGGTATGTAGAGAGATGTCTGGATCCCTTGATACTTTCTAGTGTCCTGGCTAATAATATAGGTACCAAGAAATACCTGCAAAACTCCACAGAAATGACTGAGAAGTCAAGTGAGAAATTTTGAAGGTCTGGGTGTGATAATTCCCACAAAAATAAGAGAAAATAAGGGCAAATGAGATGTAAAGAAGTGGTTTCAGTGAATAAACTGGAAGCTATTCACCTTTGTCGACAGAAAACATATTTGAAGAGACAAAAACCCAAAGATTATGCTCCAAACTAGCTATTCTGTTTTTAACTGTCCAAATCTACTGTGGCATCTCCTTTATGGATATTGGTTTTAATTATTATCCACCTAGGGAACTGAAACTGAGTTTCCTAAATAAGAAAATATATAGTTTTTGTTTTAAGAAAAGCTATTTAATCTATCTTAGAAGTAAGGGTAGATGAAGGAAATGCATTTACTCCATCTTACAATTCATGTTTCATTAGGCTGCCCACAGGCATTCTGTGTTTATGGTCTGCTGCACTCCACAATAAAGCTATTATTCGTGAGCACTTCCCTGCTGGCTAACCACATTTTGGCTACTGCTTATGTTTATTTATGAGTCTCGCTTGGGAAAGGATTTGCAAAGTCTGATGGGGAGTCCTCACATGTATGTTTACACTTCTCCAGGCTTAGGTATCTCGAGAAGGGAAGTGGCCACAGTGTCACCAGTCTCCAGAATGAATTATGCAGCAGGACACATCATCGATAACCAGATAGAACACTCCCTCAATATTTAAAGGGCAATGGCAATGATGGAAAGAAGGAAACTGAGATGATTCCAGTTCTGTGGGATCACTGGATTCAAGCAACATTGAGAAATAATTTTTCTGCTCAATCCTTACCAAGCAAAAATAATCATCAGGGAGAAAAAGCAGCATTATCTCTCCCAGGGAGAGTATGACATAAGATGTTGCCACTATTGTCTCTGCAGCTCAGGTTTCTGCTTCCTGACCATTGATTTCCTGCACAGGTAAAGAACTGTATTAATTGGGGTTCTTCAAACAATAGGATATGCCAAAGAACTCTATCTATCTATCTATCTATCTATCTATCTATCTATCTATCTATCTGTCATATATAATCTACATATCTTAGTCCATTTGTGCTGCTATTACAGAATACCATATATAATTATAAACAATATATTTTTTTCTCACACTTCTGGAGGCTGGGAAGTCCAAGATCAAGGTGCTAGCAGGTTTGGTGTTATGTGAAGGCTGCTATTTGCTTCCAAAGTGGCTTCCTATTGCTGCACTCTCTGGAAGGGACAAACACTGTGTCTTCACATGGTGGAAGGGATGCAAGGGCAATAGTGTCAAATGCTGTGTGAAGTCTCTTTTATAAAGCCTTTAATCCCTCATAAGTGCTCATGACCTAATCACCTTCTAAATACCCCACCTCTTAATACTATTGCATTGGAATAGTGTTGTTTCAACATAAATTTTGAAGGAACACAAGCATTCAAATGATAGCTCACTCACTGTATCTATCTATCTATCTATCTATCTATCTATCTATCTATCATCTATCTATCTATCTAATCTATTGAAAAAGAGTGAGAAAGAGAAAAATTTACTTTAATGACTTGATTCATGTAATTGGGGGTCTGGCACGTCTGAATTCCATAGGATAAGATGACAGGCAGGAAACTCAGGCAAGAGTTTCACAGATTCCTACTTTGCTGTTTCTCAGTGCAGAGGTTTATTCTTTGGACTTTCAGGATAAACCAAAGCTAGGCACTTCTGTATGCCAGTCAGCAAGGAATCATTCTTTTGTGGTGTGCAGAGCGTATAATACCCATTGAGAATGGATTGTAAAAAATTCAAGAGGGTTCCTGTGCTAGTTATTAAGCATTTATCTCTCAGTTCCAAATCCACCATCTATATTCTCCACGGTGATGATGGGGCAAATGTCTTTCTCCTTTGTCAGTTGACTCTATATTTAGTGCTACCAATAGGGGGACCTAGAAGATATTGGCGGACAGGAAGAGGTGAGAAAGAACTTACTACATCTTGTAAGGTTGCTATTGCTGTCTCCTTCACTCCAGCAACGGCACTTAACCTGGCAACATCAGTTGGTTCCAGTGTCTGTGTGTCTCACCTGCACACTTAGTGACCTTTGCCTTGCCAGCTTGTTTTTTAGCCCCAAGATTCTTGCTCCACCACATGTTTGGGGTCCTGGACACTCCAGTAAGCTCTTCCTGGATCCACCTCTTAGAAAAGAGGTACTGGGTTAGATATGATAGCATTTATATTTTGTGCTATGACACTTACACATTCTGACATAAGCATGTGGAATTTCTTGTTATTTTATTTCCCAGGGTTAATTTTGTATATGTGTATGAAGACAAAAAATAGGATGTCTTTTTTTGTTTGTTTATTGGTAGCTACCAAGATACCCAAGATTGATTGACCAGTGTTTGTTGATGACACCAAATAATGTTATTTTACAAGGCCTCTTTAAAAATGTTAGCTTTCTGAAACTGAAATATTTATTTAAGCATCAGACAGATAACACACACTTCACCACCACCCCTCCCCCATTCATTTGTATCATCAATTAAAAAAGCTTAGAAAACATAAAACTTTAATGCTTATTTTAACTGAAGGCTTGTGGGCTAACATCCACAGTTTATAAATGGCACTTTGGTATTTTGAAGCTAAACATTACAAGAAGTCTACGCATGATGTTCAAAAGAAGGAATGATAAAGGTAGCTTTAGGAATGTAACATCAAATCCCAACATTTCTGTCTGGCTTGAAAATCTTTCCAAAAATTCGGCAGTTTTTTGAACTGTTCAATCATTATGTTTGATTAAAGTGGCCCAATTTAGTTTTAGGTAGATACACATGGCATTCTACACGTGGCTTAGAAGTTTTTGATTGAAAGGGGAAAAAAGGGCAAATCTCTTGATGTTCGATTTTTTTTTTCTTTTTTTGAGACAGGGTCTTGCTCTGTTACCCAGGCTGGAGTATAGTGGCATGATCACAGCTCACTGCAGCCTCGACTTCCCAAGCTCAAGGGATCCTCCCACCATAGCCTCCTGAGTAGCTGGGATCACAGGCATGTGCCACCACACTTTGCTAATTTTTAAAATTTTTATAGAGTCAGGGATCTTGCCATCTTGTCCAGGTTGGTCTCGAACTCTTGGCCTCAAGCAATCCTCCTGCCTCAGCCTCACAAAGTACTGAGATAGCAGGGATAAGCCACTGTGCTAGGTTGAAACTATTTTTAAATTTAAACAGTTTTAATTGTGGTAAAATACATGTAAAATTTTCCATCTTAACAGTTCAGTAGTGTTAAGTGTAGACATATTATTGTGCAACCAATCTCTACAACTTTTTTATGTTACAAAACTGAAATTCTTTACCCAAAGCAATAATTATCCAATCTCTTTTCCCAACCCCTGGACACTACCATTCTATTTTCTGTTTTTATGAATTTGATGACTCTAGATATCTTATGTAAATTGAATCATGATGTAGTTGTCTTTTTGTGACTGGTTCATTTCATTTAGCATAATGTCCTCAAGGTTCATCCATGTAGTAGCATGTGTCAGAATTTTCTTCCTTTTTAAGTATGAATAATATTTCTTTGTGTGTATACATTATATTTTCTTTATCCATTCATCTGTCAATGAATACTTGAGTTGTTTCCACTTCCTGACTATTGTGAACAATGCTGCTATGAACATGGGAACACTGATACTTTTTCAGGACTCTGATTTCAGTTCTTTTGAACACACGCTCAGATATGGAATTGCTGGATCATATGATAATTCAACTTTTAATTTTTGGAGGAACCTCCATTAAACAGTAGCAACTACACCATTCCCACCAACAGTGCAGAAGGGTTTTACATTCCCACCAACTGTGCAGAAGGGTTCCAATATTTCCACATCCTTCCCAACACTTATTTTCTGTTGTTTGTTTGTTTGGTTTAAACAGTAGCCATTCTTATGGGTATGAGATGATATCTCATTGTGGTCTTGATTTGGATTTCCCTAATGACTGGTGATGTTGAGTATCTTCCCCTAAGCTTGTTGGCCATTTTCATGTCATCTTTGGAGAAATGTCTATTCCAGGCCTTTGTGCGTTTTAAAATCAGAATATTTTGTTGTTGCTGTGGTTAAATTGCAAGAGTTTTTGTTTGTTTGTTTGTTTGTTTGTTTGTTTGTTTGGTATCCTGGAGAGTAACCCCTTATCAGATATCTGATTTGCAATTCTTTTCTCCTGTTCCATAGGTTGCTTTTTCACTGTGTTAATTATATTATTTGCTGCACAGATGTTTTTACGTTTGAAGTAGTTTAAATTACCTATTTTTCTTTTTGTTCCCTGTAAGAAACTATTTTTAAGAAATTAGGAAACATCTCAAGATGAAGTCATTAAGCCAAGCTGAATGAAGACAAGAAGTTGTTTCACAGATCTGGCTGCATAACATGCTCGAGTCTTCCTCCTAGTGGGTGAGTATGGAAACTACTGACAGTACAATGTTCTCCAACTAGATTCAGAAGATTCCCAATACATTCAGTTCTTCTGTTCTCTTATCTCAAGCAAACACTAAATTTTTGTGGTTGGTTCAACTCAGGAAAAGTTACATTGTCAAATTTGATTCAACACAGGTGTCAGAAACAAAACCCCAAAACTATATACTCTAAATTTGCATTTTGTTGTCTATAAGTTCAATTTAAAAGTCAAAGTAATGTTACCATGAGTAAAATTTTCACAGTGAGCAAGAAAACAAAATCAGCCACCCCTCAAACTAAATCAAAGTGGCAGAGATGATTTAGGTAATTATTTTTAAACTGAACATCTCTCTATCGTTGGATATAACCATGCCAGAGGGTCCATTTGGAAGTGGCCCAGATGAAACATGCCATAAGGCCAGAAACTGTAATTCAAAAGTTCTAAATGAAAACACTCAAGTTTCATTGAGGCAAGAGGCTTGAGTGCACAATAGCAATACAAGCAGCTGTTTTTGCCACTCAGCCTTAAGCCTGAGTTTGTTTCTTTCTTTTCTTTTCTTTCCTTTTTTTTTTTTTTTTTTTTTTTGAGATAGAATCTCACTGTGTCACCCAGGCGGGAGTGCAGTGGTGCTATCTCGGCTCACTGCAACCTCCCCCTCCCGGGTTCAAGCGATTCTCATGCCTCAGCCTCTCAAATAGCTGGGATTACAGGTGCCTACCACCACACCCGTCTGATTTTTGTATTTTTAGTAGAGACGGGGTTTCACCATGTTGGCCAGGCTGGTCTCAAACTCCTGACCCAGGTAATCCACCCACCTTGGCCTCCCAAAGTGCTGGGATTACGGGCATGAGCCACCACGCCCAGCCTGGGTTTGTTTCTAACATGTGTGGTGTCAATGTCTGGTGTCACCTCTAAAAAATGCTGTTTGCATGTAAGCTGCAGTTGGGTCTTTGAGACTTGCTTTTGAAAGGATGCTGGTTAGTGTGTTTTTCCTCCTCTTCTCTGGGTAACACAAATAAGGAGCTGTCACTCATAAAGTCCCAGACACCAATTAAATTTCCAGCAGTTGCCTATGACATCTCCCTTCACAGGGGGCCTCTGAATTACATGTTGTCATAGTAAGAGCCTATGATCTTGGCCATGCTGCCTCAGCTCCTGGCTCTCGTATTGCACTTAAAAGACCAATGCTTGCTTGTGTTTCATCTTTCCTTATGCAGTCTTGGAGCATGCATTATGAGTGGCTGATTTTCTTTTTTTTTTTTTTTTTAATTATTTATACTTTAAGTTTTAGGGTACATGTGCACAATGTGCAGGTTAGTTACATATGTATACATGTGCCATGCTGGTGCGCTGCACCCACTAACTCGTCATCTAGCATTAGGTATATCTCCCAATGCTATCCCTCCCCCCCCCGCCCCACCCCACAACAGTCCCCAGAGTGTGATGTTCCCCTTCCTGTGTCCATGTGTTCTCATTGTTCAATTCCCACCTATGAGTGAGAATATGCGGTGTTTGGTTTTTTGTTCTTGCGATAGTTTACTGAGAATGATGATTTCCAATTTCATCCATGTCCCTACAAAGGACATGAACTCATCATTTTTTATGGTTGCATAGTATTCAATGGTGTATATGTGCCACATTTTATTAATCCAGTCTATCATTGTTGGACATTTGGGTTGGTTCCAAGTCTTTGCTATTGTGAATAGTGCCGCAATAAACATACGTGTGCATGTGTCTTTATACCAGCATGATTTATAGTCCTTTGGGTATATACCCAGTAATGGGATGGCTGGGTCAAATGGTATTTCTAGTTCTGGATCCCTGAGGAATCGCCACACTGACTTCCACAATGGTTGAACTAGTTTACAGTCCCGCCAACAGTGTAAAAGTGTTCCTATTTCTCCACATCCTCTCCAGCACCTGTTGTTTCCTGACTTTGTAATGATTGCCATTCTAACTGGTGTGAGATGGTATCTCATTGTGGTTTTGATTTGCATTTCTCTAATGGCCAGTGATGGTGAGCATTTTTTCATGTGTTTTTTGGCTGCATAAATGTCTTCTTTTGAGAAGTGTCTGTTCATGTCCTTTGCCCACTTTTTGATGGGGTTGTTTGTTTTTTTCTTGTAAATTTGTTTGAGTTCATTGTAGATTCTGGATATTAGCCCTTTGTCAGATGAGTAGGTTGCGAAAATTTTCTCCCATTTTGTGGGTTGCCTGTTCACTCTGATGATAGTTTCTTTTGCTGTGCAGAAGCTCTTTAGTTTAATTAGATCCCATTTGTCAATTTTGGCTTTTGTTGCCATCGCTTTTGGTGTTTTAGACATGAAGTCCTTGCCCATGCCTATGTCCTGAATGGTAATGCCTAGGTTTTCTTCTAGGGTTTTTATGGTTTTAGGTTTACCATTTAAGTCTTTAAACCATCTTGAATTGATTTTTGTATAAGGTGAAAGGAAGGGATCCAGTTTCAGCTTTCTACATACGGCTAGCCAGTTTTCCCAGCACCATTTATTAAATAGGGAATCCTTTCCCCATTGCTTGTTTTTCTCAGGTTTGTCAAAGATCAGATAGTTGTAGATATACGGTGTTATTTCTGAGGGCTCTGTTCTGTTCCATTGATCTATATCTCTGTTTTGGTACCAGTACCATGCTGTTTTGGTTACTGTAGCCTTGTAGTATAGTTTGAAGTCAGGTAGTGTGATGCCTCCAGCTTTGTTCTTTTTGCTTAGGATTGACTTGGCGATGCGGGCTCTTTTTTGGTTCCATATGAACTTTAAAGTAGTTTTTTCCAGTTCTGTGAAGAAAGTCATTGGTAGCTTGATGGGGATGGCATTGAATCTATCAATTACCTTGGGCAGTATGGCCATTTTCACGATATTGATTCTTCCTACCCATGAGCATGGAATGTTCTTCCATTTGTTTGTATCCTCTTTTATTTCCTTGAGCAGTGGTTTGTAGTTCTCCTTGAAGAGGTCCTTCACATCCCTTGTAAGGTGGATTCCTAGGTATTTTATTCTCTTTGAAGCAATTGTGAATGGGAGTTCACTCATGATTTGGCTCTCTGTTTGTCTGTTATTGGTGTATAAGAATGCTTGTGATTTTTGTACATTGATTTTGTATCCTGAGACTTTGCTGAAGTTGCTTATCAGCTTAAGGAGATTTTGGGCTGAGACAATGGGGTTTTCTAGATATACAATCATGTCGTCTGCAAACAGGGACAATTTGACTTCCTCTTTTCCTAATTGAATACCCTTTATTTCCTTCTCCTGCCTAATTGCCCTGGCCAGAACTTCCAACACTATGTTGAATAGGAGTGGTGAGAGAGGGCATCCCTGTCTTGTGCTGGTTTTCAAAGGGAATGATTCCAGTTTTTGCCCATTCAGTATGATATTGGCTGTGGGTTTGTCATAGATAGCTCTTATTATTTTGAGATACGTCCCATCAATACCTAATTTATTGAGAGTTCTTAGCATGAAGGGTTGTTGAATTTTGTCAAAGGCCTTTTCTGCATCTACTGAGATAATCATGTGGTTTTTGTCTTTGGTTCTGTTTATATGCTGGATTACATTTATTGATTTGCGTATATTGAACCAGCCTTGCATCCCAGGGATGAAGCCCACTTGATCATGGTGGATAAGCTTTTTGATGTGCTGCTGGATTTGGTTTGCCAGTATTTTATTGAGGATTTTTGCATCAATGTTCATCAAGGATATTGGTCTAAAATTCTCTTTTTTGGTTGTGTCTCTGCCCGGCTTTGGTATCAGGATGATGCTGGCCTCATAAAATGAGTTAGGGAGGATTCCCTCTTTTTCTATTGATTGGAATAGTTTCAGAAGGAATGGTACCAGTTCCTCCTTGTACCTCTGGTAGAATTCAGCTGTGAATCCATCTGGTCCTGGACTCTTTTTGGTTGGTAAGCTATTGATTATTGCCACAATTTCAGCTCCTGTTATTGGTCTATTCAGAGATTCAACTTCTTCCTGGTTTAGTCTTGGGAGAGTGTATGTGTCGAGGAATTTATCCATTTCTTCTAGATTTTCTAGTTTATTTGCGTAGAGGTGTTTGTAGTAATCTCTGATGGTAGTTTGTATTTCTGTGGGATCGGTGGTGATATCCCCTTTGTCATTTTTTATTGAGTCTATTTGATTCTTCTCTCTTTTTTTCTTTATTAGTCTTGCTAGCGGTCTATCAATTTTGTTGATCCTTTCAAAAAACCAGCTCCTGGATTCATTAATTTTTTGAAGGGTTTTTTGTGTCTCTATTTCCTTCAGTTCTGCTCTGTTTTTAGTTATTTCTTGCCTTCTGCTAGCTTTTGAATGAGTTTGCTCTTGCTTTTCTAGTTCTTTTAATTGTGATGTTAGGGTGTCAATTTTGGATCTTTCCTGCTTTCTCTTGTGGGCATTTAGTGCTATAAATTTCCCTCTACACACTGCTTTGAATGTGTCCCAGAGATTCTGCTATGTTGTGTCTTTGTTCTCATTGGTTTCAAAGAACATCTTTATTTCTGCCTTCATTTCCTTATGTACCCAGTAGTCATTCAGGAGCAGGTTGTTCAGTTTCCATTTAGTTGAGCGGTTTTGAGTGAGTTTCTTAATCCTGAGTTCTAGTTTGATTGCACTGTGGTCTGAGAGATAGTTTGTTATAATTTCTGTTCTTTTACATTTGCTGAGGAGAGCTTTACTTCCAACTATGTGGTCAACTTTGGAATAGGTGTGGTGTGGTGCTTAAAAAAATGTATATTCTGTTGATTTGGGGTGGAGAGTTCTGTAGATGTCTATTAGGTCCGCTTGGTGCAGAGTTGAGTTCAATTCCTGGGTATCCTTGTTAACTTTCTGTCTCGTTGATCTGTCTAATGTTGACAGTGGGGTGTTAAGGTCTCCCATTATTAATGTGTGGGAGTCTAAGTCTCTTTGTAGGTCACTCAGGACTTGCTTTATGAATCTGGGTGCTCCTGTATTGGGTGCATATATATTTAGGATAGTTAGCTCTTCTTGTTGAATTGATCCCTTTACCATTATGTAATGGCCTTCTTTGTCTCTTTTGATCTTTGTTGATTTAAAGTCAGCTTTATCAGAGACTAGGATTGCAACCCCTGCCTTTTTTTGTTTTCCATTTGCTTGGTAGATCTTCCTCCATCCTTTTATTTTGAGCCTATGCGTGTCTCTGCATGTGAGATGGGTTTCCTGAATACAGCACACTGATGGGTCTTGACTCTTTATCCAATTTGCCAGTCTGTGTCTTTTAATTGGAGCATTTAGTCCATTTACATTTAAAGTTAATATTGTTATGTGTGAATTTGATCCTGTCATTATGATGTTAGCTGGTTATTTTGCTCGTTAGTTGATGCAGTTTCTTCCTAGTCTCGATGGTCTTTACATTTTGGCGTGATTTTGCATTGGCTGGTACCGGTTGTTCCTTTCCATGTTTAGTGCTTCCTTCAGGAGCTCTTTTAGGGCAGGCCTGGTGGTGACAAAATCTCTCAGCATTTGCTTGTCTGTAAAGTATTTTATTTCTCCTTCACTTATGAAGCTTAGTTTGGCTGGATATGAAATTCTGGGTTGAAAATTCTTTTCTTTAAGAATGTTGAATATTGGCCCCCACTCTCTTCTGGCTTGTAGAGTTTCTGCTGAGAGATCCGCTGTTAGTCTGATGGGCTTCCCTTTGTGGGTAACCCAACCTTTCTCTCTGGCTGCCCTTAACATTTTTTCCTTCATTTCAACTTTGGTGAATCTGACAATTATGTGTCTTGGAGTTGCTCTTCTCGAGGAGTATCTTTCTCACGTTCTCTGTATTTCCTGAATCTGAATGTTGGCCTGCCTTGCTAGATTGGGGAAGTTCTCCTGGATAATATCCTGCAGAGTGTTTTCCAACTTGGTTCCATTCTCCCCGTCACTTTCAGGTACACCCATCAGACGTAGATTTGGTCTTTTCACATAGTCCCATATTTCTTGGAGGCTTTGTTCGTTTCTTTTTATTCTTTTTTCTCTAAACTTCCCTTCTCGCTTCATTTCATTCATTTCATCTTCCATCGCTGATACCCTTTCTTCCAGTTGATCGCATCGGCTCCTGAGGCTTCTGCATTCTTCACATAGTTCTCGAGCCTTGGCTTTGAGCTCCATCAGCTCCTTTAAGCACTTCTCTGTATTGGTTATTCAAGTTATACATTCGTCTAAATTTTTTTCAAAGTTTTTAACTTCTTTGCCTTTGATTTGAATTTCCTCTTGTAGCTTGGAGTTTGATCGTCTGAAGCCTTCTTCTCTCAACTCGTCAAAGTAATTCTCCATCCAGCTTTGTTCCATTGCTGGTGAGGAACTGCGTTCCTTTGTAGGAGGAGAGGCACTCTGCTTTTTAGAGTTTCCAGTTTTTCTGCTCTGTTTTTTCCCCATCTTTGTGGTTTTATCTACTTTTGGTCTTTGATGATGGTGATGTACAGATGGGTTTTTGGTGTGGATGTCCTTTCTGTTTGTTAGTTTTCCTTCTAACAGACAGGACCCTCAGCTGCAGGTCTGTTGGAGTTTGCTAGAGGTCCACTCCAGACTTGTTTGCCTGGGTATCCGCATTGGTGTTTGCAGAACAGCAGCTTTTCGTGAGCCGCGAATGCTGCTGTCTGATCATTCCTCTGGAAGTTTTGTCTCAGAGGAGTACCCGGCCGTGTGAAGTGTCAGTCTGCCCCTACTGGGGGGTGCCTCCCAGTTAGGCTGCTCAGGGGTCAGGGGTCAGGGGTCAGGGACCCACTTGAGGAGGCAGTCTGCCCGTTCTCAGATCTCCAGCTGCCTGCTGGGAGAACCACTGCTCTCTTCAAAGCTGCCAGACAGGGACATTTAAGTCTGCAGAGGTTGCTGCTGTCTTTTTGTTTGTCTGTGCCCTGCCCCCAGAGGTGGAGCCTACAGAGGCAGGCAGGCCTCCTTGAGCTGTGGTGGGCTCCACCCAGTTCGAGCTTCCCGGCTGCTTTGTTTACCTCAGCAAGCCTGGGCAATGGCGGGCGCCCCTCCCCCAGCCTCGCTGCCGCCTTGCAGTTTGATCTCAGACTGCTGTGCTAGCAATCAGCGAGACTCCGTGGGCGTAGGACCCTCCGAGCCAGTTGCAGGATATAATCTCGTGGTGCGCCGTTTTTTAAGCCTGTCGGAAAAGCGCAGTGTTCGGGTGGGAATGACCCGATTTTCCAGGTGCCGTCCGTCACCCCTTTCTTTGACCTGGAAAGGGAACTCCCTGACCCCTTGCGCTTCCCAAGTGAGGCACTGCCTCGCCCTGCTTCCGCTCGCACGCGGTGCGCTGCACCCACTGGCCTGCGCCCACTGTCTGGCACTCCCTAGTGAGATGAACCCGGTACCTCAGATGGAAAAGCAGAAATCACCCGTCTTCTGCGTCGCTCACGCTGGGAGCTGTAGACCGGAGCTGTTCCTGTTCGGCCATCTTGGCTCCTCAGAGTGGCTGATTTTCAAGAGGACATGAAGATACAACAAATGGTGAGTGTCTTGTGATGGAGCTTCCTGTATTTTGAATTACACTTTCTAGCTGGATTCTACTTACCTAAAACACACACACGCACACACACACACACACACACTTCTTTTTAGCTGTTGGAAAAAAATGACCTCTATACTATTGATTCCTCCATAATTTTCCAGCCCTTAATAATATTGTATTTATGGGACAAAATGACTGTTGCCTCAATCTTGCAAACCACAAGACTATGAACTTTATGTAGCAGAGTTTTTGTGCATGGCTTACTTAAAATCTTTCCTCCTACTTTGGACAATTCTTTGGGAACTATATTATTCTGTTCCTTGTGGTCCCAGTTAGACTGTCAGTCCAGGTAGGGGATTTAGGGTTAGTTATAAGGTTGATATGACAATGGTTATAAAGGGTTTCCCTTTGGTTGATTATAGAACATTTTACTAGGAGGATGTCTATTTATACCTCCACAATTAAGACTATAACATGTTTGGCCAGCAGGGATTTGCAAGTTTTTAACTGGTAAATCACAAGGAGTACTTAATTTCATGCTTTTATTAGAAAGTGCCTACAGAAGGAAAAAGGTAACAATAACCTGGTAGAGCACCATACCCAGTAAAGATATTGGTGCCCTGAAATTGAGTACCATGCAGACATGCAGACATGCATCAGAAGCTACTTCCAGGCAGTACATTTCCAGCTGGGCAGTGTTTATCCACTGTCTTAAGAAAAAATAACTGCAAAAAGTGTTTTTCCTTGTAAGTCCAAAGAGAACCAGTAAATATTTAACAAACATCTATTTATTGAGTAGACAGAGATTAGTCATGATCTATAATTTAGGAATTAACACAAAACACATATTTTGTGTGGTAAGGAATACTGAAGAGAAGAATCCTAGAAGTTCAGCCTTTTTTTTGAGAAATTGTGTGGTGTAGCATTCAAGCACAGTACATACTAATTTTTAATCAGTTGAGTATGATCATTGCTATTTCGAAATGGGATTGTTTCCAAAGACTAAGTGCCCTTTTCCAATTGAAACAGTTCCTAGAAAAGCAAAAAGTCTTGGGCTGGCAGTAACCAGAAGCCATGCTACTTGCTTTAGAGTGCAATCATCCAGAAGGCAAGGTTTAAAAAAGTAACTAAATTTAATCTGCAAGCATCCAGGGATTTAATCAATGACTTCGTTGTGATTCATATGCCTGCTGTTGGAAGAGTAGAATATCTCCTATTTCCTCCGAAAATGTCCATGCTACATCTTACACTAGTGGGTCTATTTCATGCCTGGAGATTTGAAAAGTGAAGTCATTTAAGAGTTTTAGTGTATGGCTCAATTCTGTCTAAATTTAGTGGTGTACCAGGGCTTCTCCATGTCGCTCAGAATCTGTGATGGGCTTCTCTCCATGGGCAATTCCATAAAAACAGCACTTTGGCTGACATGAGATAAATTTACCAGAAACAATATTTTGCAGCAAACCAGAGGAAGCAATGCAGGGGCAATTTCCAAAGGTGCACAGCTGGTGAGGATGTGTGTGCAATGCTGTTGTTATGAAGACTCTAAATCTAGAAAGATGCCTAATTCTAAGTCATTCATTTTTGGTCAATCACTTTTAGCCTCTTTAAATTTTTAGGCATCATTTTAGCTCCCTTAATGGAACTGTCATGCATGGATTTTTCTAGTACTTAGTTGAAGTTATTTATATTTGCAGTCTGCCTCTAGTTTTCAAGGTTATGATTTCTGCCAATGTGGCCATTGCTACTTGCTCTGTTTTGTTAACTTATCCTTTCTCTGTTTGTTCTAAATTTCCCTCTTTCAAGATATAAGGGAAAGACTGTTGTCCTGGCAAACTGAGATTTAGTGAACATGTTTGTGTTCATCACAGCCCTACCTTTTATGAGTTTTATAGACTTCAGTCATATCCCCTGTCAGCTTCAGTGTTTGCAGATGGAATCATACTAAGCCTCTAAGGCTGTCTGCATACAGCAACGGCTCTGGACTTTTAATCATCCTGTTCTTCTTCTTTGAGCCTTTTTCTGCTGTGTTTTTATTTTATTGAAATGCAGAGACCTGGACAGTGGGCAATATCCTTACTGCAATTTTAAATATATATATTTCAAATATATATACACTTACAAATATACATATATTCTTTTATGTATATGTATACATATATACATTATATATCATAATGTATATAGTATATATGTATATACCTAATATATACATATGTTGTGTATGTATATATTGTACATAACATACAGTGTATATATACATATATAAGTGAATATGTGTATAATCGTAAGTATATATAATTTGTTTATATATACATATATAGTATATATACACATTGACTATAGGTATATTTATAAGATATCTGTATATTTATAATATATATTCATTTGTATACATGTATATATGCATATACAAGTGAATATGTATTCACGTATGTATATATGTGTATATATACACACACATATATGAATATATATGGATATATATTCATTTTCCGTAAACTTTGTGGGGACCATTCTCAGAATATTTAATATTTTACCAGCGTTTTACTAATCCCAATATGTGTACATACTTAAAAGGTGAAAGAATGACCTCTTAAATCAAAATTTCCTAATACGAATTTACTGTGAGAGATAAAAGGATTTGAAGCCTTATACAAATGTAGACTATGCCTACATAAGAAATAGATTTGACACTCCACCTGTGTCTTCTTGGAGTCAGCTGGTGTTATATCCAATATATCCTGCAGAAGAGGAGCCCTTGCTAATGTGGATGGCCCTCCCAGGTGGCCAGCATTTTCTGGAATTCTCCTGTTGGGTCAAGATAGTTAGAATTGCCAAGTTAGTTTGAGGATGCCAAACTGCTGTAACGAATAAAATAAAAATGAATAATGTTCTGGCTTAATAGAAGTTGTCTTCTTGCTAACAATCTAAGATGTGGTACCTAGTTATCAGGATTGGATGGAAGGGGTTCTCTGCTCCAAGCAATCTTTTTTTAAAAAAATTGACAACCAATAACAGTATATATTTATGGGGTACAAGGTGATGTTCTGATATATTTATACATTGGAGAAAGAACAAATCAAGCCAATTAACATATCAATCAGCTACTCTTTTAGCAATTTTGAAATACACCATGCATTATTAACTATGTTCTCCATGCTGTGCACTAGATCAGTGAAACTTTCTTCGAACTGAAAGTTTGTACCTTTTGACCAACATCTCACTGTTTCCCCACAACCAGCCCCTGGTAACCACCATTCTACTCTCTGCTTCAGTGAGTTCAATATTTTTAGATTCCACATGTAAGTGAGAACATGCAGTATTTGTCTTTCTGTGCCTGGCTTATTTCACAGAGCATAATGTCCTCCAGGTTCATCCATGTTGTTCGAAATGACAGAATTTCCCTTTTATTTAAAAGTTTATCTAGTGTTCCATTGTGTATATATAAGCCATATTTTCTGCATCTATTCATCCGCTAAGGGATAGATACCCAAAAATTGGATTGCTGGATCATATGGTAATTGTGTTTTTAATTTTTTGAAGACTCTTTATACTGTTTTCCAAAATGCTGTACTAATTCACATTCTTACCAACTATGTATAACGGTTCCCTTTTCTCCACATCATTGCCAACACTTATCTTTCATCTTTTTGATAATAGCCATTCTAATAGGTGTGAGGTGATGTCTCATTGTGGTTTTAATTTGCATTTCCCTGGTGATTAGAGATGTTGAGCATTTTTTCATAAATCTGCTGGCCATTCATATGTCTTCTTTGTAGAAATGTCTGTTCTGGTCCTTTTTTCCAGTTTTTACTTGTGTTGTTTGTTTTACTGCTATTGAATTGAGTTCCTTATACATTTTGGAATTGGCCCCTTATCAGATGTATGGTTTGCCAGTATTTTCTCACAGTCATCTGTGGTTTGTCTCTTCACTCTGATCATTGTTTCCAAGCCATCTTTTCAGGACTCATCTTCAATGCATGGTGTCCAAGGTTTCCCTGTGGGGAAGTGGTAGGGTTTATTTCTATCCCAGGCCACAGAAAGTGAGAGAAACACAGAGGAAATTCATTGGAGAAATTTGTGAGCCAGTCTTGGAAGTGGCACACATCACTTCTGTTCATTAACTATTGTCTAGAATATGTCCAGGAACTGCACCTAACTGAAAGATAGGCTGTGAAGTACTGTTTGGCCAAGTGCCAGTGAAAAAGAGGCAATCGATTTGGTGAAGAAGTAGCCATCTTCCTAATATCTACATTGTACATTTTGGCTTTAGTCTTTTCAGCATGGGTCCCATATTTCAATGCAGACCAAAGCTTCAATTTTGGAAGGTCTAGGGGAAACCAAGGCAATACCGGAACAAGCCAAAGTTTAGTGCCTAAGGAAATACAGTTGGGTGTGGAGGTAAATGCCACATCTTGCTTATGCCAAACATCAGAGAAAGACTCTATTGTTTATTTTTTTGCTTGTTTTGAGACAGAGTCTTGCTCTGTCACCTCAGATGGCGTGCAGTGGTGCGATCGTAGCTCACTGCAGCCTCGACCTCCTGGACTCAAGCTATCCTCTCACCTCAGCGTCCCGAGTAGCTGAGACTACAACCACCGCCAAGACACCCAGCTCATTTAAAAAAAAATTTTTTTAGTGACAGGGTCTCGCTTTATTGCCCAGGCTGGTCTCAAACTCCTGGCCTCAAGCAATTTTCTTGCCTTGGTCTCCCAAAGTGCTGAGGTTACAGGTGTGAGCCTCCACACCTGGGCATGACCAGATTTTTTTAAGTAGATGGAGAGGAAGGTCAGAAAGTTAAATGTGTCACAACTTGAAATACAAAGCTTTGTGAGGACTAATCAAAAAGCTGAGCCAAGAAGAGCAGGCTGAATATTCTCCTGACTGCAGGGAGGAGAGGGAAAGACTTTCATATGGCCAAAGTTATAAACTAAGCCAATACTTGGGAGAATTCATAGAAACCTCTGCTTTAGTTCCAGGTTTATGTATCTTTAAATCTTATGACAAATTAATCTTTCCCTGAATGTTTTAGTAACAGAAACATAAATCCTTGTTGTGAAATCACTATTTGTATATCCTTGTACCTCCTTCCTTTGATTTCAGGTGTCATTTCCATGCAGATACATCCCACTGTACATTGACTTAGTTTCTAGTTTCTAATTTCCAACTCTGGTTGAATAGTTTCACCTTGAGACACCACTAGCTCTTCAATATTTTTCTTCTGAACAAGTACAAATGGCAATAGTTAAAGAAACATGAATATATGACCAGGGAGATGCTAAGTGCTTTGCCTGAATTAATTCAAAATCATAAAAATCCCCATGACCTAGGAAATATTATGATCCATATTTCACAGAGATGAAACTAAGGGTTAGAAGTTAAATAACCTTGTCTAGCTCACATCTTTGGAGCAAAGATAGAGCTGGAATCCCAAAGGTAAGCTGTCTGAAGAAAAGTAGCCTTAATTTATTTCAGTTGTGAAAATCACATATAAGTTATTTGTGCCACACTCATTGGGCAGCTCTTCCTGAATCAATAATCCTTAACCCTCAGGCAGGGCAAGCACGTTTTTGAACAGCTTTATCTATTGCCTGTTTCTTATGTTCATTCTGTATTTCAGCCAACCTGATTATGCCTTCCTCTTTCTATTTTTTTTCAAAGACAAGGTCTCACTCTGTTGCCCAGGATGGAGTGCAGCGATGTGATCAGAGCTCACTATAACCCCAAACTCCTGGACTCAAGCAATCTGCCCCTCAGACTCCCAAGCAGCTGGGATTACAGGTGTGCACTATCGGGCTCAGCTAATTTTTAAATTTTTTGTAGAGATGGGGTTTTGCTGTGTTTCCCAGGCTGGTCTCAAACTCCTGGCCTCAAGTGAACCTCCTGCCTTAGCCTCCCAAAGTGCTGGGATTATAGTCATGAGCCACTGCACTTGGCTTTGTTCTTTGTATTTTTACTTAAAACAATTCACACGAGGCCTGACATGGCAGCTCACACCTGTAATCCCAGCTACTCAGGAGGCTGAGATGGGAGGATCACTTGAGACCAGGAAGTTGGGGCTGCAGTGAGCTGAGATCATGCCTCTGCACTCCAGCCTGGGTGACAGAGCGAGACCTTGTCCCAAAACAACAAAAACTCCAAAAACCAAAAAAAAAAAAAAAAAAAGACCAATTCACATGATTATACATCTCCTTTTTACACAGTTATAGATATCAAAAGCAGCTCATAATTTAAGATTAAGTTAAATACTACATTTTCCACCTGCCTTTCTTAATTATCTCAGCCCAAGTCACATAGCTTCCTCTGAATTTGACAGTTACTGATACCATGTGCTACCTAGTATCAACAATGGAATTTCTCTTTAGCAGACTTTAAACTTTTTATGAAAAACCCACATAATTAATGGGGGGTGTCCCCAGTAGATGCTAAATAAGGATTTTCCACCTTGGTTAAGAAGGGTTTTATTGTTTCTGGTAAGGCATATCTAATTTATCTATTTATCTCCTGAGCCATGATTCATGGTGGAATATTACCGCCACCTGGTTTATTTCTTGCCAAAAAAGAGTACCAATACTGAAGCCTCTAATGAGTGATTCTCAAGTGTTTTCCAACCTCCGTAAGTTAGAGATAGATCAGAATTACCTGTGTGTTATTGTTTTGAGACTGTTGACTCACACACTTGATGCTGAGATGAAGTGGGACATAATCCCTGATTTGAAACTAGCAGTTATATTGACCTGTTGTTATCAGTGAGAACCTGTTAACTTTTTAAAGGAACAAGGCAAGTTGCTTTGGGAAAAATGTTTAAGGAACCACATGTCTAAAGTCTAAAGTACAACTACCAAGTTAGCAGTCTAAGTATATATAATTCCATCAGTGGATGATATTTGATGCTTTGCCATTTTTTTTTCTCAAATCTGTATTTTTGTTTTTTCTTATTTTCTTACTTATGTCCTCTGTTTTACTTGATGGCTCAAATATTATTGGCTTTTTCCCTCCTCTGGTTATTTAGAAATTATATCAAACAAAATATATTTGGATACTTAGCTCTATACTAGCATCAACTGCCCTCTGCCCCTTAGTAATGAGAGATTTAGCACAATCTTCAGTAGCATTTAACTTCACTTTGCATAGATTTGTATTAAAATGAATTGAGTTTTTAGATCAAGACTAGTGTAACCATGTTAGTTACAATGTATTATATATGTTATATATAACATATTTCATTATGTTTTAATGTATAAATGCTACATCGTTTTTTTCTCTTCTAAGATTTAGTTTTGGCTCTTGTCTTATGCTTAGTCACCATGATATCATCCAGTGTTCAGACATTAGCCAAGAGTTTCACTGTTCCGTTGCTCACTGACCTTTTGTTTATACGTATAACTTCTCTTCATGGGGATATTAATTTGATTCATCTATTAGCTTATTGGAGTACTTGAGTATTTTAAAGATCAGCATCCATTTAAAATTCTTGCATGACAGAATATTTTCCTTGTTTGGTTGTAGAATTTGTGAGTTACAATGCTAGGTCCCCAAATCCTCATGTCCTTTTCACAGCTTATACTTTGGAGGAGAATTATGGACCTAACTTGATATTTTCTCAAAGAAAATATCAAAAATATCAAAATATCAAAAATATCTTATTTCTTAAAGATATGGAGGATTGAAGTCTTCATATTTGTGAGGAATGGAGAAGTTCTTCTTCAAAGTTTCTTAAAACCATAAAGAGCTTGGCATTTCTTTGCTCTATGCATGTCTATATATGTTCCAGTGGAGCTCTTCTGACTTGACCTGGCATGCCTGGACAGGCTTAAGCGAGCCCCGAACCATAGTGCATGACATTCCTTATTTGGAAACCCTCCTAACCCTCTCATGACTAGCTTCCTCTTTTCTTTGTTCTCTTTCCCCTTTGCCTCTTTAGAACAGTTTCAAGCTGTTAGCCAATCGTGTCAAGCTTAGAAGGTGAGGTCCTGTTCCAGCCAATGGAAATGGGACACAGCCATAGGACGATTGCATCAGGTTACAAAGATTATAAATGTCCCTGTCTCCTTTGTTTGGGTGTGCTCTCATGGCAAGACTGCTAGCAAGAGGGCACCCTTTCTGCAGAAAATAAGCTAGCCTTGCTGAGAGATCCTTTGTCTCAGTGGTGATTTCGTGACACCAAGCACCCATTTCCAACAATATTTTTTTCATGGCTTTGAATTTAAGCATTTTCTCAAGATATATTTAGGCATGGGTTTAGTTTAATTAATTTAGAGCTCCCACTGACGTGAAGATGAAAGACTCCTTTTTTTTACAGTATGACACTATAGCTTAGCTAACTCTATCACCATGTCTAGTTCCTTTCCTCTTAATTTGCCTCTTTCCAAAGGCTATGAAAATAACTAGATTCATCTACCTTTTCTGCAGCGATGAGTGTCCATGTGCTGTGAGAGTGGCCAATGAAACATATGTATCATTTATTGTTGTCCGTTTTTCTTTTCCCTTTTATTTCTGCTTAGAAATTTAGCACGATATCTATAGGCTCAGCAGACATTCGATGACCATGCAGATAAAACCACTTGTGAGTAAAGACAGAAGAAGTCAATGTCATAGGTACATTTCTTGAATAACCATAAACACACCAATCCCTATAGTTTCCAGAGATGAATCAACCTTGTATTCATCAGGTTTCCCTAGAGAAAGAGAACCAATAGGATGGATAGATGATTGATAGATAGATAGATAGATAGATAGATAGATAGATAGATAGATAGAATAAATGAATGAGTAGAAGGTAAGTAGGTAAGTAGGTAGGTAGGTAGGTAGAGAGATAGATGGATATAGAGATAGATGAATAGATATAGATATATAGATAGATATGATGGATGGATGAAGAAGTATATGTGATAGATGAATAGCTAGGTAGCTGAATAGATAGATCTGATAGCTAGCTGGATAGATAGTTAAATGTGATTGATGAATAGAGAGATAGATATGATAGATGGATAGCTAAGTGGCTGGATAAACAGATCTGATAGCTAGCTGGATGAATAGATAGATAGATAGATAGATAGATAGATAGATAGATAGATAGACAGACAGACAGACAGACAGATAGATAGAATACATGAATAGATAGGTGATAGATAGACAAGTAGAGAGAGATATGGAGAGATGGATAGAGAGATAGAGAAACGGGGATTTATTGGAGGAGTTGGCTCAGACAATTAGGAGGCTGAGAAGTCCCACCACAGGCTATCTACAAGCTGGAGAACCAGGGAAGCTAATAGCATGGCTCAGTCCAAGGGACTTCCCTCAGAACCAGGGAAGCTGATGGTGTAATTATCAGTTCAGCGCTAGAGGCCTGAGATCCCGCAGACAATAAGCAGAGTGAGAGGGGCATTGTTGGTTCAAGTCCTGGAGTCCAAAGGGTGAAGAAGCTGGGGTGATGATGTCCAAGAACAGGAGAAGTGTCTCCCAGCTCCACAAGAGAAAGATTATGCAAATTCATTTGCCTTTCTCTGTTTTTTCTTCTATCCGGGCCTACAGATGATTGAATGGTGCCCACCCATACTGGATGATGGTGGATCCTTACTCAGTCCACTGATTCAAATGCCGGTCTCTTCCAAAAACTCCCTGACAGGCACACCCTGAAATCATGCTTGAAGAGCTATCTGAGTATCTCTCAATCCACTCAAGTTGACATCTAAAACTAACCATCACAAACCCCTTGTCTATTTAAGTTACCCTAGCAGAGCTTTGTGTGACTCATAGCCAAAGGATATGGTAACAGCTAAAGGAAGTCCTGACACATGGTTTTTCATACATCTGTGTTTGGAGTCAAGACCAAATACTCTGTATCTACTACTGTATCTAAGAGGAAAGTCACCGTGGCCTTCAGGTCTGCACATTTACACACAAAGTTCAAAGATCCTAATAGAAAACTATCAATTGTACTTTTAAATAAGGCACCCTAAAGATATTTTGTAACATATCTGATAAACTCTAGGTCATTCACCTCTAGGAGTTGTGTAGTTTCAATGCTACAAAAACTTTTCAGTGACAAAAATGGCTTTGCTTTGCTACAAAAATTTTTCAGTGACAAGAATGGATTTGCTTTGCTACAAAAATTTTTCAGTGACAAGAATGGCTTTGCTTTGTGAAAATATTGATGGGGTTTCTGGTCAATGCATTGGCACTTAATTTCTCCTATGTGTAAAGACATATTTCAGGGTTTGCAAATAGTAGCTTCCATCCCAAGTCATTCAAGAAAGAAAATGCAACTACTGAGGATGCTTTTAATCCTCAGTAACGTGCATTTGAAAAACCACATCTAAATGGTTTGCTATTGGCCTGAGTGACAGATCAATATAGCGAGCAGAATGTCAGCAAAAATGACCAGATAGACATGGGAATTTAGTCAATGTTAGTGTTATATTTTAGAAACATGAATAATTAAAAAAATACAGATGTTGGGGCAACTAAAAAACCATTTGGAAAAATAACACAACTGGTATTCCTTTCTTACAATTTGCACCAAAATAAATTATATGTAATGTAAACATCTACTTAAAAAATGAAAATATAGCCCAGGTGCGGTGGCTTATGCTTGTAATCCCAGCACTTTGGGAGGCCGAGGCGGGCGGATCACGAGGTCAGGAGTTCAAGACCAGCCTGACCAACACAGTGAAACTCCGTCTGTACTAAATATACAAAAAAATTAGCTGGGCGTGGTGGCAGGCACCTGTAATCCCAGCTATTTGGGAGGCTGAGGCATGAGAATCACTTGAACCCAGGAGGTGGAGGTTGCAGTGAGCTGAAATCGTGCCACTGGACTCCAGCCTGGGTGACAAAGCGAGACTCAGTCTGGAGGAAAAAAAAAAAGAAATCATTTGATAGCTTTTTGAGGGGGTAAGAGGGGCTTGGAAACAGCTTTTCTTATCACTGTTAAGCCCAGAAGTCAAAAAGAAAATGTATTATAAGTTGATGTCTTCCAAATAGTGAAGTCTGTCTCTCTCTCTCTCTCTCTCACACACACACACACACACACACACACACACACACACACTCACCATTGCATAAGCAATCTAAAAGTGAAATGAAAATTTGGAGGGAAAAATAGTACTTAGAACAGTATGTCTAGTTAAGTTGCTTTTCTTTCTAAAATAAGGTCTCTTAGAAATAAAAAAGAAAAAGATCACAACTCAAGTCAAATATGGACAAGAGTATGAACAAGAAGTTTAAAGAAAATAAAGTACCAATGGCGAATGACAAAGATTCTCTGTCTGGCCAAACTGTAGTCAGGCTTCTGAATCTTCTCCTAGGCCCACCTGTGTACCTCCCTGTAAAATCCAGTTTTAGCAGAGAACCCTGCTAAGTCAGTTTGGCAGGAACTCCCCACACTCGATATCCTATCACCCTCAATACCTGAGTGAGTTCCTCATCCTCCACCCTCCCCAGGTGATATCTGGTGACTCTGGCCTGTCTTCAGCTAGAATCCTGTTAGATGGGTTTATCCAGAACCTCCTTTACCCCTGATGTTTCCTTCTAGTCATTTTCCATCCAATGTCCAAATTTCTACTGACCCTCCCTCTGCTCCTTGGCTATAAATTCCCACTTGCCCATGCTATATTCAGAGTTGAGCCCAATCTCTCTCCCTCACTGCAAGACCCCATACTGTCTTTCTCCTCCTTCTTCTCTCTTCTCCCTCCATCCTTTCTCCCAGACCTCCACCCCATCTCTTCTTCCTCTTCCTCCTCCTTTCCCCCACGCAATGCAAATTTCCAGGAAGAATCGGAAACCGCTGGTTTCCATGGCTATGGGCCCTACACCTAACTCAAAGGTCCTGATTAAAGTCTTCCTTACCATGCTTTAACAAGTATCATTGAATATTATTTTCTTTAACACAAATATGCATAGAAAATATTCAATTCTACGGAACACTGAAGAAATTTTTAAAAGCTAAGATGCTTTTTACACCTATTAGATTAGCAGGGATCAAAAGTGGGGTAATCTCAGTGTTGATGAAAAGCACAGGTGAAGATTAGGCAGGGCCACGATGCCCCTGCTCACTGAACCCTACTTGAAAACAACCTCTCTGGTCATTCTCCAGGCTGTGCTGTGGCTTGGGCAAAAACTGACCTTGACAGAGACCCTGAGATCCATCAAAAAGCCAAACATGAGTCTCTGCCTTTGTTCATTCCCAATGAAATTATTTGTGGTATAACACAATGCATGCTTACATGGTCATTATTAGAACTGAGCAATGCAAACTGTGATTTGCTTTTCATGTTGTTAAAAATAATAACTGCCAGCAAGGTGTTAAATTTAGTACAAGACACAGCAGCTGTTCAACTCATTTTTGCAAATTATTTTCATATATGGCTTACAAAGTACCACCACTCTGAGGTAAACACAGTCCTGTAGATTGTAAGCATTTAAGCTGCGTGACAGATGGCTGCTTCTCATTTCTTGATGTGTTTTGTAATGGAAATTTAATGGGGAAAATGCTAATAATAATGCTGTTAATTTACTGCCTTTTCCCTAGGAGCTTCAAACACTTGACAAACATTACATAATTAATGGTTAAATATTATACAAACATTCACGGGAAGTGGGAAAGAAGAAAGGAGTTGAAGCGTCATTCTGTGGTTGCAAACAACGTGGTGTTGTGTTCACATGCAGGTGCTCTCCCAACACAAAGACAACTTAACTCATGAACCGCTGCTTTATGAGCAGCGGTTTCCAATTCTTCCTGGATATTCGCATTGCATGGGAGAAAGGAGGAGGAAGAGACAGGGTGGAGGATGGGGAGAAAGGATGGAGGGAGAAGAGAGAATAAGGAGAAAGACAAGAGGCAATAGCATTCTAATCTCCTCTGACAAACACCCTTCACACCCTAATTTAATTCCCATGAGTTGGAGGAAGTGATCCTCTTTTTAACCACAGCTAGGTACGTCTAATAGATGAGACTTCTCCATCCTTATGCTCAGATACTCCACCCTAATTGTGATGGTTAATAGTTAATACTGAGTATCAACTTGATTGGATGGAAGGATACAAACTATTGATCCTGGGTGTGTCTGTGAGGGTGTTGCCAAAAGAGATTAACATTTGAGTCAGTGGGCTGGGGAAGGCAGATCCACCCTCAATCTGGTGGGCACAATCTAATCAGCTGCCAGCAAATACAAAGCAAGCAGAAAAATGTGAAAGGAGAGACTGGCCTAGCCTCCCAGCCTGCATCTTTCTCCCATGCTGGATGCTTCTGCCCTCGAACACTGGACTCCAAGTTCTTTAGTTTTGGGACTCGGGCTGGCTTTCCTTGCTCCTCAGCTTACAGACAGCCTATTATGGGACCTTGTGATTGTGTAAGTTAATACTTAATAAACTCATATATATATACATGAGTTTATATATTATATATTTTATATATATATTAACTAATATATCCTATTAGTTCTGTCCCTCTAGAGAACCTTGACTAATACACTACTTTGTAAAGTCAATGACAGAACTCAAACACACTTGTTGCATCCTCCATTAAAGACCCCCGTTAGCATTCATATCCCTTCTTAAGAGAGATTTGGCCAGGCACTGGGGCTCACGCCTGTAATCCTGGCACTTTGGGAGGCCGAGGCAGGCAGATCACCTGAGGTCAGAAGTTGGAGACCAGCCTGGCCAACATGGTGAAACCCCGTTTCTACTAAAAACACAAAAATTAGCCAGGCACAGTGGCGCATGCCTGTAATCCCAGCTGCTCTGGAGACTGAGGTAGGAGAATCACTTGAACCTGGGAGGCAGAGGTTGCAGTGCGCCGAGAGTGTGCCACTCCACTCCAGTGTCGGCAACAGAGGGAGACCCTGTCTCAAAAAAGAAAAACATAAATAAAGAGAGAGTAGTTTTGGGTACAAGATTTCCAAACCTCAAAATCAAGAGTTATGGCAACCTTCAAGTCTTGCTTGTCTCACCAATGTGGTGAGTTTTAGCGCTGCATGAAGCTAAAGTATTGCCTTTGAATGGAGGATGTGGACCACATTCCATCCTTGGCCGAAGGCAGAACGCACCCAGGATTGCACAGAATCATAAAAAACCTGAGCTGTAGGAATAAAATGTGGTTCCCTACAGTGGATGCCTTTCATTCAAAATTCCAAAGCAAGCCTTCAGAAGGATTTTTTTTTTTTTTCGAAGCTGATGTTTTAATTTTAATTTTTTTTTTATTTTTTTTTTTAATTTTTTTTTTAATTGATCATTCTTGGGTGTTTCTCGCAGAGGGGGATTTGGCAGGGTCACAGGACAATAGTGGAGGGAAGGTCAGCAGATAAACAAGTGAACAAAGGTCTCTGGTTTTCCTAGGCAGAGGACCCTGCGGCCTTCCGCAGTGTTTGTGTCCCTGGGTACTTGAGATTAGGGAGTGGTGATGACTCTTAAGGAGCATGCTGCCTTCAAGCATCTGTTTAACAAAGCACATCTTGCACCGCCCTTAATCCATTCAACCCTGAGTGGATACAGCACATGTTTCAGATAGCACAGGGTTGGGGGTAAGGTCACAGATCAACAGGATCCCAAGGCAGAAGAATTTTTCTTAGTACAGAACAAAATGAAAAGTCTCCCATGTCTACTTCTTTCTACACAGACACGGCAACCATCCGATTTCTCAATCTTTTCCCCACCTTTCCCCCCTTTCTATTCCACAAAACCGCCATTGTCATCATGGCCAGTTCTCAATGAGCTGTTGGGTACACCTCCCAGATGGGGTGGCGGCCGGACAGAGGGGCTCCTCACTTCCCAGTAGGGGCGGCCGGGCAGAGGCGCCCCTCACCTCCCGGACGGGGCGGCTGGCCGGGCGGGGGGCTGACCCCCCCACCTCCCTCCCGGACAGAGCGGCTGGCCGGGCGGGGGGCTGACCCCCCCACCTCCCTCCTGGACGGGGCGGCTGGCCGGGCAGAGGGACTCCTCACTTCCCAGTAGGGGCGGCCGGGCAGAGGCGCCCCTCACCTCCCGGACGGGGCAGCTAGCCGGGCGGGGGGCTGACCCTCCCACCTCCCTCCTGGATGGGGCGGCTGGCTGGGCAGAGGGGCTCCTCACTTCCCAGTAGGGGTGGCCGGGCAGAGGCGCCCCTCATCTCCCGGACGGGGCGGCTGGCCGGGCAGGGGGCGGACCCCCCCACCTCCCTCCCGGACAGGGCGGCCGGCCGGGCAGAGGGGCTCCTCACTTCCCAGTAGGGGCGGCCGGGCAGAGGCGCCCCTCACCTCTCGGACGGGGCGGCTGGCCAGGTGGGGGGCTGACCCCCCCACCTCCCTCCTGGACGGGGCGGCTGGCTGGGCGGGGGGCTGACCCCCCCACCTCCCTCCCGGACGGGGCGGCTGGCCGGGCGGGGAGCTGACCCCCCCACCTCCCTCCTGGACTGAGCGGCTGGCCGGGCAGAGGGGCTCCTCACTTCCCAGTAGGGGCGGCCGGGCAGAGGCGCCCCTCACCTCTTGGACGGGGCGGCTGGCCGGGCAGGGGGCTGACCCCCCCACCTCCCTCCTGGACTGAGCGTCTGGCCGGGCAGAGGGGCTCCTCACTTCCCAGTAGGGGCGGCCGGGCAGAGGCGCCCCTCACCTCTCGGACGAGGCGGCTGGCTGGGCAGGGGGCTGACCCCCCCACCTCCCTCCTGGACTGAGCGGCTGGCCGGGCAGAGGGGCTCCTCACTTCCCAGTAGGGGCGGCCGGGCAGAGGCGCCCCTCACCTCCCGGACGGGGCGGCTGGCCGGGCGGGGGGCTGACCCCCCCACCTCCCTGCCGGACGAGGTGGCTGCCGGGCAGAGACGCTCCTCACTTCCCAGACGGGGTGGCTGCCGGGCGGAGGGGCTCCTCACTTCTCAGACGGGGCGGTTGCCGGGCGGAGGGTCTCCTCACTTCTCAGACGGGGCGGCTGGGCAGAGACGCTCCTCACATCTCAGACTATGGGCGGCTGGGCAGAGACGCTCCTCACTTCCCAGATGGGATGGCGGCCGGGAAGAGGCGCTCCTCACTTCCTAGATGGGATGGCGGCCGGGCAGAGACGCTCCTCACTTTCCAGACTGGGCAGCCAGGCAGAGGGGCTCCTCACATCCCAGACGATGGGCGGCCGGGCAGAGACGCTCCTCACTTCCCAGACGGGGTGGCGGCCGGGCAGAGGCTGCAATCTCGGCACTTTGGGAGGCCAAGGCAGGCTGCTGGGAGGTGAAGGTTGTAGCGAGCCGAGATCACGCCACTGCACTCCAGCCTGGGCACCATTGAGCACGGAGTGAACCAGACTCCGTCTGCAATCCCGGCATCTCAGGATGCCGAGGCTGGCGGATCACTCGCGGTTAGGAGCTGGAGACCAGCCCAGCCAACACAGCGAAACCCCGTCTCCACCAAAAAAATACGAAAACCAGTCAGGCGTGGCGGCACGCGCCTGCAATCGCAGGCAGTCGGCAGGCTGAGGCAGGAGAATCAGGCAGCAGTACCGTCCAGCTTCAGCTCGGCATCAGAGGGAGACCGTGGAGAGAGGGAGAGGGAGACCGTGGAGAGAGGGAGAGGGAGAGGGAGAGCCAGAAGGATTTTATGAATGTCCTTTTGTGTGAGGATTAATAGATAAATAAGAAGTTTATTAACTGGAAAAATGCTTTTTGTTTGGTAAACCGTAAGTGACTCTCATGAGTGAGAACGCAACGCAGCTATAGTAACCCAAAATTTCTCTAATAAATCAATATATAATTGTTGCTGCTGTGACTGCACAAAATTAATGAATAGAGCAGCTTGGAGCAGCTTTATTTGTAGGTCCTTCTGTTTGAAGCACAATCAGTCTACTTATTCAATGATCAGGCCTGGGAAACTTAGCCTGAAAACCAAAACATCCATAGCTGAGCAGTTTCTAAACAAAAATCCTAAAGAGAGATGAATTCCTATCTCACAGCGAAAGGTAGCTCTGAAATGAAGCTCCTTGATGACATCTCATACTTGTAACAGAGATTTCAAAAATCTGTTCATTTCATCTAGGGAACATTTTTCTGCAAAGGCTGGTTTGAGTGGTTATGTGATCCAGTATATCATTCTGCACTACACACAATGATGGGCAATGTTAAAAACAGATGAAAATGGCTGTCTTCCAAGTCCAGCTATGAACCTCCCCACGGGATGTTGCTGGACAGTACTTCGGTAGCACAGTTATTCTACAAAAAAAAAAAAAAAAAAAAGTCCTTTCCTCAAAGAAGGGTTGAAATGATGCTCCGGTTTGATGACTTGGGAGTCTGTAGAATTCTTTTTTTGTTTGTTTGTTTGTTCGTTTGTTTTGTTTTGTTTTGTTTTGTTTTGAGACAGAGTCTCGCTCTGTTGTCCAGGCTGGAGTGCAGTGGCATGATCTTAGCTCACTGCAACCTCTCCCTCCCGGGTTCAAATGATTCTCCTGCCTCAGCCTCCCAAGTAGCTGGGACTAAAGGCATGCGCCACAAGGCCCAGCTAATTTTTATATTTTTAGTAGAGATGAAGTTTCACCATGTTGGACTGGCTGGTCTCGAACTCCTGACCACAGATGATCCACCTGCCTTGGCCTCCCAAAGTGGGATTACAGGTGCGAGCCACCATGCCCAGCCTGGGAGTCTGTAGAATTCTAATAAATGATATCAAGTGATACTAAGAAAATATATAATCCAAATCATCACTAAGTAAAAGTCCTAAGGCCGGTTATTTTTTTAGCAGCACATGAGGTTCTTCACGGCTTCAGTAGAAACCAGATTTCTTCAACCTTGTCACTCTCGGCATTTGGGGCTGAATAGCTTTGTTGGGGGGAACTACCTTGTGCATTGTAGGATATTTGGAAGAGTCCCTGGTCCCTGCCTAATGCTGGTAGCCCTTTTTTCCCGCAGTTGTGAAAAGAAAAAAATGTCTCCACACATTGCTGACTGTATCACATAAAGTGTGTGTGTACCCACATATAAAATCCCCCCATTTGAGAAGGACTGATATAAATAACACAATTTATATAATTCTTTAAATAGAAACTTACTTGCTGCACTACTCAATATTGATGTTCTTGAAATTAAATACAATCTTATGAGTTCCTCTTATACATATGCTTCCATTCTCATTGTCTTTTTCTGAATTGTCATGAAAAACACTCCAGCATTTTTTAAACACTTTGACAAACATGTGTGCCTCGCTTTCTCCCTACATGTCCCGATTTCTTTATCTGGATTTTTTGTGTCCTCTATTAAGACCAGAATGCTGTTCATCCTCTCAGCTTGTCTTACGTGATCCTTGAGCAATGAAAATGTTATTTTTAGAAAAGGACTTTAGTAGAATTTTGAAAAAATATATATAGTAATTAAAGTGTGTTTGGCCTCATTGGTGTGGCCAATCTTCAACTAAATGTTGAAGATATACGTTAGGTACAGACAACTTAGTACTACATTTATTCAAGGTTTTTGCGTGGCTTTAGTTAAAATGTAATTAGAGTTCAAGCAATGAAGGCATTGCAAACGTATTTACTGAAATTTCTTTTTCTTTTTTCTTCTTCTTTTTTCTTTTTTTTTTTTTTTGAGACAAGTTCTCACTCTGTTGCCCAGGTTAAGTGCGGTAGCACGATCATAGCTTACTGAGCCTTGATCTCCCAGGCTCAAGTGATGCTTCCACTTCAGCCTCCTGGGTAGCTGGGACTACAGGTGCACACCACCATGCCTGGCTGATTTTTAAAATTTTTGCAGAAATGAGACCTCACAATGTTTCCCATGCTGGTCTTAAACTCCTGTCCTCAAGCAATTCTCCCCCTTTGGCCTCCCAAAATGCTGGGACTACAGACATGAGCCACTGTGCCTGGCTATTTATTGAACTTTGTCCCACAGCTGAGCACTCTATGGTTGCAAAATACAAGTTTCACCAACCTTCTGGCAGCTTTAAGATGCCCATCGATAAGATGGAATTATGACACACTCAGAGTGCATATGGGGATAAGGAACCACTACCTGAGCAGACCAAATCAATCAACATGAGAGCTCTTGGAACTAGAGATGGCTGGGATCACATTCTGGCCCTGCCATTTATTATCTGTGTGACCTTGGATCTAAATAGCTCCCCTCTCTACGTGTTACTTTCTGCACCTGAAAAGTGGGATGATGAGATGCGTTCTCCATGGTTTTATGAGGAATAATAAAATACCTCTGCAAAGTGGCTGTGTTTGGCACACAGCAGGGGCTGGATACATACTGCTTCTCCTACATACCAAGACTCAGGCTCGCCGACTTGTTCAGGGAGAGAGGGCATAGAGAACAGAACTTGCACCCTGTACTTCGCTGAAACCTCAGGCATGGACAGCTCAGATAGGAGTGGGGCTCAGAGGCAATTCATCCTGTATTCTGAAGGGCAGCTAAACTTCAGCTGAAAAGCTGGGGTCCGGAAGCCATGCAAAAGACCTGCAGTCTCCTGGTGAGGGAGATGATAAACATGAAACCATGTGGAAATGTGGATTAACCACCCTGAAAGACAAGGTCCCTCATTGTTCCCGAGACAAGGACCATTTCTTTCTTTTTTAAAACAGCTGTATTGAGGTGTAATTTATATACCATAGAACTCGCATGTTTAATGGCTTTTAATAATTTATAGAGTTGTGCACCCACCACCACAATTCAATTGGCGTTGCCCTAAAAAATCACTTGTGCCTAAGTGTAATCAATTCCTTCTTCCACCTCCAGCCCCTGGCAACCACTAATCTACTTTCTGTGTCTACAAATTTGCTATTCTGGACTTTTAATGTAAAAGGATTTATGCAATTTGCAGTTGTTTTTTGTCTGGCTTTTTCACATAGTGCAATGTGTTTGAGGGACATCCATGTTATAGGGTGGGTGCGTCTGCATTTCAGTATTTTCTTTCTTTTTAATGATGTGCTGATATTGGACCAGTTACTCTAAAATTTTAGATTTGGCATCTATATGAGTGGAGTTTTAATAAGACCAATGTCAGGTTATTTAGATGTTGGACGAAGGAAACAAATTTCAATGAGACAGAAGGAGTAAGTTCAAGAGATCTATTGTACAACATGGTGACTATAGTTAAAAACAACATATTGTATCTTTGAAAATTGCTAAAAGAGTAAATTTTAAGTTTTCTTACCACAAAACCAATGATAAGTACATGAGGTTACATATGTTAATTAGCTTGATTTAACCATTTCACAATATATACATATACCAAAACATCATATTGTACACTGTACACTTACACAGGTTTTTGTCAATTAAATTTTTTTCTAAATTAAACATTTTAAAAACATGCAAAAAGCTATAGCATGGCCTCTGGCAGGGATCAAGAGCTTCCTACACGTTAGTTTTGATGTTAGGATCATCCCAGTTGTAATTAGTTATCCATTTTAGTAGTATTACCACCACAGATCTTATCCATTTAGCAGAAGCAATAAGGGACCATCTCTGGGTAGTCATTGTTCCTAGGGACTCCTATGTAATCTGCTGGGCGATTCAAAAATTCACTGCAAAATTCAGTTTTTAGAACTAGGAGGTATCCAATAAAAGTTGTTGAATATAGGAAGAAAAAATAAATTTTAAATAACAAAAAACACATACAAAAAGGGTCACCCTTTGTGGTGAATTCCCCGCACGTGGCTCAGGGTCTAATGCACAGTGGTATCCAGTAAATATTTGTTGAATGAATTAATGAAGAGTTTGGATTTTAAAATATTGCACACCTATAAGCCGGAGTTTAATAACCAAAAGGCATATGATCCTTATACTTTCAATGTTATCACTCAACCATCTATGTTTCCATTGGACTGTTGTCTGATTTATGGGACTGGGATTTGACGTAAATTCAGGAATTGTTGGAAGTAGCTGTTCAGTAGTGAGAAGCAGAAGAAAACACTGACACATGGAACCAGGTGTCTTTGTTTTGGCAAGGACAGCAACTGTATTCTGATACTAAGGTGGGGGATGGGAGTTCCGGGCAAAGACATTAATAGCACTCATATTGTTCTTTTCGACACAGATTTGAGAGAGCTCTTCAAATGGCAAACACCTAGCATGTGGGGATCTGAAGCACCTCTTTGTGGGTTTCACTCTCAACACTCTTGGAAAATCACCGAGTGTCATGAGAGGTGTTATTGATGCAGGCCTGTCATGCAGGGGACTGACAGAGAGGCCTCCTCAGAAAGACTGAGATGGCCCACAGCAGAGGGCAGAAAAAAAAAAACCCTTTCCTGATTATTGCAATCCTGGCAATGTCAGCACCTGGTTACCAACTGCAGCGATGAAAAGTAATACAAACATTTAGGTATTGATATATAGAAGACATAAGAGTGAGGGGAAAATGTTTTCCTATAAACATTTCTCAAATAATTTTGTGTTGTTTCAGTAAAGGTCACTGTGATTTTGTAGGCCCTCAGGTGTGGGTTTAATTGTGTTTACTTATGATGTATGATTACAGAAAGGTATTATTCCTGAAAAACCATCATAATATAATTAAAAAGTTGGCAAAAGTGACGTCTCATTGCTCTCTTTGTTTATTTTTTTAATAAAAAAGAAAACTCCCATTGCGCTCTGCTTGGAGTACAATGACCATAAACCAAGAGACAGAATTCACATTCTTGGAAAATCACACACTGTGGTTTCCTTGAAAAGGGAGATGACTTTTGCTCTGGAAAAGACACATATATAGAGATCCCAATTAAAATGTATCTATTCTTCCAAATATTCTTTCTCATTTAATCCTTGGATACCTGGAACTGATAATTAAGAGGTAACATCGGCAACTATGTACTAGGTGCAAAGGCAATAATGGAATCCTCATTTTTGGGTGGGTCTTTGCACAGACCCTTACACGCACACACACACACATGCATATATATTTATTTTTATATTTAGATTCCATTCATGTTAAATACCTATAGATTTTATATTCTGAGCTGTTTTCTCAGACGTTCTTTCACACTCTGCAAAGCCTATGCTTTTTTGCTTAGCTTGAAACCACCTCCATGAGTCTCTTCTTATCCCCCAAATAGGAGTCCTGCATTACAATCTTCTTTGAGCAAATTCACAACCTAGATTTTGGTTGGAGTTGAACATGCAATAAGTTATCAAGAGTTAAATCTAGGAAGTGGATTTGGGATAGTTTTACTCTTTTCATTATAACTTTCCCTATTTTTCATATCGTATATAATAAAAAATCATTTTTAAATAAGAAAAAATAAATGACTATAATTTATATATGTATATGTGTTTGTCGTAAGCTCAGGAGCTCAAAGCATTCTCAAATTTTCTTGTGTCATCTAATCCTAAATAAGTCATAGTTAGAATCTCCTCAAAGCCACCCAGGGCTGGCTGGGCACAGTGGCTCATGCCTGTAATCCCAGCACTTTGGGAGGCAGAGGCAGGCAGACTGCTTGAGTCCAGGAGTTCAAGACCAGCCTGGCCAACATGGTGAAACCCTGTATCTACAAAAAAATACAAAAATTAGCCAGGCATGGTGGTGCGCACCTGTATTCCCAGTTACTCAAGAGGCTGAGGTGGGAGAATCTTGAACCCGGGAGGCAGAGGTTGCAGCAAGCCAAGGTCCCAGCCACTGCACTCCAGCCTGGACAACAGAGCAAGCCTCTGTCTAAAAACAAACAAACAAAAAAGGACCCGGGGCTTGTGAAAATGAAGTGTGTTAATATTCAAGCTGAGTGAGCAGCCCGTCTAACAGGCTGTTTAAATTTTGCCATGCAATTGTTGAAGGCTTAAAGAAAATCTTCATTTCCTGGGTGAACTGAAACCTGGCTAAATGCTTTTGTGAGGCACTTCTTGTTGAGCAATCATTATGTCTATTAAATGCTTGATTCCATCACATCTGGGGAGTTCACTCCCCAGAAAAGAATTGGGATGGTGGTTTCATAAATGTAAAACAAACTTCAGGCTAAGCCCCCTCCGTAAATGTGAGCCAAGAATCCATCAGCTCACCTGTGAGAGCTCTGTCAGGCAGTGTCACTTCAATGCCCCTAAATATTAAGGCATTCAGTCCTTGAATCTCTTAGCTATGCTCACTTTTCTAGGTGATCTTATTCAGTTCCATGATTCTAACCAGTACCTGAGTGCTGATGACTCTAGCAGTGACTTCCACCCTGAATACACACCCACATATTCAAGTGCTTCTTGAATAGGAATCTTAAATTTCATATGTCTAAAGTGAGTGATTTTTGCTATTTTACCCAACCTGCTCCTCTGTTCAGTAAACGAAATCTTCATCAAGTTAATTTGACCCAAGCTTTGGATACAACTTGGACTTTGCTGTTTCTCTCATACCCCCCCAAGCTCTGTGCCTGTCTGTCAGTAGGAGGAAGTTTATGGTACAACAAATTGCCCTTTACCTTAGAAGTGATGTTCCAGCATGCCCCAGACTGCTGGACCCCTCAAACTCCACCAGTGTGGCAGGCCGTGAAGTCTTCATTGAGTTAATCTCTCCCCTTTTGGTGTGCCTGTCTTAGTAGACCATAAACAGAACTTGCCACTTCCTGCTCAATGATGTGATGTTATAAATACAATAGACTAGTGTGATGCTGTGCAGAATGTCAAGATGATCAAAAATAGAGAGAGAGAGAGCAAGATAGCGAGAGAGTAGAAGAGTCAACATGTGAAAGGGAAATGCTTTTGATCATCCCTGATGATGAGTACACAGAAGGAATAATTCTCAAATAGTGACACACCAAACATGATTTTGAACTGCTCCACTAAACAACATACCATTTCTGGAGTAGTGGCTGCAGTTGGGGCTACTGTCTGGTTAGGTCTATGGTGAACAGCAATTACTTTCTATGTCCCAATTGACTTTGGCACAGATTAGACAAGTGATTTGAATAGGATATGATGGTACTTACAGCTCCTGAGTCCTTCATGTCTTCATGCTTCCCCTAACCTTTGCCATTTCTCCTACATGTATGATTGCTACTGATGCACTGTCTTGACGAGTTTAGGGGATTCTTCTTGGCTTTTCCTATTATAATGACACTTACTTCTTAGGTCAGAAAACTCACACGAAGCCTCTGCCCGCTTCAGTAGATAATCTCAGTTATACACTTGCAAACTTGGAGAATGACCTGGGAAACTCTACAGAACCAGTGAATCTACTGTGAGAAGAATTTGGGTCAAAAGTTCATATGTAAGGCTCCTAAAAATTTCTGGGTATTCCATTCTCCCTAATGTCCTGGCAATTGTCTATGGATACCATTGAGGAAAAGTAACTGAAATATTTACCCATTATGTTCTTGTAATAGTGCTGTAGGGTCTTTCCTCAGCAGAATCTAGTTTTCCCTCCTATCAGTGGGCTCTAGGTCTGTGAGCTGCCTTAGCTTTGCAAACTGATTAAGGGGCTCGGCACTGATGCAGCTGATAGAGTTTTCTGTTTGCTAGTTCTAGTTTCTTTTTATGAAAGCAATAGAGAAACACCACTGAAACCACAGGTTCCCCAGGCATCAGACATCCTGACTGTTACCCTGGGTCGACGCTAGTTACAGGAATTAGATCCACCTTGCATCTGATGGCTAACTGCTGGCATTTCCTCCACCAGAATTCAGTCATGTCATTGGTATTAGGGAACCTAGTTGTATGGCTGCATCATTCAGTCTCAACCCTGGCCTGTAGATAACAGCCACTGAGTAGCTTCTAAAATGGGCTAATGCCCCATTCATTCATGCGTTGCTTAGAGCCACAGTGAAGTGGGGAGGGGTCCCTTTGAATCCTCCCAGAGAACAAAGTCAGGTAGGAGGTCTCTTATTTTCCATGTGCAATTCATTCTAGCATCCCAGCTTCTCTTATCCTTCTCACCCCTTCCCATCTCTATGCTAAGGAGATCTGGCAACTCCACCATATTTATAGAAGGCATTGCTATGTCCACTATTCCAGGTGCCTTCACGTCAGACTCTCATGATCAGCTCTAGATGTCCTTCCAGAATTTGAACCTCAAGGAACGTGTGAGTGCTACCTAATCAATGACTTCTCTCTTCTTTAGCTTTATATTATTATCCTCCAATTCCACTCTCATTGTTTTAAGATCCAAGTCCCAAAGCAGGCGCAGTGGCTCACACCTGTAATCCCAGCACTTTGAGAGGCCGAGGTGGGAGGATTGCTTGAGGCCAGGAGTTAGAGACCAGCCTGGGCAACACAGGAAGACCCCATCTCTACACCCAAGTTAAAAACTTATCTTGGTATGGTGGCACATGCCTGTAGTCCCAGCTACTCAGGAGGCTGAGGCAGGAGGATTGCTTGAGCCTGGGAGGTTGAGGCTGCAGGGAGCTGTGGTTGTGCCACTGCACAGCCTGGGTGGTAGAGCAAGATCCTGTATCTAAAAACAAACAAACAAGCATACAAACCTATGTTTTCACAACTGATACAGATGAGCCCAGTGTTGCAACTCCTCTGACATACAGGAGTTTATTTCTGAGGAGTTGGGCTTGTACTGCCCAACTCGGGCTATGATAAGACCTGGTTATAGGACTAGGCCAGAGGTTCCTATATAGACCACTTGTATAAGAGTTCTTATCTGCCAGAGGTTCCTACACGTGTGGCCTCCAGACCACCAGCAGCAGCATCACCTGGTAAATAATTAACAGGACACATTCTCAGCACCAACTCCAACCCAAATGAATCAGACACCTTGAGAGTAGGTCTTAGCAACCTGTGCTTTAACTAGTCTTCCAAGTGATTCTCATGCATGCTCAGGTTTGAAAACCACAGTTCTGGAGAACACAAACACAGATGGGGGTGGGTCTTGCAGAACCTGTGCTTCATTTTCAAGGCACCTCTGCCAGGTGAGGTCACTGCAATGGCAGAAATGTTTCCTCTGCTCGGTGGAATGGGGCTGCTTGTGCCATTTAGGAATGTTCCAGGAGATGTTGGGAGCTTGAGATCCTCAAGCTTGTCCACCGAAATATTTCCATCACAGGTCTCAAGGTGCTGCTCTTGGGGCTCCTTGTTTAGTCACTTTTGGAGCTTAGTCTTATTATTATCCAACTTGGGACTGATTTGTTACATAATCAGCCCTGTAGCTGCAGAAGATGAAAGTCTTCTCTAGACCTTCCCAAGGGGCCTCCTGGCCATCACAGTATCCCTTAAATGGGCAACATGCCACTCTGAGTCTCTCATTTTCTTTTAGTGCGGTCCTTCTTCAGTCCTGTTGAAAGTAGCCCTCCCACACCAGACTCATTCCAATGATCACTGCCCGCATAGCAGTTAAGGATAGCAGCCACTCGTCTTTCAAAGCCTTTTCTTCCATCTGTAATGCATCCCAATTATCCACAGGTGAAAGCTTTTGCTACCATGAGGCCACTGTTTGCAAAGTGTAATCACCATCTCCACTTACCTCCAGCGAGCTAGTCCCTACTGCTTCAAATGACATGGACGACTTAAGTCCTGAATCCTCTCCAGTGGGTCTGTTTTCTAGTCCAAGAAGGTGCTTATTGTCTGTACCTGGATTCCATAGAAACTAGTGGCTAAGGCACAGCTTGTGGGATTACATTATTTATTTCTTTATTTTTAGAGACAAGGTCTCACCCAGACTGGAGTACAGTGGTGCAATCATAGCTCACTGCAGCTTCCAACTCCTGGGTGCAAGCAATCCTCCTGCTTCAGCCTCCAGAGTAGCTGGGATTACAAGTGCAGGCCACCACGCCCAGCTAATGTTTACATTTCTTGTAGAGATGGGGGTCTCTCTTTGTTGCCCAGCCTGGTAGTGAACTCCTGGCCTCAACCAATCTTCCGCATGAGCTGGTATGCCCAGCCTACTTTTTTTTTAATAAAAGAAAAGGCATACACATTTATCAACATGTCAACATGTACATGGGGAGAATGAGAGAGTGATTACCCCCAGAATTACATTTTACCAAGAGAAAGTAAGCTCAAGGAAATCAAGGAGGAATTGATGCATTTAAAGAACTGGCTATAGCTTGAGGAGCAAGCACAGCTGGCTGTTCAGGCAGGCTGGACATGTCTGCATAGGAAGAATGACATCATCCAGAGAAGTGCACCGGGGGAGGAAGGGGTATATATTAATAGGTATGGCTTTGCATCTGAGCTCCCCTACGGGGTCTTAACACTGTTGTACTTCAGGGCCATCCAAGAAACTCTGGGGGCTGGGGGCAGCGGGGAGGACCTTAGCAGGGCCTGTTTGTTTAGATTCCTCATGGCCTCTTTGTGCAGCATTCCTTCCCTCCAGGTATATATGGCAGGATCCCTCTGAAATGAGGTCTTATGACTTCATTTCAGGGGAGGTAGGCCAGAATTCTTTTATGGCCAGCTCTCAGGGAGGAAGGATGGGATATGGTCAGAGAGTGACCATCCTTGCTTCTGCTATTTTCTCAGTTTCTGAGGTGCTAGGTTTTGGGGTAGCATTTTTTGCACCCCGACACTAAGGAGGTATGTAAAATAAGTTCCAATACATGTATGTGCTAGGCAATGGCCTACCTGTTTCTCAGGGCTTTTTCCAATACACTATGCAGCAATCTTATTTCTTTGCGTTTATAATCTGTTTCTTCCTCTTCCATATTTAAAGACCAAAAAGCAAAAAAAACAAAAGAAAACAACACTTTTCTAGGTGAACCTTGTAAAGAATTAACATTAATAACTTAGTAAGGTCATTTATGAAAAAAGAAAAAAAGAATTAACGTTAATATGTTGATCATTTAATGGTAAGAGACTCTAATCTGATGCTCTGTATTTTTTAGTTTTTTTTTCCCCTAAGGGGAGCAGTCAAGAAACATTAGTTTAGCAACCCTCTAATTTTCTTGCCCTCTCATAAACCCCAAAGCAATAGAAATTTTCCATTTCCCATAACAATCAGTGGTCCATTAATTTTTAATCTTATTTTCTACACGTTTCCAAGTACAGTAGCTTTTCTTAGCCACAATCTTAGTATTTGCCTCTATTTCTCCTCTCTCTCGTCTCATGCCTGAATCATTACCAAAACTTATGCAAAGAACAAAGAGGCAAAATGATAGATGTATAAACAAACCTAAGACGACCTAATTAGTGTGAGGACCTGTCAGGTGTCTTCCTCTACTTTACCTGAGTCAGTCCTGACAGCAACTTGGAACTCAATGGTATTACTCCCCCTTTGGAGAGGAAGACATTCAGGCACACAGAAAATTGTCTTACTTTCCAACTCCCATCTTCATAAATCTGCTACATCTTACCTTCTGTCAGAGTCTTCATTTCCAGACACCTTTCTGTAGTACTTCCTTGCTGTGGTCAAATTACCACCCCAACATTGAGTGTTGGGACACCCTCCGTGTGCACTCCAGTCTAGGAAAAGGGCCACCATTCTCTCTTTCATAGCTACTATTACAGCTACCATCTTACAGCTTCCCTCCCTCCCTCCCTCCCTTCCTTCTCTCTTTCCTTCTGTCATTTTCTTTCTCCCTTATTTCTATCTTGTTAGCCTTACACCTTTTTTCCTCCCTCCCTCCCTTTCTTTCTTTCCTCCATCCTTTCGTCTTTCCTTTCTATCTCCCTTCCTTCCTCCCTTCCTCTCTTTCTTCCTTCCTCCTTTTCTTCCCACCCTCCCTTCCTGCTCTCCTCTCCTCCCTTCCTTGCTTCCTTTCTCCTCCCTCCCTTCCTGTCTCCCTCCCTGCTTTCTTTCCTTCCTTCCTCCCTACCTCCTTCTCTCCCTTCCTTCCTCCTTCCCTCCCTGCCTTCCTTCTTTTCCTTCCTTCCTTCCTCCCTTCCTCTTCCTCTCCCTCCATCCCCCTCTTCCTCCTTTCCTTCTTTCCTCCCTTCCCCTCCCTCCCTCCCTTCCTTCCTTCTTTCCTCACTCCCTCCCTTTTCCTCCCCTCCCTTCTTCTGTCCTTCCCTCCCTCCCTTCCTTAATCCCTTCCTTCCATCCTCCTCCCTCCTTCTCTCCCTTCCTGCCTCCCTCCTTCCCTTCCTTCCTTCCTTCCTCCTTCCCTCTCTTCCTTCCTTCTTTCCTTTCCTTTTCCTTCCTTCCTTCCTTCCTCCCTCCCTCCCTTCCTCCTCCTCTCCTTCCATCCCTCTCTTCCTCTTTTCCTTTTTTTCTTCCTTCCTTCCTCCCTATCTCCCTCCCTTCCATCCATCCTTCCTTCCTTCTTTCCTCCCTCCCTCCCTTCCTCTGTCCTTCCCTCCCTCCCTTCCTTAATCCCTTCCCTCCTTCCTTCCTTCCTTCCTCCCTCCCTCCCTCCCTTCTTCCTCATTCTGTTTTTCTTTCTTCATTATCCTTTCTTGTACTATCTTCTCCTTTTTAAGTTGACATCGCTTCATCTTAGCCCTAAGCTTCCTATGGACAGAAACTAAGTCTATTTTGCTTAGAATTCTATCTCTACTCCTCATCTGTTGAATAAATGGACAGATAAATAAATGAAGGGATGAAAATATGAGCATACCATATGAAAAGCCAACAACCCAAATGGTAGTAACTCTCTCCCCTTGTGTCATATACCACCCCACACATGATAGCTCATTTAACATTCACAATAACTCTATAGGCTGGTATTTATACTCCCTTTCTACAGTTCTGTTTCCATTACACCACATGTTTTCTTCTAGTAACATTTGGTGCTTGGTATTGGAAATATACTACAGGGTTATAATAGTATCACCTACCAGAATCTGCTTATGTGTGGCCAGGGTTATTATAGTATCCTCAGTAAGCAGTGCTGTGTGCCCTATGGATGAAATTGTTATTCTTATGAGTGGCTATGCAATGACCTAGGAAGAGAACATGCTTCTAATAAGCTTGGCTCTGTTCCCCAAACTGCTGTATCACTCATTGCATCTCCTCTGTAGTGGGCAAAGGTAGACAATCCAAGTGGTTCTATTCCCAGACCTTTCTACTGGGACCTAGAAATAAAGAGCACCTATTCCAGCAAAGAGAGTTGATTCTGTTAGATAAGCCAAAAGGCAATTTTTGGTTAAGAGGAAATAATTGTCTAAACTGTATGAGAGAGGCTGTGCTCTGGGAAACAGTGTGCATAGGTGACAGGCTGCAGTGTTTCTCTGCAGAGACTTTATTGACAATGGCAGTGAGCTTCCTAAATTGCCAAGGAAGCTATCCTGTCCTCCTGGTGTAAGTCATTTTTCTTTTTTCTTTGATTTAAGGCAAACAATGTTTGAGCCTTTCAATTATTAAAGATGCTCTCATCTGTCCTGCATCCAATCAATTCTTTTTTGAAAATTAGCAATTATTTAGACAGGAAGCCCATGGACTATTCATTCATGAAATGCCTGAGACCTCGACTTTATAAATTGTTATCTTAAAGGTCTTGGGAGTTCAGGGATAGGGTGTCCCTCTGCCACGGCTTGGGCATTATGTTAGAGCCTTTTATTTGCTCGTTTTAAGTAATGTGTGGCTGCAGGATACCTACCCTTGATGCCTCCTCAATAGAGAAGGCATATTTTATAATCTCAGCATTTTCTTTAGGTGGAGAAATGTCTATCCCTGCCTTGGTACACAACATTTATCAGACTGAAAAAAAAAATGATTATTAAGGAAGGTTCACAGAAATAGCTCCTACAGCAGATAAGATGGTCTTGCCATTACTACTTTAAATTATTTATTTGATCTTTTAAAAGACAATTTCCTAAGTGTTTGAGATTTTTTAAATATTTTAATCACAAGGTTCTTTGTCCTGAAAGTGTTACTAAATACCTGCCTTACAGAAGTAGCTAATCTTATCTCTAAGTACAAAGGACTGACTACAGGCATTTATTTTCTTGCCAGTTCAAGTGGATGAAATTGAAGTATGGATTTGCATAGTAAAGGTGAAAGGCATTAGCATTGAGAGTATTACAAAAGTCTTGTTCACAGCACTGACTTGTATTAGCAACATTCCCTTTTGACTCCTGTACCAAATCGCACATCTAAGCATCTCTCTCAACAGCTCAAAGGGCCTTAGTGATCCCTTCTCAGTATCAAGGTAAAATCTCAAGTGCTCTCCAGGCCCTTCAGCTGACCCCATTCTAGCCTCTCCCAAGGCCCTCCTCAACCTATGCCCCAAATGGACCATAGTCCAGGCACACAAATTACTCCTAGAAAGTTCTTTGTCCTGTCAGTGGGTATGGTTTTGCATCTGTGCAAGTATCCACTTCTAGTATGTGGTTAGTAGAATGTTGACTTATTCTAGGGCAGCAGAAAGATCATATTTCCCCAGAAGCCTTCCCTGACCATACTTCCCATGTCCTGGGAGAGTCCCCATTCCTCCTCTCCTCCCATCCCCAGTGAACTTTTGTTTAACTACATCCCAGGGCTCCCAGTGGCCCAGAACTGAGTGGAAGAAAGAGAGGCAGTGGGGTGGTCCCTGGATGAGAAGCAAACATTTCCATCAAGGGCTGGGCAGTACTAATGGATCCAGGAAAGCCTGCAGAGACATCTCTTGAGCAGTCAGATGATCAGTTTGAGTGCTCCCTGTCCACATTCCATCTCAGCTCAGGAAATACCTTTTATCCACGGACACTGGCTGCCCGCATCCCATCCCTGAACATCATGCACATGGCGGTGTTGGCCCCCCAGGAGTATCTTATCAGGACCTGTGATGAAGACCATGCTACTCTGCCAGCCCCACTACAGGATAGGATAAGGGATTACTCCTCCAGCTGCTAGGAGGTGCTGTCCCTGCTAGTAGCCCTCAACTCTTCATCCTCTCCAAGAATTACCCTTCTCTGAAGACATCTCTTTTCCTAGGTCGTGCTGTTACTTCAGGACCATCCTGCATCCAGTAACTGTTCAGTGCAAGGGTATAAATCTTCCTCCCCACAAACACACCTCAGAGCACTCTACCAGGCCACTGCAACCTCATCTACTCAATAGCACTTTACCAGGCCACTGCAACCTCATGTACTCCAGAGCACTCTACCAAATCACTGAAATGTCATCTACTCAATAGCACATTACCAGGCCACTGCAACCTCATCTACTCAATAGCACTCTACCAAGTCACTGAAACGTCATCTACTCAATAGCACTTTACCAGGCCACTGCAACCTCATCTACTCCAGCGCACTCTACCAGGCCACTGCACCCTCATCTACTCCAGAGCACTCTACCAGGCCACTGCACCCTCATCTACTCCGGAGCACTCTACCAGGCCACTGCACCCTCATCTATTCCGGAGCACTCTACCAGGCCACTGCACCCTCATCTACTCCGGAGCACTCTACCAGGCCACTGCACCCTCATCTACTCCGGAGCACTCTACCAGGCCACTGCAACCTCATCTACTCTGGAGCACTCTACCAGGCCACTGCAACCTCATCTACTCAATAGCACTTTACCAGGCCACTGCAGCCTCATCTACTCAATAGCACTTTACCAGGCCACTGCAGCCTCATCTACTCAACAGCACTCTACCAGGCCACTGCAACCTCATCTACTCCAGAGCACTCTACCAGGCCACTGCAACCTCATCTACTCAATAGCACTCTACCAGGCCACTGCAACCTTATCTACTCCAGAGCACTCTACCAGGCCACTGCAACCTCATGTACTCCAGAGCACTCTACCAGGCCACTGCAACCTCAGAGCTCTCATGGGCTCAGCCAAGTCCTTACTGTGAGAGCACTATAGCTCAAATTTTTCCCTTTGCTCAGATGTGCCTCCTTCCTTTCCTCCTCCTGAGAGGATGCCCCCCATTCCCCAAACTTCTCATATGCTAAGCTCTGTCTCCTTGGCTTTCCCAGGACAGCCCTGCAACAGTTCCAAGTTCCAGGCATAGCAAAGGATGCACATAAACAGCAAACTGCTTTAGCAATAAAAACAACCTGGTCCTTCCTTTTCTGCAAGTTGTCTGCCCAAATCTAAACTTCCAGGCAGATTCAAGTAAGTTCTAGAAGGTCCTTTGTCCCTTAGGTGGGTATGATTTTGCATCTGTGCAAATGTCCACCTTCTACTGTGTGGCGAGTTGAATGTTGACTTAATTCTTCTAGCAGCAGAAATGGCACCTTTACCAGGAAGCCTTCCCACGTAGACTACCATGAACAGGGGTTATTTATTGGAGGTGTGATGTTTGCTTGTGTCTGCACACCTGTGCTCATTAACAACCAACTTTTTCAGCTTAGGTGAAGGTTTCCTATTGATCTATGTGGTAGGCATATCTCCTGCCTTCCAGAGACCAGATGTATCCAGACTAGATTCACTCAGTTACAGAAGCCTGGTAATAAAACCAATTAACTTTAGGAGAACCCACTTCCTCATCTTCTAACACATTATCAAAGTTTTGATAATACAGGGCACAAAGAGGGCATCATCTCACAAAACAGAAGCAGATGAAATTGAAGTTGCAGTGCTGGACCCAAAGAAACATGCTTGTTTGGGGAAAAAAAAAACAGAGGGATCAGTCCATCGCTTAGAGGTCACCTAAGCAAGTCCCCTAAATATTTGAACTTAATTCCTTTTTAAAATAGCAGGAAGCTCTTAATCAGAGTTCTGTCTTCTACAAGCATATCTTGTTGAGGAATAACAATGCAGGTGTATCTGTGCTTCTCACTTTTTTTCTTTCCTTGTCTGTTTAAAAGAAGCGTGGATTTGCCTGTTCAGCTTTCCCCATGCCCCAGGCTACATCTAAATGAGGAGCTTTAGACTAAGTCTGGAACGTTGCAGTGCTGTAGGAGCCACTGATTAGGAGGGAATCAGATGCAACTCAGGGAGAAAGAAATTAAGTTTGTAAACTATCGCTGTGGGCAATCTATCATGCCATGGTGTTCAAGAAATACAAGTATGGAGATTGAGCACAGTTTCAAAGTCACCTTTTGGATGCTGGATTTTATTCCCTTGACTGTTAAGCCCCACTGAGAATGGTCCACCTAGATGGTGACTTCAATGGGCTTATAGTAGCTGGCCTGTCAAGGGTAGCCTAGCATGTGTTAGCTAAAGCACATCATCTAGTCTTATTTGGAGCTAAAATCACGACTTTAAACCTGAATCATGAACACACTTCACTCGAATGGCCAGACTATTGGAACAATGACCAAATACTGAGATTTGATCAAATCTCTGTCGTGACAGTTTTTGGAATAATGTGGGAAATAAATATCATAGTGAAGATACAATGTACATTTTTCCAATGGCAGAGTTTGGAACTAAATGTTCCTGTATTTAGTCCTGAGAGAGGTGGTCCAAGAAATATCTTTTCTGTAGTGGCTCAAGGCAGCTGCCTGCTAAGTCATGCTCATGTGTGGTCTTGTGGCTGAAGTTGTGAATTTTAAAACCAAACAACTTTTGTAGCCTAGGACACAGACTACTTTCTAAGAGAAAATTAAGAGTCACAAGCAAGTACTATGCTAGGTTTAGAGAAAAGTAGTCAGATTCATGATTAGAACATACCAGGAAATTAGTACAAAATGGACTGGCTCAAAGGGAGGAACTTCTGTATGAGAGAGGGTTTACCTAAATCCTCTTGATATTAATTTCTAACTTTGCAAAGTCTCACATTGCTGTGAACAATTACTACTATGGACAGGAATGAATTTATAGCTGAGGGCTGCAGAACCTGGATATACAATGGCATTTCTGAGATTACAAAGCAATTGTCTGTGTTTTTTTCTGATTGGAAGAAATGTAAGCAACATACTGTCTGCTTATGGGTAGAGAATAGGTCCCATGTCTTAAAGATATCCAAGCAGAGTTTGTGTAGACTTTAATAATATGATAATGAGCCACCCATCTTGTCACAACTTCTGCATCTATTGGTGAATGAAGAGGAAGGATGTTGTAATCCCAGTAATCACCCCTCCAAAATTAGATATGTGCCCCTGGGTATGGGGTGAACTTCAAAACTTTAGGTGGCAGGATGGTGCTACACTAGTTTCCTTGAGGCTTGGGTATCCTCTTGGTTCCTTTGCCTCCTTATAATGAAGTCCTTGCCTCTGTCCCAGCTCCAGGGATACAATGCACGAACTGTGTTGCACCTTAGGGGACTCTGCTGCATCCCAGGGGAAAACAGAAGAAATATTGGGCTTTAAATTGACTTCTCATTGAAGAGGGCCACAAACATTTTCCAGGGTGAAATTGGATGCCACCAAAATTACTAACATGCAAACTCATGTACTGTGATCACACACCCTGTTCCCATTTTGACTCGTGGGAGCCTAAGCTTAGTTAATTGGTTTTATTACCAGGCTTCTGTAACTGAGATTGAGTGACTGTAGTTTTGATATATCTGGTTTCTGGAAAGTGGGAGATATACCTATACCAAAGAGATCAACAGGAAAGCTTAAGCTAAAAAACTTGGTTGTTAATGAGCACAGATATGTGGACACAAGCAAAGAAGAGAGTCCTAATGACAGTTACAGACAGGATTGAATAGGTCCTCACTTTGGAGAAGAATGAAGCCTCCTGAAGCCTCTCCTGTTACTGAATTGCACAACATTTCCATGCAGGGGCTACTAAAGCTTCCCTACTGCATTGCCTATCCGCATTCCTCTTGGTCTTCACACTGGTTTTTCCTGTGTACGTTCAATTCCCGGTTCTTCTGTTTGAAAGCCACTTATCTCCAGACAGCTCAGACTTCAGCCTATCAATGCAGATTCCCTCTTCTATGTCCTGAGTCACCGTTCTTCCAAATTCTGTTAAATATATCTTCTTTAGGTAATTTTCTTGGCTAATTTTAACAGTTATAGAATGCGATGTATGAGAGGCAGTAGATTTCTCAAGGAAGCAAGCAATAATTTTTAGGCAAAAGTTATATCAAATTGAAGAACAGACAGACAGACAGACAGACACACACACACACACACACACACACACACACATTTTCTGTTAGGAAAACTGGAGTCATATAACACCAGTGTGATTTTTTAAAAATGCCTCCTCTTTGGTGCACCATGAAAATTGGTTGATTCAATTTGATCATTATGCTTTCTATGGCTTCGTTATAATATTACCTAGTTATGGAAATATGGGTGAGTCATTTCCAATGTGTAATTCATATTCTGGGTGTCAGACGTGGTTGTACGTGTGAGGAATACAGGAGCGAACAAAAAGTATAAAAGACTGCCTTATTGGAGCTAAAATTAGTACACATTCCAGTTGCACGGAGTGTCTTCATTTTAGCCTTTGCTTCCTTTCAAATAGCTCATTTGATAATCTAATAGTATTATTAAGTCTTTTTAATTCAAATAAACTTACCCTCTATTGTGTTCCAATATCCAGACCTGATCTGCTATTTCTCAAATTCTGCTGAAACAGAGGTCTCAGCAGCCGTATGTATGTTAAGACTGGTTCTAAAGGAGAATTGCTTTGGGTTGACTGTTATGTCATTGCCTTTCCATTCATCTTCCTCTGTGCTCTACTTGCTGCTGATTTTAATTATTTTGCTGAGATTACACAACCAAATGGTGCCTTCTCTGATGTCTTTAAAAATAATCACATTTGCTCTTATAAGGAATATTTTCTGTTTCAATCTAAGAACATTTCTACAGTCATTAGCTGAGTTGGCAAAATACAGAGCCCTTCCTGCATTAATTTCACCTTCTCTGGTCTAGAATTCAACACAGGATTTATTCTGTAATCTGTTCTGCAAACTTGAAATTCTATTCATAAAGAAATGTTTAAATAAACTTCCCAACAGTGACCCTATCTTCCTCCTTGATTATTTTGTTTCCTACGTTCTGTACCGCTTTTCTACTTCTGATGAAGGATCAAAAGTAAAAGATTGTTTTGACTTTATTTTAAATTTAATTAGAAAATAAAAAGTCAGTATAAAGCATTTATTAATATAATCAGTCTTATGCAAAAGCCTGTTCCCAGGATGTTTCTGATGAAGTTAATTAAGACACATAATTTTGTATATAAATTTTGGATATTAGGGAAATATTTGATTTAGAAAAAAATTAGAAAGCTGGCCAAATTTATTCCCCTTTCTAAAAATCTTCCTATGGTATTTAAAAAATTTATAGTAAAAATATCATCCACTATGAAATATATTATTTGCATCTAAATTAAATATTTTTAGTGATATGGATACTTGTATACATAAACATACCCACACACCCCCAACAGGTATAGTTGTACAAATATATTAAACATGTACATATACATTTAGAAACATACAGCTATGAAGAAATGAATAATGTTTATGGTAATCTGGCTTTAAAATCCTTCCAAACTAGAGATTTTTAATAAAAAAACCTTTTAGATAACTGCATAAACACATTCCAATAAGACAGTGTACTATGACCATTTCATATGGTGTCTGTTGGCATTTTCTTCTAACTAGGTCCATATTTTAAAAACAATTTCTAGACCATATGTGGCTTGCCCAATCTTGAGAAAATGTTTCATTCTTGAATTTAAATTTCAATACTTGGAGTGGGACAGGATGGCCAGCTAGACATAGCCAGGAAGTACTGTTCCCACCAAGAGAGACCAACATTTTGAGTAAACCATCATAATTTGAATAGATCTTAGAGAGAAAATGCTGAGAATGGATGGAGATGTGATGTGGACACTGAGGCTCAAAAAGGAGGAAGCTGGGAACCTGGCGTTGGGTACTTGAACGCTAGGGCTACTTCCCAGCCCTGAAGGGCTCCTGGGGAAGGGGTACATGAAGGACTGTGGGACTTCCCACTCTTGCGGTGGACCTTGGGGATCCTTAGCTAGAGGGAACCCCACAAACCCCATGGACATTTGAGCCAGCCAGGGGATCATCCAGAGAGTAGGCAGAGATAGGGCTTTAGCCAGTGAACAACCGGGGGCCTTTGTGTATGGGGCAGCTCCAGCAAGCCCGACCATAGGCGCCAATCCCCCTGGGGCTCCCCACCTCCCTCCAAGAAGCTCTAGCCTCAGCTCACTGCTGGGCCAGGAGAGAGTGGAACCAGCTTCCCTGTGGGACTGGGGCATGTCTGTTATGCAGGCCCTCTTGCCTGCCAGACCCTCTCAGGGCCCCTATCTGGCCAACCTACAAGAGTGTGTGCATGTGCATAGTACAGTCTCTGCTGCCCAGCCTAGGTGCTTTGCTGCACCTGAGTACATTCCCAGCATCCTCCAAGCACTTTGGATCTCCTAGAACATGAGGAACCCAAGCCCAGGTGTCTGGAGGATGGAGGTGTGGGGTGTCCCACCACCCAGGGCTGTGATGTGCAGCTCAGGAGTGCTGGGCTGAGACCTGTGGGCAGCACTTGAGCTGGGGAGGAACACTCACTCTCAGAGAACTGAGAGGGGTGAAATACACAGGTTCATAGGCTGCTGCAGAAGTGGGGCATGCCTCCTTCCATAGAGCCAGCCCAGAAAGGGCGTGGCCTAGCTCCCTGCCATGGATTTTGCCCAAGGGAGCCCCACGGCCCAGAACACCTAACAAAAGAAGTGTAGGCATAATGCCAGTGATTGGAGGGGGCTCCCCCAAGGCCCAGGAGTGGGCCTGGTGAGGTAGTCACCTCTCTTCCCTCCACACTGCAGAGCATGGCTGCAAACATGAGGAAATACAGGCAGCTAAGAGCCTATCAGCCATTACTCTTATGCATTATCTACTGGAACACAGCCCAAACTACAACACCAAAAATATTTTGCTAAAATACCCCCCTGTGAAGCAAAGGGCAAGGATTCAGCCACAAATAAAGACCCTGTGCAGAGCCTTGACCCTGTAAAAACACCCAGAAACAAAGCCAACTGACTATACTCAACTTTCACCACAGTTAAAGGAACACCAACCCTCCCAGATAGAAATAATCAGCATAAGAACTCTGGAAACTCAAAAAGCCAGAGTGTCCCCTTACTTCCAAACAAGTCCACTAGTTCCCCAGCAATGATTTTTAACCACTCAGAAATGACTAAAATGACAGATGTAGAATTCAGAACCTGGATGACAAGGAAGCTCATCAAAATTCAGGAGAGAGTTGAAAAACAATCCAAAGGATCCAGTAAAATGATCCAAGGGCCAAAAAGATGAAATAGTCATTTTATAAAAGAACCAAACTGAACTTCTAAAGCTGAAAAATTTACCACAAGAATTTCATAATTCAGTAAGAAGTATTGACAACAGAATAGACCAAGCTGAGGAAAGACTCTCAGAGCTCAAAGACCTGTTCTTTGAATCAACTCAGCCAGACAAAAATAAAGAAAAAATATTTTTTAAAAATGAACAAAACCTTTGAGAAATATGGGATTATGTAAAGAGCATTGGCATTCTTGAAAGAGAAGGAGAGAGAATAAGCAACTTGGAAAATATATGCGAAGCTGTAGTCCATGAAAATTTTCCTAATCTCATTAGAGAGGATTACATGCAAATTCAAGAAATACAGAAACCCCTGGCTAGATACTATATAAGAAGCCCATTCACAAGGCACATAGTCATGAGATTCACCAAGGTCAATACAAAAGAAGAAATCTTAAAGGCAGCTAGAGAGAAGAGACAGGTCATATACAGAGAGAATCCCATTAGAATGGCAGCAGATCTCTCAACAGAAATATTACAAGCCAGAAGAGATTGGGAACTATTTTTAGTGTCCTTAAATAAAAGAAATTTCAATCAAGAATTTCATATTCTGACAAACTAAGCTTCATAAGTGAGGGACAAATAAAATCCTCAGACAAGCAAATGCTGAGAGAATTTGTTTCAACTAGACCAGCTTTACATGAGGTCATTTAGGGAGTGCTAAACATGGAATCAAAAGCATGATATCTGCTACCACAAAAACGCATTTAAGCACATAGCCCACAGACACTGTAAAGCAACTACACAATCAAGTCTACATAATAACCAGCTAACAATACAATGGGAAGATCAAAATCTCACATACTAACCCTGGATGTAAATTGGCTAAACACCCCAATTAAAAGACACAGAATGGGGCCGGGCATGGTGGCTCATGCCTGTAATCCCAGCACTTTGGGAGGCTGAGGCAGGTGGATCACATGAGGTCAGGAGTTCAAGACCAGCCTGGCCAACATAGTGAAACCCCATCTCTACTGAAAATACAAACATTAGCCAGATGTGGTGGCACACGCCTGTAGTCTCAGCTACTCAGGAGGCTGAGGCAGGAGAATTGCTTGAACCCAGGAGGCAGAGGTTGCAGTGAGCTGAGATCATGCCATTGCACTCCAGCCTGGGCAACAGAGTGAGACTTTGTCTCAAACAAAACAAAACAAAAATCAAAAGACACAGAATGACAAGCTGGATAAAAAGATAAGACCCAACCATCTGCTGTCTTCAAGATACCCATGTCACATGTAATGACACCCACAAGCTCAATGTACAGGAGTGGAGAAAGATGTACTATGCAAATGGAAAGCAAAAAAAGAGCAGGAGTCACCATTCTTATATCAGATAAAACAGACTTTAACCCAATAACAATTAAGAAGGACAATGAAAGCACTACATATTGATAAAGGATACTATCCAGCAAGAAAACTTAACTATTCTAAACATATGCACACCCAACACTGGAGCACCCAGATTCCTAAAACAAGTTCTTCTCGACCTACAAAAAGACTTAGCCACACAATAACATTGGAAGATTTCAGTACCCCAATGACAATGTTAGATAATCATCAAGGCAGAAAACTGACAAAGAAACTCTGGACTTAAACTCAACATTTGCCTATTTGGACCTAATGGATATCTACAGAACACTGTACCCAACAACTGCAGAATATGCATTCTCCTCATCCGCAAACAGAACATTTTCTAAGTTTGGCCACATGCTCAGTCATAAAGCAAGTGTTAATGATTTTTAAAAAAATCAAAATCATACCAAGCACACTCTTGAACCACAGTGCAATAAAACCAGAAGTCAATATCAAGAAGGTCTCTCAAAACTATGCAAATACATGGAAATTAAACAACTTGTTCCTGAATGACTCCTGGGTGAACATCAAAATTAAGGCAGAAATCAAAAAATTATTTGAAATTTATGAAAACAGAAACACAACTTGCCAAAATCTCTAGGATACAGCTGAAGTAATAAGAGGAAAGTTTGTAGCGTTAAACATCTTCATCGAGAAGTTAGAAAGATCTCAAATTAACATGTAATAAATGTACACATGTAACCCCTGTATCTAAAATATATTAGGTTGGTGCAAAAGTAATTGTAGTTTTTACCATTACTTTCAATGGCAAAACCACAATTACTTTTGCACCAACCTATAAGTTGAAATTTAAAAAATAAATAAATTTTAATACTTGGTTCACTTAAAGGTTTCTTTGTAGTTACACATTTACATAACTAATTTAGCATATGATACATATTTTATATAAGCTGTGTATATTGTATATCATATATAGCTGTATATATCAGTATGTAATATATATTATAACTAATTGTATCAATATCTGTGTATCTAAAATCTTTCAACCTACCTTTTCTACAGTGATGGAGTATTGTATCTGTTATTCTGTAGTCAGCTGAAATAGCAATTCTCCAACAACCTGGAGAAAGCCTCCAGGTCCCACATAAAGCAGATTTGTATAATCAAAGAAAGCAGAAAATCCTTGAGAAAAAAACAGACATTTTTCAAACTTTCAGCATTTGCTGGATTATAAAAGGAGGCACATCCAGGCTGACAGTTATTAGAAGATCTCAAGAAATCATGTTAGTAAAACTTCTGTAGCACTATTAACTCCCCTTTGGGCAGAGACTGAGAAAGATGAAAAGGATCATGCCCAAAGAGGTCAGAGCTTTTGAAGTACCTCGTTTAATTAAAAGGTGAAAGTTCTGTTAATTCAGATATAAAAAATTTAACAAGTTAACATGTCAAGTAGAAGCCCTGTTCATGTTAATCATGAAGAAAATGACAAGCTGCTGCTTCTTTTTTTTTTTTTTAAATTTTGGCGAGGAAAGGGAATATTTAAATTTTACAAATCAGATGAAATGTTATTTTTCAAACAGTTGATAAAATAATGTTTTTGTCAATTGCAAATGAATTTTGACATAATTTATTAATGCATTAGAGTTCATTTTAAAACATTTTTCAGCAAATAAGATTTTATGAAAGGAAATACTGCTTTAAACAAGTCAGTGTGGTCCCTTGTAAGTGAGACAGTAAACACAAAAGTGTAGAAAAAAGTCTCACTAAAGCTGTCATCTCCTAGTCTCAGTACAGAAGTCTGGATCTAAATGTATGCATGACTTTGAATGCATGACTCATACTTCGCTAAAAGCAGTCTTACATCGAATGAATTTTTCAAACAAAAAGATCCTGAGCTAACTGGATTCGATTCATACAGATGTACAGGGGAGTTGGGGTGGGGGTTATCTTCTTTTATTTTAGAATATTAAAACAAAATTATTACATTAAGACTGCCACAATCATTTAATTCAATGACAAGAATCATCTTTAAATGACTAGTTGAGAGGCAGTCGCAGTAGAGAATTAAGTGGCCTGAACAGAAGACTGACTTTGCCAACCACCTTGACCATGAGAAAATGATTTCTGTCCTCAGCAAGCCGCCGTGTCCTGTGTGTTTTTGAGGAAAGCACATGCAAAGAGACATAGAAACGTTTTGTAATTAGCTGCACTTTTAGATTTGAAAAACAAATAAAAACGATAGGGAGCTAATATGGTCCAGGAAGTACAGAGAGTAACCTACTTCTTGACCTAAGCAAGAAAACCTAACTGCCCTAGAACCCAAGCAAGCTAAAGCACATGTTTTCAGCCTACCAATTTCGTGGAGGTTCAGATTCTATGACCTGAATGGAGAGAGTTAGGTTCAATCACCTGAACACCTGCTACAAATAGGGGGTTATGTGTTCCCAGCAAGAATGGAGGTGGAGGTGGTAGGTGCCCAGGTGCCACACTTTGTATAGCTTTAGGGCATTAGTACACAGTACCCCAATCAGACACCGAGACGGAAAGCCCTGGAGTTCCCCAGGGCCTCCATTCTCTGCTCTTCTTTCTCTCTCTATAGCTCTAGCAGGAACAGGACTTAAAGAATATCCCAGTGTGTGGCTGCCGTTTATTTTTAGGGAACAAATGGAATATCTTGAAAGAACAGATGAGGGGGCTGGATGTGGTGGCAACTTGGGAGGCTGAGGTGGGAGGACTGCTTGAGACCAGGAGTTCAAGACCAGCCTCCACAACATAGCCAGAGCCCGTCACTACAGAAAATAAAAAATTAACTTGGCATGATGACACACGCCTGTAGTCCTAGCTACTCGGGAGGCTGAGGTAGGAGGATCACTTGAGCCCAGGAGTTTGAGCTATGATCACTGATCACACCACTGCACTCCAGCTAGGGTGACAGAGTGAGACTCCATCTCAAAAAACAAACAAACAACAAAAAAAAAAACCCCCCAAAAAAACCCAAACAAGTAGGTAAAGGTGAATACATCAAATAAGATTAAACACTTCATTCAACCCTGTATCCTAAGGATCTAATAGATTTTCCATCTTAGCATCCCAAATCATCTCTTCGTATTGGAATCCTGCCTGACTTCCTGAGACACATGCCAGGAGGTTCCCTTTCATCATCTGGTAAACATTTCATTCAGACTTGGACATAATGATGGCAGGCCTGGCAGTGCACTTGCACATGGTATTTCAGGGCCTGCTTCCTCAAAGCAAGTGACCTTTCTTTGTCATTGAAATACACCAAAGAAAGTCTAAAGCATGTTACACTGTCTTCAGTTTCTTTTTTTTCTGGAATCTGTCCACATTTTTAGCAAACAGCTGTGAAGCAGCCCTAGGCTTAGGAAACAGAAAGGAAGGAACCATGGGTAGCAGCCTTGAGCTTAAGAACCAGCAAATTTCACCAACGAAACAGTCACGGTGCTTCTTTCATCTCTCCCACAACATTCTGACTGACTGTCAGGTTTTGGGTATATATATATATACTTTATTTTTAAAAGGGGATTTTGTGTCTGTGTGTGTGTGTGTTTTAATAGACTTTACACTTTTAGGGCAGTTTTCTTTTCACAGCAAAATTGAGTACAGAAATTTCCCATATACCTCCTGCCCCTGCATATGTACAGCCTCCCCCATTATTAACATCCTCACCAGAGTGATAGATTTTTTACAATTTATGAACCTACATTGACACATCATTATCACCCAAAGTCGACAGTTTACATTAGGGTTCACGCTTGATATTGCATATTCTATGGGTTTGGATGAATGTATAATGCCATGTATCTACCATCGTAATATAACACAGTAGGTTCACTGCCCTAAAAATCCTCTGAGCTCCACCTATTCATCCCTCCCTAACCCCTGGCAACACCTAATATTTTTACTGTCTCCATAGCTTTGCCTGTTCCAGAATGTCATCCTTATAGTTGAAATCATCTTCTAAGCGTTTTGTAGTTTTGCATTTTACTAGATTTAATTTTTAAGAAGAGTTTTTTATTTACGGAAGAACCTGAGCAGAGTACAGATAACTGCCATGTAACCCTCTATATTTGATTTTAATGATGATAAAATCTTTTATTATTTTATAGGGGAAAAACAGAAAAGAAAGACTCAAATCCTATTTTTCAAAAAGATAGAAGACAATTGGTTTAGTTCTCAAGTGATAGCTGATATCTGGTAACCCGGAACAGGTTTTATGCCCCCTTCAGGCAGGAATTTTATTTCCCAAAGGGCATTTTCTTTGTCCCAATTTACCGCTAGCTCAGACATTTTTATTACGATGGTTTCCCGAGAGTGTCTTTTTCTCCTTCTTAACCACCATTGTATCACGTTTTAAGTTTACAGACCTTTTATCACCCACAGCAATTTCTGAGCAATTGATGGTGCCACCCATAATATCAAGTTATTGTCATTAAAACCAGTGCATTTTCATGGCAGCAGTTGTCACATTTTGCAAAGAAGTGCTTGCCAGACATGTAAGTCACCGCAGCCCTAACAAAAGTGCAAATAAACTGCTTGTCATCAGTGAAAAGAGTCTTCCAGAAACTGGCATTCTAGGGCTAAATCTTTTCAAACTCTGGTCCACTGATCTTAAAAAGACAAGAGTGTGGGTGCATTCGTGCTCCTTAATGATTGTAGCCCACCCTAAGAATTCTGTTTTATTTTCTACCATCGGGAAATGGCTAGTCCATTTCAATGAGAATTGATCCATTGTTCCTCAACTTTGCACAAGCTCTTTTGAGTGGATAGATAAGTTTTGAAGCCTTGCCAAGCCTAGTATCATTAGCACGATGCTTCCATTCCCCTTATAAAGGGAATGGTTGACACTCAATGTCAATGGTACACAATTTGCAAGTTTGAGAAAGCTTGGGGAATCTTCCCATAAAACCAGGCCTTCTGGACACAACTGTCAGCCCACAAAGAGAAAAAGGAGGATACTGGTTGCCATTTGGAAAAGATAAATGATAGCATCTGCCCTGATAACTTACAAGACACATCACTGTCTTTCAGGGTTGAGGGAATAAGAGACATCTTGTTACCTTCATCCGGCCTCCTAAACCACCCTTCATCAATTTCTGTCCATATATTTTACTCTTTACATTTGACTTATTCATAAGACCATGGTTGTGCCATGGTGGAAGGGGGAATGTTACCAATGTGGACCATTGGTTCTAGCAAAAGCCCTAATCACTGAGAATTCTACTGGAGGAGAGTCATTATAAAATGAGAATGCTACAATGAAATAAAATAAAATCACAGAGAGTTATAATTATGTAGCCAATGAAATAGAAGATGATTCTAGGGAAAATTAGCATGTCACTGTTTTAGTCTTCTTTCCTATTAAAAGATGGCATTATTCACTCAGCTGGCGAATTTATTGTGTAGCATGGATTCGATTAGTGCTGTTTCCCCACTTATGTCTTTAGTAATTACATTTCTTCATGGTTATTTAAGCCCATGAATCATAAATCATCATTTATAGTTGAGCAATTACCTCATCATGTAGCACTTCAAATGGATAGAGACGCTGTACTTGGTGTCAAACATAAGCAACTGTGCGTGTCTTGGTACTATATTAATATATATCAGTAAAACCTTGAATATAGAATAAAAATGTTATCTACAGCCCTCATCGAGATTCCAGCCCAGGACTCAGCAAGCTTTCTCTGTAAAGGATCAGAGAATAAATATTTTAGGCATTGCTGGCCAACAAGACATACACTCTGCATTTGCGTCAAGAAAGCAGCCACAAACCGTGCAGAAATGAATGAATGTGGCTGGCTTAATTCAGGGCAGCACAGAACAAGCATTGGCCAGATGTGGCCTCTCAGGCTGCAGTTAGCTAATTCCTGTTCTAGCCCCAGGATAGAAACTGAGTGTTACCACATGGGCCACCTCTGGATACCTCTGAATATTGGTGAAGGCTGGCTTAGAAGGGATTGGAGAGGAATCAGTGAGTGTGAATACATTGGAATAGAGTACTCTGATTCCCAATACTAGATAAGTGTTACTAATTCCTTAGTGTGTACTAGCCTCTGTGTTGAGACTTACATCCCCCTAAAACAAATCAGAGCTTGTCTTACTCTTATTACTCCCATTTTACAGATTGACAAGATGAGGCAAAGTGACATTAAGTAGCTTTCCTAAAATCTCACAGATGAGAAGTGAATGTCTGTGTATGAAGAGAGTAGAGGGGAGAAGGGCAAGCAGGATTTGAACTGTAGGGGCCAAGGGAAAGCTTCCCTCTCCGCTCCAAACCCTTCCCCCCACTGAAGGTTCAAGTCTACTGAAATGAACTGACAATAGACAGATTAACAGAAGAAAAGTTAAACAAATTTACTAACGTGCATAAGCATGGAAACCATACAAAATATGAGACTCAAAGAAGGCACTGATGGCTGACAGTTAAATACCCTCTTCATAGGAGAGAGGGGAATGGAAACTGTAGGCAATTGTGAGGGCTAGTAAATTATTTTCAAGAGAAATGAATGAGCCCAAAGAATACACAATGGCTGGGACAAAGTTCCTCGGAGCTCTGGAGGAAGTGGAGGGAAGGTGAGGAGCAGAATTGCACAATGAACAAAGGTTGACTTATTATGCAAATGAAATTTCCCAGGTAATCTCTTGGAACCGTCCTCAGAAGAATAGATGAAAAATCTCTCTGGGCACATGATAACTTTTGGTCTTTTCTCTTCTTCAGTGGTTAATCATTTCTGATTATTTCATGAGATTCCAAGGGAGGGGGCCTTAAGACAATTAACATGTCTTTTGGAAGAAGTTTTCCTTTGTCACATAAGGGAATTTCCAGAGAGGCCCTACCTGAGCATTGGAGGCAGAAATATGAGAAGATTAGAAAGTCTTTGAATCTGAGGCAACTTCTAAGGCCTTCCAATGTCCTTTAATTCAAAAGTTCTCAGCATGCCAAAATAGCAAATGACACTTTGAGGTATCATTCTCTGAGTCCCAGCAGAACCAAGACCAGGAAACAGGATGATGGAGGAGGCCTTAGGCCATGGGTTTGTTCTTCCAAACCAGCCTCTTAAAAAGAAAATAAACTGTTTTTCTATAGTCTCAACACTTCTGACAACAAATTTATGGGGATCCCCCCGATACTAACCAATTCTGCAGTTCTCAGCTAATACAGACTGGGTGTCCTCAATTCCGATACTAACTCACTGGAGTTAACTCAGACTCACAGGTTAGGGGTTTGGTAGCACAAGACTGCCCACTCTTACCCCAACACTAATAGCAAGTAGTGGTCCCCAGGTTACCCACAACTTCTATCAGACTTGATTACAAATTGGGTTTGGCAATTTGCCAGAACAGCTCACAGAACTAAGGCAAACAGTTTACTTACTATTACCAATTTACTATGAAGGACATTTTAAAGGATACAAAAGAACAGTCATATGAAGAGGTGCATAGAGTGAAGTCCAGAAGGATCCTGAGCATGACAGCTTTGGCCCCATGGAGCTTGGGGTGCACCACTCTCCCAGCATATAGATACATTCTCGTTCATCAACCTGGAATCTCTCTGAGCTCCTCCATTTGGGTTTTTTATGGAGCTTCCATTACATAGGCATGATTGATGAAATCATTGACCTTTGGTGTTTGAGTCAAGTCTCAGCCTTTCTTCCCTTCTGGGAGGTTGGGGGTAGAGCTTAAAGTCCCAACTCTCTAATTACAGGGCTGGTTCCTCTGGTAAGTGGAACCCATTGTGAAACTATCCATGGGCCCACCAAAGTTTACCTTATTAGCATAAACTCAGGTAGCATCAACTATGGTTGAAAGGGGCTCATTACAAATAACAAAAATCTCTGTTACTTAGGAAATTCTGAGCTTAGGAATTTTAGGACCTCTCTTTCAAGAGCTAGGGATGAAGATCAAATATATGTTTTTTATTATATCACAATATCACACCTCTCCTAAATCAGTAATGTTTACCTTTATGATCTCATATATATATACATATGTATATACACACACACACAAACACTATAAATATGTATATATAATATGTATATATATGTGTATGTGTGTTATATATATACATGTGTGTATAGACTTATATGTATCTATATGTGTGTGTATATATATTAACATGACGTGTTAACAATCAACAGTCAATTGTTATTCACATGTGCCTAGCTTCTACGTTTTAGTTACTCATCATCATTGAGACTAAAATAATCTAGAATATTAAACAGCCTGTAACTCGGGAAGTAGAAAAAAGCATTAAACATTTGACATAAATAATTTATTTGTACTAATGATTGATTTGAACTAATTTGAGGGGGTAACTTGGGTGGGCAGGCACAGACACACAGATGAGCATATATGGCCATGAAAATTTTATATTTAGGGAAAAGCCATGAGATGTCACTCAAATTATCAAGATGTATTGATGTTTACAGGGTTCTTTAACTCTTTTGTAAAATAATTGTTCAGAAAACCCCTCCACACATCACTAAATAGTTATAATTTTGATATGTCTCTTTGCAGCTTTTTCTTTTACATTTTTTCTTCTTAATATTTATGTATCAGAGCATTATATAGCTATGTCTATCCCTCACCTATCTACCCATTGCTTAAATTTAATAAAACAGTATATACACAATGCATACATGGACAATATGCTACTTCCTCCTTGAATCTTTCACCACAAATATTGTCCCATGTTACTGAAAATTTCTCTTAAGCCACGATTTTTCATTTTCACAATTTTGTCCTTTGACTTGGGCATACATTATTTGATCATTAAAAAAACATGACATTTTAGATGTTGACTCATTTCTGCTATCATAATTAAAGCTGTAGTGGCTTATTTAACAGTAAGTTTAAAAGTGTGCTGATTATTACATTTTTTGCATGATGGAGATGAGAAAAAAACATCTGTAGAACATAGAAATGTTAGAATAGGTTAAAGACGTTGCTATCCGAATGTGTTGCCTCTGTATTGTGTTTTAAAAGGTTGTGCGAATGTTTGTTTGCTTTTATCTCTTTGGCCATGTTTTGTCATCTTTGGTATCATCTCATCCTCTGTGCTTTGTGACTGAAATTGAAGTGTATTTGTTCAGAACACAATGATACTAGATCGTTGATTGCCTACAGCATTATGGCTTGGAAATGAACACAGTAAACAGAACAGAGAAATGGAGTTGTGCAGTTCCAGGAGTGGATTAGTACGTTATGTTGTTGTAGAGCAGTGTGTATTCAAAAGATTTAAAGATGCCTTATCAATGGAGACAAAGATTATTTTCAATTGTGAGTGGCTTAACAACATCACTCACTCTGACATGGCCTAAATGCTAATTTAGGTGCTAAACCAAAACAAAATTAAAAAAAAAAAAAACACCAGGTGAAGAGCATTTCCTACAAGCTTGAATCCAGAGAGAGTTCATATATAAGTTTACATATTTATGTATAGTATGCAGTCATTACATATCTGACTACATATACACATGGTAACATGTTATCTATATGTGTTTATGCACAGAAATGCATGACAAATACTTGTTATGGCATGTGATGAATATGTTCTTCATGTATGCTCACCTAAACTATTTACGTTGATTTAATGAAATTGTTCTGTCTGAAGAATGCCACTACAACGTTAAGAATTATCCCTCTGTACCGTAAATGAATCTGAGTTATCTGAAAATCATAGCCAAAAATCTTGGAGTCTTGAAAAATTCTAGAAAAGGAGAGTATTTCTCATAATGTATGTGAAATAAGGAAATAAATCTTTAATTTTACAACCCAGAGTTTTAGTTTTTACCTATTCACAATAATCAGGCAGGGTCCCATCCTCCCAGGGTAAGCTGTAGTCAAGGCCTGGGAGACCAAACTGTAAACCAGAAGGGAGATTGTCCCAAGATTTTTGTTTTTCTCAGGAAAAGATGCAAAATATTTGTGACATTTACATCTGAAACAGAAGGACATTCCAGAGATTTCTCAAATCACTAAAAATAGAACTACCGTTCGACCCAGCCATCCCATTACTGGGTATATACTTAAAGGGAAATAAATTATTCTACCAAAAAGACACATGCATGCGTATGTTAATTGTAGCACCATTCACAATAGCAAAGACATGAAATCGAGCCACGTGCCCGTCAATGGTGCAATGGATAAAGAAAATGTGGAACATATACACCATGAAATGTTATGCAGCCAAAATTATATCTTTTGCAGCAACATGGACGCAGCTGGAGGCCATAACCGAAGCAAATTAATGTAGAAACAGAGGACCACATGTTCTCACTTATAAGTGGGAGCTACATCTTGGGTATACATGGACATAAAGATGGGAACAATAGACACTGAAGACTCCAAAAGGAAGGAAGGAGGGAGGGAGAAGGGCAAGGGCTGAGAAATTTCCTATTAGGTACTATGTTCATTATCTGGGTGATGGGATCAGTAGAAGTCCAAACCTCAGCATCACATATTAAACCCTTCCAACAAACCTGCACATGTACCTCCTGAATCTAAAATAAAAAATAAAAATAAAATTAACAAATGAAACAGAGGACTGTGAAGACTTATAGTTTATTGTTTTAGCTGATTTCCTTTTCCCACTACCCACTTTAATCTTTTTTGGGCAATACTCACTGTATTAGTTCGTTTCCACGCTACTGATGAAGACATACCCGAAACTGGAAGCAAAAAGAGGTTTAATTGGACTTATAGTTCCACATGGCTGGGGAGGTCTCAGAATCATGCCAGGAGGCAAAAGGCACTTCCTACATGGCAGTGGCGAGAGAAGAATGAGGAAGAAGCAAAAGTGGAAACCACTGATAAACCCATCAGATCTCATGAAACTTATTCACTATCATGAGAATAGCAAGGGGAAGGTCTGCCCCCATGCTATTCTCATGATAGTGAATAATTCTCACGAGATCTTACGTGTAGACCTCAGATAAGGGGTGAATGAGGACTGAACTCTGACTGCTGTTCTGTGTTCTAAGTTTCTGAGGTGGCTGGAGGAGCTTTCACCTATAGGCCAAGCTCAAATTCCTTTGTCTAAAACCCCCAAGTTTTTAGACAAAGCTTCACTTCCTTAACCAATCCCAAATCAGAGAATCTTTGAATCCACCTCTGACCTGTGGACCCCCCTTTCAATGTGGCTCACCTTTTTAGCACAAACCAATGTATAGCCTCCATGTATTGATTTATGACTTTGCCTGCAACCTCTGCCTCCTGCCTTTGAAAACCCTGACACACAAGGCATTGAAGAGTTTGGGTCTTAAGTGTTAGCTACTGTATTCTTCTTTCTCAGAGCCCTGCAATAAATGCCTCACCTTCTTTTGCTGCAAATCCTGTCAATGTTTGCCTTTGCTGTTCCAGGGGTGCTGGATCCAAGCTCGGTTCAGTAAGACGGAAGTCATAGAGCTGACTCGTGGTCTGTGGTACCAGGAAGGGCCAAAGTCAGGCCACACCAACCAGAGAGGTCTATTGGGTCCTGACAGGGACCAAGTGGTCAGCTCTCTGGGCTTCAGTGGTGACTTCCAGCAGGACAAGCAGTGACCAGGAGACCTTTAGGGTGCACTTCCCAGGAGAACATGGGAGCCAGAGAGGCTGTGTTCAGACACCCTGACTATCCCTCTCATCGAGTTAGGACAATTCACACACATGACCTTCCATGTACCTAGAGATCAGTATAGTGGTACCATTCAGAGAACAGACCATAGCAAGTGTGAGAGACTGAGATTAACCTCATAACAATTCCAAACCAGATGAGATTAAAGAATAATTATCCTCTAAAACAAGGGTGGAGTATCCCTTATCCAAAAATCCAAAATCCATAATGCTCCAAAATCCAGAACTTTTTGAGCACCAACATGACTCTCAAAGGAAATGCTCATTAGAGTATTTTGGATTTTTGATTTTCAGATTAGAAATGCTCAACCCCTAAGTAAAATTCAAAGATTCCAAAATCCAAAAAAATCCAAAATCTGAAACACTTCTGGTCCTAAGCATTTTGGATAAGGGATAGTCAACTTGTATGTGCATATGTACATATGTATATTATATGTATTATATACATACATAATCATATAGAGACAGAATACAAAGGATATACTTTTGTCCCTGAACATCCAAGTTGGTTGCAGTATGAATGAACTTTTGAGGAAAGCCTCATTGGTTATCTTCCTAGTTTAGTAGAGGCATTCCTTGGATCAGAAGGACTGTGTCCTATTTATCTTAATATTCTCAGTGCCTGGGAAAATGTCATCCACGGACCATCAGTATCTATATCTTCTGGGGGGTTGCTAGAAATGCAGAATCCCAGGCCCCACCTCAGACCTACTGAGTTAGCAAGTGCGTTCTAACAGAACCCTTGGCTGATTCGCATGCCCATCAAAGTTTGAGAAGTGCGGCCCTAACAGATGATCAGTAATCACTTATAGAAAGTATTTATAGAATAAATTTGTAAAATTTATTTTCACGTGCAACATTCATGAATAAATAAATGAATGTTTCACATTAATAAATAATTGAATAGGCTGGGCACGGTGGCTCACGCCTGTAATCCCAGCACTTTGGGAGGCCAAGGCAGATCACGAGGTCAGGAGTTTGAGACCATCCTGGCCAACATAGTGAAACCCCGTCTCTACTAAAAATACAAAAATTTTCCGGGCGTGGTGGCACGTGCCTGTAATCCCAGCTACTTGGGAGGCTGGGGCAGGAGAATCGCTTAAACCAGGGAGTTGGAGGTTGTAGTGAGCCGAGATTGCACCATAGCACTCCAGCCTGGTGACAGAGCAAGACTCCGTCTCAAAAAAATAAATAAATAAAAATAAATAAATAAATAAATAATTGAATAAGTGGAGTAATTAAAACTGAGTCCAGTTGTGTCTTTCTTTACTTATTTAGAATGCTTGCAGACAGAGGCTGAGTTCTGGCTTTCACATCCAGCTTCTCTTAAAGAAGGGCCTTAATTTTCCCCCTTCTTCTTCTTCCCAGACAGGACATCTTGGGGCCTGAAGTGGGGTGGGGTTCTTCCTCTAAGCCTTTCTGGCAGATGCACAGACAAAGTCTTAGCCTGTTCACTCCATGAATTGTAAACTGCAGGTTCCTATAGAATGTAGTTCTCAGAATGTGCACATTTATATCTGTGTGACATGCTTTTCCATTCCTTTTTCGTATCTGCCTATATTCAGAATAATATGCCTAGGACTCCTTGTCACAATATTCGACATCTTTAATTTTACTTGATGATTGTATAATAAGATGGCCCATGCCCTTGTCTGTCTGCTGACACTTAGCAGGGAGTTTGTTTAGTGCTGTGTATTATTTTGATTTATGAATAACTTCTGAGGATCAATTGGCATTGTCCTTGGGAGCTTCCTATCATCATTACTTTTGAACCATTAGTTTGATGCCTTTAGCAAAAGGATCTACGACCTTAAGACCTTAAGGACTCGCTTCATCATTTTGGAGTTGAGCAACCCCAGTTGAATTACCCTCCTTATGGTGTTGTAGGGCTTAGAATAGCAACTGGTACTTGGTAAGCTGAATGGGTGAGCTATTGCTCTTATTCATGCATTCATTCATTTAATAAGCATTTATTGGCATCCACTGTGCATTGGATATGAAGAATGTACATCCTAGCACTTTGGGAGGCAGAGGCAGGAGGATCACTTGCACCCAAGAGTTTGAGACCAGCCTGGGCAACATAGGGAGACCGTGTCTCTAAGATTAAAAAAAAAAAAAAAAAGTACAAATAAGCAAGGTCCTGCTGCTGCTGTCTCTGAGGTTCTCCCATTTATGTGGGAGAGATGATCTTCTGAATGATCAGTAATGAAATGTTATAAGAAATACCTTGAAGGTACAATGGACAGAGCTGTAAATTCCACCTGGAGGCAATGAGAGGAGGCATCACAGAAAAGGTACCGTTTAGGATGGGCCCTAAAGATCAGCCTGCATTTACCTTAATCTTCTCTCTCCATTCAGCCTGCGCAGGAAATCCCTGATCAGATTTCAGCCAGCAAAACAGATCAAGTAGCTTTTATGGTCCACGGAGCAATTTAAAGTGAGGTCTACAGAGCAATTTAAAGTGAGACTCTGTTTTAGGCCATTTCACTGCTCCTGTCCCCCAGTGAAGAAGAAAGGCTGGATTTAAAAAAAAAAAATCCTGGAGCCTGGTATATATCATGTTAGGAAAGCAGCCTGTTTGAATTCCTTTATCAGTTAGTGCATTTTGTTTTATTCAAATTGAATAAAAACCTTGCCCGAAAAGAGGTCGAGACTCTTCTCAATCTCTACATTTTATCTATCCCCTGAAATGCTTTTCCAATTCTTTAAATCATCACGGACAAGGGAAATTGTGCTCTCGAGAGGAAAGAGGGGCTTCTGTGACCAATGCTTCTGAAAATCCTCCAAGCTTACTTTTCTGTCAGGTCAATCAACCTGTCTATGCACTCTTTTATTTTTATTTTTTATTTTTGATAACAGAAAACAAAGTTCACACACGACAAGACATAACATGGCATAACATGAAAAATGCCACGCAACTCTGTGGCACTGAAAGCAAACGTCTTCAGACTGACTTAAAGGACATATTGTGTTTTCTTAAGTTAGGAAAATAAGCCCGCTCTGTAGCAAACAGCCAAGTGCTGGGGTAGTTGTGGTGCAGGAGTGTTCCCCTGGGCTTAAGGTCTGTGTCTATCAAAATGGCCAAAAGGTCAGTCCTGGCAGCAGGAACTAGTTCCTTTATCCTTTCCCTCTCCAATACCTGCCTCTTTGCAAATGTTTGTTTTTCCCACTGAGAAAATAAATGCACTGTGGAGATGGAGGATAAGAGAGCAGTCAGATGAGCGAACTAAATAAAGCAATCATGTTGGAGACAGAGTGGGGGAGATCAGCCAAGACCTTTAGAGGAAAACAGAGACCTGTGGACACAGAGTGGGGAGGTAAATGTCTGCAGGATCATCATTTTGAAGAGTCTTAAAGAAATAAGCTTGAATTATTTTTTTAAATCAAATGATATTATGACAAAGAGAATAAATTTTATCCTGAAAGCAAAATCATCCCTTGCAACTATTTAAACTTATGTTAAAATTTTTAGATGTCAACTTAAAATAATTCAGAGCGTTTGAAACTTATCAAAATTCTTTGAATGCCAAAGACTGATATTATGCTTGAATTTTCTACGTGAGCATGAATTAGTTTTTCTAATTCTAATTAGATATACTTAACCTATTTTAATTTGAAAACAAAGGAATTGGATGAATGCAATGGCTCATGCCTGTAATCTCAGCACTTTAGGAGGCCAAGGTGGCTGGATCGCTTGAGCCCATCCATGACTTTGAGATCAGCCTGGGCAACGTGGCAAAACCCTGTCTCTACTAAAAAAAAAAAATAATAATAATAATACAATAATTAGCAGGGCATGGTGGTGCATGCCTGTAATCCCAGCTACTCAGGAGGCTGTAGTGGGAGAGTCGCTTGAGCCTGAGAGGTTGAGGCTGCAGTGAGCTATGGTCATGACTCTGTACTCCAGCCTGGCCAATAGAACAAGACCCTAATTCAAAACAAACAAACAACAAAAATAAACAAATTAGTAATCATGTAATCTGAATGGGTGAGTTTGTAAAATTTTAAAGTAATGAAAACACTAAAAGAGTTACAAACTGTATGTAAAAATCCAACCATTAGGTGGAAAAGTACCTGTAGCAGACAGAAAGACAGAATCCGTAACTCTAATGAACAAAAAATAAATGTAAATTTAAAACATAAACAGAAAAAGAAACAGACTCTTTACATTTTTTTAATGTAAAACCAACTAATCAACCAACCAGAAACCCACCAAACATAACAAATTTCAAAGAGGCGCCAACTTGTATTTTGTATTCTGGAAACCATTAAGAATCTGCTTGTGTTGGCTGGGCATGGTGGTTTATGCCTGTTATCCCAGCACTTTGGGAGGCCGATGTGGGCAGATCCCTTGATGTCAGGAGTTCGAGACCAGCCTGGCCAACATGGGGAAGCTCTGTCTCTACTAAAAAATACAAAAATCAGCTGGGGATGGTGGCAGGTGTCTGTAATCCCAGCTACTCGGGAGGCTGAAGCACAAGAATCATTTGAACTTGGCAGGCGAAGACTGCAGTGAGCCGAGATCGTGGCATTGCACTCCAGCCTGGGAGACAGAGTAAAATTCCATCTTAAAAAAAAAAAAATCTGCTTATGCTTATCCCCTCAAGATCTTTAGTTTTTTAGTTTTGTTTCCCCTAAAGCTATATAAGCTCACATTCATAGATATTAATTATAGAGTTTTTCACTGGAAGGCATTTTAGAACCCTTTTGCCCACAGTTAAATATAATTCATGAGGAAAATGTAATGTGCCCAAGGATATGAATATTTCTTTTCTCTCCCTTATTTCCACATTATGATTCTGTATGGTATGAATTTATTAAGGCTCATGCGAGTTGAGTCCAGTTTACCCTCTCAGGAGATTACACTCCCAGCAGCCCTAATAGAGTGTTGTCACCTAGTATTCCTCTGTGGATTTTTCTTAGCATATGAGGCTTTCTCTTATTTTTTTTTTCTGATCCCTGCCTCAAGGCCAGTGGCTTATCAATGGAGTATTGAAGTAATTGGGCACGTGAAACAACAGAATGGGTTTCACTCCACTTTTAAGCGTCTGATATGTGCTAGTAAAATGGACAACTGAAGCTTCAGGGATACAGGGATTGCTTCTTTTCCAAGCACCACTATCCTGCAACCTGTACCAAGTTATTGTCAGTGGATTTTTCCTATACAGACTTTGGGCAAACTTTCTCAACCTTGGCACTGCAGACTTTTTGGACCAGATAATTTTTCATAGTAGGGGCTGACCTGGGCATTGGAGGATGTTTAGCAGAATCTCTGTTCTCTACCCACTGGATGCCAGTAGCACATCCTGCCTCCAGTTGTAAATTTAAAAAATGTCTTCAGACATTGCCAAATATCCCCTGGGTGAGGGCATAATCATCCCTAATTGAGATCCCTGGTTTAGAGTAGTTGGAAAGCCCTAATTTATCTTATTGGAGAACTGACGTATTACAGCAAACAATAATAACAACAACAAAAATGTATGTTCCAATGTTTGGAGGTATTCTCCTAACCTAAGTGTGCACAAATGTCTGCCCTACAGAATGGAGACAGTGTCTATATATATAGTGTGTGTATGTGTGTGCATGTACACACGTGTGTGCCTTCTTATATACCTCCACACACAGGGTGAGTGGAAATAATCTCTTCTCCTATAGATAATATGTTGAGTAAGTGGTGCTATAGTGTTTGAATTACTCCAGCAATTCAAGTCCCATCGTGGGGCACCATAACAGAATGAGTTTTTTCCCATCTACTCACACGCCACTCAATATAATTCTTCTGACACCAGATGGGTGGGCATTTGTCCCAACACGCCAAGCAATTCTCCCACGGACACCAGCTGGGATTCCTCTAGTTAAATTAATTTCTGGCACTATCTACCCAGAGATGGTGTCAAATCCCACAGGTTGAAGACTGAGTCCCACAAGACTGCCCCCCACGCTTTCAATGCTAGTCACAAGTCCCAGGTTGTGACCTGTGCTTCTGACTGGCTATAAATTGGGGGTTCCCACAACCTCCTCCTCAGGTTCAGTGAATTTTCTAGAGTGGTCACAGAACTCAGTGAAACACTTTACCCATTTATTAGGAAGGATATTACAAAGGATACAGATGAATGGGCAGATAGAAGGGATTCACAGGGCAAGGGATGTAAGGGTACATGCAGAGCTTCCATGCCCTTTCTGGGTCCATCATCCTCGAGGAAGCTCCGTGTGTTCAGATATCTGGATGCTCCCTGAGCCCCATCTGATATGGTTTGGCTGTTTCCCCACACAAATCTCATCTTGAATTGTAGTTCCGATAATCCCATGTGTTGTGGGAGGGACAAGGTGGAGATAAGTGAATCATGCGGGCAGTTTTCCCCATCCTGTTCTTGTGATAGTGAGTGAGTTCTCACGACATCTGATGGTTTTATAAGGGGCTTTCCCCTCCTTTGCTCTGCACTTCTTCCTGCCATCATGTGAAGAAGGACGTGTTTGCTTCCCTTTCCACCATGATTGTAAGTTTCATGAGGCTTCTCCAGCCCTGTGGAACTATGAGTCAATTAAACCTCTTCCCTTTATAAATTACCCAATCTGGGGTGTGTCTTTATTAACAGCAGGAGAAGGAAGTAATATGCCATCCTTTTGGGCTTTTTATGGAGACTTTATGATGCAGGCATGATTGGTTAAATCATTAGCCATTGGTGATTATGCTATAGTCTGAATGCATGTATGCTCCCAAAATCATACATTGGCTCCTAAGAGCCAATGTGATATGATAGTATTAAGAGGTGGGGCCTTTTGGGAAGTGATCAAGTCAGGAGCACTCTGCTCTTATGAGTGGGATTAGTTCTTTTAGAAAGGAACTTGATGGGAGCTCTGTAGTCTTTTCAGCCCCTTCCTCCATGTAAGGACCCAGCCACAGGCACCATCTCTGGAGCAGAGCAAGCCCTCATGCAACACTGAATTGGCAGATGCCTTGATTTGGACTTCCCAGTCTCGAGAACTGCAAGAAAAGAATTTCTATTATTTACAAATTACCCAGGATAAGATAGATATTTTATCATAGCAACATGAAAGGATAAGACAGTGATCAATTCAAACTTCTCCTTTTCCCTCCCCAGAGGTCAAGAGTTGGGGCTGCAAGCTCCAACCCTCTAATGACAAGGTTGGTTTTCTTGGCCATCAGCCCCCATCCTGAGGCTGTCCAGAAGCCCACCAAGAGTCTCCTCATGAGAAAAAAAACATGCTCCTATCACCCAGCAAATTCCTACAAATTTAGGAGCTCTGTGATGGGAACTGAGGGTCAAAGACCAAGTGTAGAAACAAATGATTCTCCTAGCAATCCTACATATGTGGTTTTAGGACCTCTGTACCAGGACTCAGGGGACAGAGAACAAAAATATATTTCTTAGTATGTCACAATATCACAGGCACTTTGGAGAGTATTGGAACTGGACACACATGTCCCGGGTCCTCCAAGCTATTTCCTGCCAGGTCATTACTAAGGTGTAGGTCGTTCCTCGCTCAAACACAGGCCAGTAGTGTCACACTGAGTGACTTGAGAGAACAGAAGTAGATATTCCTGCTCCTCCACTCATATCCCAGAAAAACCAATTGTATTACCAGGAAAAATTATGGTAGGTACTTGCTTCTTTGCTGTAGGTGCTGTCTTTTCTTTCTGCATTCAGCTTTCTTTAAATTAGCACCTCCTTCCTCCTCCTCCTCCTCCTCTTCTCCCATCGCCTCCTCCTTCTCTCTCTTTCTTTTTCACTCTCTCTCCCCCAACCCCCTTTCTCTCTTTTCTCTCTGTATCTCTCTGTATCTCTGTCTCTCTCTGTCACACACACACACACACACACACACACACACACACACGTGTGTTGCCCAGTTATGAAGGACGATTCTGATTTCTCTCTTTCAAAGAAAGAAAAAATGACTTCATAATCTCATTATCAATGAGATCTTAGTGGCTAAAGCATGGCTTCTTCCAAGATAGTATTTGAAAAAAGGTTCTTTGGGAAAATTCTTAACAAAGATTAGATTAATTCCAGGAAATATTTGTTAAGCACTGTCATAGGCATCTGACAAGCAAAGAAAAGTAAAGCATGGACATTCAGTGCTGCTGCAATGTGGTGTGTGTGTGTGTGTGTGTGTCTGTGTGTCTGTGTGTCTGTGTGTGTGTGTGTGACTGTTTTGGAGCAAGTGAGTCTTCCTGAAGGAAAACTAAGTAAGCACTTGATCCACCTAAACCTAGTCACAAATCTAAATGAAAAAGTAGGAAAAATCAGAACCAATTATTTGGCCATAATGAAGTGTCAGTATTTTAAGCTCTAAGAGATTCCTCTCTAATTTGAGAAGAATTGAGAGATTGCCCATTATGACCTATTGCTGGTATCTTGTTAATGTTTCTAATCATTTTTTTTTAAATGGTGTATATCTTTTTATCAATTACTTATACATTGCCTCCCTTCCTTTCCAGTAGCAATATTTATTTGTTTCCCATTTTAAGGGAGTAGGTCTATGTTGGACTTGAATTTTCGTTCCCTAATTGTTTAATGTATAAATACTTGTCTGTTCTCAGACATAGAAGTAGGCAGGGTTTCCACCTTCAAATTAAAGAGTCATAGCAGGATAGTTCAGTAATAACATATTTCTTTATAGAAGTAATTCACTAATGAGTCTTATATAATGTACTACTGGCTAAATCTATCTCCATCATGTAAGAATACATTTTATGCTTGGTCTTTTTTTCGTGATGGATGTTGCCCAGTTGTCTCTCTCCTCCTGACGAGTCGCGTACAGAGTGTGGGCACTATGCAGTTAACATAAAAGTGCTGGCTCAGCCAAGTTTCCCCAAATAGGCCCACGAAGCAGGTGGTTCCTCCCCAGTGGAGGCATTTGTCATTACAGACAGGATCTAACCACAGAAAAGGGGCAATCTGAGTAATGCAGAGAGTTTAGAAGCAGCATTGAAGTGTACATGCACACACACACACATTTGCTTTTTTTCCTCTTTCTTCTTAAAGCATCCTCTTGAACAACCTAAGGAGGAAGACAATTGCAGGCACACCAGGATCTTCATAGGACAACACAGTGCAGAATCCAAACTCCAGCAGTTTCTAATTTTACCAACTCAGGGGGGACTGAAATTGGGGACAGAAATAGCACAAAAACAATAGAAATGCATGTCATGAAGCCTGGACATGAACAAAGCAGGTTCTGTCATGCTGAACTTTGGGCAGACAGAAATGGAGGGACTGAGCTTGTTCTGCAATTCTTTTCAGAGCTATTTTGCACTTTTGAGACACTCATGTGGTTGAACATAACATATATAAACAGGAGTATAATAGCTAGTCAGAGCAGCAGCATGGAATTCATACCATTGTCTTTGTTACAAGTATTTCATAGTTATCTATAGCTTTTCATCCCTTTTGGTTTATATTTCAAGTGTCTGTGAAAGCACATCACATTGTGCAGCCCTGATCCACTCTTGTTTTTACTGGCACTCTGAATTTTCTCATTGGCCTCCCTTTGCCAAGCTTTGAAGCAAAGAAATCAAACAAGTAGGACATTCAGGTGGGTGGTCACTGGACTTGGGAAATTCTAAAATAAAGCAACTGATGAATAGCACATAGTTTCAAAGGGGCTTTTCAGCTGCAAGACATATAGATCCAGGTATGTTGGTGTAAGCCTCAAAGAATCTCCTAGCATTATGAGGGACATAATCAAAGGAGATTAGGAACATGAATCCAAGGCTTAGAAATCATTCTCTTGAAAGAGTGTGGAATCACTCACTAGAGTATGGAATTAGAGACTTATTAGTCTGAGTTTACAGTTTGGCTCTGTCACATAATAGCTGGGTATAAAAATTCCTACTTCATGTGGTTGGTAGAGGAATTAATTAAATTGCATTCTAGTTACCAGCAGGGGAGACAGGGGAGAAGAAAGTTGGACATGAAGCAGTGGAAAGCAAGGACAAACTGGAGCTTTCTAGGATAACTGGGCACTCATGGAGAGTATTGGAACTAGAAATACTCTCCAGTACTCATGGAGAGTATTGGAACTGAAAGCTGCAAGGACACCTAGAGCCAATAAGGATAACCTGGAGCCCATGCAGACTAGTTGGAGTCTACCAAGACAAACTGGAACCCACATCTATTTAATTCCACATTGAAACTGGACCATTCAGTGATCTGTAGAAAAAGCCAGTGCCCTTTGGATGAAATTGCATGTGGACCTGGCCTGGGGCCTGGAGTCACTGGAGGAAGTGCTTGGAAGGATTTGGAGGAGTTATAGGCCCAGTGACCACTCCATACCAACATGGAGTGGAAGTGACCAATGAAAACTTGAACTGGTACATCCTTGCTTGTCCCCATGTCAGCCTTCTGTAATGGCTGCTAATTCCTCATAACTTCCCTGTATTATTAAACTCAACTTGGGTTTACCCATTTGGCACAACAAAGCCAAATTCTGACATCAGGGTTTGCAGTGCGAGAAAGTGGGGGTTTTTAAGGCAGGGAGGCAGAGGCTACAGGCAAAGTCATAAATCAGTACACAGAGGCTATACATTGGTTTGACCTAAAAAGGCAGTTTATCTTGAAGTGGGAGCTTACAGGTAGATTCAGAAACTTTCTGATTTGCAACTGGTTAAGGAAGCAGAGCTTTGTTTACAGACTTGGGATCAGCAGAAAAGAATTTTCACTCTGTTCTATGGGTGTGAGTTCTTCCAGGCCCCTCAGGAATAAATTTAGAGCAAAGGATGGCAGTCAGATGTCAGTCCTCGGTCACCCTTTATCTGAGGTCCAGATCCAGGTATGTTGGTGTAAGCCTCAAAGAGTCTCCTAGCACTTTGAGGGACATAAAGGGAATTAGGAACATGACTACAAGGCTTAGAAATTCTTCTCATAAGACAGTATGGAATCACTCACTAGAGTTTTGGAATTACAGTTTGGAATTAGTTTGGAATTAGAAAATGGATGGCATTTTTCATTTGGTAGTAGCCTGGATTCCTGAAAAATTAGGGTCATATGTCAAGATATTATCTTTAGTGTCTATAAGGAACCAAACATTTTGGGACTGTAACTTCCTTAAATATTGTTTTAAGCTATTATTACGTCCTTGCTTATCAGGTTGCTTCTTTACTTCTCAAGGCTAGCTAGGTGCCTGGAATTTCCCTTGTAGGAACTCAAGACTTTCCTTTATTTCCATACATGGCAGGGGATGGGGGAAGGGCACTGGCAGGTCCCTCAGAGGGTTCTCTACTCCATCTCACCAGTCTCACAAAATTTTCTGTGTGGCCAACCTTAACCCAGAGTCATACAGGTAAACAAATTCTGAAAAGCGTAGAACTCCCTTAGCTACATTAACACAATAAAAAAACCTTAAACAGACTTTCTTCTATTACAGGTGAAGGTTAAATAGTCCTATCTTTAAAAACCAGACAACACTGGTTCTCTGAACTTCTGACAGTGAATTTCATCTGGTGCACAAAACAGCCTATTTCAGGAGATCAAGTGCACACTCAAATCTAGTCCTGCTGTATCCCAGGCCATGTTGAGAAGGCTTTTGGTTAGAACACTTCTTTCTCTGAGATCACGTAACTGCAGGAGAAAACACCAACATCAACAACCCGACCAAAATATTTTGATTTGGTGGATATTAGGTTCTAAGTTTTGCCTAGAGACTATTTAGAGGGGCTCAGAAATACCACGATATGTTTCATTTCTTAGTTCATGTCTCGTCTCTGTAGCATCATTTTCACCCCAACTCTGAAGATAAATAGCATTGAGCCATTGAAGATGAAACTCACTTATCAATCCCTATGTGGAAGATAATGCCATCGACCACCTTCTGTCTTAGGAATACATTTCAAAAATGGAAAGAATGCTTCTCTGACCTACTCTTTCACTTGTACCTCCTTATTAAAAACCAGGCCTCCTTTGAATAGGAGACTCAGCACATTTGTCTACCCTGCTGGCCCAAACCAAGTGAGCATAAATCCTTAAATCCTACAAGCACATGCACATGGTCACCAAGGCACAAGCACACCATGCAGTGTGAACTTGAGTAACCAATGAGGACTATTCCAGGACTTCCAGAGGTTCCTGTTCTGAGCCACTGTTACATCCTGGGAGATGGCCACTCTCCATTCAATGGAGATTTTTTCCCCCTTTTTGTAGCATGAGGTATAAGCACCTGGGTAAAGTGCAGTTATTTTTGAGTTTGACAAGTGAGCATATATTATTGTTTAGCATGCCTTCTTTGATGTTCAAGCTCAGGAGAAAAATCTAAAAAAATACACAAAACGTCCAGATAGAGGATTATTGATCTACACTTCAACAGTAAAAAAAAATACAATAGATTTTTCACCCACAGACTTTTTCCCCTTACTCTGGGAAAGACCTTTTACTAGCAAAGTATGACTCTAGATTGTCCTGGTCTGTAGATATACAAATATTGACATGGAATGCAACATAAAGCATACAAGTAGTTTATCACCCTAAGTTATTATCCTTTTTAAGGAATCAATCACTGTAAAATTGGCCATGTTGACACTCATATGGATATTACTTACTTGATAAATGTTGAAATAGACCATTCAAACAGATGCATTCTTAATATTTTGAAGAAATGCCCATCTTGAAAATGCTGCAGAGATTTTCCTCCATATATTTTTATCTGAAAAAAATTGGATTCAGCTACCAGAGAATGCTCCATATTTACTATTAGATTTACTGGAAACTGAAAGAACAGAATGATGTTGCCTCTATAGTCTGACATATGCTGGGCATATGTAAAAAGAAAATGAAAGAGTACGTTTGAGTATGAAATGAGCATTCCTTTATTTTTTCCCTGCAAAAATTTTTCCTTTTTTATTTTTTTACTGAAAAAATAAGGTACTTAACATTCTCAGATATATGATACTCCATATTTTGTCTGGTAACAGGGAAAAAAAGTTATTAGGATACAGTTTGTGAGTTTTTGAAAAACAACCTGCTATAGCACATACTCTGCCAGGTCTGTCAGAGTGAAATACCTTTGAAAATAGAACTGACTATATTTTATCTGCTTAGTTTAAAAATGGAGCGAGTTCCCTTGAAATATGATTTCCAAGTTTTGAAGTCATTATGAGTGAATGCATTCTATTCTAACTCCAGAGGCTTTCCGAGGGAGAAACTGATGGGCCCAGGAAGGAGATAGTCACCCGTCCATCCTGGTCTTGTCCATATAATTCAATAGGCTTCATAGAGACATCTTTTCTTTAATCAATTTAAATGTCATTTTTAAGACTAATTTGTACAGAATTGTTGTCCTTATTAATTCCCTTGTTCTCTATGGAGTGATTTTTCAGAAATCATTACTCTTCTCTCTTTTTGCAGTTTTAAAGCTTTGGGCATTAAAAATTAATTTTTCATTTTTTTCTTCATTTTGATCAATTTCCTGAAAAAGTAAAATGATGCAGAGTGTATACTATGGGGTAATACTGGCTGGTTACTAATCTTAAGTCTGCATTTACTAAATGTGTGATCTTAGGCAAATGACTGGACTTCTGGGTTATTCTAGATTACTTTTTGGTTTGTTTTATTGTAAAATGGGGATAATAAAAGTATCTATTTTATGAGGTTGTGGTGATGATCAGGAATATATGTGAAGTGTATTGGACATTACATGGTGTATAGTAAGCAAGTCAGAAGTGTTTGTTATTACCGTTACTACTTAACAACATTAAATTATATTAAACATTATTTAATAACATTGCTGACATTTGCTTTGCCAATGTAGGAAATCTCCTTCTTCAATCCTCTTGCTTCCATTCTCTTAAGCTAAGGTGATAGTTTAATCAATTTGGGGTAATGTTGATTTGATCTCATACCTGAATATTTGATATGCCTTAATTCCTCACTTTCAACTGTGTTAGGTTTTTGTTTGTCATTTTGTGTCCACATAGAGGAGGGACTTCAATTCAGCACTGATTTTTCACCTTGAAAAACAGCATAATAGCAGCTTTCCTTTGGGGACAATCAAAGACAAAAACAAGCGATCCACTTCCCCTGCCTAGCCCCTTTTCTCTTTTCCTCTCCATTTCTTCCAAACACACAGGTATTGCAGAAGGTACCTTTGAGGGCTGTGTGTGGGTAATGATGTGGGGAAGAGCCTGGCTGAGGCACGCCTGTCTATATTGACATTTTATTAAACTTATCTACTTACCATGTTAACATGTGATGCTTTTTATCAATTCCTTCCTTGAAGGAAGCACAGAATATCCATCATCTTTTAAGTGCTTAGTGCTTGTAAGTGTATGTCACTTCACAGAAAATAAATACTTTTCTTATGAGAAATTCAACATAGTTCGAGGGCAGCTCTCATGAGCATCTTCTGGTTTAAGTACCTGTCAGGACTTTAGCCAGTGCCGACTGGGGTTTGAGGTCCTTGAAATCACATATTGAGTACTGACCTGCAGAGAGGGCCCAATACATGTTATGCAAATGAATAGCTGACTGGAAGTTCATTCTCACTGCATTGCAACAAGTGGGTGGGAAAGAAGCAGGGGGAGAGGGAGGAAGGAGAGCTGAAAGGTAGCACCGTCACCCAGGAGAGAATGATGGGTGTCTGACCCAAGCCAGAGGCAAGGCATGTTGACAGGAGAAAACAGATTCAAGGGCCCATGGAAGATGAGAAATAGTGGACTCAGTCCCAGGTGTTCATTCATCCAGTGGTGGGAGAGGGAGGGTGGGGAAGAGAGGAGTCAATGATGAAGTTGTGTTTCTCCACATTGAAGGAGAAATTGTGATGCTTTTTATCAAGCTGGAGGGCACAGAAGGGAAGTCAAGGGTAGAGCACATAGGATACGTATTAATGAGATGTCCAAAAATCATGTCATTTAGGGTTCCCCAGAGCAGGAGACATCCCTGGGGAAACTGGTGACTTGTTGGCTCCTGGGTTGAAGGAGCTGGCAAAGGCCAGACTAAGACAAGAGGAGGGTCAGGAAGGAATGCCTTGGAACTGAGCCATTTCAGAGGATTTGGATAAAGGAAAGTGGGGGTCCACGAGAGATACTAAGAAGACATCAGAAAGGAGGGAGCGAAATGAAGATGTCCACGGAAAGCAGCTAAGAAGAGAAAACCAAGGATGCCATGTACAGCAATTGCATCAAATATACCAGGGACCAGATATGTCTATTTTAAAAACCTATTTATTTTATTGTGGTTGTCAGAGCCAAGGGAAAAGTTCACACCTTTGCCCTCTGAAGTTTTGCTGAAAAATCAACTCACAAAAAGCAGATTAATTGGAGAAAAAGCATATAAATTTATTTAAAATGTGCACACAGGAGACTTCAAAATGAAGACCCAAAGATACCGGAGAAATTGCCCATTTTTATGCTTAGGTTCGACAAAGTTTGAAAAGCTGTGTAGAAACAGGGTTGGACAAAAAGGGCCTGATCTAATGCTAATAGACTGAGCAGGGAAACCCAGCAAGACCTGTCTGTCGAGATTCTTCTTGGCCTCTCTGAGCAATATTTCTCCCTTCTGGGTGTGGGGCAGGACCCTCTGGGGTCTTAAAGCACTTAAGACTCTGAGGTCTTAAGACCCTCTGGAATAGGGGGTCTTAAGACCTAAAGTCTAACAAGGTAGGTCAGGGAATTTTGTTATGGCCAGGTTTTACACAGAAAGGCAGAGGGAAAATTAGAGTCATACTTTTAGGGTTTTATGGCTGAATTTGGAGAAAAGGGGTTTTGGTTTCTAGGACCTGCCTTGGGGAAGAGGGATTCTAGTTTCTGTGGTGCCTCTGGAAAGAATGGAACTGAGAGACAGAAGGGCAGGAGAAGATCAGAGAAATCCTTCTGTTTCTGAGACCTTCACTTTGGGATATTGTTTTATGAGCCCCAACATGATGTAATTTACATACAGTAAAATTAACCCTTTAAGTGTTCATCATGTGAATGGCATATACAGTGACAGTTGTGCAACACCACAAAATGAAGAAGATATAGATCAACTTTATTAACATCACTCTTCCTACACACCTTCCAGAAGTACATGCCCTTTTACACTTAACAGCATCCACAATGCAGGCCCTGGCCAGTACTCACCTGTTCTCTGTCCATATAGTGGTGCCTTTGCAAGAATGTCATATAAATGGAATTACAAAGTAGTCAGTCTTTGAATTTGCCTTCCTTCACTTAACATCATATACAAGAGATAAATCTGTGCCACTGCTTACAAGTGGTTCATTCCTCTTTATTGCTGAGTAGTATTCCATTGCATGGATGCAACCACATTCCCCATTCAAGGGGCATGTGTACTGTCTCTATTTTTTCATCTGTTAAGTTGAGTTAAGAAAATGTTACTGGTAACCAAGGCAAAAGCTGTTTTAGTTCAGTGGTTGGAATGAAAGCTGAACAGACGTTGGATGAGGAGGGAATGGGGAGTTGTGAAGAGGAGAAGGCAATTTTAGTTTAATATTTTATGAAATTTGGCTGGGAAGCAAGGGAGAGACAGTGATCTGTAGTTCCAATGAGAAATCAGCTGAAATGAAGATTGTTACTTTTATTGTAGGAAAATAGATATTTAATCATACTTAAAGGGGGATACTTAAAGGGAGAATACAGAGTTTTTGTTCCTGCTTGTTTGTTTGTTTTACTGTTATGATATATACACACCTGAAAAACATATCCAGTAGTTAGCAAAATTGTTGTCTAAAAATAGCAGGGCTCGTGGGAAGATATGTGGGAAATACTTTTCTCAAAATTTTTTGAACTCAACTTTCTAACCTAATTAAAAAAATAAATATAACTGTATCAAAAACACAGGAAATGCAGATGTTTAAAGTCCTATTTTTAAAAGGATGCCAAAATGAGTGTAGAATATTATCATAAAATAAATAGTGATAGTTTAATGGGAGGGGGTGCACAGAAGGTTTCAGAAGAAACAGGCAAAAATGCACAAAAGTCAGGGAGCACCAGGTAATAACTGCCAGAAAGAGAAAATGGGGTGAACGGGAATTGTTATAGTTCTCTTTTTTTCGTATGGGGCTGATGCCTTCATGCTTTTAAAAGTACACTTTGTATTCCTTTGCTGTTATTTGGTGGTATGAAACATTTATCTCTGGAATCAAAGTAATATAAGCCAATGCAACTTTCACATTTTTCTGACATTATTCTTCCATTTCTCAATGGCCTATCAGCTAATTAATGATAAAGAAATGGGTATGTATCTGTAGAAATAATGATGTTAAAGGTGCAGGAGAGACAAAGTAGGTGGAGTGAGGTCTCAAATAATTTAGGATGAGATAGCATGAATGTGAGTAATCCCTTAACCATGAAGTCCCTTTAGGAGGCATCTAAGTCAACTCCACCATCTTATGAGTGGACCACATTGAATAACTCATAGATCGTTAACTTCACCTCCCAAGTTTAATTGGAAACATTTTTCAATTGTTGAAATCATTATCTACCATTTTTTTAAGTGTTTAGTACACATCTCATAAAAGGCAAAGATACAGTAGCACACAGTGGATACATTTTGGATAAATCGCAAGGTGAAGAGTTATGAAAGCTATCAGTAGATTATTTCATTTTCATCTCTCTAAGTAAGCTTTCTATTCGTTCTATTGTGTGTCACATACCTTGTTCAAGTGTGAACTTATATTACCACCTCCAGCTTGTCAGGCAGAACCGGACAGGCTTGTTCAAAGATCAGGGCAACAACTTCAAAATGGCGGTGCCATATTGCAATGGCCACAGAATTTGAGGGGACTTGACCAGTGTTCGGGCTTATCCTAGATGAGGTGGTACAATATCAATTTCAGTCTGCGATGACCATAATCTAACAAGCAATTGTAATTCTTCCTTTTTCAATGCTCCAATAATTTCCCTGTTCAGGCTTCAATGATACATCTAGGAAGTAGTTTCATAATTATCTGTGCATGCATTGATATCCCCAATTAAATTTGAACTTTAAGAGCAAAAGGTTTATATCCCTTCATCTGTGAATTCAAGCTGCTAGTCTCCTGTCTAGCAGCCAGAATGTGTTACAATCAGGGACTATTGGATATATGCATGAAAAGTTAAAGAAGCATAGTTATATTCCAACTACTGTCCATTTACTTAAACTGACTACACTCATTCTATCTTTTACCACCAGACCTGAAGCACTATAGCTAAACATAAAGGTAGAGATAAAATACCAGAACCTGAGACAGTTCTAGGAAGAGTAAAGCTAACTCCCTGGCACAGCATTGCTCATAGACAGGCAGCATGAAGGAAGAGAGAGGGTATCCTGTGTGAGAAGCAGACCTGGGTTCAAATTCTGACTCTAGCATTTTGTAGCTGTAGGAGTCTGGGTAAGTTATCTAGTCCATTGCTTCTCAAAGTATAGTTTCATGAGCTGCAGCATCAGCATCAGCATCACCTGCAAGCTTATTAGAAATGCAGATTTGCAGGCTCCATTCCAGATGTGCCAATCCAGAACCAGAGTTCGAATTTTAACTAGGTCCCCAGGTGATGTGTGTGCATGTTACATTTTGAGAAGCACTGGACTAGACACTCTGAATTTTAGTTTCCTCTATTGTAAAATACAGAAAAATTATCAATCTTCCGAAATATGAAGTCTACAAAAATGCATGTCAAACACCTAGCAGATAGTGACTGTGCAAAAATGAAAGCTATTAATAACAGGAATAATAAAAAAAACAGTAAGAAGTTTAGATATTGAAGGTGAAGAGAACTGGAAGAAAAGACAATAGATATAGATATAGATATATCTTTCTCTCTGCCAATCTATGGCAATGAAGTTTCTAGATTTGTATTTAACTTCTATTATGGCAATGGTTCTCAAGTGGGGACTCTTTTGTCCCAGGAGATATTTGGCAATGTCTGGGAACATATTTGGATGCTATGGCTGGGTGGTAAAAATGTGACTGGCATCTAGTGGGCAGAGGCCTAGATGCCACTAAGCTTCCTACAATGCACAGGACAGCCCCCTATAACAAGGAATTATCCAGCCCCAAATGTTAGTAGTGCCAAGATTGAAAACCCCTGAAATAGATGCTTCTAGAAATGACACATGTTGCAAGTGGAGGTCTTCCAATAGGGACACAAGTGAAAACTATATAAATGTACTCAAAATATCAACTATGAGTTGGATTATGCAAATGGCTTGGGAAAGGAAATGAGGAATGAATCAAAGACTTTACCAAAAGAAACATTTTCCCCATCTCCAAGCTCAAGCTGTTCTATTAGTTGTATCTCCAAGAAAGTTAAATTGGTATAGTTCTTGTCCTCTAGGAGATTATAGTAAAAGCTGGGGATTGACTATTAAGGCATTTGATGATACGGATGCAACACATTATGATATAAAATGCGAGATATTTTATAAATCAAACGCTGAACAAACATTTAAAATGCGGGCTTATCTCTTTTAGTTACAAAATACTCTTAATGATTTTAATGCTCAACTTTATCTTGCCTGAGTACTTGGTTGGTGAATATTACTTGGAGAATTCTTTCATTTACAACAAATGGTCACATTAGTTCTCTGTAATAAAACACAGTCTGGGTCATAAAAACACACATCAAAAGAAAAATTTGCCTTATTTATTACTTCAATTTCATGCCCAAGTTTCTCTTGCCATGCCTCTTTTTATTAATTTTATGATTTTTATGGTTTATTTGTAAGCAGAGTGCTGTCCCAAAATGGATGAACCTGTTTACCAGTAAATCAGTAAACTGTAAACATTGCTATAAAATAAAGAATGTTGTTGTGATAAATCAAAAATGAAGAATTCTAGGTATCCCAAGAGAGCATTTTTGGTAGGTTACATCAGCTAACTCAACTCCTGCACCCATGAATCAGTAATGTTTGCTGGTTTATGAGCCTTGGAAAGCACAAATATTCCCATTTCTCCTGCTCAGCACATCTCTGTAGTAATAAGTAGGTAATTGGTTTTGTCCTATTACACTCTTTCTATATTACCCTTTGCAATAATCACATATAAATCCACAGGATTATGGTTTCCTTTATCATAAATTTTTCATACTCTAACTCCTTATTCTTCCTTTCTTAGTTGTAGCACATACTCCAGAAAAATATCACAACAGTCAAACAACACAGATGCTTTTGCTTTTTGTGTTCAAATTATTACATTTCTCACCATTAATTATTTTATTAATGCTGTAAGTGAACTTACCATCTAAAAATACATTATTTTTTTCTCTCCCATATATAGATCTCCTGGAAATCTCCAATACAGAGCAAAAATTCCACATTAAATTTCCATGGGGAAAGCAAAATTATCATCATATTAGGATACCATTCCTTTAAAAACTGAAAAGGGCCTTGGAGAAGAATTTGCACAGTTTTTCTACAGAGAAGAGTAAAGTTTTTACCCTATAGTACATAAAACACATAGATTTAAAAAATCCAAATACAACTAATTTTTTTTAATTAAGGTGAAAAAGAATTGCAGAATTTTAGGTAAAAACACATAACATTTTTGCCAGTGCTCAAGATATTTTTGACAAAATATTCTCCCTACCTTAATACCTTAATCATCAGACTAGCATGTTTTCATTTATCCTCTCTCTTTCTCTCTCTGTCTCTCTTCATGAGTATTCCTAAAGTCCCACTCAGAAAATATTTTTCCTTTAGTTGACTCTGAGTCAGCTGATGCAGACATTTTATTATTCATTGACTAAATTCCCCTTCAATGGGACATACCCTTAGTAGCAGTATTGTGAAGCTGAGGCGTCCATGTTTGTGTATGGGGAGCTTTTCATGCCCCTGTATCCCCGTGTTAGGTGTTAGTAGTATTGTCTGGCGTCACAGACTTGGACACTTAAGGGGAAATGTGTTCTTCTACAAGGGGACAGAGAAGAGCCTTGGGAGATCCAGGAGGCTGCTTCCTTTTCACACCATGTGTAATGGTCAGTGTTCATAGAAGACAGTATTAACCCTACCTGGGCAGCACTTGAGATGTCATGATTGCTTACATTGGTCTCATTCCATCAAGTAAAGAACCCTCATGAGTAGAAGAGCCATCTACAATAAAGAGGGATTTGAACTAGGTAGTGAAGGATGCAAGCGGAAAATACCATATGGAGTCTGTAGGTTCTACCCATATTTCCTGTTTTGGTATCTCACTTATTTACATTTTTAAATCAAATGCCTTATTTCCTTGTCTTTTGCCCTAAAATGATAGTGTATGTTGGCTGTGATGGCTAAATGTACCACTTACTACCTCTATTGTTGAATATTAACATGGATCCAAATAAAGCCAGAGAGGAGATAGATATTCCCATGATGTCCAGGACTCAAGGCTGGGCTTTCAGTTGTCTCCTTTCAGGGAGAAGTCAGTCAGGATTTTATTGTACATGGAATTGTTGCAACGTGTTAGGTGGAGGATAATTATGAAAATGTATATATGAAGAAGAGCCTATTTTTGGGTAGTGGAGCAGCAAGGAATTTCATGGGAGTTTTTGTTTTTGAACACATATCAATCATTCATCACTCCCCAGAATAGTATCTTCACTTCTTTGCGCGGTTTGCTATGTCTTCATCGTGTGCGGTCTTATAAGGGACTTTATGATAAAATGGCCTCCAAGAACATCGTGAAAGGGTGAGCATGTAATCCATGTTAGAGAAATTGGATTCTCTTTTCAAGGCCTTTGAATGTTACACAGGGCAGAAAAATAATTGGAGCTCATTTATCCCAGGAGCTGTACACAAAGAAGCAATCAAGCAATCATTATTTCCTGGATTCTGGAGACACCTTTGTCCTTGTTAGTTTCTGGCCCTAATTCTTTCTGAGCTATGAATGATCCTATTGTTTAAATCATTTTTGTTTCTTTCCTTAAGTTAGCTAGCAATGGTTTCTATCACTGGGACTAATAAATAAATCCACATTGACATTCCTTATGACTAATTTCAACATACGATAGTTTGTTAGGTGAATATGATTTACTTAAAATCAATTATCCGTCTGGTTCAAAACACTAGATTAGTCATTTTCCTGTTTTTTTAATCATTGAGGGTGCCCAGTGCAGAATATTGATATTATTGTAAATCTTATATTTATTACAGGAATTGCATTAATAACTGTAACAGTTTAAAATAAAAATCAGAATGCCTTTAGTAATAAAGATTCTTCCATTGAAGGACTCAAGACTGTGAAAGTCACAATAATTAAATTAACACAGTAGGGTTCCATTTCCTATGGGGAAATAGCTGCAGTTATAAACAACCATTAGTATTCCCAGTCTCCAAGTCACAACCAGTAGAATGAGGCCAGGCTGGGTATTAAGTCAGAGGCAGATTAATGGACATTCTGGTAATATGAAGGGTAGGAATGATTAAAGGGCAAACTCATTGCGACATGTTGTAAATGAGGCTGTAGTGATGTGGACCAAAACTGATGGGGCCATAACCACTGGTTGAAATTGAATCAGAAAACCCCTGTGTGGGCATAGATCACCACAATGCCAATAATTAAGAAAAGATACAGATGATCGATTAAGTTTGTAAATAGCATGTGACAGCTGATTTCTATGCAAATCCATTTAATGACAGCTAAGTAAATGAAATTGATTGATAAGTATGACTGTTTTAACTTGAGAGGTTTAACTAGATGTCATTGTCTTTTACAAACACTTCCACACCCTCCAATATTTTGAAGGTTAAACCTTTTGAAATTTCTCACCCTAAATTAAAATTAGACCAACAGAAAACATATGCATTGGTGAGAAAAATACCTGGAAAATGATAATTCATTGAGGTCATCCCTTCTAACCTGGACTACATACCTTATTTTGGGAAAATTAACAATTGCCCAAGGAAAAGCTACTACAATCCTCATCTTGTCAGCTCTTCCTCTATGATTAATGACCAGAGAAGACATTTCTAAGGATTGTCTGGAACACCCTCAGAAGAAACATGGGCTTAAATTTAAGACATACAGAATGTTAAGAGTTTAAACTACTCTCTGAGTATATAGGATACTTGAGTCATCTTTAAGAAATCATTGTCCAAGGAAGATGAAATTTCAGGCTGAAAATGTCAAAGTGAAAAGCACAATACATTGCTTATTCTGATAACTGGATATTGACTAATTGGTTGTGGTACCTGTCCCACAGAAGTGATCTGTATTAGTCTGTTTTCACGCTGCTGATAAAGACATACCCAAGACTGGGCAATTTATAAAAGAAAGAGGTTTAACTGGACTCACACTTCCCCTTGGCTGGGGAGGCGTCACAATCATGGTGGAAGGCAAAGGGAAGCAAGTCACATCTTACGTGGAAGGCGGCAGGCAAAAAAAGGGCTTGTGCAGGGCAGCTCCGATTTTTACGACCATCAGATTTTGTGAGACCCATTCACTATCAACAGAACAGCACGAGGAAAACCCGACCCCATAATTCAATCATCTCCATCCTGGTCCCTCCCACAACACGGGGGAATTATGGGAGCTACAAGATGGGATTTGGGTGGAGTCACAGAGACAAACCATATCATGATCTAACTGACTTTTTAAAATTATTGTTATTTTTTATTATAATAGTATGCAACCTTAGAACATATATCCCCTTGTAATCTTCAGTCTTCTCTTGCACAGATGAATGAGTTTATATGGTGCTCCTGTTTAATTATTCAGATACATACAGTAAGGAACAGTTAAGATCAATTATGAAAGAAACAGTAACAACAAACTACTACAATTAAGCAAGTGTGTGGTTTACAAAACTAATCTAGATTTATATTTGTTATTTTCTTACATTATACAGTTGTTTAGGGTTAAATCCAAAATTTCCTCAGAGTATTGCCCCATGAAAGCTAACATCTCTTCATCTAATATTTACTTCTCAACTATGAGCTATGGTTTGAATGTCTGTCACCTTCAAAACTCATGTTGAAACTTGGTTCCCAATGTAGCAGGGTTGAGAGATGGGGCCTTTAAAAGGTGACTGGATCATGACAGAGCCCTCATGGATTAATTTATTCAACGGATTAATGGGTTAATGCACTAATGGCTTAATGGGTTATTATGGGAGGGAAACTGGTGGCTTTATAAGAAGGGGAAGAGAGACCTGAACGAGCGGGTTGGCACATTCAGCCCCCTCACCACATACTGCCCTGCATCGCCTTGGGATTCTGCAGAGTCTCCACCAGCAAGAGGGCTCTCACCAGATGCAGCCTCTCAACCTTAGACATCTCAGCCTCTATGATTGCAAAAAGTAAATTACTTTTTTTTAAATAAATTACCGAATTTTAGCTATTCTGTTATAAGCAACAGAAAATGAACTAGGACACATCGTTTCCATGACTTATAGAAGTTATGAATCTGTTTGTTTGCATTTTCTCAAACAGATATCCTATTCTTGATTAATATATAGCATATCCATTTTTTAAAGCAGTACTTGTCAAATTTTAATGTTTATATAAATCACCTGGGGATCTTTTTAAAATACGAATTATAATTTAGCAGCTCTGGAGCAGGAACTGGGATTCTGCATTCTACCGCCCAGCTGCTAGGTCATGTTCATGCTGCTTCAGGTCCTTGGGGTAGTCAGGCTTAAGTCAGGGATCAGCCAATGTGTTCTGTAAAGCACCAGATAGGAAACATTTCTGGTCTAGATGATCTGTGCCATCTACTCAGTGCTCCCAGTTTAGCCCAAAAGCAGCCAGAGACAATGAAAAAATGAAACACTGTAGCTGTGTTTCAGTTGAGTTTTATTTACAGACACTAAGTTTTGAATTTTATATTATTTTTTCTTTCAGGCAGGGTCTCACTCTGTTTCCCAGGATGGAGGGCAGTGGCATGATCATGGCTGAATGCAGCCTCCACATTTTGGGCTTAAGTGGTCCTCCTGCCTCAGCCTCCCAAGTAGGGGGGACTACAGGCATGTGCCACCATACCTAGTTAATTAAAAAAATTTTTTTTGTAGAGACAGGGCCTTACTATGTTGCCCAGGCTGGTCTTGACCTCCTGGCCTCAAGCAGTCCTCTTGCCTTGGCCTCCCAAAACACTGCGATTACAGGTATGAACCACCATGCCAGGCCAAAATATTATATTTTAAGTTTTTTTCAAACATTTAAAAATGCAAAAAACTTCCTTAGCTCATGGACTGTATGAAAACAGGTGGGGGGCCAGATTTGACCTGGGACCATAGTGCACTGATCTCTGCTTTAATTCATCATTCTATAGTAGATTGAGCTATCTGCAAGAAGTGGATTATACTTGAATAAAAACAAGACATTCTCCTCCATCCCCAGATGCAAGTTGTTTATGGGAGTTATCTGAAAAAGCAAAAGAAGTAAAGAGTTTCATGTGCTTTTAAGAAAACATTATCCTGGGAGATTAGACACTAAGACCACATTTGTTTTTTCATGTTTATTTTAATTTCTGGAAATTATATTTAGAGAAGATATCAACCATCTGTTTAATTGTTCTGTATTTAATATTACACTATGGATCAATGGGACATATAAAATACATTTAGTATGATTTATAGAGATTAATTATTGTCCAATTATGGTTTAATTGGAGCTTTAGGACATGACTGCAATTTCTTTTTATTTAATATTTCCATATGTCCATACAGTTACCACTAGGACAAAATTTAAATATCTATATAAACCATTACATTAGAGTTTTGAGCCTCGGGTACTGTACTTAGCTTGGGGAAAACTGTTATATCCAGGTAAAATCTCTCACCCTGTTCTTACAGAACTCTGACAGGACTGTGTTACTGTTGATGTTTGAGTTTTACTTTAACTTCTTTTGGCCTTGACTATGTAACATCCTTGCTTTCTGGGGTGGTGTAGCTTTGGAAAACTCAGAATAAGGGTGGCCTAATCCTGGAAGAACAGAAACTGTATGGAAATTATAATTCTGAAATCCAGAACATGGCATGCCACTTCATCAATTCTAAGATACCATAGATTGAAAGTTGTATCCTTATTTTACATGCCACTAAAGAATGAGGGCATGTAAAATACACACCCACACACATACACACACATCTAAAACAACAAGCTATCCCTTTGGCAATGTCAGTCCATCAATTTTGAGTCACATGCTAATTTCATATCTGGGTCTTAGAATCAATGAAATATGGTCTTTAAATCTTAGGTGCACATTTAGGCTGGAATTATCTAATTTTGCATTTATGTGAGATGATGATTATGATAACACTGCTTATAATACTGATTACAGCATCCAAAATATATTATTTTCATTGCTTCTTTTCCTTCTAGATGGACTAATGTGATTTTTTTTATGATAAAATCGAGTCTCAGACATGTGGAATATCTTATTCGATGTTGCACAGATACTACATTCGTCAGGGAATTCTAGCTGCTAAAATAAGTGAATCCGAGCACATGTAATGGCTCCACCATGCTGGAAGTTCATTTATCATTCCTGCAAAGACCAAAACAGGCATCCTTGATGGAAGGCAGCTGTTCCCCAAGCAGCCAATGGGAACCCTGAGCTCTTACATCCTATGGATCTACCATCTTCTATGAATAGTTTCCAAGTTCTCCGTGCTTGTAGTCTCAAGTCCGTGCAAGTGGAAGGAATACAAGGAAGTGCACATGGGAGGTTTTTATGGTGTCGCTCAACACTTCCGCTCACATTCCTTCCTCTGGAAGTCAGTCATGTGATGCCCAACCTCAAGGAAGTTGGAAAATGAGTCTAGCCTTGGACCAGGAAGAAGAGATGAATTAGTATTCAAGCTAGAATCCTCCAGGTTTCTTGTCCTCTCCTTCTGAACTGAACCCCTCCTAACCCTTTTAATGTCTACATTCCAAATTCTACCTCAAAGGTAGAAGAGAGCCAAGATCAATGATTTAAGTGATCCTAACAGTTTCCTGAATTTCAAGTTTTGTCTATACATTAGCGCCTTCTTTTAATTTCAGTGCTCCAAGATGGGCAATTATGGATTTCATTTCCTGCAAGTTTACTATAGCACTCATTAAATTATGCAGAGTAGTATTTCTTCCTATGCTGGGGATATTATCTTTGTGTTAATCTCCTAGCCTATGGTATCGGCAAGTGGAACTTGTAATATTTTAGCACCTTGGAATTTTAGTGTAATGGTTCTGACAGCAACTTACATTTGCATGGGGGTAGGAGATTCTTTCTGAAGATCTGTACACATGTTCATGCATTTCATCCACACTGCAGGTTTAAAAAAATCCATGACAGTGCTAGAAATAACCAAGCTATAAGTAGCCAGTGCTAGAAGAAAATTGGCTCATTTTAACTAGAGACTGGTAGAATAGATGAGACTGTCAAAGACACAAGAGTGTTTTTGCCTTCCCTTTTCCCTGTGGTACTTTCTGAATACATTTTATGTTTCTTATCCTGGTCGTGAATAAGAGCCCATCATTGCCAACTGGAGGAGAGTCTGCCAGGCACACCAGCAGAAGCAGTTCTCTTTGCTCTACTTCCTTATTGAAATGTCCCAGTGATAGGTTTGAAGCCTCAGTCATCAAACAGCTTGAGTTTGTGATAATCTCATTTAGCCTGTTGTTGTGATTTTTAAAATAACGAATCAATTATCCAGATGTCTTTGCAGGGTTCTGCAAAGCAGAAATAGTGTCACTTATGGGACCATAGGGACAACTTCAGTAATACAAAGATTAGAGATCAAAAATGCCAATGTTGATTTTTACGTGTAAAAAACCCTAAAGACTCCACATAAAAAACTGTTAGAACTAACAAATAAAGTTGCAGGAGACAAAATCAACACACAAAAATCAGTTGCATATCTGTACACTAACAATGATCTATCAAAAAAAGGAAATTAAGAAAACAACCTCATTTGCAATAGCATCAAGAAGAATAAAATACTTAGGAAGAAACTTAACCAAAGAGGTGAAAGATTTATATACTGAAAATATAAAACATTGCTGAAAGAAATAAAAAAGATGAAAATGAATAGGAAGACATCCTGTGTTCATAGATTGAAAGATAACATTGTTAAAATGTCCATACTACACAAAGAGATCTACAGAGTAAATGAAATCCCTATCAAAATGCCAAGGCATTTTTTTTTGCAGAAATATAAAAAAGCCTACAATTTACATGGAGTCAGAAGGGACTCCAAATAGCCAAAAGATTCTTGAAAAAGAACAAATTTGGAGATCACATGCTTCCTGATTTCCAAGCTTATTACAAAACTACAGTAATCAAAACAGTGTGGTACAGGCATAAAGACAGGCATGTAGACCAGTGGGATGGAATACTAGAAACACACGAGAAATAAATCCTCATGTATATATTCAAATGATCTTTTACAAGGATGGCAGCACTACTCAATGGGAAAAGGATAGTCTCTTCAACAAATGGTATTGGGGAAACTAGATATCCACATGCAAAAGAATAAAGTTGAGCTTTTACCTTATGCCATGTACAAAAGTTAATTCAAAATAGGTTCAAAACCTAAACAATATCTACAGCTATAAAAGTCCTAGAGGAAAACATAGAGCAAAAGCTTCATAATATTGGTCTTGACAATGATTTCTTAGACATGATACCAAAGCCCAGTCAAAAAAACCACAAATTGACAGGTGAGACTACATCAAACTTAAAAAACTTCTGCACACTAAAGGAAACAATTAACAGAGTGAAAAGGCAACCTACAGGATGGGAAAAAAATTTGAAAATCATGTATCTGAAACAGGGTTAATATCTAGACTATAAAGAAATTCTACAACCCCAAAACAGTAACAAAATAAAACAAAAAAACTGATTAATAAATGGGCAAAAGACTTGAATAGATATTTCTCCAAAACAAACCTATATTAATGGCCAACGAGCATATGAAAAGCTGCTCAACATCACTAATCACTAGGGAAATGCAAATCAAAACTACAATGATATATCAACTCACATCCATTAGGATGTCTGGTATTAAATAACAAGAAAATAACAAGTGTTGGTGAGGATGTGGAGAAATTGGAACCCTTGTGTACTGTTGGTGAAAATGGAAAAGGGTGCAGTCCTTGTGGAAAACAAAATGGAGATTCCTCAAAAAATTAAAAATAGAACTGCTATATGATCCAGCAATCCCACTTCTAGGTAACAGGTAAAAGAATTGAAACCAGAATATAGAAAAGATATATGCACACTCATGTTTATTGCAGCATTATTCACAATAGCCAAGAAGTGGAAGAACCATTGATAGATGAATGGATAATGTGGTGGACACATACAATGGAATGTTATTCAGTCTTTAAAAAAAGAAATCATGTCACATGCTACGATATGAATGAACCTTGAGAAAACAATGCTAAGTGAAAGAAGCCAGTCATGAAAACACAAATACTGTATGCTTCCACTTATATGAGGTATCTAAAGTGATCAAACTCATAGAAACAGAAAGTAGAATGGTGGTTGCCAGGGGCTGGTGGGAGGGAAAATGGGGAATTTTTGTTAATGCCTACAGAGTTTTAGTTTTGCAAGATGAAAAAGTTCTGGAGATCTTTTGCTCAACAATATGCATATAGTTAACATTACTGAACAGTGCACTTAAAAAAAAGATAGTAAATTTCATTTTGTGTGTGTGTTTTATTACCACAATTAAGAATAAAGGGTTCAAGGATTGAGGCTAGAGGCTTGCTCATGATACTTGGCAAATTGAGTCTAGGTTTCTGGGTCCAGTAATCGGGTTTGTAAAAAAAGAAAACAACCAATAAAAACACCTTTTACTAAAAGGTTCTCAAGCCATAAACTTGTCTAAACAGCTGGGTGAATTTCAACAAAGGATCAGGGTTACAGCGATATTGACAGACTCTCTAGAACCCATAAAGGCTTGGAAATTAGTTACTAGCATCAGCGTTAGTAATTAGTCCACTCTTTTCTGTAGGCCCAGAACTTTAAAATAAAGACATTTGCCACTTAGGTCCTATGTCTAAAGGCCAATTAAGGGCATCGTGTGCAAAATGATTTAAAAATATGACATTTAGAGTAAGAGAGATCTGACTTTACATATATATGCCACCATTTCTTTCATCGTTCATAGCAAACAATACAAAATGCTACATAATGAGACTGAGGCTGTGACACTTCATATATTCAGAAACAATTATGAGTCATACCCACAAGGATCTCACATATGTCTTTGGAAAACACTTTCATTATTTAATTCCTGTTAGAGCCAACTAACTCTTCTGGGTATCTAATTGAAATCTGTAGGGCCAAGTGAGAGTCAATTCTTTCTGGAGAACTGGCTTGCTAGTTTCTATCTTACAATGTGTGATTCTGGGGATTATAGCACTCACCTGTTTTTTAAAATCTTCCAACAATGCAAATGGTTGCAATTTTATTGGAAGTATTAAAAAACCTCACCTATTGAAAATTTTACTTTTGACTATATTTTTATAATTGAACACACACACGTATACACTGTTTTTGGAGAAACAGTTTTTTTATACTTACTGTGTATTACTTGAAAGTAAAAACATAAATTGTTATTCCAACTGTAGGGGGGGATTTTATTATTTGCCTTTGTTTGGCTTCCCTATATGTATACATGGAAACCGGTGTTCAAATGCAAGTGGCTTATTAGAGACATAAAACTAGGTGAATGAGAACATGAGCCAGGAAGTAGAATGCAAGCATTAAAGCAATATAGTCTATAGAACAATACTGAGAGCTAAATCCATAAATAATTTTAAAATTTCTAATAGCTACACTTCTTAAAATGTAGGAAAAATCAGGGGCAATATTCATTTTAATAATATATTTTACTTAACCCAATATATCCAAAACATTATTTCAGCATGCAATCAATATACTATTATTAAAAAGATATTTTCTATACTTTTTCTATATAAAGTCTTCAGATTGTGGCATGCATTCTGTACTTAAAGCACATCTTAGTTCAGGCAGTCTGCATTTCAGATGCTCAATTGGGTTGTGGTTAGTGGCTACCATATTGAGCTGCGCAGTAATAAATGAGATGTTATAAGGCAGCTATCTCTGTGTTTGACTGGTGCTTAATCCTGCTGAGAAAATGCTGGTAACTAAAGTCAGAAATATCCTATGAGAGAGCAAGTGAGTTGTGGTATGTATTCAGCAAGTCCTGTCACTTGAGGGTTGAGAGCTCCTCCCAGGGGCGTTAACTCCCTCATCACTTCTCACCTGCCAATGGGACAGAAGAAAGTGGAGTTCAGTGGCCCGAGAAATCCCACTGAGAAGTGACTGGGGTGCCCTCCAATAGCAAAGGTGAGAGGATATTGGTGGGCAGTGGGCAGCATGTGCTACATTATTCAACACTATTTATACAAAGGTCAAAACAAGATCTCACTCCCAGACCAGTCTTCTCTTAGACAATTAAAGCAAGATACTTGGAAATCTATCTTTAAATGTTTCTTTCAGGTTCAAAGATTCCACACTTGCTTTCAGAAAATACTTTCATTACCTAATTACTGTTAGAGTCAAATAGCTCTTCTGGGTATCTAATTGAAGTCGGTAGGACAATTTTAAAGCCTTTACTCTTGTTCTTTTAGGAGAACTGGCTTGCTATTTTCTCTTAAAATTCATGATTCTGAGGACTATACCACTGCTTTTAAAGGCTACCAACAATGCAAACTTGTTACAGTTTTAGTGAAAGCTCAAAAAAATAGCCTGATGGAAAGCTTTTACTTTTGTTTGTTTTTTTTTTTCATAATAGATTGATAAGTCCAGCTCACAAATTACTTTGGTATATTTTAGTCTTCTATTGGATATGTTCAAGTATCACAATTCCTTTAAACATACGTAGGATAACAAAATGAATTGTTAAACAATAAGACTGAGGCTGTGATACTTCACATATTTTAAAGCAACTACTGAGTCCCACCCATAAATCTTGGTTAATCTATCTTCATGGCACCTCAATTTCATTTCTTAATATGCAGGACATCGTTTGTGGAATTTTCTAGTTTTTCCTTACTGATCTCCAGTTGAGAGATCAAAACCATCAAAAGAACATGACGTACAGAGTAACGAGATTGAGGACTGCATCCTGCTATGTTTGCTTGGTTGAGAAATGTACTCAATGTCATAGTTTCCAGACATGCACAATAAAATAGCAAAAACTTAGCATGCATGGATGTGAGTGTAAACAAAAATTTGGTATTTGAAGGTACATACGGCCCATCTAAGAGACCTTCAGGGCCAGACTTTGAGGCCAAATCTGCAGAGCGTCATCTGATTATCTCAAGGTGGACTCTGGTCTTTTCATAGATGGTGTGTGATTGCCATGAAAATAAAGATAAACAAATAAACAAACAAACAAAAAAAACAAGGATCTTAGCCCAAGGCTAAGGCTAAAACTAGGGCTAGGGCTAGGGCTGGGGTTTGGTTTAGGGTAGGGTAGGGTTAAGGTTAGAGCTAGGGTGAGTTTATGTTAGGATTGGGTTAGGGGATCTTAGCCAATTTTCTCTAGAAACAAACCTTAGGCAAAGTGCTGGCTGGTGCTTTGCTGGAAGCAGCAATCCCAAAGCCATGGAGAGAGGACCTAAAAGGCACAGAGGCAGCGAAAGATGGGAAGGAAACGGAATGATGTGCACTGCCCGTGTTTTAGTCTGAACCACAAGAGATGGAGCTGGAGGTTGAAGGCATAGGATGTCTCATTGTCAACAATATGGTGCATCCATGCTTTCTGTGCTTTGGAGCAGGATGAGAGAGGACTTCATCTACTCATTCACTCTTGTCTCCTCTCTCCTCTTAGCCTCTGTTGTCCCATAGAGAGTTGACATTCCTGGACATCTATGTGGCTTCACCCGGGCCCCTTCAGCACCTACTGAGGCCTGAAACTTCAACCAAGTTTGGAAGTGATGGGAGATGCTGGAGACTTGGGCGTGTGTCTTGTTAGCTTGAGATGGTGGAGGCATGCATGTCTACCAAACATGTGGGACATTAGGAAGGTAAGAAGGTGTATGAGAGTCCATACAATGACCTATGCCGCAAGTAAATTGATTTTTGTCCTGCAATTGTGCCTTGCAGCTTATTTGCTGTAGGTCAGAAATTAAGGGTCTTTTGGCATGGCTTCAAAGTGTCATGTGGTCCAGCTCTGTTTTAGGTATTTTCTGTATCAATACATGGCTATTTGATGTGAAAAAGTGGTTAACACTTGAGGTTATGTGCAGGTGAAGCAAGCCCAATACATGAAGTACTGCGAAGAGCCAGCGGCTTTTCTTTTTAGTACTGTATAAAGAAAATATACACAAAATTAAAGAAATCCTTTAGAAAACAAGGTAAAATCATCATCACATACAATCCTACCATAAGGTAAACGTTTAATTTTAGCACATTATGTTTTACTCATTCAGATATTGTAGGGAAATAAAATTCATACACCTAAAGTATTAAACATAATTTTTTAAATGTTCTAAAAGAGTTCTCAACTTGCTTGCAAATCTTCCTAATAAAGGGAATTATAGGGGCATAAACCTTCCAGACAAGGCTTTTGTGCTGATGAAAACAGTTTTTCAGGTTAATTCACTCTTCCCTGGTAAACACTCAGTCTGTCAAAATATATCACCCTTTTCTCTCTTTGACTAAATAGGATGATATCTAAGATTAAAGGGAAGCTTAAAATTATCTGACATTATGAATATTTTATTAAATAATACTCAATGTCAGTTGTCTTGATCCCATTTTTAACCATAATCAATAATTCTTTCATAAACATCTTCATTTACTAGTTATTTGTTAAGGCATTAAATTGATTCCTTCTCTTGAATCAACTTTCTTGTGGAAATTATCTAAGATATTGGTTTGCTTGTTAAATTATATTTTCCTGGTAAAAGTTACAATTTTTATTTTGTTTTACTTTCTGTTTTCTGTGCCCCCCCCCGCCCCCACCATTTTTAAATTTTAATTTAATTTAATTTTAAGTTCCAGGGTACATGTGCAGGATGTGCAGGTTTGTTACATAGGTAAACATGTGCCATGGTGGTTTGCTGTACCTATCAACCCATCACCTAGGTATTAAGCGCTGCAGGCATTAGCTATTTTTCCTAATGCTCTCTCCCTGCCTCGCCATCCCCAGACAGGCCCCAGTGTGTGTCGTTCCCCTCCCTGTGTCCACATGTTCTCATTGTTCAGCTCCCACTTATAAGTGAGAACATGCAGTGTTCGGCTTTCTGTTTCTGCCTTAGTTTGCTGAGGATAATGGCTTCCAACTTCATCCATGTCCCTGCGCCACCATTTTGATTTTTTTAAAAAATATTTACTCAACTATCTAGAATAATGTCATCTAGCATATTTTTTTTCTGCTGTAAATGGAATTTGATTTAAAAAGTTTCAGTTACCAAGACACTAAAAGTGTCTTTGCCTTTGAATTTCTCCTGGATGGCCTCCTAAACAGTAGGCAGGGATTCACACTCCATTTATGTGTGCAAAAAATGAAGCAGGGTTATATCATAGGGCCAATTGTATCCATTTATTTAGCTCAGATTTCCTTACCATTAAGATAGGTATTTGGGACACTTCACAATATACTTCAAGGCCTCCAGGGAAATCTAAACAAGAGACCATAAATGCTCCTAAACATGTCTAACATATCTACACTGTCCTGCGGTGATGCTAATGTATATACCCTTTCAAAGTGCACATTCCAGGCAGCTCAGAGCAGATTATGGGGCTCTTTGCAGAATAAGCACAGCCCCTGGCTATATGCCTGAATAATAACCCTAACTTCCATCACACTTTACAGTTTACAAAGTGCTTTTACCATGCATATGGGTGAGCATATGGTTCAGTTTTTCTCTAACAATCCTGCTTTCAAATATATTGCCTACCGTCAGATTTGGCAACAGAGTGCGTGAGCCTGTTTTGGGGCAAGAGAATGTATCCCATCATCACATCCTCACACAGACAATATGAGGACGTGTCTGAGATGAGGGGTCTCTTCACTGAATCCTCAGAGGAACCCTATGAGTAAGCATCTTTGATGAGAATTCTAAGTTCCATGGAAGTAAAATAATTAGTCCAAGTTAAGCTTGCTTATAAATGCCCATGCTGGGAGTTTAACTTGGATCTCTGCCCCCCAGTTTGGGCATTTTTACATTATTAATCTATACTAGTGACTATGGCATATAGCTAAAATAATTATTAGCCCAATTAGAAATGTTGTAATTAAATTTTATCTTCAAACCAGAACACCTCTGATGATAGGCTAAGTGGAAAGATGGATTCTGAAAACAGAATGTTCTTTGAAGTCATGATAGTGAGGGATACTATCTAGTATTAGGTTGTCAATCAGGATCAATCTTAATTCCCAATATCCTATTAGGATTGAGTCTGGACCTGCTGTCAGTTTTGCTTCCAGACCCCTGGATAATTGAACAGAACTTTTAAAAAATATTATTATTATGTTTTTTAGAGACAGGGTCTTACTCTGTCACCCAGGCTGGAGTGCAGTGTCATGATCACTGCAGCCCCGATCTCCTAGGTTTAAGCATTCCTCCTGCCTCAACCTCCTGAGTAGTTGGAACCACAGGTGGGTGCTACCATGCCCAGTTAATTTTTTAAAAGATTTTGTAGAGACAGAGGCTCGCTATGTTGCCCAAGCTGGTCTTGAACTCCTGACCTCAAGCAGTCCTCCTGCCTCAGCCTCCCAGAGTGTTGAGATTACAGGCGTGAGCCACTGCACCTGGCCTCAACAGACCTTTCACTTTAATCTAAAGAGATGTAAGAGTGAGCTGAAAACACCCCCTTGGATGCACCGTGTGATGCTTCACCCTGGTGCATGGATACCAGATGGTGCTAACAGTTCTGAAGTGTAGAATTGAAGTGTTGAGGTCAAGTGTAGTAATCATCTGAGCAAGACAGTGCTTTGAGACTATTTTCCAGTATAAAGAAACGGTAATTTTTCAGTATGCAATATTATGATAATGCTGTGATACTACTGGAATCATCTTAGCAGCATAATATGCCATAATCAGATATCCAGCTAAGGATGATGCAAAGTCTAGAAGTAATGTTCTAAAAGGGGCCAAACATTCTTCAAAATGCCTGTAATCCTGAGCCACGAGGCTATACTCCTCCATGTGCTGCCAAGTAGGGAAATAATCTCTTGCCTGGTGTTCTTGAGATCTGCAAGTTCTCCCATACACAGGGATAGCCAAGATGGGTTAGCATCTCCATTATTTAATCTGCAAAGTATTTCCAATTAAATGCAGTACTCTTATTTGATAGTCAAGGCACTGCCAATACTGTTTTAAAAGGGTAATCATCACAAACTTGGCTTACCTCGTAATTCACTTCACGGACCACCCAAATCAAATATTAGACACAGGAAATAACACTTCCAGGTCTCTCCCTTAATTTAATTCTGAACACCAAGTGACCTCCCATTTTGCACAAATTGCAGTTATTGGAGATTAAATAACTGCACTAAAGAATCAATATCCTGGTGTTGTAATAGTATGTATCTATCTAGTGAGATGATAAGGAGTTAGGTGTCCATGTCTGAAGGCAGGAATGTTAAGAAAATGGTATTTAAAGGACTTTCCTAGACCCTCGGTCTATGATTAAGATAGAGGAGGAAATAGGAGGTCATAGGAAGCAGGAACTGGGGAGTCTGCCAGGCCTGGTGTGGAATTTCTTTCTCAATTTTGCTCTGGGCTAGGGAGTGCTTACAAGTGGGATGGCTGATTTGTGAGTATTTTGCACCTTCCAAATTATTGGTCATGACAAATTAATGTTGTCCCAGTGATTGACACACCCACCAGAGAGTGTGGGAGTCCCATATCCTTGAGCCTATGTATCTCATTGGCATTATAATGATAGTCGGACATCGCAGGGCTGTTGCTGACAGATGGAAAGAGAAAAATGTACAGTATATGAAACCACTTTGCAAAATGCCTAATTGATAGTTGCCGTTCAACAGTGTTGGTTTCCTTCCTTGTTCTTTTACGTGCTTTCACAGCATGCTGCACACTCCTTTGCTAAACCACTTATTTAATCTATTGATATTTCATTATTTACAAACAAAATTATGAGTTTCTGGATACCAAAGGCTCTTTTATTATTCGTTAGACACCTAGAACTTAGTACATAGCATTTAATGTCTGTCCTTTGAAATAAAATTAAAAATTAATGGTCCAAGTTTATATGAGTACTTTTCAATATCTTAGAACATTAACCCCATAAAATTTATCTGGTGATAATACTCCTTCATAAGAGAAAAAAATAAATACATTAATTTTTAAAAATAACTTTATCGGCCGGGCACGGTGGCTCACGCCTGTAATCCCAGCACTTTGGGAGGCTGAGGCGGGCGGATCATGAGGTCAGGAGATAGAGACCATCCTGGCTAACACGGTGAAACCCCGTCTCTACTAGAAATACAAAAAATTAGCCGGGCGTGGTGGCGGGCGCCTGTAGTCCCAGCTACTCGGGAGGCTGTGGCAGGAGAATGGCGTGAACCCAGGAGGCGGAGCTTGCAGTGAGCCGAGATCGCGCCACCGCACTCCAGCCTGGGCGACAGAGCGAGACTCCGTCAAATAAATAAATAAAATAAAAATAAATAAATAACGTTGTTATGAACTAGTCCATCTAAGGTACATGAGGTACAACCAGTAGCAAACATACTCATCTACACATCCCAGCTTCAGCAATAAAATATTTAAATATTATTGAAATAAAAGGATGCTCTCTTAAATAAACAAATAAATATAATTGAAGACAGTGGTGTCCATTTCCAAATTTCTCCTTCTTCCTCCCACTATCTTTATCATTGTGCATATTGCTGTCTTGCTTTTCCTTATAGTTTTGATGTATATGTGTGTAATCTAAACAATATGTTTAGTTATGCATAGACTCTGTAGTTTAGATTAATAGTGTTGTATCACATTGATCTCTAACTTTTTTCATTCAATACCTTTGTGTAATCCATCCATATCAATATTAACCATAGTGGTTCCTTAATTTGCACTGATTGTATATATATGTATATATTTATGTAATTCCTTATATATAATTATGTATATTATCAGTGAAAATGAAACTACTTTGTGAAACTATATATGCACTCACACATATACACACACACATATATATACACACACAGTGATATATATTTACATGGATATACTATCTTATGAATAAGCACCATCATTTATATATACTCTTTTTTAAGTGGTTATTTGGGTAGCTTTCAGCTTTTTTACTTTTTTTCAATGGTGTGCTACTATAAAGAATGGGTCTGTAAAATTCTTGTGCATGTCCGCTCTATGCATATACTTAAGAGTTTCTCTAAGAGGTTTTAAACGGGTGCTTAGGAAGGGAATTACTGGATCACAGAACATAAGCAACATAAGGTTCCAGATTATACTACATTTGTTTCCAAGGTGGTTGTACCAACTTACGCTCCCACCAGAAGCATTTGAGAGTTTTCATTCCTCTGCATCTTGCATAGCACTAGCTATTGTTACATTCTAATATTTTCTAATCTGGTAGATGTGAAGTGATAAACTTTTTACCTTGTGTTTTTCATTAGCATTTCTCTGATGACTAGTAATGTTGAACATCTTTTTACAGGTCCATTTCTGGCCACTTCTGCATTCTCCCTCCTGGCAAGAATGTTTTCATTTTTACCCATGTTCTTGAAGGGCCCCTTCTGTCCCTTAGCTCTGCAGTCTCTGCCATTTGTTAAGTCTATGTGTGGGTCAGTCCTTGAGGACTCCGTTAGGTTCATTAGGACATTTGTCTACTCTTCTGCCAATCACACCCAGCCTTAACTACTGTAGCTTGAGCTAGTCCATAACCACACTGGTCCAGGAGTATTTTGGTTAATCTTGGGTCTTTATATTTCCATATCCATTTTAAAATATCCCATCCAGTTCTATGAAAAACTCCATTTTCCTCCCTCATTAATCCTTCCTGTACTTCAGATATTTCTTTTAAGATTATTTTCTTTTTCTCCTAAATATTTCCTTTAGATTTGAGGGGGCTTCTTTTTATGATAAATTTTCACCGTTTTGTGATCTAAAAAATGTACTTATTTCTACCTTGTCCTTGAAAGAATGTTCATCTGTGAGTATAATTATGGGATGTAGTTCTTTTCTCTTGGCAACATGAAGGTTTTTTCCTACCCTCCTCTGGCTTTTGGGAAGTCAGTTCCCAGTCTCCATGTGACACCCCGGTGGGTAATCAATGTGTGGGTGTGTGTATATGTGTATATATGTGTGAGTGTGTATATATGTGTATATGTGCCTGTCTGCTTTTAAGATCTCTTCTTTGACATTGGTATTATTACTATTCAGCATTTTCGTTATTAAGTATGGATGGATTTATTTTCGTTTATCCTACTTAAGATTTGCTGTAGTCGCTGAATGTGATGTATCATGCGTTCCACAAATTGCGGAAAATGCCTCTGCCAAGGTTGACCACCTCTCTTTCCGTCATTTCATCCAAAAACTCCAATTAGATAGGTATTAGACCTGTTCACTCAATCTTCCACATCTCTTAACCTGATTTCATTTCCTTGCATTTCTTCTCATAATATCTTCAGATCTGTATTCCAGTTCGCTAATTTTCCTTTTCCTTCTGTCTCCTCCGCTCATTAAATGCAGCCATTAAGAGATGCTATTATGTAGTGGTTGAGAGGTCGGGTTATGGAGACAGACTGCTCGTCTTTGTATTCTAGTTCTAAGACATATTAGCCATGTGGCTTTAGGGCAATTAATACCTACCTCATAAAACTGTTAAGAATTAAATGAAGTAATGTGTGAAAATTCTTGTAACTGTGTCTGGCATAGTAGTTAGCTATAAATTATTTTAACTTTAGTTTTCAGTTTCAAATATATATAAAGTTCTAAATGTTCCTTCAACCCCTTTAACCTTTTTCTTTTTGATAATTTTTTCATGATTTTAATTATTTCCTTTTTGTGTGATTTCTGACTGGGATCTCATATTTGTGGGAACTTTACATAGGGTAAATCCTTGTGGCCTGAGTTATCAATTCACTCCTTCACAGAAGATTTATGTTTAAATTTGTCAAAGCCCTGAAGATACTAAAAATGTAAAACTTGAAACTATAAAAACCCTGGAAAACAACCTAGGCAATACCATCCTGGCCATAGGCACCGGCAAAGATTTCATGGCAAAGACACCATAATCACAACAAAAGCAATAATTGACAAACAGGATCTAATTAAACTTAAGAGCTTCTGCACAGCAAAACAAAAACAAAAACTTATCAACAGAGTAAATAGCCTACAGACTGAGAGAAAAATTTTGCAAACTATACATCTGACAAGGTCTAATATCCAGCATCTATAAGGAACTTAAACAAATTTACAAAAGAAAAACAATCCCGTTAAAAATCGGCAAAAGACATGAACAGACACTTCAAAAGAAGACATACATGCGGCCAATAAGCATATGAAAAAACAGCTCAATCATCACTGCTCATTAGAGAAATGCAAATGAAAACCACAATGAGATACCATCTCACACCAGTCAGAATGGCTATTATTAAAACGTCAAAAAATAACAGATGCTGGCGAGGTTGCAGAGGAGAGGAAATGCTTGTACACTGTTGGTGGGAGTATAAATTTGTTCACCCATTGTGGAAAGCAGTATGTCAATTCCTCAAAGAGCTAAAAACAGAATGATCATTTGACCCAGCAATCTGGTATATACCCAGAGGAATATAAATTATGCTACCATAAAGACACATGCGCATGAATGTTCACTGCAGCACTATTCACAATAACAAAGACATGGAATCAACCTGAATGCCCATCAAAGATAGATAGGATAAAGAAAATGTGGTACATGTACACCACAGAATACTATGCAGCCATAAAAACAGGACATCATGTCTTTTGCAGGAACATGGATGGAGCTGGAGGCTATTATCCTTAGAGAACTAATACAGAAATAGAGAACCAAATACCACATGTGCTAACTTATAAGTGGGAGCCAAGTGATGAGAACTCATGAACAGAAAGAAGAGAACAATAGACACTGGGGGTCTACTTGCTGGTGGAGGGTGGGAGGAGGAAGAGGAGGAGAAAAAATAACTATTGGGTACTGGGCTTAATACCTGGGTGATGAAATAATCATCTGTACAACAAATGCCTGTGGCATGAATTTACCTATATAGCAAACTTTCACATGTACCCCTGAACCTGAAATATAAGTTAAAAAAGAAATAAATAAAAAGTTAAAAGTTAACAAATAAAACCACATTAAATCAAATATTTCAGGTCTTGGGGTTTTTTTAATTGAATTCAGGCTAGAAACCTATCTGAACATTTAGGACTTCACCTTCCCTGATGCGTAAGAGCCAATCTCAAAAAGGAAACACTTCGCTGTTCTGTGTTTCAGATTTGTTGTTGTTATTTTGGTTTGTAGTTCACTTTCTCATTGAGATGGTAGCACTTCAAGAATTTTGGGGCTGGGTGTAGTAGCTCACACCTGTAGTCCTAACACTTTGAGAGGCCAAGGTGGGAGAATCATTTGAGGCCAGAAGTTCCAGACCTGCCTGGGCAACAAAGTGAGACAACCACCCCATCTCTACAAAATAATTTTAAAAATTAGAAAAGAAGAGTTTGGACTTTATCCTTATCTTGTAAGAGCCTATAACACGCTTTTGATTTTGTGTGCAGGCAGGCATTAAAATTGAAGCTCCTATTTCCTGGGATGTGTAGATGACCCAAGGGCAGTTATGGGCCTTAGCACTGGTTTACTTCTCTTGATTCATTATTTCATTTTACTTCTCAGAATTTGTATTACTGTTTTTGCAAACTCAAGTATGCATTCAAAGAGATGTTTTAAAATGATTTATCTGGCATTTCTGTATGCTTTATAATAAGGGAGCATTTAAAAATTTCTAGTCTGCTGCTTTGCTAAAAGCAAAATATCATAATGAGTAGATACCCATTCAAATATTTGTTGAGTTTTTATTGCATGTTCTCTTCCTCCTCCAGCAATTTTCTTTCCTGGGACATTTTTTTTCCTAGTTGTTTTTCCTCATTTTCCTCATTGTGGCCACTGATCCCTTTAGCTGGTTTGCTACTTTTTCTCTATAGACTCATTGGCCCCTCCTAGAGTATCCTTCATGGTGGATTCAGGTAATGGCAGGATAATCAGAATTATTGTAGGCAACTTTCATTAACTGTATCACTTCTCCACATGTGGCAGTCTGCTGCCTATGAACTGGATTAGAACATGCTTTTCATTATGTAATGCACATGCATATCACCTAGAGATCTCCTTAAAATGCAGATTCTGCATTTATACTTTGTAGTTAATTATTCCAATATCTAAAGTATCTGACTTTGCTGTTTTCTCTTTCTTCCCACTCTCTCTTGTTCTCCTTGCTTTGTTCTGTGCTCTGTGATTTCTGACTGTGACCTCCGGTTCATGGGAACTTTATGCAGGCTAAATCTTTGTGGCCAGAGTTACGGCTTACTCCTCCCCAGAAGATCTGTGTTTACATTCAGTGGGTTTGGAGTGGACCCTGAGATTCTAACAAGCCCCCAGTTGATGCTGATGGACTAGGAATCACACTTTGCATTGCAAGGGGTGTTAAAACATAAGTATCAATCCCAGGAAAAGGATCTTCAGTGAACGGTGGCATTCCTAGCTAAGGAAATGGGTGTCAGAACCTATCTCCACCTCCAACTAGAATAAGTAGCATGATGTGGTGAAAAGTATAAAGATTTGGAAGTCAGACAAACATGGACTGAGTATGTATTACAACTATTTATAAACATACATGCTGCTTCTACTCCCTGGCAAAGGAGTGAACTCCACTTTTTATCCTTTCCAAGTTATGCATAGCCACGTGACTTGTTTTGGCCACATAGTGTTGAGCTGATGTTTCTCTTTCTTCAGATGGAATCATTTTCTTGCCAGACAGTACTTATGACTTAAAGTGGTCACCAGAACTGCAGCATCAACATCACCTGGGAGTGTTAGAAATTCAGATCTCAGGCCAGGCACGGTGGTTCATGCCTGTAATCCCAGCACTTTGGGAGGCTGAGGCGGGCAGATCACCTGAGGTCAGGAGATCGAGACCAGCCTAGCCAACATGGTGAAACACTGTCTCTACTAAAAATGCAAAAATTAGCTGGGCGTGGTGGCAGGTGCCTGTAATCCCAGTTACTTGGGAGGCTGAAGAGAGAGAATCATTTGAATCCAGGAGGCGGAGGTTGCTGCAGTGAGCCGAGATCGCACCACTGCACTCCAGCCTGGGCAACAGAGTGAGACTCTATCAAAAAAAAGAAGAAAGAAAGAAAGAAAGAGAGAGAGAGAGAGGGAGGGAGGGAGGGAGGGAGGAAGGAAGGAAGGAAATTCAGACCTCAGACTCCAAACTCTTGTATCAGAAGCTTCATTTGAACCAGATCACAGGTGACTTACATGCATGATAAGTTTAGGAAGGTCTGCTCTAGTTCACTCTTCAGTTACCATGGGGAACTTTTATAAAATAGGGATATATATTTAGGGAGTGCAAACGCAGTTTTGTTACATGGATATATTGCATAGTGGTGAAATAGTGAACATTGTATCCAATAGGTAATTTCTCATCCCTCACCCGCCCTCCCAACCTTCTGAGTCCTCACTGTCTGTCATTTCACAATCTATATCCATGTGTTCACATTGTTTAGTTCCCACTTGTAAGTGAGAACACGCAATATTTGACTTTCTGTTCCTGAGTTAGTTCACTTAAGATAATGGCCTCCAGCTCTATCAGTGTTGCTGCCACAGATATTATTTCATTCTTTCTTATGGCTGAATAGTATTCCATTGTGTGTGTGTGTGTGTGTGTGTGTGTGTGTGTGTGTGTGTGTGTGTATCACATTGTCTTTATCATACCATTCACTGGTGGACACTTAGGTTGATTCCATATCTTTGCTATTGTGATAGCAAAGATAAATATATGAATATAGGTATCTTTTATGTATAATAATTTGTTTTCCTTTGGGTGGTTACCCAGAAGTGGGATTATTGGATCAAATGGTAGTTAGTTCTTTGAGAATTCTTCATACTACTTGGGAGGCTGAGGCATGAGAATCGCTTGAACCCGAAAGTTGGAGGTTGCAGTGAGCCAAGATCGTGCCACTGCACTCCAGCCTGGGCGACAAAGTAAGAATTCATTTTAAAAAAAAAATCTTGATACTGTTTTCCATAGAGGTTGTACTAATTTACATTCCCACCAACAGTGTATAAAAGATTGCCTTTCCTTGCATACTCAGCAATATCGTCGTTTCTTGACTTTTTATCAGTAGCCAATCTGACTGGTGTAAGATGTTATCTCACTGTGGTTTTATTTTGCATTTCTCTGATGATTAGTAATATTGAGCATTTTTTCATGTTTGTTGGCTGCTTGTATGCCTTCTTTTGAGACATGTCTGTTCATGTTCTTTGACAATACAATGTTGGTGGGAATGTAAATATTGAGTTGTTGTAAAGATGAGTACATTTCCACAAGCTACATAGACATATAATAGGTAGACATATAAGATTCAACAGATGGCAATTATTGTTGGATAAATGGTCAGCACCCCGTGGGTTAGTGATAAAAGAAAAACTCACAACCATGTGTCAGCAAACCACAACCCATGTGCCAAATCTGGCCCACTACTTGTTTATGTAAATAAAGGAAACAGCCACATTCATTTATCTGTGTACCACTCACACCTGCTTTTTCACTACAACAGCAGGGTTGGATAGTTGCTGCAGAAGTCATATGGCCCACTCAGCCAAAAATATTTACTTTCTGTGTCTTTTCAGAAATGTTAGATGATCTCTGTTCTATAGCCGTGTCCTAGACTAACATGAAAAGACAAAGGGGATATCTGTGATTTAGTTGCCACATGAATGTATGGACACCCTTACGATTGAAGGGAGGTGAAACGTGGTGTTTGTCAAAGGAAAGATCAGATGCAGAACTAAGAGGCTAGGACACCAGTTTCACAATGCCCAGGTCTCATGTTGGGTCAAACTTGATATGGTGCTTATACAAAATGAGGATCGGTACACAGTATACTTATATAGTTGCCCAGAAATGTGATACATGGATTTATAATAGGAGAGAAAAAATCCTTCTTTAGTTATGTGCTCCTTCCCGTAGAAGTAAAAATCAAGAAATTGCCATCAACCTTATCCTTCCAGATGGCAGGCTTCTTTATAACTGTTCTCTTAACAAACATGATTCCATTGTTTTCATACTGTAAAAGACACGGGCTCTTTAAAAGAGGCACCAGCAGGCTGTAACAGTAAAAAGAACGAAAAAGATATCTTGAAAGAACTGCAAGTAAAATATGGCACAATTTAAATGGTGTAGAAGCAAAGAGCAATAATCAGAAACGAGAAAATTCATGGTAAGGGACCTGCCTTCGGGCTCATCTCTCCCACAGGCGGCTGGACACCTGCTAGGTCAGCGGAGTCCTCCCTGTGCTCACAGCTTGTGGCCAAGGAAAGAATGGCAAGAATGCCAAACCTAACGGTGGATAAGATACAGACATATGCAGAAAAAAACTGGCAGAAGGGGCTAAGTTCTTCCCTGCTTCGTGGACTCAAATCTGTCTACAAGGGGAAGCCCAGTGATTAGCCAATTTGTACGAACAATGCAAGCCAATTTAGATGTAATGTTTTCTTTCTCTCTTTCTTTTCTTCCTTCCTTTTCCCATGCTGTTTTCTTTCTTTCTTTCTTTCTTTCTTTCTTTCTTTCTTTCTTTCTTTCTTTCTTTCTTTCTTTTCTTTCTTTCTTTTCTTTCTTTCTTTTCTTTTTTTCTCCCTTCCTTCTTTCCTTCCTTCCTTCTTCCTTTCTTCTTTCTTTCTTTCATCTTTCCTCCTTCCTTTAATTCTTTCCTTCCTTTTCTTCTTTACTTCTTTCCCTCCCTCCTTCCTTCCTTCCTCCCTTCCTTCGTTCATCCTTCCTTCCTTTATTCCTTACTTCTTTCATTCTTTTTTCTTTCCTCCTTCCTTTTTTCTTTGTCCTTACCTTCCTTTTTTCGTTCTCTGTTTCCTTCTTTACCATCAAACACCCATCTCTCGTTTTTAGTGAAACATTATTGCAATTTTCTTTTGGAGAAGCACACCTCCTATATTGTGTGCAGTACTGGTGAGGATGTGACTACAAATGCCCTTTCCACCTCTTGTCAAGGAAGGAGCAATGAATGACCAATGCTAGGTTAGTTGGACGCTGAACTAGAGCACTGCCTCCTGTTATGGCTAAGGGCAGGTGGCTGGTTCTCACTCACTCCAGCAGCGGTATGGATGTAGCAGAGAAATTATTTTTTCCCACTGCATAGATTCCCTGGAGCCTCTGGGTGCCTTTTCAATTCAGTCCTGAATTTTTAGGTCTTCCTTGAATTTCATACACTATGCCCATTTCTTTTGAATCATTTCTTTTTTCTCTTAGGTCAGTTCTGAGTGGTTTTATTGCATGCAACCAGTGATCCCTAACTGATACACTTAGGCACCAAAGTGCTCTGTTTTGCTCTTGATCCAACAATTCTGTGGTCTCTAAAATCAGCGTTTATAGATAGATGGTGGCTGTTACGCTCTGAATTGTGCCCTCTAAAATTCATATATTGAAGCCCTAAATGCCAGTATATCAGAATGTGGCTGTGTTTGGAGTTAGGCTCTTTAGAGGGGTGACTAAGGTAAAATGAGGCCTTTAGGCTGGGCCCTGATCTAATAGGACTAGTTTCTTTATAAGAAGAGATTAGGACACAGACACACCCAGAGGGACGATCATGTGAAAACAGAGAGAAGACGGCATCTACAAGCCAAGGAGAGAGGCTTCAGGAGAAGTGAACTCTATGAACACCTTGCCCTTGGATTTTTAGCCTCTAGAATGGTAAGAAAATAAATGTGTATTTTTTTAAGCTAGTCAGACAGTGGTACTTTGTTATGGCAGCCCTAGAAAACAAATACAGTAGCCATTCTCTTTATCTGGTACAGAAGCAGCTTTCTTAATATATTAAGATAGGAATTACCTTGTGAGAAATGCTCAAAAGGTAATGTTACTTTACTGCTTAATGAATAGTCCTAACTTTACTATTGTTGATGAGCCTATATATTATAATACACTGGAATAAGATTGAATATATGGATACCATATTAGTGCAGATGCAGAAAGTTTCAAGGCTATTGAGAACTCTATGCTGAAATGAAAATAATTCCCAATGAGGCTGATATGTTCACCTTTAACTACTTGTTCCTTTTCCTTAAGAATTTTGTAATTTTTAAAATGCAAATGCTCTGGGAAATGGTGCATCTTATCCTGACTACACTAGAAAGCAGAACCTGAGGAGAGGATTATGTTTAGATGCTTTATGTGGGAGGTGCATCCCAGAGCAGAAAGGCTGAGGGAAAAAGGAAGTGACACTAAGGAGAATGCAAGACGATGTAATATTTAGTGCACTGGCGTCTGCTACACAACAAATCATATAAGAAGATATATAGCAGATCAACAGGTGCATTCACTCAGCCAGGTTAGTAGTCTGCAGACAGGCAGAACAAAGAATCCATTGGAAGATTACACTGTAGTGAGGAAAGGTGAAGGAATTTATTGGTTGAGTTCCCTTCTGCCTTCTGTCTTCCACTGGTGACAACTTACCTCATGGCACAGACCTCTCTTTGTCATCCAGCCCCGTTGACAACTTTAGAAGCCAGGAGGAACCAAGGACTCGAGGAGATGAAATCTCATGGTCCCATTTCCACGTGCAATTGTTCAGCCTCTGCAGTGATTGAAGTAGAAGGAGTTGATGGTTCAGGAGACAGTGATGTCACAAGACCCTGAAAAGGCACACAAGATCTGAGAGTTACGTAGCAGTATTTAAACTAGTTATTTATATTTCAATTGTGAATGTGATTGATTAAAAGATTTTGTAGTAAAGCCTAGGAGTCAGGCTTAGAAAGGTTGCCCATCACTTTTGACCATATTCTGTCACCCAGAACCTTGGCACACATTACACAGCCTCGGTGGCTTGGTGCCTGGTTGGAAAACCAACAGAGTTTGGAGAACACATAGCTGCCTTCCTGCAACACCAAAATCACACTGTTATTCTTCTTACCTCTGCACTGTACTGCACATAATTTGAATTGTGCAGAAAAGAGTTCACAGTTGTGGGATATATTATAAGGTGTCCAATACACAGGTAATATTCTTTCATATTTATATGAAATGTGTCCAGTTTATGCCATCTTATCTAAAAGAGCTTCAATGGCATTAGAAAGCATTTAAAGGAGACTACTAAAGATGATCAAAGGGATACATTACAGGCAGGTAGATTAAAGAACTGGAGTTGATTAGCCCAGATTAAACAATGACTGAGCAAGAAGCAAGAGAGCTTTTCAGGTCAGGATCACTTGAGCACCTACATTTTACCTTCCTCTTTTCCCTTATTTTTCAATTCCAACAAAAAAAGAGCAAAGAATGAACAACTAAAGATCGATTTATTTCTGGAAATACAGCACTAGTGCTTCTCACATGCAAAATATAGAAAAGAAAGAGGGAAAGGGACATTTAAACTACAGTTCACACTTAAAAAAGAAACTCACCCTAGACATACCCCTTATGAAGCCTAGTCCAAGATATGAAGTCTGGAATCCAGAGGAGACTGAGGGTAGACAATGCGGGCGGAGAAGAAAAAATGCTCGTGTGGCATCCTCTGTGAAGTGGGCAAGGGACAAGCATCTTCAGAGTGTGACCCTAGCCCTGAGGTGCATGCACACCTGGTGTGTATGTCAGGAGGCTGCCAAAGTCCTGGAAATGGGGCACTGTTGTGCAGGCTCCTCAGAAGGTGTGGTGTTCATTACTGAGGGCACTCTATTTTCCATCCAACTACCAGCAGCCACACCAAACAAACAAATAAACAAACATTTCTTCACCAAAGAGGCTACAGCTGCCCTAAAGTGGATAGCCTCCTTCTCTGTACTCCCCAGGGCCCATGGCATTATTTATAGGGAGAAGTGAAGTTGCAGGAAACCTAACGTTTCTTTTGTTTGCTTGTATACATTTCCTATGTTTCTCAACCCAGGAGCCAAATAAGTTTTGCATCCATGCATTTCAACTTCCAAAACATTCAAAGACAAGGCAAAACAAAACATTAAACTATGAAAGGACATGACCGTGCAGATGCATTTAAAGATCCATCAGAAGTATCCTCAAGGGTATTGTCAATAGGATTTGAGAGATTATGAAACAAGAGTAGTCATGGAAAAAGAGCAACCACACATCACGAACATGTGAGATTAAATGGAATGGTTTCTGAATATTTAAAATTGCAATTACAGCAGAAAAGTGTGGATTGGAGACTGAGAAATGTGAGTTGGAAAATGAAATGTAGACTACCCTACAATTCAGTTTTTTGAAAAATAAAGGGAATAAATGGATGAACAAAAAGACATGTTGTAGAGGGAAGACTGGAAACACAACACGATTATAAGAGAGCAAAGGAAAGTCACCAGAAGCAGTAATAAACCAGAGTCCTCTGAGAAAGGGATTTCAGATTTTATGGTCAACCAGGCAAAATTAAAAGTATCCATGTATCCTGGTGATTTTTTTAAAAATCAACATTAAAGAAAAGAAATCCTATAATTTCTCTAGCAGAATAAAAGTATCACATGAAGATTGTACAAAGTGGGAAGAATAATCAGGCTGCTCCTTTTTAATAGTAAATTCCACAGCATAATATAGCAATCAATAGAATTATGAGAACAGATGGTTGTGACATAGATTCAATACTCATTTAAGATACTCATTTATAAGAGTGATAAAAACATTCTTACAAAGGAAGGTAGTTATAAAGTTTAACAGCCACATTTTTGTCCTGAAGGCTACTTAAATAATCTCTGCAACTTCTGGTGGATCCAACCACTGCAACTTCATGGTAGATCCAACCACTCATTTTTTCAATCTTAAACTTCAGTAATAAGATGGGGATAAAGAAGATATTGATCCATAGAGATTAAGACACAAAGACAAGTCAATAGCTGATGAAGGGTGAATATTAATATTTTTGGAAGCTAGAAAGCATGTGGGCATATTGTAACTCACATGAATGGACTGAAGCTGAAACTCATCCTAAAGCAGCATTTGATAACCTCCAAAGGCTCAAAATTTAGACATAAAGATAACTCTCTAAGTAAGCGTGCTTAGTTGGACTAATGGTAAGGTTGATCAAATGTCTGTCTATAAAGTAGGTAGATATCTGAATCACCTGATCCGCTCTGTGATTCTGGTGTAAATCTAGGAAGTTTGCCCTCTGGACACTCAGAACCAAAAATAGTCTGGAATCAAGATGGTAATACAATGGGACTTAACTGAAAATCTACATTTTAAAAATAGTGAGTGCAATTGTACATATATTTGATCAGTTGGAGTTGTCTCAGGGCTCATTGATGTTCTTTTCTTTATTAGATCCCGTTTTTGTCCATGTGTTTCATTTTGCATAGTTCCTATTGCTATATTATCAAACTCACTGAACTTTTCTTCTGTTATGTTTCTAATTGGCTATTAGTTCTATCTAGTGTATTTTCATCTCAGACACTACAATTTCCATCTCTGTAAATTTTATGGGGTTGCTTTTATATCTTCTAAGTCTCTGCTTTTTGAGCATATGAAATACATGTATAATAACTATGTTTAATGTCTTTTTCTGTGAATTCTAACTTGTATGTCAGTAAGTTTCTATGGGTTAGTTTCCATTGATTATTCTATCGTTTTATTCTTCTTTCTGGAAAGTTTCTTCTGATCTATCTTGTACGTGAATATGAACAAATGATAAAACTGACTTAAAGCTATTATTGCCATCATTATTATTAATGCAACCTTATTTTAGTCATCAATATTGAAATAAGGATTTCCATGATGTAAGTAATAGTACAAGAAAATGTTTGCTGCCATAACATATATTTAATTTGTTAGAAAACATCCATTTCTACCCCACCTTACATATAGCACCCTGGAAGGCATGTAACAGCTGAAAAATAACTTACGATTTAATTCTCGGCATGATTATTTCTTTGAGAGGGATCTGTTTACTTGGATATAACACAGTGATCCCTTCCATTAATTCCCTCTGGTCTGCGTAAGCATTCTTGTCTTTTAACATCTTCAAAGTTTTATTTGATTCACAGAACAACATTGCTAACCTTAAATAATTTCAGCCCAGGACACAGATCTTTAAAAATAAATTTAATTTTATCTTGCAATAAAGAATATTTGAACATTGTAATCGAAGAGTATTAGAATTTATAAAGCCAGATGGTATATGTTTAAATTACCCAAAAAGTATCATAAGTATTACATATCTTTTATATACTTTAAGAGGAAAAGCTCATTCAGATTTTTTTTTTGCAATGACCAATTCCATTTATTTTGATAAACTCTACGAATGGATTCTACTTTGAATCAATGTTTGTACATATGAAAAGACATCCTACAGGTATTTTATCCATTCTCACCTCTCAGCTTACATCCTGCAATGTTTTCTTTTTCTGAGCTCCTTCAGTGACAGTGTGTGTGGGTTTGTGTGTGTGAGAGACAATGCTGAGGGCATGTCTTTTCATGCCCCAGAAATACCCACCCATTCTTTTATCCACCGTCCTGAGGGGGACACCAGTTTCTGCTGACCTCTTGCGGCTTGCTTGTTCCGGAAGCTGTTTATTATGTTTCCAATCTCCTGCCACCCTTTTTCGTTCAATCTCCACTTCCTGGATCATTTTCTCCCCACCTCATACTTCATTTTTTCTAGTCCTCCTCTTGTAGCACTGACAATTTTGATTTATAACGTATCTTGCACGCCCTTCTCTTTTCCTTGAACTGGTAATGTATTTTCTTTTTCACCCCTATTGCCCATGTCTCTGCGTCTAGCTTATTTATTTCTCAGTGCCGAACACAGCCATCAAATCCCTTGTAATTTAGGCTCGGAGGCTTTTCACTCCCAATCTTTACCATGACTCCATTTTTTGTATTTCATATTTTGTTCTTAAAACTAAACGATTCCCCAGCATGCCTGAGCACCAGCCCTGGACACCCCCTCCCCACAACCTCACTCAAATTTGCTTCTCCAGGGTTCTGTTACATCAGTGCATTCATTTGGGGGATTTTCCTGAGTCCCATTTCCAACCCTAATTAAGTCTGCCTTGCTGCTTTCTTCTGTTCAGTCTCATCTCCATAGACTGATTTTCAGTTCCAAGTGCTCCAGATGGAGCCATACACCTGCACTTTGGTGGTGGAAATGTAAAAATGTGGCGTTTGTGGCTCTGAGAATCTGGATGTCAAAATCCAAAACGTGTTTTATTGTAAAATGAAACAGTCCTCTCTCTGCCCCAACCCATTCCTTGCTTGTAAATTCTTTAAAGATTTGGACTTGAGATTCTCTTTTCTTTCCTTTCCTACTTCTCTGAAGTGATGATGTAAATAGGCCTCGTTACACACGGGAGAGTAACCTGTTATTTCTCCTAGATAGGTTCCCAGGATTTGCTCCCATTTTACTCTAATTTTCTCCCAGTTCATGCCAGCTCCTTGGTTCCCATCCTGTTCTCATATCTGGATACACTCCCACTACTGTGTAGACCAGCTCCCTGCAAACGTCATCAAACTCAAATGTTAAATATGAAGGTGAATGAAACACTGCTTCTCAAAACTCTTCTAGTACCCACTAAAATCATTTTGAAAAACAATGTCCTTCTTTGCTTATTTTAAAGTTGGCATCTAAAATTTTTCATGTGCTGAATGCTGGCAAAAGACGTAATTGCCTGCATACTCTCTCTCTCTCTCTATATATATAATTATTAATTGTATAATATTTTATTATTTATATTTTATTTTATTAATTATATAATATAATTATTTAATATATACTTATTGTATGTTAAAATATTAATATAATATATTAATATTTTAAATATATTTAAATGAAAATATTGGACCTGCAGATTCAGATCATTCTATTTACGAAATCCTGACTAATTGAACTCATACATATCCCTTAGGACATTTGCTCTTAAGGTTTAGTGCCTATTCCTAGCTACATGAGTCTAGAAATAGTTGCTGAATTATTATTATTATTAATTTTGTAAGTGTAGCCGGCAATGCATTATTTTGAAAAATTATTGTTCAAAGTCCACAGTTGACATTAACGTTCACTCTTAGTGGTGTACATTCTATGGGTTTTGACTAATGTATAATGACATGTAGCCATCATTATAGTGTCAGACAGAGTAGTTTGACTGCCCTAAACATCCTCTGTGCTCCACCTATTCATCCACTCTTCTCTTTCCCCAAACTCCTAGCAAGCACTGATCTTTTTATTGTCCCCATAGTTTTGCCTTTTCCAGAATGTGGTCTAGCTGGAATCATAGTCTGTAGCCTATTCAGACTGGCTTCTTTCACTTAGTAATATGTGCTTAATGTTCCTCCATGTCTTTTCATGGCTTGACAACTCATTTATTTTGAGCACTGAATGATATTCCATTGTATTCATTCACCTACTGGATGATATCTTCATTGTTCCTTAAGTTTTGGTGATTATGAATAAAGCGGTAGTAAACATCTGTGTTCAGGTTTTTTTGTTTTTTTTTTTCAATTGCAAGATTTAATAGAGTGAAAACAGAGCTCCCATACAAAGGGAGGGAACCCAAAGAGGGTTGCCGTTGCCAGCTTGAATGCCTGGGTTTATATCCCGATCATTGGCCCTCCCGCTGTGCTCTCAGGCGATAGATGATTGGCTATTTCTTTACCTCCTGTTTTTGCCTAATTAGCATTTTAGTGAGCTCTCTTTACTACCTGACTGGTCGGGTGTGAGCTAAGTTACAAGCCCCATGTTTAAATATGAATGCAGTCACCTTCCCAGCTAGACTTAGGGATTCTTAGTCGGCCTAGGAAATCCAGCTAGTCCTGTCTCTCAGATCCCCCTCTCAACAGGAAAACCCAAGTGCTGTTGGGGAGGTTGGCCAACTACCGCTCTAACTGCTTCCTGCCGAATTGGGGCATAGTAGGGGTTGTGCAGTTGAGATTTCCTCGGGAGGGATGCTTTCGATGTCATTAACATCGGAGCATGGGCTAGCAGACTGGTCCAGGGGTCCGCGGTAGATCTTAGTCATGGACTGCATCTGGGGCTCCATTTGAAGAACCATTTGTAGCTTTACAGCTTTGATTCTGAAAGAGACAAACTTAACAAGGAGGTTAAAGATACAGGGTCCAAAGAGGAGTAACAATATTATAGCTGGTAGAGGTCCTAAGAAGGGAGAATCCAGGGCATCCATTGGCTGAGGAAGCCCCAGGGTCCGGTGTTTTGAAGCTCCTCTGCTCTATGTTGTATTCGATCTCGAATTTCTTTAACTTTCTCGGTGACGATTTCGGATTGATTAACATAATAACAGCATTCTTCCCCTAAAAATAAACAGGTTCCCCCTCTTTCGGAGGTTAGCAAGTCTAAAGCTCTTCGATTTTGAAGGACCACTGCTGCTAGGGAGTTAAATTGATCTTGCAAGGTGACCAGGGAGTCAGCGACCTGTTCCATGTCACCATTTAGTTCTTGAGATAGTTTGTAGTAGAACTGAGTAGAGGTTGTGAGGCCATCAATGTCAGTACCTAGTCTGCCTAGCACTCCTGCTCCAACAACAAAAGGAAGAATGGGTACTCTTTTGTTGCCGGGCTTAGGTGTGACATAATTGTGTAAATCTTGTTCAGTGTAAATGGTCATAGGGACAGTAAGAATGAGAGGACGCACATAGATTCTGAATGGCCATTCAAACAACGATAGTCTGAGGTACCACAGACAAAAAAATATTCCTGAGGGTAGGCAGACTATTTGTGTGGGAGGAGTTACCCACCTGATACATTGGGAGTTGGTTGTGTCTATAGTATTGTTAAATTGTACACAGGTAAGGTTTGAGGTATGGGTTATCTCCAGATTGGAAACAAGAGGTCCTACTAAAACGGAAGTGGTGTTTATTTTTGTGCTGGAGTTGTTCCATTGTTCAGGTACAGGGATTGAATGTATGGCCTGAAGTGCAGTGGGAGGCACATCCAACAGTTAGTAGGGTTTTGGGCCGAAACCTTATGGAGCCTAGTGAGGGTAGTATTAAATAAGCTTACCAGCCGATTATGGGTATGGAGGGTTTCATGTAGTTTTGAGAGATCTAGTCCTTTGTAGGGGCTGGGGGTACTTTGTACCCAGGTCAGTTGGGAGATTATTTCCTTTATGTGTTTTTCTCTTGCCTGATCTTGAACTCCACCCCCATCAGACATACCATTATGGGTGAAGTAAGTCCAACAGACTGGCTCCAAGTCCTCCAGGACAACTAGGATTAATCATTTTCCCTGTCCAATAATGAGTATTTGCATGCATGCAAAGAGTTGCAGAGTTATAACCACTCTTGTGGGGCATATGGGTGTGGGCCATGAAGGTGGGATTTCCTTTAGATATACTCCTATACGATGGGACATCAATATTTCCGGGAAGCCGCATTCTTCAGGAAACTCTTGGTAAGGGGAGCTACTGGTTGTACAGCAGCATGGAGGGGGTGCAGTGAGAGTGAAAGGGGATACTGCCTTTGGTAGGGAAAGGAGGCAGAATCCTTTAGTTTAACTTGAACAGGACGGGCATTCTTTGCTCATCCATATGTCCTTCTGTTGCCTAGACTTCAGGATTAATTCCTTCCTCAAGCAGGGGACAACAAACGGGTGTTCCTTCTCCTATGTTCAGGTGTATAATGACTCCTGCTTTTACTAGAATGTCTCTCCCTAACAAGGGAATGGGGCTTTCAGGCATAATTAGAAAAGCATGTGAAAAGAGTAAAGTTCCCCAGTCACAACTTAGTGGCTGGGAGAAGTATCTAGTGACTGGCTGCCCTAGGACCCCTTGGATAGTGACAGATCTGGAGGACAGTTGTCCGGGACAGGAGAGTAAGACTGAGAAGTCCGCGCCAGTGTCCAGGAGACAGTTAACCTCCTGGCCCTCAATGGTCAAGCATACCTGGGGCTCTGTGAGGGTGACGGCATGGGCTGGCGCTTGCCCTGGGCACCCTCAGTCCTGCTGCTGGATCATCTGGTTAGTGGCTTCTGACTCAGAGGACCTTCGTCCCCTGAGGCAGTTGGCCTTCCAGTGATTCCCTTGACATAAGGGGCATGGACGAGGGGGCAGCTTATTTCCACTTGGAGAATCTTTTTTAAAGTGTCCTTTTAGACTGCACTGGAAGCAAGCCCTATTAGGCAATCGATTTGCCCAGCTATTCCCTTTTCCAGAGCCTCCAAAGTCCGCTTGCCTGAGGTCCATGACTAAAGTGGTGGCCCTTTTTTTTAAACCCGTTTATCCCATTCTGCCTGCTCCTGCTGATCTCTATTATAAAAAACTGAGGTTGCCAAGTTCAATAGGGTTTCTAAGTTTTGCTCTGGGCCTAAGGCAGACTTTTGAAGAATACCCATTGTGATTTTTTCCTCAATCACCTGGGAGGAAACATCTATTGTCCTGTCCTGAAGGGAGTTCCTCCTAGGTCTGGTCAGACCTTTATATGGTAATTAAGATTTAAATCCCCTGTAAGGAAATCTGCTGGGTTAAGGGAATTATCAGTGGTTAGAGTTAAATTACCTTTTTCTAAAAGAATAGCCCCATACTTTAAGATTTTTGAGTTAGTAAGCTACCTTTTTTGACTTAGAATAATTCTAAACTGGTGAGGTGTGCTCACAAAGAGGTTTCCTCTAAAAGTTATTTTTCTACTTTCTTCCATTAGCAAAGCAGTTGCCGCTACAGATTGAATGCATCTGTTGGTTACTGGGTTAAGGATTTTTGATAGGAAAGCTACGGATTGTCAGTGGTCTCCGTGTTTTCAGGCTACGCCCTTGTTTACGCTGACAACAAGGTAGTATTGGAGTGTTACAGGGTCACAGAGAAGACCCTCAATTATCAATTATAGGTTTAAATTTACCCTGGCTTTTAAAGGAATAGGGCACACTGTTTTTTTACTATTTCTCTGTCTTTCTTTCTCTCTTTGACTCCCTCTCTCTCCTCTCTGTCTCCCTGTCTCCCTGTCTCTCCTCTCTGTCTCCCTGTCTCTCCTCTCTGTCTCCCTGTCTCTCCTCTCTGTCTCTCTCTCTCCTCTCTGTCTACCTCCTCTCTGTCTCTCTATCTCCTCTCTGTCTCTCGCTCTCTCCTCTTTGTCTCTCTCTCTCTCTCCTCTCTGTCTCTCTCTCCTCTGTCTCTCTCTCTCTCCTCTCTGTCTCTCTCCTCTCTGTCTCTCTCCCCTCTTCTCTTAGCCATTACTAACGTGGGGCCCTGGCAAATGTGGTGGGGAATGGGTCCCACATAACTGCCAATGTCGAGAGCTGTATGCCTAAATTGGGAGGGACACCAGGGACAAGACTCCCTGGGTTTATAGCCTAGATGCCTAAGGACGCGGGGTAGAGCTTTCTTAAATCCCTTTGGAGATACAACTTGCTAGAGGAAATGAAAGTCTGAACCATTAGTACCTAGGAGGCAGGGATCAGAGGAAGTAGATTCAGAGGTAAGGAGAATTTTGGGGTGACACTTTCAAGAAAGTCATGGTCAGGATCCAAGAGGTATGAGTCAGAAGGAAAGGTAGGGGCGCACGCATGGGCGACTATTGAATAGAGACTTCTGGCTGCGCCATGAACTCAACCGGCTAATGCCGGGAGTTTGGGATGACAGCTTTCTGCCTGTAGTCGGCCCTCGGCTTCCCCGAGAAAATTGAAAGTGGAAGCTGGTTCTGGGCAGGCCAACATTCCCAACCCACAAGGGTTGGGGGTTGTTAGAAAGCCCTTCCCCGGACAGCCTCACATCTAAGTCTTAAGTCCAGTGGCCACGCTAATCGTTTTTAACTGGCCGACAGGTGCCTGGTATTTTCCTGCAATTCTAAGGAAGGATAGGACGGAATAGCAAGCGAAAGTGGTCCAATATTACTCACCGCTTTGGAGGTCCCTTCGTGGTCACCAAAATGTCACCGGGGGGTCCTTGCTCCCAGAGATCCCAAGATGGTGGCGGGCAGCATCCAAGATGGCGGAAGGCCGCTTCCAAGATGGTGGCAAGCCTTGTGTTCTCTGACCTGGGGTTCTTGGCCTCACAGATTCCAAGGAATGGAATCTTGGGCCATGTGGTGAGTGTTATAGCTCTATTAGAAGCCATGGGTCACGGAAGACAACTGTGGAACCCAGTGACTAGTGTTCACCTCAATTAGGACGAACCTGGGCACTTAGCCATGCAAGAACAATGGCAAGCCTTTAGAATGATCGGGAGCAGCAATGGGTGCCTTGCTGGATCAGTAGCACAGCAGACACCCTGCCGGATCCAGAGGGATGGAAGTCAGCAGTGGGTCTGCGATGGCAGCAAACAGCAGTGGTGGACAGCGAGCGAAAGCTCAGCTTGAGCCATAGCAAACACAGACCAGAAGAGAGTACAGTTGCAAGATTTAATAGAGTGAAAACAGAGCTCCCACACAAAGGGAGGGGACCTAAAGAGGGTAGCCCACAGGTTTTTATGTGGGTGTAAGTTTTCTACTCATTTGGGTAAATACCAACAAATATGTTTGCTGGATTGTATGGTTTACTTTCATAAGGAAATGCTAAACTTCCAAAGTGACTATGCCATTTTGCATTCTGTTTGATGTTTCGTACACTTTTATCTTCACAACCTCCAATGGCATCTGGCACACAGAGGATACTAATCAATATTTGTTCATTACTGAATGACAAGAAGCACCTGGGCAGTGTATTTAAAATGTGAATTCCCCAGCTAAATCCCTAGAGATTCTGACTCAGTATGTCTGGAGTGGGTCCTCGGGATCCGCCTGTTCAGTCAGCACCCGGGGAATGCTAATGTGCATGGTCTGGAAACCACAGTTTGAGAAACACTGGAAGCTCATTCTGGCAAACTTCTCTGTGTGGCCATGTCAGACAGGGTGGTCTTGGCCACTTCTGAAAAATGGCAGTTCTTAATTCTCACTATTTCTGTGTCCCTGTGCTCTATATGGTTACTAGGTTGTCTTTAAAATAAAAAAGGCTTCCATAATGGGAGGTGAAATTGCTTTTTATTCCAAAAAAGATTTAGTTGAATGAAAGTCAATGAATGTAAATGTAAATTCAGAACAGAGAACATTGGATAAGTATGCAAGACAATGAGGTTGGAAGGGATATATTTTTCAAGCATAACATAGACACTTAAACTCTACAGAAATATTCAAATACCTTCCCGCAACAAATTCAAAACTTGTACAGATAAAAGCCACAGGAAGAATACCCTAAAACAAGGCAGTCTCTTACATAACCACAGTGCAATGATCAAAATCAGGAACTTCATTGATACAATGCTAGGATGTAATCTAGGGACCGATTCAGATGCTACCAATTGTGAGACTGTCCAAAAGCATGCTTCAGTTGTCCTGTTTATTGAATCTCTTTTAATCCAGGGCAGTTCTTGAGTCTTGTTATGGCATGAGCACTACCCAACTCTTTTGTAGGACGTCATTAATTAGGGCTTTTCTGATGTCACTTTATGACCAGTTTCAAGTTATGTTATTTTAAAAAATGTTTAAGTTTAAAAGCAATGTATTTATCATTTAGCTTAAGGTGGATGGCTCAAGGTGGTGGAAAGTGGATGGCTAAAAAGTGTTGGAAAGGTTTCAAGATGAAATTCTGATTTTCTATAAGATGAAAGATTTTGGTGAGAAATAAAAGAAATCTGTAGGTCACGGGTCTTTCTTCACATTACCACTCTCCTAAGCTGAGAGAATAGAGTCTGACATAGTTGAATCTTTTTGTTTTTTAACTTTCATCCTCTCTTTTTTGCTTTCCTTTTCCCCATGTTACTAAGATATTGGGGAAACCAAGTGATTTCTCCTATAGAATGTCCACACTGTAGAATTTATAGAATGCTTGTTCCTGCTGTAGTTTTTAAATGGAATTCCCTGCAATATAAAAAATAGTACTCTGGTGATAGAGATGTCAAATCCTGGGCCCAATTCTAGCACAGTTACTTAAGCAAATGTTTTGTAAGCCTTTAGCAAAAATTAAGAGGCACTTGCCAAAAGTCAGCATGGGTTTTCTAAGTACACATTTTGCAGGGTTCTTCACACTTCCTTTTCTTGATGCAAGGCTGGTAGTCTTGACTAAAGTGTTTAGTCATGTTAAATCTGTATTTCAAAAAAATGATTGGCAAAACCTTTTTATTTTTAAGGATAGAATTTGCCGTCTTTCAGACACCTCTCCTATGTCAAGAACTTCATGAATGCCAACTGGAATTCTCTCATGATCCTACAAATCAGAATTTAGAAGTCAGGCAGATTTACATTCAACTCTTAACTTTCCCTCTTTCTAGCTATGAGAACTCAGATGTGTGAACTAACCTCTTTAAGTCTCAGTTTCCTTATTGGTAAGATAGTGATAATTATAAGACCTGTTTTATATAATGTGTAAAAATTAAATATTGTGAAAATTAAATGCAGGTAAAAATTTTAATATAGTGCTTTGCATATAGTAAGTTCTCAATAGCTGTTTGCTATTAGTTATCAGTGCTTCCATGGCACAGATAAGAAGACTGAGGGTCCAAGAGGCTAACTCTCTGGAATAAAGTCTCTCAGCTCCAAATTTGGGAACCATCATCATTTCCATAATATCTTGCTGCCTCCTTGTGGACAAGCCAAAAGAAAATGTGAGCTGAAAAGCCATGTAATTCTACAGATTTGTTTCAAGTTCAATAACCTTCAAAGGTTCTAAAAAAAAATTAATGCCAAAGGTAGTGTATGATGTCTGTAATAGACTGGGTCTTTATTGCCATCTCATCTGTGTGGAAATGGGGCTAAAATGAAGAGATGTTTTTCAGATGGCAAATGAAAATAAACAACTGCAGATAATGCTATAAGTGGGTTAGCATTTTTTTAATGAATAGATTAAAATAAAAACAAATTTAAATGATGAGATTTAATTCACAATAAATGCAAATTTCTGAACTTGGTCTCAGAAATAACAACTTTACAAATCCCAGATAAGTTATTTTTAGATCTTGAGCTTGCTGTGAAATGTAAAAAGGGATTTTGGTTTAACTGTTTGAATCCCTCCCTGTCGGCCCTTCAGTGAATTATTTAGTCCATAGTAAGAGAGATGATGGATTCTCCAAGTGGCGGGTCCCAAGCTCAGAGATTCCAGAACAGTGGATGACACTGAGGAACTCTGCCTTTGTCACTATGGCACAGCATTGAACAAAAACCATGCCCCCTCAAAGTTTGTGCTGTGTTGCAACCAGCTGAAGATAAATCAGAAAATAGGATCTGATGTTGTTTTGTAGAGATCTCCTTGTCCTGGGGCTTATTGAGGCAATTCCATGATCATGAAGTAGAACAATGCATACAGCCCATCCAGAAGAGAACCAGAGGACTCCAACTTCTCCATGGAAGCCCCAGAAAGCTGCTTCTGAGTGCTCCTCTCCTTCCTCCCCATCCGGACGTCAAAAGAACCAGTACTAGACCCGATAAGCCTACCTTGGTTGTCACGGGGGTGGTTTGTGTGGTGACAAATGAGACTGTCCGAGCAACTGAAGGTGACTGTTTATGGAATTACATGGAGATGTTGTTATGGGAACACATATTCAGCCCCTTCTATAATGGGCCGAATTGTGTCCTCCCAAATTCATACGCTGAGTCTTAACCCTCAGGACCTCAGAATGTGGCTATATTTGGATATGGAACCTCTAAAGAGGTAATTAAGGTACAATGAGGTCATATGGGTGGACCCTAGTCCTATCCGACTGGGGTGTTCTCAGAAGAGATCAGGACACAGACACACACAAAGGGACAACCATGTGAGGACACAGAGGGAAGACAGCATCTACACCAAGGAGGGAAGCTTCAGGAGGAACCAGCGCTGAGACACCTTGACCTCAGACTTGCAACCTTCAGAATGTGAGAGAATTAAATCTCTGTCGTTGAAGCCCTGCAGCCTATTGTACTTTGTTACAGCATCCCTGGCCGACTAATACAACTTCTTACAAGGCAGCTCATTTTAACATAAAAAATTTTTGTGTTGAAATCCCAACATACTGAGGCACATCGACACATGAGCTGATCTGCTGATAGTTCACTGTGCCAAATAGACAAAACCAGGGAGCTGTTGTTGAACCTATGGGGCTAGCAGGAAGGTGAGGATTACAAGAGTCTGGATTCTGGACTCTCACCTCCTCCTTCTTTTCCCCACACCTACAATCCCTGAGGATTCTTTGCAAGACAAAGTGTGGAAATCACTGAGCTAGCACAGGTACCTGCAAACCAGAGGCCACTGGAAGCCACACTGGCCCTTCATTTTGAAGAAGGCCCATTGCAACCCACTCTATTGATTTCAGGGTCCTCTCTGGTTTATGGTTCACATTTGGAAAACTTCTTGTAAAATTAGCTTATTACAAGAGCATACATGCCTCAAAAATTTCCAGCATTCTCCAAGACAGACAGCACTGTGTGTTTTCACATACCAGAATTTTCATCATGGAAGGTGCTCAGTGATGAGTGGAACCTCTCTGAGAACCAGTTTTGAGGTTCTGGGAGCCCAACCACATGGGGTATTCTATTCATGAAGCTGTGGCATTCCTCATGCAGATGAGTTCAGATACCTGATCACCTTTTCCTATACATCATTAAACTTGGATCTGTGTGGCAATGGACTAGATGCAGTGGTATCTTCAGTCATGCTAGGATATCCTTAGGATAGCTACTGCCCTTTGCTGCTGGGTTGAGATGTGCTTCATAACTGTACCCTGCCCAGCCCCTGCCACCCTGGCCCACTCATAAATATTCTCACATGGGGTCTGTGATATTCTGAATATACACATATATATGATACACACACATACAGAAACACACATACACATATATGTGTGTGTTTTATGCAAGCTTCATTACATAGGCCTGATTGAGAACAAGTAGAAATGTGATTGGACAAAACACACACACACACACACAGATGCACACACACACACATATAGGTTTTTGGCCACGGTTTCCAACTCATATCTCCCATAACCCTTATTGCAGTCTTTTGTTAGAATGTTGGGGCACTTTAGGTCTCAGAAAACAGAACCTCTCTCTCTCACTGAATTTCTCCCTTCTTCTTTTCACCTGCCCATGGCAAGATTGTAATCTGATTGTGGATCAAAAGACCCTCATTCTAGACAGCGTTCTGCCCCATACTTTAGAGGGAGGAATGCTACCCGGAGAGGCCAAGAAAAGTCTGAATAGACTCCTTGCTGGGTTTAGATCATGGTTTTTTTTGGTCCAGTTGCATTTGTACACAGTTGTCAATCATGTCTATAAAATGAAGTCTTCATAGAACGCCAGGAGGACTGGGTTCAGAGAACTTCTGGGTGGCTGAAAATGTGGAGGTCCCTGGAGGGTGATTCCCAGGGAGGGCATGGAAGCTCCACACTCCTTTGCCCATACCTTGCCTTACATGCCTCTTCATTTGTGTCCTTTGTAATAGTCTTTATAATAAACCATAAATATGTTTTCATGAGTTCTGTGAGCCACTCTAGCAAATTAATGGAACCGAAAGAGGGGACTGTGGGAACCCCAACTTGAAGCTGGTCATTCCAAAGTTCAGGAGGCCTGGACTTGCAACTGGTGTCTCAGGGTAGATCCCTGTAGGATCTGACACTATATCCAGAAAGATAGTGTCCAAATTTAATTAGAGGATACCCAGCTGGTGTTCACTGCTTGGTATTTGATATGGTTTGGCTGCATCCCCACCCAAATCTCATCTTGAATTATAGCTCCCATAATTCCCACATGCCATGGGAGGGACCCAGTGCGAGGTAATTGAATCATGGGGGCAGGTCTTTCCCATGCTGTTTTCGTGATAGTGAATAAGTCTCACTAGATCTGATGGTTTTATAATGGGCAGTTCCCCTGCACACTCTCTCTTGCCTGCCATCATGTAAGCTGTGCCTTTCTCCTCTTTTGCCTTCTACCATGATTGTGAGGCCTCCCCAGGCATGTGGAACTGTGAGTCCATTAAACCTTTACAAATTATCCAGTCTCGGGTATGTCTTTATTAGCAGTGTGGGAACAGACTAATACACTATGCATGGGGAAAACCCCCACATTTTGTCCCAGAAGTCTTCTTTGTTGATTGTTGCAGTTTGAGAGCAGAGGGAAAACATGGTTTGAGAGTTTTTGCTAAACAGGGTCCCCTCACTCCATGATGAGCAGTTACCCACTAAATATTTTTCCCTCGGTCACATGAAAGTAAGAGTGTGCTGTGAGTGGATCCCTGGAAATCCTCCCAAAACTCATCCTGGGATCACATCCTAACTCTCTGCTGTCACACTGGATGGACAATTTTTATGAAAGTAATGGCAGCCCTGAGTTCATGGCAAAATAACACATTACTGTGGAAGGACAGAGGAAGCTGACTCCATAATAGCTATTCTTAGGTGTGGCCGCTTGGAAAGAGAGACAGGAAATCATACAGAGATTACGGAGATTGCTTCCTGGCAGTGGCCCTATAATTAGCCTTGCAGAAGAATCCCTTCCAGTCTTTTGGGTATAACAGAGACATCCAAGTACTTGCACTGCATGCTCACTGCTGAACTTCATCTTCTATCAAGGCTGTTCGAGAATGCCATTTTCGTTTTCCTTGCTGTCAAAGAGCTCAAATGCCTGTGCCCTTCCCTCGCTAGGAACACGCATCGCTTTAAATGAAAGCTGCAATTAACTCCAGAAGAGTGCAGGATGGGGATTAGGGTGAAGAGAGAGGGAGAGAAATATCAGCTTTCAGATTTTGCCTTTGTGATAACTATCTTGTTTATCTTTTAGATGATTGTGAAAAACTGAAATTATGGAAGGAGACAAATTACTATTTATGCTCCAGGGAAATTCAAAAAATTCTGGAAATGCATACTTAATAAGAAACAAATCTATACATTTATAAGTTTTATCTCTTTGAATTCCAATGACTAAAATTGTTACTTTTAAATTTTGTTCCATTTATATCTAGACTTGAGTATTTTTTCCCTAGGCAGATAGCTGCTGAAAAAAGAAAGATGGTTATGAGACAGTTATTTGTTTAATTTGCAATGTTTTCTTAGGTACTGCTATGTTACATTTTATAAATGACTTGGGGATACACACACACATATACACACATCTCTCCATATTTATTTAAAAATCTGTCTAGCATTAATGCAAAAGATAAAGTATATAAGGGAAAACAAGTTATAAACTTGTTTTAAATTACAGGAAGGCTGTAATTCAATTCACTCTTTGAAGCATTTTGAAAGGATATCATAAGACGTGTCAATACATTGCAATTAAATTGTTTCACTGTATAATTCATTTGCACTATGAAATCTCTGCTGTTTCCTTAATTGATGCATCTTATATCCATTTAAAATATACATTAATTACTTTTATTTATATTTGAATTGCCACTGACTGTATTTGGATTTTTATTTCCCTAAGTGGAAATTGAGCTTTCCATTAAAACAACCAAAATCATTTTTTTTGTGCCGATAATTTCATGCAGTGATGAATCACCTAGACTTCACTTTATCTGTAGCTGTGGAAGATTAAGGTGGTCACAAATTCTTTTCAGTTCCTCTCTCCAAGAAAGGAAATCTATTTTCCTACCCTTTAAATTGGAGCTGGCCTCCACATTTGATTTCACCAATAAAATACAACAAAGTAATAGTGTTAAAGTGCCAAATCTGGACTTCAAGAAGCCCTGTAGCTTCCACTTCCTCTGTTTAAACAGTGGTATGTGAACATGCCTGGGCTAGCCTCCTGGAGAAAGTGAAACCACATGGAACAGAGGTACAGCCATCTTAGCTGTCCCAGCTTTCCTAGGTGAGGCCCCATCCACATGACTGAACCCAGAGATAGCACAAGCAATAGAGATGAGCTATCCTAGCTGAGCTCTGCTGAAATTAGCAAACTGTAGTATCATGCATTAAATAAACAACTGTTGTGTAAGCCACTGTATTAGTCTGTTTTCACACTGCTAATAAAAATATACCTAAGACTTGGTAATTTATAAAAGAGGTTTAATTGACTCACAGTTCAGCATGACTGCAGAGGCCTCAGGAAACTTACAATCATGGCCGAAGGGAAGCAAACATGTCCTTCTTCACATGGCAGCAACAAGGAGAAGAATGAGAGCTGAGCCAACAGTGAAGCCCCTTATAAAACCATCAGATCTCATGAGAACTTACTCACTATTACAAGAATAGCATGGGGGACACCACCCCAGTGATTCAATTACCTCCCACAGGGTCCCTCCCATGACATGTGGGGATTATGGGAACTACAATTCAAGATGGGATTTGGGTGGAGACACAACCAAACCATATCAGCCACTATATTTTGACTTAATTACAAAATATATCAGTGCAAAGGCTGATAAAAGATAATACAAACCTAATACAAACCTAAGCTAATGTAGAAACTGCAATTATGTGCCAATATATACCTTGTTCTTTTTAGACAAAAAAAAAAGCCAAAATTATAATTTTTTATATGTGATAAAAGCAAAAAAGTTTATTGGACAAACAGATTGTCTCCTAGAGCCAGTTTTTAAGAGGGATTTGTCTCATAAAAAGTTCATATAGCAGCTGTATTAAAGAAAATGCAAAAGTTATTTTTTATGTCTGATTTTGGCTGGGCATGATAGCTCAGGTTTATAATCTCGGCACTTTGGGAGTCGGGAGTGGGAGGATTGTTTGAGCGCAGGAGTTTGAAAATGTAGTGAGCTATGATAGAACCACTGCACTCCAGCCTGGGCAACAGAGAAAGACCCTGAAAAGAAGTAGTCAGAGAAAGCTGGAGTTACAGAAAGCCAGTCTAATGTGAAATGGGTGAGTATTTCTGGGGAAATATTTTGATAAGGGAACCAAGCTCAGAAAACGTAAACAGTTTGTATGATTACTATGCCACTTGCACTATTTTTTCCTATATATCCATTATTCCCATGGTGCTTTTGTTGGAGTTTGTGGTAATAAATTCAGTATTGCACAGTTTGTCCATAAATACCTTTAATAGAGTTATTCTAATGGTGATGGTGTTGGTGTTCTGCAATTGAAAGAAGAATCCTGATTTACACGTGTTAAGATAGAAAGTCATTCCTGACTTTGTACACACACACATGCACAGACATACTTTTTATCAATATTTATTTCATGAAACGTTAAATGTTCAATGCTGTAAGCAATTATTCATTTGAGACTTTTTATTTCTGTGACTTAGGGCAAGAAGATACTATTTTGGCTCAGACAATATTGTGTGTGGGTTACCCGTTGATCATTTTAAATATGAAAGAATAACTGCATAGTGTTTGGGCAGTTCCAGTTTTGAACATCATGGCCTCCCTAAGGACCTGCCAAGATGAATTAGATGTGAACTGCACCTCGAGTAGCATGCACTCATGTTGAATTAAACAGCAAAAAGCATCTACTCTAAACAAAGCTTGTAGTGTGTAAATAGCTGTCACAGACCTGCTTTTGCTAATGATGATTTGACATGAAATTCCCGTGTTCCTGGAGGAAGGGAGATTGCATTAGTGCCCTGATTTCTCAGCCTTTCCTGAAACCAGGCCCTTCACAATGTGACCACATTACAGCTTCTCTCAACAGAAGGCAGGGGATAGTTCACCCCTAAATTTTGAGTTCACCTCATTACTTGGTTTAGCCAATGGGTGTCAACAGTGGCAGAGATTTTGAAAGTGCTTGTGCTTTCTCTTGTGCTCCTGCTGTTGGCCCCCATCTTTAGATCATGCCTGAGCTAGCTTGCTGGAAGCTAGAGACCTATGGTGCAATTATCTCAGCTGATAGCCATAGGAGTGAAGTCAACAGGGAACCAAAATACCATCTAGCTGAACACAACCTAAATATGCAACCCATAATCCATCTCACGAGTTAGACAACTGCATTTTATTTCAAGCCATCAAGGTAAGGTAAAGAGTGTTTGTTATGCTGCATTATTGTAGCTCTAGATAACCAATCTTTTCTTAAGCATACCCTTGTTTGATTGAGAATAGTTGTCCCTCAGTATCTAGAGGGGATTGGTTTCAGGACCCCCATGGATTCCAAAACTTGAGAATACTCAAGGCCTTTATATAAAACATCATAGTATTTGCATTTAACCTAAATACATCCTCATATATGCAGTCAGCCACACGTTCTACATCTGTGGATTCAACCAATATTGGATCCAAATATTTGGAAAAATCAAGTACATCTGTAGTGAACGATAAACACCTATTTTTCTTGTAAATAGTAACAACTATTTATGTAGCATTTACATTAGATTAGGTATTATGTGTATAATTATGTACCACCTAACAATGTTTTGGTCAACAACAGATCACATATATGCTGCTGGTCTCATAAGATTATAATGCCATATTTTTACTGTACCTTTTCTATGTTTAGCTATGTTCAGAGACACAAACACTTACCATTGTGTTATAATACCCTACAGTAGTGAGTGCAGTAACATGCTGTCCAGGTTTGAAGCCCAGGAGCAAGAGGCTATGATGTATAGCCTAGGTGTGTAGCAGGCTATACCATCTAGGTTTGTGTAAGTACACTTACTGATATTCACACAGTAACAAAATCATTTAATGACACATTTCTCATGAGGATTAAGCTCTGATATTTTATCTTGCCCAAATTCCCATCTAAGGAGTCTGGGTAGTCATGCTTTACAAAATATAAATTCTCATCAGATGGGTTTTATTTTACCCTATATATTGTGACCTACGTTCCAATAAGACTCTGTCATAACATTATGTGACAAAGAAGAAAGTTAAAATATTTTACCCCCAAGCATGTTTCTTTGCTATATCTTGAAATGGCCCTGCAAATTTGTCCTTTGTGGGGGAAAATTTGCATCTGTAAAGAATGTCTATTAACATAGCTAGATCTTTTCTTCCAGGCACTCCCAATTCTGAAGAGATTTACTAAGAGTCTGGCACCTTTTAAAGGTCTGAATAGGAAACATTTGTCGTCTATTGTCTCTAAAGGCTGCCACTATAAGACTTCAAAAGAACCTTGGTCTCCACGATCTTTTATCTTAACCTGAACATTTCCTTTCTATCAATCCCAGGTCTTTAGACAAACTCAACCAATTGTCAACCAGAAAATGTTTAAATTTACTTACAGCCTGGAAGCTCCCTGCTTTTCTGGTTGACAATTACAATAACACATTGATTAACAACAGGGCTATGTTCTGAGTGTCGACAAAAAGAGTCAAACTCTGTAAAATATTTGAAGAGATTTATTCTGAGCCAAATATGAGTGACCATGGCCCATGACACAGCCCTCGGAAGGTCCTGAGGACATGTGCCCAAGGCGATGGGGGCGCAACTTGGTTTTATACATTTTAGGGAGGCATGAGACATCAATCAAGTACGTTTAAGAAATACATAAAGGCGAGACAACTCAAAGTGGGTGGGGACATTGCCTGTAAAATTAAATGGCAACATGGCATGCCTAACTTGGGAGCCAAGGAGCCCCCCAGTGAAATCCTAGCACAATTACTTATCAGTTTTAGATGGTTGTAGAAGATCCTTAAATTCTATAAGCATCAGCTTTCTCATAAAAAATGGAGCTATTAATATTACTTCCATGAGAGTGTTGCTCGGAGAATTATTAAATTCAATGGTATATTCAGAATGCTTAGCAGAGCACCTGGCAGATATTTAACTGTTCAATAAATTATAGTTATTATTATTAAGACTGCTTACTCCTCATAGAAACCTGAAAATTTGGGAGAAGCAGTTTATTGAGAAGAAAATTAACTTAGAATTTTGATGAGCGATGCAGAAAAGTAATGAATTGCCATATTTGTGACACAGAGAGTTACCTCTTTTTGAAAATGGGGCAGATTATTTTTATTATTTCATCCTGAGGGACCCATGCCCAGGGAATCAGACGAAGCACAGCAAGGATTGAGGTCTCTCATTTGAAACAGGATGTAAACACATCTGTGGAACAAAGATCACCCAGGGCAGTTTTTAACTATGTTGATTAATCATACAAATTATAATGGATGGTACAAACAAAAATTGCTGATGCTTCCAAAATCATTAATGATTTCTGTAGTCACGTAAAGACTTTGGGAACTATTAAACCACCAACTTTTGTATCCTTTTCATTCCAATTCCAATGATAAAAATAATTGCACATTAGGGAAAATTCGGACAATATAGAAAAGTAAAAACAAGAAAAAAAATGGAAATCTCTCTTTTCAGAGCATAAATGTTTCAGTGTATTTTCTCCCAATCTTTCTTCTTCTTGACATTTAAAGGAGAACCATAAACTACGTTGAAAATTATTTTATAGAAACTCAAGATTTTTACTTTTCTTTCTGCAAAGAAAACGTGTTATTTCATTGTCTGTGTCAGAGGATCTTGAACAATGAACTCTCAGATTCCAAACAAAACATTTCAATAAAATACCAAACTTACTGTTTGCACCCTTAGAATTGCTATAATAGACCTCGACATTTTTGAATCCTTGTTCTACTGAAAGGTGAGAGGAAAATGCGCACAGTTGTCTGACATAAACAAGATTGTATTAAACAGCCCTGTATTAGTAGGTTGAAAGTATGCTGATGAAATGAAACTAACACAATGTGTTGAAATAAGAAAGAAAAGTACACTTTCTAAAGCACAACTCTAAAATTTGCTTTGGTTTTTAGTTTATGGACACTCCGACATCTTTTCTTTTTTAGGGTGTTCAAAAATGACCTCAGAATGCTTCATGTGAGCTCAATCATGAATAATTGTGGTAGGAGTTTATTGGATGGTCTGATACCCATTCTAATTAAGCACGTAAAAGTACACTGGGTTCCTCAAAATTATATCCAGAGCCATCACAGGTTATGGATCCAACAGGAGGTTTGATGAAATACACACTGCTCCTAGCTGAGAAGGCTGTTGAAAACCCACATGAACAATTGCACTTATAGGATTTAAGATTGACTCAGGGCACCCTGGTTTGAAGAGGATGACCTGAGTTGAAGTGAATTCTTAAGACCCCATAAATACAATGTTTTGTCGGGGGCTGATATAACCCAATTCATGCCTGATGCTCCTGGATCTCTAGTCTGATTTCCACCCTGCCAACCCTTCCAGTAGCCAGCTCTCAGTGTGCACATGTGCTTAAGTGGTTCTTAGCCTCTCAATAAACAGCCCAGGACAGTAAGGGCCAAACAAACCTTCAAGTATGTAAAGGAAATTGCAAGTGAACCATTCCTGCAGCCCAAGATCTAAGCCCTATTAAGAAAATAGATGCCTATTTATCATCTTCATTCATGTGCCTTGCAGGGGCAAAGAAATGACTAAAGACAATCTTGCAATGTATGTGCCAAAGACATGCATTTCCCTTTGGATTATCTGTGGAGTTAATTTCCAAAGATGCAACAGAACATAACAGAGCAATGGATCAGTGCCTGGCAGATCCATAAGTCTTACACTAAATGCATGACTGGTAGTCTGCCAGATGACAGAGGAATTCTTCTTCATACCATTGCCCTAGCTCTGATTTTCAAACAGATATTAAAAATACAGAGGGGAGATTCTCAAATCACAAGCTTTCAAAGTTAACATCGAAAGAAGCCATAATCATCACATTTGTTACTAGACGATACCTCATTTTCACCATGTATTAGTTAAGCACTTAATTGGCTCCCCAATGCTTTGCTAGCAACATATCACAATTGTGAAACTTCATAACGAGTGTCCACTCAATATATTTAAATTTCGTTTTTTATGACTTCAGCTAGGTGGATGACTGACTTGCTAGACAAATATATAAAAGCATATTAAAATTATGCATAGGTAGCAGTGGCTTAATAGGATTTCTCCTACATTTCAGTATTTCACTGAAACATGCTTTATTTTCACAGTATGCTGGCTGTTAAGTGCAGGCACATGAATGAAAAAGGAATTTGACCATCTCCCTATCTACAAATGTTATTGTTTCTACAGCTGTCTCCTCCATTTCTGTGTCAGGCTCAACCTAAAAGAAAAATTTTAATGTGAATGAAAGTCTGCACCCGGGCTCTGAGAAAGTGTGTGGAAGAAGATGGTAGGTGTGCTCATGGTAGCATGTACGTCGTAGGTCATAAACAATGAAGCACCTGTCCTTTACAAATATGAAAGCTCACAGTTATTCATGTTACTCAGACTCTTTGTCCAGGTTTCAGTTCTTTTCTTTGCCCTGCAATGTAAAAGTAATCACAACTAAATAGGAAATATGGATCTCCAATCCACAAGATGAGGTGATTAGGAACTGTTGTTTGGGAAGCATTGGAACAGGTGGAGATGATTAGTCTAGAAAAGACACATCTTGCTGTTGAAATATTTGAAATTCACGTAAGACAGTAAAAGAACTCCTGTTGCATTCCAGGGGACAGAGCTAGATCTCATAGATAAAAGCCACAAGGAGACAGAGGTAAGAAAAACATAAATATATGCTAAATAGGAGAATTCTACATATGGCACTATTTTCAGAAAGAGCATTAATACAATCTCTATTTATATTCAGACAATTATCCTAGAATATTATAGTTTTTTTCATAATTGTGTGTCTACTGTATACCACCTAGGAAATATTAAATACTATGATCAGTATTTTTGTTATTGCTACTTTTATTTTTATTATTAATTGGGAGCTTTTCCAGACATTAATAAACCCTTAGCAGACATAGGTCATACATCAGTTGCTCAATTCATTGTCACCTCTATGAGCATATTTCTGATAGTGAAGCTCAGTATGTGTTGTGTAATAAATAAAAAGGAAACAATGAAAGCAAATTACTCATTATTGCCTTATGGTTAAATAAAGATTAAAAAACATTGGAAACCATGTAGAGAAAGCAGGGTATAATTATATTAGAAACCACTGTGTAACCATCACTAATATTAAGGAATACATCTAGTCCTGACAGCTCCTTGTAAATGGAAGGAGACATGTTGCCAACTTATACTATCTACTGGAAAAGGTAGACATTGGCAAAGCTGTCAACTGTCTCACAAGAGAAGCCAAGGGGCTTCTACAGGTATCCTCCAGAGATATTGTGGGTTCCGTTCCAGACCACCACAATAAAGAAAATATCACAATAAAAGCAAGTCACACAATTTTTTTTTATTTCCCAGTGAGTATAACAGTTATGTTCACATTGTACTGTAGTCCGTTAAGTACGTAATACCATTGTGTCTAAAAAAATATACACATACCTAAATTGAAATACTTTATTACTAAAAAATGTTAACAATCATCTGAGCCATCAATGATTTGTAATCTTTTTGCTGGTGAAGGGTCTTGCCTTAGTGTTGATGGTTGCAGATTGACTAGGATGGTGGTTGCTGGAGGTGGGGATAGCTGTGGCAATTTCCTAAAATAAGACAACAATGAAATTTGCTGCATTGGTTGACACTTCCTTTCATAAAAGATTTCTCTGTAGCATGAGAGGCTGTTTGTAGCATTTTACCCACAAGTAGAACTTCTTTTAAAATTGGAGTCAATCCTCTAAAACCCTGCCACTTCTTTATCAATTAAGTTTATGCAATATTCTAGATTTTTTTGTTATTTCAACAGTGTTCACCAGTATATTATATATTATATTATGTTATAATCTTCACCAGTATATTCCTTCTCAAGAAATAATTTTCTTTGCTCATTCACAAAAAGCAACTCCTCATCCATTCAAGTTTAGTCATGAGGTTGTAGCCATTCAGCCACATCTTCAGGCTCCGCCTCTCCTTCTACTACTCTTACTATTTCTCCCACATCTGCAGTTACTTCCTCCGCTGAAGTCTTGAACCCCTCAAAGTCATCCATGAGGCTTGGAATCAACATCTCCCAAGCTCCTATTAATGTTGATATTTTAACCTCCTCCCACAAATCATAAATGTTCTTAATGGCGTCTGGAATGGTAAATCCTTTCCAAAAGGTTTTCAATTAACTTTGCCCAGATCCATCAGAGGAATCACTATTTATGGCAACTGTAAATTATGAAATGTATCTCTTAAATAATAAGACTTGAACGTCAAAATGACTCCTTGATCCAGGGGCTGCAGAATGAATCTTGCGCTAAGAAGCACAAAAAGAACACTAATCTCTTTATACATCTCCATGAGAGCTCTTGGGTGACCAGATTAATTGTCAATGAACAGTAAATGTTGAAAAGAATCCTTTTCCTGAGCAGTAGGTATCAATAGTGGCCTCAAAATATTCAGTAAACCATGCCTTAAATAGATGTGCTGTTATCCAGGCTTTGTTGTTCCATTTCTAGAGCACAGGCAGAGAAGATTTAGTATCATTCTTAAGGGCCCTAGGATTTTTGGAATGCTAAATGAGCATTGGCTTCAACTTAAAGTCACCAGCTGCATTAGCCTCTAACAAAAGTTATCTTGTTCTTTGAAGCTTTGAAGCCAGACATTGACTTCTCCTCTTCAGCTACGCAAGTCTTAGATGGCAACTTATTTCAACATTAGGCAGTTTGATTTACATTGAAAATATGTTGTATAGTGTAGCCACCTTCATTAATAACCTTAGCTAGGTCTTCTGGATAACTTGCTGCAGCTTCTAGATCAGCACTTGCTGCTTCACTTTGCACTCTTATGTTATAGAGGTGGCTTCTTTTCTTAATCTTCATGAACCAACCTACACTGGCTTCCAACTTTTCTTCTGCAGCTTTCTCACCTCTCTCAGCCTTCATAGAATTGAAAAGAGATAGGGCCTTGCTCTGGATTAGGCTTTAGCTTAAGAGAGTATTGTGGCTGGTTTGATCCTTTATTCAGACCACTGGAACTTTCTGCATATTAGCAATAAAGCTGTTTCACTTTCTTAGCATTCATGTGTTCACTGAAGTAGCACTTTTAATTTCCTTCAAGAATTTTTCCTTTGCATTCACCACTTGGCTAACTGTTTTGTGCAAAAGCCTAGCTTCTGCCCTCTTGGCTTTTGACATGCCTTCTTCATGATCATTTCTTGCTTGTGATTTAAAGGGAGAGACTCTGCCTTTCACTTGAGCACTTGGCCTTTGTAGGGGATTAATTGGCCTAATTTCAATATTGCTGTGTCTCAGGGAATAGGGAGGCTCAAAGAGAGACAGAGATGGGGAATGGCCAGTTGGTGGAGCAGTCAGAACACACACAACATTTATCAATTAAGTTTGCCATCTTATAAGGGTGTGATATGTGGCACCCCAACACAATTACAATAGTAATAACAAACATAACTGATCACAGATCACCAAGACAAGTATAGCAATAATAAGAAATACAATAATAATGAAAAACTTTGTGAGAAATACCAAAATATGACATAGGGACACAAAGTGAGCACATGCTGTTGGAGAAATTATGTATAGCTTTGCTCAATGCAGGGTTGCCATAAACCTTCAATTCAGTAAAAAAATGCAATTTCTGTGAGGCACAACAAAGCAAGATAGGCCTGTGTTTAGATGAGCACTGGAAACCAAGAAGTTCCCAAATAACATTTAAAACACAGAGGCTTAGGGTTACAGATGTGTGTCATTTTAATCTTCCTTTAGTAAAATTATTTATTGTATAGAATGATTTTCTTTAAATAATTACATGCCCTAGAGAAATTACAATTTGATAAACAAATTTTTGGATTTTTTTTTTGTTATAGGTAAGCTGGTCTACAGACCACACTGGGTATGGGTAAGCTAGTCTATAGGCTACACTATGTATGAGTAAGCTACACTATACAATACACTGGATATGTGTAATCTAGACTATAGGTTACACTGGTGATGGGTAAGCTACTCTACAGACAGCACTGGGTGTGGGTAAGCTAGTCTATAGGGTATACTGGGTATGAGTAAACTAGTCTATAGACTACACTGAGTATGGGTAAGCTAGTCTATAGACTACTTTGGGTATGGAAAAGCTAGCCTATTGGCTATGCTGGGTATGGGTAAGCTAGTCTATAGACTACACTGAGTATGGGTAAGCTGGTCTATAAACTACACTGGGTTTGGGTAAGCTAGTCTATAGACTAAACTGGATATAGGCAGTCTATTATATACGTTATACTTTATATGGGTAAACTAGTCTATAGACTACAGTGGATATGGGTAATCTAGTCTATAGGCTATATTTGTTTTGGGTAAGTCAGTCTATAGACTACAGAGGATATGGATAATCTAGTCTACATACTAAATTGGGTGCTAGTAAGCAGGTCTATAGACTCCACTGTGTAGAGATAGGGTAAGCTAGTCTATAGACTACACTAGGTATGGGTAGGCCAGTCTATAGACTGCACTGGGTACTAGTAAGCTTGTCTATGGACTCCTATCAGGGATGCCTCCAGATATGGAAACATGCATAATGAACATGAGCAAGTGTCAGGTCGAGCCAATATTCTTGCATATAAGTTCTCAAAGGGGAGAATCAGCAATGCCTTTTTGTTGTCCACCAAGTCTACTGGAATGAGCTTGAGTCTCACAATTTCCACACACAACTCAAAGCAAAGCAGCATAATTTTACAGCTGGGCTTGCTCAAATTTAAATAATCAGAGCCATGGCATCTTTCTATCTCTTATTCTAGTGAACAAATAATGGTAATCATAACAAAAAAATAGTAAGACAAAGTCATTATTGGAAGTCCTTTGGCAGATAGAATCCTACATAAACATTTTTAAATAATCTGTGGTCAGGTTGAGCCTACTTCCCAGAACTTGGGATGATTAATAGTATTGGCAGTTTAAAAAGGACTAAAAAATTTTGGCAAGTCAAATGAAATGGTTCTAACTAAACATACTGCTCATTTTGCTCAATCAAAATTACTCAGTGAGTATAAATTCAGTGGTTTTAACAGAGGAAAAATTTTGTAAATTTTAAAAATAGGCTACCTCTTTAGTGTAAGCACTATACTAATGTAGACATAAAAATATATAGTATGTTTTGATTCATAGATTTATAATATTAATAATTACAACTAGATAAAACAATGTGTTTATGCAGTTAAAAGTCATGCATTAAAATTTTTTCTTATGTGGGTCAATGATGAAAAATTTTTGTTGGTTGGAATTAGCTGTTCATTATAACATGTCTGTGTTGCATCGTGTGTGTGTGTGTGTGCGCGCGTGCGCACACGTGAGTGTGTGTTTACTTATCTATGGCTAATAGTTTTCTCTGAAAAACTAAAATGAAGAATATTAGACACAATAAATGTGCAGAAACTATATTTACATAATTGTCAGGGTCTCGAGAAACATCAGGTAAGTGTGACCATTTATTTCCATCTTCACAATTGCTTCTCTGTAATTAAGCTGTGCTTCTTGGTGAAGCCTTCTTGAAATGCCAAGTATTTACACCTGTTTTGGATGGTTGTCATCGGTGGTATTTTAGATTTCCCAGTTTGTTTGTTAGGAGAAGCACTAGTGATGTAAGACACCAGAACTGTCCAATTTGTAAAAATAAGCAGGGATAATTCAGATGGCAGAGACTTGATCCTGGGTTTGGGTGAGTCCTTTGTTTACCCAGTGCCCATCAGTCACAGCTATGCTACCAAGCAGCATGTTTAAACTTTCATTAATATGTCTATGACCTTCATGCTTAATGAGCCTTCAGGGGTCTCAGCAGGCAACATTTTGAAATAAACTTCATAAGGAATAAACAAGGACATTGGAAACAGGCAGAGGAACTAGCAAGAGCATTTGGTGGTGTAAACCAAAGTCTAAACTATCAGTAGAAGCCAAAGTGATTCAAAGTATCTCATGTATTTTACAAAACAAATGCTCTTCGTTTTAAGGAGAGAAATGAAAAATCTCAAAACACAGTCCAGGAAAAATGAAACCTGAATTCTAACTCAGTAAAATATTATTCTTGACTTTATAAAAGATTTTTCTCTACATACTGGACTCTTTAATAACAGAACTTATTATACCATTTAACTGCTACAGAAAGATGGAAGTTATTTAAAATATAGTATACCTATTATATGTTGAAATTAGGAGACTTTTAGGGCATTAAAATATCCCAGGAAAGGAGAGGGTCCAAATTGCTAGACTAGTTTCATGGCTTCACTGAGCCCTGACAGATCAATTTAATATTTGAACATCATTAATTTGAACATTTCTCATGTAATTTAAGGCTCACACTGCATAATACAGGGATGCATTCAGGATCTGGACTTGGAGAGGTCGTTTTAAAAAGCCATTAAGGTTTAGAAATAGAAGAAATTACAGTAGTTAGTAAAATACTATGGAATATTCTGCAACATGCCTCAGTTGTAAGGCTACCAGATCCTAAAGATGGAGTGAAAATTGACACCAACTAGTCAGAGAGGTTTCTATACATGTTTCAGAGCACACATTTGTATATTTTATTGAATGTGTATATGAAAGCTAGAGACATGGGTCATTACTTTTCCCAATCGCCTTTCTCCCAACTCTTTTTCTTGGAAGAGTCAAGGTTGTTACAGGCACACAGAAATACACTGGAGGAACTCAGAACTGACCCTACCTACTAGACACTTAGTCTTACAGTGATCTTCCCCTTTTCTCTCTTTTCCTTTTCATTTATAATAGAAACAAAAGTTATAGATATTTAAAACACGTATGCTTTCCCCAAAACATTAAGGCACAAAAGGCATTCATTTTATGCAAATTGATCATAATCATAGCCATGAAGCAAACATATCTCATGATGGTTTTGATCTCTAATGTTTTCTCTTGCAAATAATAGGTCTCTTAATCACGTTAAAGACCTTTGGTCCTATAGCACATGTCATTTTAAAAAAATGCATCCACAAGAGATTTGACACAAGGCACTCTTGATTGTATCTGTTTTTTTATAAGAAACAAAAATAACAAGGTCTAAATTGCAAATATACTTGATTTCATCTTACTGGTACCTTTAAGAAGAATCAGAGTTGTGTTTAGAAAAGGTGTTGAGGTGTGAAAGCTGTAGATAATTGGACTCTCAAAATATGAAATAAACGATAAAGTGTGGATAAGTTAAATTTGGAAAAGTGATTTTTGTTGGACTTCATTTTGTCTAGACTTTCTCATTTCCCGTTACGTAATTTGTGATGTGACACTAAACATTCTTGCACACATAAGAAACTGGCCATCAGAGAAATGCAAATCAAAACCACAATGAGATACCATCTCACACCAGTTAGAATGGCAATCATTACAAAGTCAGGAAACAACAGGTGCTGGAGAGGATGTGGAGAAATAGGAACACTTTTACACTGTTGGTGGGACTGTAAACTAGTTCAACCATTGTGGAAGTCAGTGTGGCGATTCCTCAGGGATCTAGAACTAGAAATACCATTTGACCCAGCCATCCCATCACTGGGTATATACCCAAAGGATTATAAATCATGCTGCTATAAAGACACATGCACACGTAGGTTTATTGTGGCACTATTCACAATAGCAAAGAGTTGGAACCAACCCAAATGTCCAACAATGATAGACTGGATTAAGAAAATGTGGCACATATACACCATGGAATACTATGCAGCCATAAAAAATGATGAGTTCATGTCCTTTGTAGGGACATGGATGAAGCTGGAAACCATCATTCTCAGCAAACTATCGCAAGGACGAAAAACCAAACACTGCATGTTCTCACTCATTGGTGCGAATTGAACAATGAGAACACATGGACACAGGAAGGGGAACATCACACTCCGGGGACTGTTGTGGGGTGGGGGGAGGGGGGAGGGGGGAGGGATAGCATTAGGAGATATATCTAATGCTAAATGACGAGTTAATGGGTGCAGCACACCAACATGGCACATGTATACATATGTAACTAACCTGCACATTGTGCACATGTACCCTAAAACTTAAAGTATAATAATAATAAAATTAAAAAAAAAAGAATTTAAGATCCCTCTTACACAATAATATTATTCTGTATTTAAAGACCGCTATTTAAAGAACATTTTCATTGTGAGGCTATTTTTAGTCCTTCACACTTAATAGTGGAGATAATGATAATATTTTTTTTTGGAATGATGAGGCGAATGATGAGATATTTTTACCCCCTGATGCATCATTTACCTAGCTCAACAAATGTGTGGAGTTATTGGATTTTGTTATTTATATGGGTGTGTAGAAGGGAAATCTTGCTTTCTGCCAGTCTTAGGGGAGCATTTTAATCTGATAATGTCTCTGTGAAGAGCCAAATAGTTATTTATCAGTTCTATCTCATACTTAAGTCACTTGACCTCCTAGTCAATATTATGAGAGTTGTGTATGAACTTCGTTCTCCAAAAACTTCAGAAGTCAATGGAATTTGATGAAAAATAAGGGAATGAATGAGGAGGAAACTACTTCAAGAACAAGAATCAACAGGATTTTTTAGGGGGCCTGTTCACCTTTATAACACCCCACATTTCCAAATGACAGCACTTTCTCTAGTGATTAATTAGGATTCCAGCAGAGTTTTCATAAATTTGGAATCTAGTTAAAAGGGAACTCATTAAATTGTTAAATTCAAACTAGTTTTCCTAGGTTATGTTCCTTTGAAAGTGCTCAGTGAATGAAGCAATGCTCTATACACACAGTAGAACTACGGATATATATGTATCTATGGCTATATAGATATATAAGATTCTCATAGATGACATCATTGTCATATATATTACATATACCTACATATGCATATGTGGGTGGAGAGATAGATCTTGAAATTGAATTCAACTACTCTAATAATTCAGTTTTATTGTCTTTTATTTCTTATTTTTCTTGTTTTCTCTTGTCTTCTTTAATCTCTTTTTAATGCTAGCAATTAAAGATTTGAGAGGCTCAAAGTCCTAAAATGACATAATATTTAAATGTAAGCATATTTTGGAAATTCTAAGATAGCTGTAGAACTTATTTTTTACATAATCCTGAGAAACAACTATGGATTTTTTTTATCACAACAGTTGAATTACACCAAGTCATTGTTTCATTGGGAATGGAAATAATACTGACAGATTCACTTCACTCTTTGGCCTTATAAATAACAATCTGAGCTTCTCACCTCAGGTTCTACCTGGTTTCATAAGTATAAATGTAGACTGTAACGTAAACTTATCCCTCTATTCTTCAGTCAAAACTCGGGAGCATGAAAAGCTCACAAGACATCTTTCTTAAATTCATATAGCCATATGTATTCATAGTTGATATATATATATATATATCCCCTAGATAGAGTGTTATTGATTTTTTAACATATTCTGTTCATCTTTAGGTATGGAGGAAAGTTTTCAGTCCACAGCAGCTTTGCATTTGACAGATTTTCAAGTAACCATTATCTTAGCGAAATGCATCCAATTCAATTCAGCCTTTTTTTGTTGATTTTAGAAACCAAGGGTTTTCTTTATTTTCCATATTTATGAGGAGGGAAAGGGGTATGAGAAAGCTACTGAAATTCTGTCTAAATGGGAAGGGCTAAAGATATGCTCAAGGTTTGCTTTGTTTGGCTTTGTTTCTTTGAAATGTACACAGGGCAAGTTGAGCCATGAAGTAAAAACTTCTGAAACCTGAGGTTGATAAGCATTCCCAAATTACTTCCCTTTGTGAGATGCTAAGATGAAAGGTGTTTCAATGAATCACCTGCTTGTTTAGGTGTGACATAGGGCCACATCACAGGGGCATCATTTTTTGTTTGTTTATTTGTTTGAGACAGGTTCCCACTGTGTTGCCCAGGCTGGAGTGCAGTGGCGCCATCATAGCTCACAGCAACCTTGAACTCCTGGGCTCAAGCCATCCTCCCAAGGATGGCAGCCTAGGACTGAGCAGTTGTGTTTATTGCTTAAATCGTGGAGCAAGACCCTTAGAAGACATTGTATTGTGAAAATGCATGAAGATGCTCAGAGTACATCCATGAAATGGTCTTGTTTGTTTTACATGTGATTATTAGCATTCCAAACTCTGTATTTGAGGACAAAGTATTCTTATAAAGCAGCGTCGTTTATTAAAACATTTAAAAGACAGGCAAACGATGGGAAAATCCTCTAAGTCATATATACTATACTTAGCCCCTAGGTGCTGTGATGGAAGACATATAGGTACTGGTTCAATGTTTATATTAAGAGCTTTATAATATAATGTGAAAAAATGAGTGTAGTCAAATAAAGAAGATAACTGTGCATTCAAGAAATTTGTATCATCCTTTTTTCTATGTTTTCTTCCCCCAGGTATTAATAAAAGCTTAGGTGAATTTTTAGAATATAGATTTTTTCCCATTGTTACTGTCATCTTTATTTAGCAGTGATATTTCAAACTATTTTAAGATCTTTAGTATACATATGGGAGATACGAAGGAACAAATAACAATGGTATTTTGTCTGTGTCTTCTCTGAGAAATTCAACAGGTTGCTAGTGAAAGGGCTGTTTAGTTGCAATAACATTTTACTATGGAACGTTATCAGTTTATACCATGTGAGGTGTTCATTTCTGTCACAGTGAGAGAACATGCATCCTTGCTGTGTTCTCAATTTAACTTAAATCTCATGATTTCCTGTTTTGAACAAACATCTACTTAATTCCTGGCTCCTACTCCCCACCCACTGGCAGCCGCTGTGCAGCTGCCGTGATTACTAATCCACCTGGCGATGGTCAGGGGAAGGTATTAAGTGAAATTTTGACTTATGAAGGGCTAAACTACTTACAGTGCAATAGCATTTCCCCATAATGCATAAAACACGTAGAGAAATAAATAAATAAATAAATAAATAATAAATAAATAAATAAATAAAGTCAGAGAACAAGATCACTCTTTATCCAAATAACACAGGTTGGTTTTATTGCTTTAAAGCATAGGCACAAAAATCAGCCTTTGGGGGAAGACGTGGATTTCAACTCACTATTGCCAAACACGTTGATATAAGAGATCGTGTGGTATGCAGCTATGTATAGATGTGTGCCTGAGATGTGTAGGAATCTCGAGAACTTTTTGGATGTTTCTTCCTGTGATGTTGGAAAGACTTGGTAGAATTACATAACAATTCAGTATGAGTCCTTAGCACGATCCTTTTGTCTTTTTTCCTTTTTTTTTTTAATACATGACCAAACTGATGGAAACAAAGGTAGCAGGCTGATGCTGTAAGGACACGGTGTAGGAATGTCTTATGCTAGTTAGTCCATCACATGCTAGTTCTATTTATTTATTTTTCCTGAGATGGAGTCTCACTCTGTTACCCAGGCTGGAGTGCAGTGGTGCAATCTCCGCACACTGCAGCCTCCACCTCCTAGGTTCAAGTGATTATCCTGCCTCAGCCTCCTGAGTAGCTGGAGCTACAGGCACCCGTCACCATGCCTGGTTAATTTTTGTATTTTTTTAAAGTAGAGATGGAGTTTCACCATGTTTGCCAGACTGGTCTTGAACTCCTGACCTCAAGTGATCTGCCTGCCTTGGCCTCCCAAGGTGCTGAGATTACAGGTGTGAGCCACCACACATGCTGGTTCTTAAGAACAAGTGAGAAGATTCTGTATTGTGAAGTCAGCCTATTGCATTAAACTTATTGTTTATATTTGATTCAAAATCTGCTTATGACAAATTCGATGTCATTTTTGTGTTGCAATCTGGTGTCTGTAGGCCTTTGCCTTGCAGTTTCATGTGAAATAACATTTTTAAAAATGGTTTGTACCTATGTAGAGCTTATTCTAAACTCAGAGTGTGGATTGGTGTCTTGGATGGGAGCTGCTGTGTGTTTTCCTTCCTGTGCCACCCTTCCTCCTCCAGACACTTCCATGTGGCTGGCTGCGGCTAACATCAGCCATCACTTATACATAGGGTGAGAAGACTCGGGATTTGGTATCTTTACCACTTGATCTCACTTGCTCCCCTTTCTTCTTGGTGCATGGAATTTACTTCCTCTGTAGGCAAGTCAAGCCTCCTCCTTTTCAGTCTTCAGGCAGTCTGAGACCTTTCTTGCCTTGCAATCTCAGAATTGCAGCATTTTATTATCTCAGAATTCCTCTGAAAGTGCTGCTGAACTTGAAAAGCAGTATCTAGAACTTTGTATTTTCAAGACTTCGTTTGACTGTTTGCCTAGAATTGAGTCCACCTACTAATGTTTGCTCAGGTAACTAAGTCATCCACACATCCTGTGCTTATCTTTAAGCTGACAATCCTAAAATGAGAGCCACATCCTCACTGTAATGCACGAGATGAGAGCCAAGGGTACATACAGAGCCTGAGAATTCAAAGTTTAAAAGGCTTACTTAGGGTGTCTCAGTAAAGGACACCTACTTATTCCTGCACAAACAATCGTGGGTAAAGAAAGAGATGGAACACCTTTTGAAATGCATATGGGTAGCAAACCATTTTTTTATTAAAAAAAGTTATTTTAAGCTAAATGTGACCCTAACACACAGTGCCCCCCAAACACACACACACACACACACACACACACACACTTTATTATGTGACATAAAAAGTGCATTATTAAATTAAGCAATAATTAAGTAATTATTTGACAATTATAAACAACGAATAACCTCTAAAATGTTTGCTAAAGTTGCAATGTTTAAAATGTATGCCAATAACTAGCTTTTACATAGTTAACATTAGAAAAGCTTATGCTGAAGGAATTGTTCTTTCTGAAGTAATTTGATTAATAAAGATTGCTGCTCTCTTGCACAAGATTCTTGCACAAGTTGGGAGAAAATTCTGCTGAGAAGGGAGAAGTCACATGGTGGTCTGGTGGGGAGGGCAGGACTAACAGCCCAGAAGTTCCAGAGCTTGTGCAAGGCTCCAGGGCCAGTAAATGTGACTGACAAGATGAAGGTTGAGCTGTCTTGTTTCCGTGCCTGAACGCTTTCCCCTGAATTTCCCAGTCTCAAGAGGCTATGATTCTGCTTTTGGTCCTGTGTGTAAATCACTCCAGTTCTCCACCCATGTCTGTTCGAGGGTACGGACATCCCTCTTAGCATGGAAATGTGATTGAAGCCCAATTACAGCCATGAATCATTCCCAAATCTGCAGGACATCTCAGTTTAGCTGGGGCTTTTTAGAAAAATTGCAATTCCAAAGCTCCACCCTTAGGGTAATGCAGACCTGTCACTGAGCAGAATCACAAATCAGAATGGGAACAGGGACCAGTGTCTGTGTTTGGAAGCCAACTGTGGTTTAACTCATCCTACTTCTCAGTGACCTCTTCCATTCACATAGGTTGCTATCTCTTATCTGATCACCCTCCATAATCAATACATTGGCTGAAATGATGGGAAAAATATTCCAGCTCTGCAGTCATTTTGTTTATTAGAATGTTGTGCTTGGGCAGCAATTCCATCCCCTGGGAAAGACTGAGGAAGGTCCCCAGTAGCAGGAGGTAGCATGATATGATACAAGACCCTGGGCTTTGGGTTCAGAGGCAAGTTCCATCCTGACTGTGTGTTCCTCTGCAAGGCAATTAACTTCCTACATTTAAAAAATTCTACAAACTCATACAAATACACTTACCTAGTGCATTGCTATGAAGACAAAATATTATTTACAGTACCTGCTCAATAAATATAAGGGTCTTAGGAAACTCCTTCAGAGGGGGAGAAGGCAGAGGAAACCCTCTACTCTTGAACTACTCCTCTTTTTCTTGAGACAGGATCTCACTATATTTCCCAGGCCAGAGTGCAGTGGTGCCATCGTGGCTCACTGCAGCCTCGACCTCCTGGGCTCAAGCAATCTTCCCACCTCAGCCTCCCTAGCAGCTGGAACTAGGAGTGTGTGCTGCTATGCCAGGCTATTTTTTTTGTTTTGTTTTTGGTTTTGGTTTTTTTTGTACAGACAGGATCTCACTATGTTGCACAGGCCGGTCTTGACCTCCTGGCCTTAAGTAATCCTCCCACCTCAGCCTCCCGAAGTGCTGGGATTACAGGTGTGAGCCACTGTGCCCAGCCTTGAACTACTCTTATGTTCATGTCAAAAACCTTACCTGACCTTTACATCCACAAATCTGTCCTGCAAGATGTATGTGTATATGCACACACACACATCAAGAGTTGAGGATCATTTATATATTCACATATTTTTTTACTCATATAGAACTATGGATAAAGAGTTTGAACCAACATAAAAAGCTCTTTTATTTTAAAAATGAGATTAATGAAACATCCTGATAATTATTGTTTTCTAGTCTTTTGATGGTAGCTCATATAATTTTGAATGACAAATATGCTCTCTCTTTATTTGTTTTATATGTATACATGGTTTCTGTGCCTTAGTAAAAATGCCAACCAAGTTTATTTTTTTCCTTCTTTGAAGAATTTTTGCAGAGCTATGAAGGAAATATAGAAAATAAAAGATAAGCTACTACATGGAATAAAATTCATAAAAAGCCCTTCCCTAGTATTTCTCCAAGTAGCATCAGCTGCATATTTCTGCAGAGTGCTAAGTTGATATTTTTGATAATTCAAGGATTCGAGCCACCATCCAGTTTCATTCTGCAGATGTAGGATAGTTTAACTGCTCAAGTAGGTCATAAAATACACCATTTATAAAGCACTTAGGTACACTGTACCATGCAAAGGATAACATGCTAAAACAAAAGCCTTTTTTAAGGAGTTTGATATTAAAAGCATCACAATGCAATTATTCATCCTCAAAGGTCTGTGTTGCAGAATTCATGGCTTAGATTAGAGAATATCAAGGGGCAGCACTCCGAAGTGTGGCAAATTGGGGGAACTTCTCCTAGCATATTGCACCTCATGATAACTGAAACCAAGTGCAGGGCTGGCTATTTGCTATTCTATGTAGCAGTTAGACAAAGCTAATTAGCAATATTGTGCTTAGTAAATATGTTTCAACATACATTAACCGATTATCCATCGGTGAAATATTGCACAATTAATTTTATAATATAACTGTCAACTGCAGAGATGATGGGCATGATTCGGAGCAAGAGCCTACCAGAGGCTGTTTCTCAGCCTTGGTACTGTTGACATTTGGGGCCAGATGATGCTCCGTGGGGCTGTCCTATGCATTGCAGGCTGTTTTGCAACGTCCCTAGCCTCTATATTCTGAATGCCAGTAACTCCCCCACTCTCTGTCCCACCCACGTTGCAACAACTCAGAATGTCTCCAGACATTGCCACACGTCCACTGCGGAACAAAATTGCCCTGGTTAGAGTTACTGTAATTCTCAAATTGCCGATTTTTACGTTAGTATTTTAAAGCACCCCAGGTCATTGGAATTTGCAGCCTAGCTTGACAATCAGTGGGCTATTCTTTTGCAACTTAAAGTCAGACCTACCAACCCGGAACATCAGCACCATCTGAGAGCTTGTCAGAAATGCAGATTCCCAGACCTACAGACCCAGAGTCTGCATTTTACCAAGACCCCCAGGGGATTTCTCTGCACATGGACTTTTAGAAGCCATTCTCTGGCTTGTACAGCCTCCTCTTCTCAGAGAAGTCTCCATAATTCCCAGGTCCCGTTGAGCAGACAGTCCAAGCAAGCAGATACAATGGTTGCACCTCGTCACCCTCACAACCTCACAGCAGACTGGATTGGGGAAGATGCCTGACACGGTGGATGCAGTGGGTGGATGCAGCATCTATCAGTTACCAGGTAAAGAACTAATTAAATTCTCTCTAGAGAGTTTTTGTTACTGACAAGGGCTCTAGAGACTGTGTTGGTTTTTGTTGGGAGACAACGAGATTGTGTTGGTTCTTGCTGGAACACAACAAGAAGTAAATACTTGGGGCAAAGCTGAATGACCTGAATGGCAGATATTGACGGAGGAACCTCTCCTGCTCAGGTCTTGGCTATCTCTGCTCTCATCTTTTTTCCTTTGGTTGTTTCCTCTCCCTGGTTCAGAGATTTTCCTTTGCCTCCAGGTTGCCCTTGGTGCCCAGCTGTGGGCGTGCAGTGCATCAGCTATTCTTGGGTTGGCCCAACCCTTGGGTTGGGTTGGCATCAGCTATTCTTGAGTTGGCCTTTTCCTGGCAAGAAATTATACCTGTGACAAAAATGAAAATGTGTTTTACTTTAATAAAGTTGGAGGATGGGGATGTAAAATAATGGTACCATACTGTATCATTAAGTTTATAATGCAGATTCTATAATTGCACATTGTCTAGTGGTTGAACTCTTATGAAGAGCCATTTGATGTTTAAAGAGGCATAAAAATAAATACCTACTTTGCTGTCTAATATTGTTGTAAAAGATACATATTGGGAAATAATCCAAAATAAAGAAAAGGAGAATTAAAAACAACTTGAGTGTTAGTAAGTAAATGAGTAAAAAACTTATATTTTGTCAACTGATAGAAATATCATACAGCCATTAAAATGATAATCCCTAAATTTGTATAACAACATTGAAACTGTTTGTGTCAATTCAGCGACAAAGGCAAAAACAAAATTTTATCCATGGCAGGCAAGATTGGAGCTGTAAAACGTGTGGATGCATAAGGAGAAGATTGGAATGAAACACAAAGAGTAAAATGTGTTGATTTAACATGAGATGGTGCACATTTTTAGATTTTTGCTTTCATAAAGTTAGATGATTGGTAAAGATGTGCATGTGTTTCTGTCACCTCTATCATGTCTATCACCTCTTGTCATGTCTCTTGAAGTGTAGTGCTTCTTAAACTTTCCCTCTATGTAGGTTGAAAAATCCAGGAGACCATAGATACACTTTAATGTTAAATGAGCACGAGATGGCACGATTTTTAGTTGCTATCTTCTTAGCTAGTTATTTTTCATTCCACTGTAACAGAGGTGTTTTCAGGTATACCTAAGTGCAAGAATGATAACTACTTTGTCTATAAAATTTGAAGTGTACTTGTCTATAAAATTTTAAGCTTTATTTTAATTAAGAAAAGAGCAGCTATGAGGAGCTTGGCTGGGGCTGCATTCAGAACCTTGCTGCAGTTATTGTGAACTGTTGTGGACGCTTACATGAACTCTGTAAGTCTTGCTTTGTTGTCCATAAAATGGGGATGGCCACAGTAGAACTGGCGCCAAGGTATTTGTTAAAATTAAAGGGGCCATTTAAATAAAAAGCACAGTGTAATGCCTGGCAAATTATTACTATGGAAAGCATATTAATTGTCTTTGTTGTTTCTATCTTATGTCAAACAGTAGATCTGTGTAAGGCAGATAATTATATGGTCAATGACTTACATTTTACTATATTTTCAATCTTAATATTTTATTATGATCTATAATCATTCCTATTTGACTATCACTTATTTTTATTAAGCATCAATGCATTCCTAATAAACTTCAATATTATCAAGATGATTTAATGGAAATCATGGAAGACTGTTCGTTTATACTTAAATTAGTGTCTACAAGGCACGCAGACAAAACTATTAGTTAAGAAGGCCTGATTGAAAAGTACAACCCATTTTTTATTACTTTTGACTATAATACTTTTTTCTTAATTTTTCTATTATGACATTTATATGACCTAACCTATTGAAATTACTTCCTGACACCAGCAATTCACATCTTTCATAACTTTTGGATGCTATTGTTTCTCCCCCTGAAGTGTGCTACTGTCAAGATGAAGCCACTACAGTAGTATTCAGTATGATGGCACATTCTTATCTCTGGTCAAATAGAATTTTACAATCTGTACTCTGGCAGTAACTGCACCATCTCAATCTAAATCTATTTGGGTTATTCTTAATATATTCTCAGTAAAGAGAATAAGATAGTTATGTATTTTCCTTCAAATAATTAACTTTAAGCAAAGCTTTCACCAAAGAGGATTTCATTAGATAACAGTGTTAACTCTGCTTACTATTAGAACGCATCCCTGAGCTTATAATTGAAGTCATCAAGGAAACAATGTTCAGCTAACTGAAATTTTATGTAGTAACACCCAGTGGAAGTGCCATCACATTCATTAATGAAAACATCTTGTGCTACTTCTTGGGCAACAGCTCCCATTGAGTCTGTCTTGCTTCACTGTGTCTTGACTGTGTCTTGAAGGGAAGTGTTATCTACTGTTTGCTTCAGACCATCTTTTCAAGGATGTTTGTGTAGCAAACAGTTTTGGAAAGATAGGCTATACTATCTTCTTCCAGAGCAAAGGGCCAGAATGTCCACCACTGCATTAGTCTGTTCTTGCACTGCTATAAAGAAATACCTGAGACTGGGTAATTTATAAAGAAAAGAGGTTTAATTGGCTCACAGTTCTTCAGGCTGTACAAGAAGCATGGTGTTGACCACCTGCTCTGCTTCTGGAGAGGCGTCAAGAAGCTTACGATCATGGCAGAAGGCAGAGGGCATTCAGGCATGTCTTACATGGCCAGAGCAGGAGGAAGAGAGAGGGGGGAAGTGCTACACACATTTAAACGACCAGATCTCGTAAGAACTGTATCACAGGAACAGCACTATAGGGATGGTGCTAAAGCATTAGAAATTGCCCCTGTGATCCAATCACTCCCTCGAGGCTCCTCCTCTAACACTGGGGATTACATTTCAACATGAGATTTGGGCAGGGACACAGATCCAAACCCTATCCACTAGGATCCTTAAGCATGGGATGCCTCTTCTGTAACATATCCACTGTATTTGTAGGAGTCCATTTCAGCCTATCTGCTTCAGACTGGTGGGACCTCGATGCAAACAGAGCTAATGAAAATGTGATGCTTCTGCTTCTTTTTGTGCCATGAATAATAATCTGTTCTTTATCTCTGACCCAGGAGTCTCATGTCTTTGGCTAACCCCTGTAACCTTGTGGCAGGCTAACTAGTAAGCTTGCATGTAGAGTAAAATCTCAGGCCCTTCACAGTTCTTGATGTGTGTAGGTGTGAGCATCCTTAGGCATAAGTTGCTAGGATGGCTCTTGTGAGGAAAAAAAATCCATAGAATTTAAATTTAGAATGGTTTCTTGTCAGAATAGTGTTTGTGCTCTTTTTGCAAAGATTTTCAAATCCACTCAATCCATGTAGTTTTACACTAGCTGGAATTTTAGTTCTAACCATTGAGAATTATTTTTTGGGTTCTGTCTTAGTCCGTTTTGTGTTGCTATAACTAAGTACTGAGAATGGGTAATTAATAAAGAGCAGAAATGTATTTTCTCACAGTTCTGGAAGCTGGGAAGTCCCAGGTCAAGGCACCAGCAGGTTCAGTTGTCTGGTGAGGGCTGCATCTTCCAGAAGGGAGGATCACTGTGTTTTCACATGGCAAAAGGCAGAAGGGCAATTGAGCTGAATGCTACCTGCAGCTTCTTATATGAGGGCCTTAATCGCATTCATGAGGGAGGATCCCTCAAGGCACAGCCACCTTTTAAAAGCCCTACTATCTACATTGGTAGTGTCGCATTGGTTACACCTGAATTTTGGAGGAAACACATTCCAACCATAGCAAATTCCCTGCAAAAAGTTACGTGTGTATGTGTGTGTAGGGGTGTGTGTGTATATGTGTATATGCATACATTTGTGTATATATATATACACACTCATATATATAATTTTTATATTTTATATCTTATAAAATATAAGGATCCATTTTATTTTCTTCTGGATGCTAACAGAAACATTCTTAATCCTGGCTGCACATTAGCCTGGGAGAGGAGGACTTCTGAACAATCCCGTGGCACCAGGCGTGGTGACTCATGCCTGTAATCCCAGCACTTTGGGAGGCCGAGGCAGGCAGATCACAAGGTCAAGAGATAGAGACCATCCTGGGCAACACGGTGAAACCCCGTCTCTACTAAAAATAGAAAAATTAGCTGGGCGTGGTCACGTGTGCCTGTAGTCCCAGCTGCTCAGGAGGCTGAGGCAGGAGGATCACTTGAACCCGGGAGACGGAGATTGCAGTGAGCTGTGATTGCACCACTGCACTCCAGCCTGGGCGACAAGAGCAAAACTCCATCTCAGAAAAAAAATCGGTAGACCAACCCACCAAAATCTCTTATTAAATCCCATAAGACCATTTTAAATATGTTGCCAAATTTAAGAACCATTGGCAGAAATTCACAAAATGTGACAGTTTTCCTTCTTGTCATGTCTCTTGAAGTGTAGTGCTTCTTAAACTTTTCGATGTGGCCAAATCACTTGGGGATCTTGTAAAAGTTCAGGTTCTCATCTGGTGGGTCTGCAATGGGTACCCAATAATCTGCATTTGTAACAAGCTCTCAGGTGAGGCCACGGCTTCTGATTCAAGGTCTGAATTTTGAATAGCAATGTCGTAGTTGTTATTTTCATAAAGCAAAAGCAAAACAATACAGAACAAAAGAAAATGTAACCCAAGCGTCAAGTGTTTCAGCTGTTGAGATGCAGTACATGCTCTTTGCTTTTTCCTTTTTTTTTTTTTTTTTTTTTTTTTTTGTGACAGAGCCTTGTTCTGTTGCCCAGGCTGGAGTGCAGAGGTGCATTCATTGCTCACTGCAGCCTCGACCTCATGGACTCAGGAGATCCTCCCACCTCAGCTTCCTGAGTAGCTGGGACTATAGGGCACACCACCATGCCTGGCTAGTATTTTTGGTATTTGCTGTAGAGATGCACAGGTTGATCTCAAATTCCTAGACTCAAGTGACCCTCCCACCTTGGTCTCTGAAAATGCTGGGATTACAAGTGTGAGCCACTGCACCCTGCCATGGTACATGCTGTTAAAACAATCATTTTTTTGATAATACTAGTGATCTGAAAACTAAGGTATGGAAAAATAAAGAAATACTGCTGTCAGGAAATCAGCAAACTGTCTCTTTATAAAATACACTGATTTTTGCCACTGAAATCAGCATTTGCTACAGAATGAAGCCCATACAATTAGAATTTTTTAAGCATCTGAAGCCCCCCTGCCTGGCCTTGGCATTTATGTAGCTGAAAGGGAGCATTACTCTAAAAAATGCTTTCTTTCTGTAGCACATTTTTCATTAAGACCACGTTGTCACTTAACTCATATTGCTTAAGAATACCATCCTGGAGACAAAAACATTTCAAAGGAATTGTACCATGACATTCCTACCATGTGGGTCATTACAAATTGCCTTGCTGTGGTTTAAAAGCAGAATAATTTAAACAGAAGCACAAGTACAAGCTCTAGAACTATCTTCCCAGTAGGGTTTTACCCTGCAGGGTACAAGCAATAAAAACATTGAGCACAGAGATGGAAATAGGCTGTGGCTCAAATCACACACACACACACACACACACACACACACACACACACACACACCCCTCACATTCACACCTGTTTCCCTTTCTTGCTGGAGGTGAAAATTGGAATGCTATTATAAGCTTGTGCAGATGACTATAACTGAGAAATCAGGCACATCACAGGGAAATCATTGCACCTACAGCCTCATTCTTTTTTTGAAAGCTGGCAGGGCACATGCAATATAAAATGAAGGGTGAGACAGCATGTCTCCAGCAGGACAGAAAAGGTTATGGGGCACTGAGGAAGTATGGGAAATGCTCAGTTGCTCTCAGAAACAAACAATGAAATAAATAAAAATACTGGAAAGAGAGACAGAAGCATAGTTGTAGCCTTAGGTATGGGTATGCCAAAACACAGGGAGTAAATAATAAAATAAACATGTGAACATAAAGGCATCTATGTGTCCCCATGTGTGAGGTGTGACTCAAGATTGGACTATAGCAATGGCAGAGGATGTTTTGTTCAAAAGCTAGATAGATATGCTGTCAGATGGTAGTGTCAGACTATACACTCGGCCAGCATAAAAATTGCATAAATCTATGAACCTGTAATGGAAACCACAACACAATCGATCAGCATTGAAATACTTTGAGAGGAGGACAGTTTGGCATAATAGGAACCTACACTGCAGGTCAACATCCAGGGAGGATATTTGGAAAGTGTTTTCCAAACAGGTAATTACAAGACATCTTCACCACAATCATGAGCAATAGAAAGCTATTTCTTGTGACTAATGTAGCATAAGACAAATTCTATTTTGATGAAAATTTGACAAAAGACAATGAAATGAAGTAATATTACCTGAGCATATACGTATATGTACCAGGGGTATTTAAATGTGCTGCTTCCTAATTTTTACAAAGCCTTATGGAAAGTCTTCATTTTATAGTTCGAGCAACGGAGACTCTGAGAGCTTAAATAATTTATAAGGTGCGTCCAGATGGACAAAGCTGGGAAACAACCTCAAGGTTGATTTTTTTTTTCTTCTTTGAAGTATCAAGTGAATTTACCCGTACACACCCACTGCTTGACTAGACTAAGATGTTCAAAGGAGAACTATCATTGGAAAAAGGAAAGAAAAAGAATAGCAAATGAAAGTTTTATAGCAAATGAAAGCAGCCATCCTCACTGAGAATCTACCTCTTTTCCGGAGCTATGTTTTATGATGAGAATTTGTCACTAATCCTCCAGACCATGGTGAGATTTAGGAATCACTGTTCTGAGTTTGCACATGAGGAAACTGAGGATAGGAGTGGACCAGGTGCCCTGGTCACACAGCTAGAAAATGGCCAAGCCCCCTCCTCTGCTGCCACCTAGAGAGGTTGTCCACTGCCTTCCTTCTCACTCTACTGTTTGAGCTCCATGAAACCATCTCTTTCCTCTTCACCTTGACCCTTTTCCTCCAGAGAACACACCTCACTCTAAGTAGTCAAGCATCCATAGGCCATGCCTCTGTGTTACTTCATCATCCATCCCCATCACCCCTCACCAGCTCTGCAGAGGAATTCAAATGTGTGTGTTTCGCCATGAGCAGCTACTGCTTTTCTTTTCTCTTTAGGTGCCCTCTCTCATTTTGCAAGAAACAAAACAATTTAACAAAGCAATTGTTAATTACTTTGGGACCCTGCACTCATCCATCCTCTGGTCCTCTGGCAGATTTGGAGACTCAGTTGTAATAAGAGTGAGATGGCCAGGCTCTGCTTCTTCTTTTTTTTTTTTTTGTCCAACATCATGGTGCCGCTCACAGGTGTTATCAACAAGAAGGTAGATGTGATGCCTGTGGCAGATTGGAGTCTTTAAATCCTTTAGATGTCATCAAGTGGACTGCTCATCTGGCTAGGAGTCACAGAATTCAATGCACCATCCTCTGCTTGATGGACTCATAGAGGGTCCCTGCCTTTCTATCAGGCAGCTTTCTGCTTCATTTTTCTTTTTATCACACTGTAATATCGGGCTGACTCTGAAAGTGGTCTATAATTCTGTTAGCGATCCTTCTGTGTTTCTATACAAAACATTCATGTCCAGAAGCCCCTGAATTGAGATATTGTGGCTGATCAGAATAGAAGAAGCCCTAGGGCCCTGAACATGGAGCAAATAATCTGCTCCCAAGCTTGGTCCTGAATCAAATCCTTTGACTTGAACTAACCTGCGATGCAAGCTTATTTGACTGTTGTCATCAGAAGGGTTTCTTCGGCAGGTGTGAGGAACAGCATGGAATATCATTCTACCCTACCAATTGGAGCAAATTGTTATCACATGACTCAGTTATTAAATATAAAAGAAAGAGGGGAGAGAAGATAAAATTGGTTACAAGGTTGAGAGTTGTTATTTCATGCAGTGACTCTCTTTGGACTCTTGCTAAGTAAAATATGAGTAACAAGTACAATATTTTTGTTTTCAATAACCTCCAGTTCTCTGAAGGCTGAGCTGGCTTTCTGGTGCCATCTTGAAGGAGGATGGAATGTAGCTGAAATCTATGCCAGAGAGTAAATGAAGTGGAAAACCTGTGCCTTCAGTCCTGGTGCACCTTGAAACAAAAATGGAGAGAGAGTGTGGTGATCACAGAGCAGGATCCTCATTTCCCCCACTTATTTTGGGATGGAGCTACATAAACATTGGAATGGCATAAAGATGCTGTGGAAAATTAGCACCTGTGTCTCTCATCTCTGCTGGGGAGATGATGAGGCTCTCAGAGAAAGCCAAGTCTTGCAAAGGCTCATGATCTCTCATGGTTTGAGAGGAGTGGGGAGATGTTATCTGAGGGCTTGATGGTCTGGGGGTTGGGAATTGTAGCTCACCTGAGCCATTCTGTGACATGTAGTGGATTGGGAACTTTATGTATATGTGAATGTGGAGACACAGGAGTGATGACTAGGAGGTCAATACGGGAGGGAAAGTTGCTATATGCAAACTTGGAAACTAGTGAAACATGACTGGGGCTGTGAGCTTCAGGGTAGGATGCTGGCACATTCCCCCAGCAGGATAGATTGGAAAGATCTAACCCAGTCCAGGAACCAAACTCTACAGGTTCCTCTATGGCACAGAAGAGTGAGGATTCATGGCACCCACAAGGTTTTAAGACTCCCTTCTTCCCAGCACCCTAAGGTCATGGTAGATTGCCTATATACATAGATAGTATCATGGGGAGAAGTATAGGGCAATAACAAAATTAGCAACTGGGTATTGACCCAGGAGTCAAGTCATTCAAGAGACTAAACAGAAGAAATTGTCACACTCTGAATTGGTGGGTTGAAAGTTTGTGATTATCCCACACTCTCATTGAGGTGAGAAAGATTAGCCAGGTGTGGTGGCTACTCAGGAGGCTGAGGCAGGAGAATCACTTGAGCCCAGGAGGTCAAGGCTTCAGCGAGCCATGATCATGCCACTGCACTCCAGCCTGGGCAAGAGAGCAAGACCCCAGCACTAAAAAAAAAAAAAAAAAAAAGATTAGATCTACTTTTAAACGCATAAAAAGCACATGTTTTCTTTGTGCATCTGAGTGTAGAATGAGAGCATTTTCAACTGAAGACTACTAAAACAGAAGGCAGGAAGGCAGGTTCCTCATCTCACTTTCTGACATTTTATGCAAAATATAAACCCACTAATTGTTTTTTCAATAAAGCTTTCAAAATAACATTGACATTTGGATCATTTTCAGTGAGAGGTTGAAGAGAATTTAAGTTTTATTCATACACTGCAGTCCCAGGGGAAGAAGGGTGACCCTCAAGATAACCACAGGAATCATTTTTTTCTAGGCTGAGAAGAGAGTGGTGAGGCTTCCTGAGCTATTTGTACTAGTTTACCCTTAGGTCTTTCAGCTAGCTCTGGACAATGAGGTTCCCGCACGGTCTGATAGAAACACCACCATGCTAAGTATCAGAGAACAAACTTAAGAGTTGCATTATTAAAAACATATTTTTTCTGGAGAGTTTTACCAAAATGAAATGTCTTGCTTCTATTGGTCTTAGGAGAGATCTGACTCATGTAAAAACATAGGGTTACAGAACTTTGGAAATACAGCCATTTATCTATGCATATCATGCTTGCACACAGATTTCTTTCCTAGGATGCCATTTTAAAAATGCACATTTTGGGTAAAAAAATAAGCTGTCACATATATAGACTTCTCCTAGTATTCGGCTTAAACATGTGATGATTTGGGAGGGTCGTTCATGTCCCTAGTGGTTTAATTGCTAAGAGAATCTTTCCCGTCCTCCACATTAACAGTTAGAAACAAAAGCCCTTTGTTTCACCAGATATGTGCTTGGGAAATGGTCCATTTTAACCACATCCCATCTGTAGGGCCATGTGCAATTTTAAGCTTTAATAATTTTAGATGAACACAGGACTGATGCAAATGCCTTATTAATGTTCACTCATCAGAACTCAATTCTTTGAAGGAACTCAGGGTCGAGTTTGGAAACTCAATTTACTAAATTGCTTAGCAACACCCAGAAGGCATTTTCACCAAGTTAGAAACTTATAAACCTGAAACTTGGAAATTTCAGAAGAATGAGTAAGGCATTCACTCTTAATAGAACTTGCTTCCACGGGTCACCCATCTACCAAATAAATACCACAGACAAAACAATCTACCTATATAATATTTGGGGAGTTTTTTGACATATTGTGTCCAAAAGGCATGTGACAGGTATTTTTGATTGCAGGAGAATAAAGAGAGGCTCACTCACATAAAGTTTTGAGTATCAAAGTTATATGTTGTCAGTCCATAGTGATAAAAATAAATAATTGAATAAATAGACAAATGGAGGGAGAGAGAAGGGCAAATCTTCTTTGCAGAAGAATTCCAATAATTGATATAGATACTCCATCCTCAGAAAGGTGCAACATCATTTTCCACACCTTAAGCGTGGGCTGTGCTTAGTAACTTCCAGTGAGTAAAGTAGGGGAAGGTGGGAAAAGTAACTTCAGAGTGGAGAAACCTGACAAACACTACCCGAGGTTGATTAAGGTCAACCTCCAGAGTGATAAGTCATGTTGACAGCATGTACCTTTAATGAGATATGATGAAAATGGCATTTTACTTCTATGGTCTTCATGCCCAAAACCTATAGCCTTTGTTGAATCATAATTAAAACATCAGACAAACTCAAATTAACAGACGTTCTACAAAATACTCACCCAGTACTTCTTAAAACTGTCAAGATCTGAAAAATAAAGAGAGGGAGAAACCGTCACAGCCAAGGAGACATAAAAACTAAATCTAATATGAAATTCTGAATGTGGCATTAGATAAAAATAAGGAAATCTGGATAAACTATGGACTTTTGTTAATAATAATGTATCTACCTTGGTTTACTAATTTTAACAAATGTGCTACACTAATATAAGATGTTAATAATAGGGGGAATTGAATGTGGGAAACATGGAAACTCTCTGTACTATTTTTGTAATTTTTTTGTAAATCTAAAGCTATTGGAAAATTATTTTAAAATGTATTAAAACTATTTGGAAATTTATAAAAAAGATTTAAGAAGTTGTATGCTGTCTAATATGGTTTGGCTGTGTCCCCACCCAAATCTGATCTTGAATTGTAGCTCCCATAATTCCCATGTGTTGTAGGGGGGACCCGGTGGGAGATACTTGAATCATGGGGGCAGTTTCCCCCATACAGTTCTTGTGGTAGTGAATACGTCTCATGATATCTGATGGTTTTATAAGGGGTTTCTCCTTTTGCTTGACTCTCATTTTCTCTCTTGCCTGCCCACATGTAAGACATGACTTTCACCTTCTGCCATGATTGTGAGGCCTCCCCAGCCATGTGGAACTGTGAGTCTCTTTTTCTTTATAAATTACCCTGTCTCAGGTATGTCTTAATTAGCAGCATGAAAATGGACTAATACACTGCCAATGTGATTTTTAAAATAATAAGTGTTTTCTGCAAACAGCAGCTCCCATCTGATGTCCTTCATCTCAGAATGTCCTCTTGTTCCAGAGTGGATCTCATACATCCCGCACCATCTCTTGTAGGATTGCCAAGAGCTTTTGCTTATTTAACTGTCGTATTGTTCACTGGGTTGGCACGCGTAATTCCTGTGTTTGCTACTATATGGGATACTACGCTAGTACATCTCGTATAAACACTACTTCTTCACTTGACTTTTGTTGGCACTTCTGTTTTGGTACTCTATGCCTTCTGCCTTAAATGACCCCTTCTTATGTACATAAATCTCTCTCCCACCTGTTTTATAACGTCCAAGAGAGATATATTAATAGTTACCCATCCTTCCTCCTTCCATGGTGTCTAGTGCAATTCATAACTAGCAGCACAGTGGGCATGGCACGTACTTCAAAAATACTTATGAGTCTGCACAATTAATTTGAGGATCTTAAAACATTTCCAGAAAGGAATGGCAGTTCTGAATCCTTGGAGATTTCCTATTTCACTTTCATTATTCCAGCTTTTTACTTTTAGAACTCTTTCAGGGAGATAGAAAATTGTCAGCTTATTCTTAAAGATATTCAGAGAAGGCAGTTCTACCAGCTTCAGCAGGAGTCTGTTTCAGAATATTAAAACTAACTGTATCAAAAGAAACTTTTCTTCCTCTTTCACCTAGTTGGTGTCTTAGGCCACTTCCCTTCCCTCAGCCCACGCACATTGTTTTCAGCTGAGATAAAAATATAGCTGAGCACAGTCCTATGTGGATTTGAAGATCATTAAGTTTCTTCACAGCTTTCTTTTTGCCAGAACATGATCATCTTAATCCATTTTCTATGCAGGTGGGGTTTTTTGGTGATAATTTGTTTTTGGTGATTAAGAAGTTGTATGCTGTTTGGTATGGCCTTTTTTTGGTCATTAATTTTTTGAATTTTAAAAATTTATCAACATCTCCATTGTCTTTGATGTCTAAGGTAAAAATCTGAGAATACTACTACTTGATTAAAAAAATTAAAATAATATTAGGAAGAAGAAGGAGGAGGAGGAAGATAAGGGGATGGAGAACGACAAGAAGGAGGACAAGGAGAAAGAAGGGAAGGAGAAGGAGGAGGAGGAGGAGAGAGAAGAGAGGAAGGGAGATGGGGAGGAGAATGAACTACTAAAGCTATGTGGTAAAAAAGACATTACTTACATTAAACATTTATTATTTGTAACTGAAAATTTACTAAGTTACTTAAAAAAATTATGATCTGCAGTGATCTTCTTGATCTTAGCCATGCCACCTAATCTTCCAAAGCCTTGTTTCACTCATCACTCAAGTGACCTTGCACCACTCAAGTGACCTTGCGCCAATATTTGTCGAGTTTGAATGACACCACTAAAGGTCTCGGCCCTCCAGGAGAAAGGTATTGTGGGCAAGGATGGAATGCTGCATGTGGCTTTGAGTATATTTCTTCATACAGGGGAGTCAGTCTTAATATTTCATGGAAGCGTTGAGTAAGTAGAGAATAGGGATGAAGCTGTATGTCCTCTGAGCTATGCCAGCTCTAGGAGAGATAGCAGCACATCAAGGGGTGGAAGTGAGAAAAATACTTACAGATTTTCATCGTCAGCTTTCAGGCAACACTAGCGGCAAAGGTAACCAACAACTCTGCCCAAAGTCAGTTCTCCTAAAACCAGATTTTCTAAAATTTAATCCATTTTTAAAAAGTTAACCTAAAATCCAACTCCCTTATGAGTTTTTTTTGTCTCTGAAGCAAGGTGGTCATTATAAAATTGAACTTCAATGTATTTTGATCTTCTGGTGAGGAAGACATTGGGCTTAACACTGCCCAACCTACACTTGGTTGATATTTTAGGCAGAGCGTTTCAAAAGCTTTATGGTCCAGATATTGAGAAATGGCTATCAAGAGAGAGAATGTTGCAATTGGCTTTTGAGCATGACCACATATTTTTACAAAGATGTAGAGCTACCCTGAAGGCAATAGATATATCCACTCTCAATCATTCTGAGAAGAGATTCCTCCTGAACCATGAATTAAGACTCAGGGTAGGCCAGGTGCAATGGCTCATGCCTGTAATCCAAGCACTCTGGGAGGCCGAGGCAGGTGGATCACTCGAGGTCAGGAGTTCGAGACCTGCCTGGCCAAAATGGTGATTTCCCATCTCTACTAAAAATACAAAAATTACCCAGGTGTGGTGGCACATGCCTGTAATCCCAGCTACTCAGGAGGCTGTGGCAGGAGAATTGCTTGACCTTGGGCAGTGAAAATTGAAGTGAGCTGAGATTGTGCCACTGCACTCCAGCCTGGGCAACAGAGTGAGACTCTGCCAAAAACAAACAAACAAAAAAAGACTCAAGGAAACGGTCTGAGATGAGGCAAAGGAAAACATTTTTCTTCGGGACAAGAGTTCAGTCTGACTCAGACTCTGAGAAATGCACAATGCATAAAATATTTTCAGTTGTTGGAAGATGAGGAACATCTTGCTACTGGGGTGCAGGCAAGGTTATTGGCAGGGCGTTGAGCCAGCAAGGGGCCTTTGGCTTTGGATAGGCGAGGTTAACACAGTCAGTAGTTATAAGATGTTTTCTATTATGTAAATTCCTTCCATTATTTCTGAAAACTTCATTCACTTCCTGCTAATGATTTCAGCCTGATCTCAGTGGCTCCGTGTTGAACTTAGAAAGGGTCCATCCCCTGCCAGAGTGACACACAAGACAATCTTTCCCCCTACCTGGGACAAGGTGACAGGAGCAGGAGGGTATAAGGAACAAACCATATTTTAGTTAGCAATACCCTATTGTTTCAAATATTTTATTATCCATAATATTGCAAAAAACATCCTTACAATCAAGTCTTTCTTCACGTCATTGACTATCTCCTGAAGATGCACATGACTTTTCATGTCAAAGGGTATACACAGTTTTGAGGCTTTTGGTTCTTGTCCCGATAGAGGCAGCAGAAACAAAATGGTAAATAAGAAACCAATTGATCTGTTCTTGAGCACACCTGAGCCAGCACCTGGGCGCCTCTTAGAAATAGCTGTGGGACACCTTGAGAGAGGTTAATCTTGAGTAACTGGACTGATGGAAAATAATCTATCACAATGATATCATGAAATAGAATTAGCTTTGTTGTTGTAGTCTGTAGCACTTTTATTAAGATGTAGTCTTAGTCATGCCATCTTTTTAGCATTTCAATAATATTTGTTTATTTTGTATAATATTCAATGTGTGTATATATTTGTGTGGGTGTATGTGTGTGTGTGGTTGAAACACAATAATAAAATGAATGTGTGTGAACCTACTACTCAGTTCATCAATGAGGACATTACCACAACTAAGCAATCTATTGAGTATTTTGCTCTTGAGTTTTATGAAAATATCATATAACATGTACTCTTCTTTAATTTTCTTTTTGCATTTGGCAGTCTTAAGATAGTCTGTTTTGTTAATGTAAGGATAGTTCACTTATTTTCATTGCTGTAAAATATTCCACCCCACGCATATATGTTTTATTTATCTTATTCCTGTTGATAACCATTTGGATTTTTCCAAATTTTATCTACTATAAGCAATGCTGATTTGACATTCTTTTTCATATCCCCCACTGCACCTGTGCAAGCATTAACGTGAGGTATATTCCTCTTAGGAGTGAAATCGTGGAGTCATTTGTTTGTGACTATTCAACTTTACAAGTTAGAGACACATTGTTGTTCAAATAGCTGTGTCAGTATACACCCTGATTGCCCCAATGGTATGTAAGAGTTCCAGTGGAAACACATCTTCCCTACTATTCAGCATTTTCAGTCTTAAGTTTTACCCATCCAGTGGGCATGCATGAGATCTTTTTAAAAATTACCCTGAACGCCTTTTCACATATTAATGAGCATTTTATTTCCTGATCTGTGAAAAGTCTGTTATGTGTTTGTCCATTTTTATTCTAAATTGCTTGTCTTTTTATTTTTGATTTAAAGGAACTCTTTATATGTCTCGGACACTTACCTATTATAAATTATTAGATTTGCAAATATCTGTCCTTCCTCCTCCCCACACACACTTTATGATATCTCTGATGAAGAGGAGTTCTTAAGATCAATGTGGTTATATTTATGAATCCTCTTATTCATGGTCTGTGCTTATTGTGTCTTTAAAAAGTATTTTCCCTACCCAGGGAAAGATCATAGTATGTTTTTTAATAAAACTTTCTTACAGTCTTGTCTCTCACTTTCATGTCTTTCATCTATCAATAATGAATATTTGAAAAGACATAAGAAGGGAAGTCTTGGGCCCTTTATTTTTTCTATTGATTACCAATTGTTACAACACATTAATTGATGAGACCATTCTTTAGTTGAGAATCTGCAATGCTGCCTTTGTAATATATCAAGTTTCTATACATGAAATGGTGTGTGTCTGGATCAATATACTTGTCTGTTACAACGGTAAATTCGCCCTTCTGTGAATCAACACTTTTTACTGGCCATAAAATGCATTTAATGTTTCATTAATGTGTTTCACTGTATAGTTCTTGCATGTTTTTTAAAAATTTTATTTACTACTGGATACCATGTATCTCATAACAGTAATTTTAAAATATATTTTGTTTGTTTCTAATAAGTTTAAGTGCAATATAATTTTTATATTGATCTTGTGATAGGCCAACTTGTTAAATTCTCATGTTTGTTCAGTAATTGGGCTGTGGATTATTTGGCGTTTTCTATGTAGCAATCATTTTATCTATAATTCATGACATTTGGGGTTTTGTTCAATACTTATCCTCCTTTTCATTTATGCATAAATTTATTTCTTTATGGCATAGATTATGGCCTTCAGTGCAGAATAGAAATAGAATTGTCTTACACTTGCTATGAACTGTAGATTTGTAGCAGTTTATTAAGGAAAGATGTTTACTGGGCAACATAGCAAGACCCCATATCAGAAAAAAAGCAAGCAAGAAAGAAAGAAAGAAAAAGAAAGAAGGAAGAAAAAAGAAGGAAGAAAGGAAGGAGGAAGGAACGAAGGAAGGAAAGAAGGAAGGAACGAAGGAAGGAAAGAAGGAAGGAAAGAAGGAAGGAAAAGATTAGCTTGATAGACAGAAGATACTTCTGAAAATATAGAAAAGCAATTTGGCAATAAATCTTTATAAAATATGGTGCATTTTATACTTTATTAGGGCATATTATTAATGATTTAATGCTGAATTATGAAGCAGACTGTTTCCACATTATAGTTCCTAATATTGAAATCAACTGGCTGTTAGCAGTAGGATTGAGATACAGCACACACAACAATTTATTTATCTAATACCTTGGATGCCATTGGTAAATATCAGTTGCTAGAATCACAAAATTTCAAAAAATGTTTTTTAATATAAATTTGCTAAAATGTAATGTTAGCTTGAAGTTCATACAAGCAACACAGCTTTCCAGGGAGTAACTTGCTCCATAAGGTGAGTGAGAGCCCAAGGTGTTGCTCCAGGTAGCTGTCGGTGGAGAGCTGTGGGGTAAAATAGGCTTGAAATTGAAGACAGCAACCAGACACAGCCTGGGGTTGAGCCTGCTGGATGTTATCTACTTTACCTTGGGGCTACGTTGTGTGTGTTTATTGTCTGGCTTTCCCAGCTCTGCTACAATAAGCTTTGTTAGCTTCTGTGACACTTACACAATAATCTCTATGTGTGAAGCCCCCAAAGTGACTTTCTGAAAAGAGTTCACACAGATTGAGATCGGATGCAGAGCATCCCTCCCCAGCATGGCCTCTGCTGCACCCTGATGTATTCACACTCACCATGAAGGGCACAAGTGCCTTTTGATCTTCAGGAGGAGAATATGATCGCCGAACAGGTTTTCAGTTGTCACACCCTACAATACTCTAATTAAATGGTCAGCATGTGCCTCATCAGGGTATCCACTCAAGTAATCTATTTATTGGATTATTTTAATATGTCAGAGTTTTGTTCAACTCGAAAATGGCCAATGGTTCTCCAGAAAGGCATAAGAGCTTTGAATGATGCCCCCCTTTGTGTAATACATCTCTTCATGTAATATATAATTAGCAATAAGAACTCTGTTTATTTATAACAGTAAATTATTTATTTCCAAGAATCGAGTTCATGTGATTTCTAATTCACGTCATCTTGCTATGAGGAATGGAAGTCTAATATTTAGATGGGGGTAAGGCACCCAGTATTCTCATGCCTTTTTGCATCCTGAAAGATATCACCATAGTGTGCATTTCAGGGTGAAGGTGACCACCACGACCATTCCCTTGGCAAAGAGAAATGTCCATTTATTTTGTACAAAGAGAGGCTGAAATGTAGAGTCCATGAACTTTCTTCTCTTTGTCAATGCAAGGCTCTTGTTTCATAATAAAATAACATATTCAAGAAAAGAATTGTATTGAAATGTCACTCTCATGTGGATTTCATGAGGTTCTGAACTTAAAGTCTTCAAAGGAACAGTGGTACTGTCAGGTACTCAGGCTTTGCCTTTAGATCACATGGTTTAAAAGAGAAAAAAAATAAACTGCCAGTGAACATAGGCTCTGACCTCTCTTCACTTTTCATTTTTAACGCCTTTAAAAATGAAATTATTTGGGTTTAATACATGCATAATTTGGAAATCCCATAATTTGGAAATAACAGAAGTCATGTGCTATAGACTTAATGTTTGTGTCTCCTCAAAACTGGTATGCTGAAATCCTCACCCACAAAGGGATGGTATTTGGAGGTGGGGTCTTTGGGAGGCGATGAGGTCGTGAGGGTGGAGCCTCATGAATGGGATTAGTGCCCTTATAAAAGAGGCCGCAGAGAGTGCCCTCACCCCTTCCAACATGTAAGGGCACAATAAGAAGGAATTGACTTTGAACCAGAAAGCAGGTTCTCACCAGCCACTGAATCTACCATGCCTTGATTTTCCAGCTTCCAGAACCGTGAGCCATAAATGTCTGTTTATAAGCCACCCCATCTGTGGTGTTCTGTTATAGCAGCCTTAATGGGCTAAGACACCATGGATGGAAAACTAATCCTATTGATCATGATACAATTTTTTTTAGAGTAAATTAGGGTTTTGAGGCTAATACTTTTTCAGGACCTATTACTGATTATTTAATATTGATGATTAAATTAGGAAGTAGGCTGTTTCCACATTGTAGTTCATAATACTGAATTGATCATTTCTGCCAAGCATTTTCCTAAGGAAAAACAGTAAAAGACAGAAAACATTATAGGTTTCTGTCCTAAGAGCTTTAAACCAGAGAAAGTCTTATTCCTATTAATTAGCACCCCCCCACGCACACATTTTTTTGACTATGATCCCAAGTTTCCGGGCTATTTGAATGTATACAATTTTCTATTAAACAAAGGTCTAATTTAACTTCTCACTAGGCACAGAGTTTTTCCTCATTCTTATAGGTTAATAAGAAGTGGTGATAGAAACTAACATGAGAAATTATTATCAGATGTGAGACAAACAGACAGAATGATAGAGAGAGAGAGAGAGAGAGTGATTCTGTTTTTCCTTTTCTTCTTTTTCTATTTTTTTTTTTTTTTTGGCCAGGAACTCAGAGCTCAGTCCTTAGCTTAAAATTTTAAAATATAAATATTCTTCCCCCTTATTTTTACTTCTTACTTAATTCCTAGTGGTATGGGATTTCCTTTATTCGAATCATTTGATAGCGAGCATTTTCAAATATTTGTATTATAAAATATTAAAGAATACAATGATATCACTTTACCTGATATATCTTACTTAAAAAAAAAAAAAAGCGACTGAATCTAACCTTCAAACACTCAAGAATTCCGGACCAAACATCAGCAATCCTTTTCTGTAAAGGGCCAGAGAGTAAACATATTTTGGCTTTGCAGGCCATATCGTCTCTGCTTTGCCTACTCAGCCCTGCTACTGAAGCATGAGAACAGCTGTAAACAACACTGAAACCAATGGATATGGATGTGATCCAATGAAGCTTGATGCATAGACATTAAAATTTAGAATTTTATATATAAAAAAGAGCAGTGGTGAGGGAGATGCAACTTCTGACCCTCGTTGTAGACCACAACCAGTGTCTAAGTTGAACAGGTGCCCTCAGAAAACTGCATCCAGCCACTCTAGTGTTGGAGGGCTCTGGACAATTAGAAGAACTGTGTATCCTGTGTATGTCCTGTGTATTTACCTCCTGTGTTGTTCTGTGTATTTAGACTGTAAGAATACCTTTGTCTGTGCTTGGGGTTGGGAGCATAGGGGTTATATGTACTGAGACTCAGGTTTGGGAAATAAATCTCATATGGAATAACACAGATAAGCTCATTATATCAAGTTGGGAATCCCTAAACTTGTATTCAAGAATGCTGAAGGGACAGCTCAATGATTCATTAAGGTGATGATTTTTCTCATAAAACCAAAAGATTGTTTAGGTTTACTTAATGAGATACTCATTCTGCCTTATTTATTTTTTAACATATGTTTTATCAAAAATACATTGTTTTTATGTATTTTTTGAGAAATGTTTTTTAACAGTCTTTGGCCAGAAGTTGTTGAATTCCACCAGACCCAAAATGCTAAAGCTCTCCAATTCATGTTTACTCTGCCACCCTCAGACATCTGCTTTCTTCTCCTAGCCCAAGAAACTCTTCCCAAGTGTCACCAGCAACTGCCTGATGACTAAATTCAATGATCTCGCCTCAATTCTCAACATGTATAATGGAATAACAGCGACAGGTCCATGTTTGGAATGGAGAGAGGAGACTATAATTATTATCATTTTACATCTTGATTGGAAGGGTTGGTATAATGTTTTTCAAATAATTGCCTCTGATCATCAAATACATTGTTTAAAGATTACACATAAGCCTTTTTTCTCTACTTCACAATCATGTATCGATTATTCACTGTGTATGCTACACATTGTGGCTGGGCCCTGCAGAAACAAATATGTCTTCTGTTCTCTCACACATAAGTAATTAACATTGAATATACTCTTTTCATTTATTTGAGCTGCATTAAAATGCATTTGATAAGCTACTATATCCAGTTTTATTATTATACCAAGAGTTTTAAAATCATTAACCATTCATGTCTGCCGTGTTCAGAAGCCACGGTGAACACTTTGATTTAAATGTCAGAGTTTTGAAAATCTCCAAATTATATGTTCAACATTGCTTTAGCAAAATGCATTTTAGAGTTATAAATTAACATACGTATCAAATTGTCAAATACGTTAACTGCACACACTTTCAATTAACTCACCACTTAAAGTGTGGATATGATATGAAATAAATGAAAGTTGATAATTTTAGGATTCATTTTGCAATGTGATTATAACTCTGGCATTTAGACCCAGGTAATAGATAATTAAATACCAAAACATGACTACCACATACATTTAATCTTGCAAATTAACTCACAGAAGATAGCTTCAAACGATGATTGCATCATCTGTAAATGACTGTAATCCAATTTCATAAATATTGATGATGTTTCAAAATTTGAAATCATTACTAGTGTTGAATTTTACTACATTCATTTGCATTTCCAAAATTAAAATTCTTCTCTGGAATTTGGGAAAGTTCCATTATTAAAGTGCCCCAAAATAGGTCACATGCAATAATCTAGGTGATAAGAAAAAACAGGCTTATGCACAGAATATTCTTACATGCATTCAACTTGATTTGTCTCTCAAGTTTGCCTGAAAAATCTGTCTTTTGACAGCCTGCAGACATAGCCTGAGACAATTATTTGCTGCAAGCACACATTCAGCAATCCAAACAAACTTTTGGTTATATTAAAATAGCAATCCTCTTATCACAAACATCAGAACTGCTCCCTCGAAAAAGTTTGTACAGAGAGATAATGGGGCCACAAATTCTGGGAGCATAAAGAGGATGGACTTTAATCAACCTGGCACCTAACTCAAAGCTAATATGATGCTGTTTTCATAGGCTGTAAAGCTATTTGAAGAAGGTAACTTTCCTCTCACTTAACTTTAAAAGCACATGATTTTTGTGCTGTAAAGGGTTTCATTTGGTTGGTGTGTGTTGTAAGAAGTTTACGTTTTTATTCGTTGCACATGGGATGCGACATCTGATGGAGACTGCAATCCTTTTACGGCTTTATTGCAAAGCTGGAGAACTATCAGTCAAGCGTTGCCTAAAGCTTTTTGGCTCTAGAGTTAAGAAAGTGTCATTGGATAATGTCTTTAGTTCTGTCGATATTAGACAATTACCATGTATTGACATTTTTCTAGGGAGAGTCAAGGGAGAGGGGTAGTGAACTGAATACATTTTATTTTGCAAATTTAATGAAAAGACTTAGGGATCCTTACTGCTGTTCTTTGGTAGAACTCTCATATGCATCCATTTATGTATGTAGATATGTCATGAATTTATATAGCCCTAAAAGAAAAGAATATCAGACTTAGATCACTTCCATTTGAGCTTTAAAGCTATGATAGATTTTGTACAAACTTGAGCAAAGACTAAGCATTCCCATCTAAGTTGGAAGAATCCAGCTGTGTGGATGTACACGCATCAGTTGCTGCCAATTTGAGGACCTGCTCCCACCCAATCATTTTACCCAGACTTGCACCAGAAAGAACAATGAGTGACTGCAAGGAATTTTATCCAACGAAAGATGTAACATATGAAACTCAAGCTGGTTTGCAGCAAACATTTCATACTAGGAGAAATAATGTAGTACTTGACACTCTGGGTCCAATTGTGCCCAGATTTGGAAGGATATGACCTGATTGTGTAAGCTCCCCTAATAATGTTGGAGGTGGGAGGATCACCTGAGCCCAGGAGGTGGAGGCTGCAGTGAGCTATGATCACACCACTGCACTCCAGCCTCGGTGACAGACTGAGACCTTGTCTAAAAAAAAAAAAAGAGTGTAGCAGTTATTAGTATTGCCTATTTCATAATGTCATAATTCTTTGTGGGCATTTTCTTTTTTATTTTATTTTATTATTATACTTTAAGTTTTAGGGTACATGTGCACAATGTGCAGGTTAGTTACCTATGTATACATGTGCCATGCTGGTGTGCTGCACCCATTAACTCGTCATTTAGCATTAGGTATATCTCCTAATGCTATCCCTCACCCCTTCCCCCACCCCACAACAGTCCCCAGAGTGTGATGTTCCCCTTCCTGTGTCCATGTGTTCTCATTGTTCAATTCCCATCTATGAGTGAGAATATGCGGTGTTTGGTTTTTTGTTCTTGTGATAGTTTACTGAGAATGATGATTTCCAATTTCATCCATGTCCCTACAAAGGACATGAACTCATCATTTTTTATGGCTGCGTAGTATTCCATGGTGTATATGTGCCACATTTTATTAATCCAGTCTATCATTGTTGGACATTTGGGTTGGTTCCAAGTCTTTGCTATTGTGAATAGTGCCGCAATAAGCATACGTGTGCATGTGTCTTTATAGCAGCATGATTTATAATCCTTTGGGTATATACCCAGTGATGGGATGGCTGGGTCAAATGGTATTTCTAGTTCTAGATCCCTGAGGAATCGCCACACTGACTTCCACAATGGTTGAACTAGTTTACAGTCCCACCAACAGTGTAAAAGTGTTCCTATTTCTTTGCATCCTCTCCAGCACCTGTTGTTTCCTGACTTTGTAATGATTGCCATTCTAACTGTTGTGAGATGGTATCTCATTGTGGTTTTGATTTGCATTTCTCTGATGGCCAGTGATGGTGAGCATTTTTTCATGTGTTTTTTGGCAGCATAAATGTCTTCTTTTGAGAAGTGTCTGTTAAATGGTGCTGGGAAAAATGGCTAGCCATCTGCAGAAAGCTGAAACTGGATCCCTTCCTTTCACCTTATACAAAACTTAATTCAAGATGGATTAAAGACTTAAACGTTAGACCTAAAACCATAAAAACCCTAGAAGAAAACCTAGGCATTACCATTCAGGACATAGGCATGGGCAAGGACTTCATGTCTAAAACACCTAAAAGCAATGGCAACAAAAGCCAAAATTGACAAATTGGATCTAATTAAACTAAAGAGCTTCTGCACAGCAAAAGAAACTACCATTAGAGTGAACAGGCAACCTACAAAATGGGAGAAAATTTTCACAACCTACTCATCTGACAAAGGGCTAATATCCAGAATCTACAATGAACTCAAACAAATTTACAAGAAAAAAACAAACAACCCCATCAAAAAGTGGGCGAAGGACATGAACAGACACTTCTCCTTGTGGGCATTTTCTGACTCCAGGAGGCACAGATTGGCAACACCAGGCAGTGAGTTTGCCAGTGAACCTCAACCAGTGACTGCTGGAGTTGGCATAACATATCCCAGCTCCGTAGTCCCTCAGCTTGGTCAACTTTGAGGCATGTTCCAGTCTCTTGGGACACTGGACCCTTGTCCTCTGCAAGGGTGCCCGCTTTTGAACATACCATTTACTGATTTACAGGCTTTTCTCCCTTCCCTGTGTCATCTCTCCAAGTTCTCCTTGGGAAGAATCACCTCTCACATAAATGATGTGCATTCTAAGCCTTGCCTCAGAGTCAGGGGTAAGGGCTTCATTCAGGGAAGTTAAAACAAACACATTGTGCCCTCGATGGAAAATTAAGACCTTCTGGATTCAGTGAACCACGTGAAGACATCCAGCAAGTGCTAAAACTGCCACCTAGCAACTTTCAAATTAACACCTGGCTAAGAAATGCATTTGATTAATTGAGACCCCGTGTACTGTCCACTTAACTACACAATTCTATTAAATGAAGTAGAATGATGATATCACTTTGATCCTGCATTTTGTATGAGGAAGTATTGATTCAAGCCTCTGCATTGTTGCCTAAAACACACATACAAATACATATTATCTATATATAGATATACATAGCTACTTTGCTCCATGGAGCAGCACCTGTGTTATCTAACTTCAGGTGTCACATATTTGTTGAGAAAATAGTGGGCTGAAAACTTAATCTGGGCTGCAGTATTAATTGTTCTGATTCTATGAACCAAGCAAAGGTGATCCATGTTCTGAGTTTCAAAGAAACTTCTTTGGACCACAGCTCCTAAAAGTAGACTGTGCTTAGGTACTTCACCAAGAAAACTCACAAAACCCACTGGGATTCTGCTTTCCTATGTGCATCTAGCTGTTTCCAGACTTGGGGAAGATGTTCACAGCATCTCTTAGCCTCCATGAGTCAGCTAGCTGGACCAGTGCAAGGATACCACTCATTCTTCTAACCCTGTACTGTGAGTGCTACACAGCCAAAGTTCAGGATCTCCCATAGGTCTTCAGCTGAAGTTCTTGGTAAGATGAGATTTACAAATAGGGAACACGTGAACATCAGCAATTATGGCACCAAAAACAATGGCTTGGAAATTGAAAGAATAAGAAAAAAATCTGCCTCCCAGACTCAATTTCCTGCAGAGTCCAGCAGGAGATATTCAATATATGGCATGACCCTGAACGTAGATTGGGAAAAGCCATTTTGTGAGTACAGACATTTAGAGAACATAGTCCATGCCACAGTGAAGACTTGTCAGGAAACATGACACACTCAAATTGGGCCAGTGTACCACAAAGCCAGGCTACATGTCTGGATTTTTAACATCAAACTGAACTTCCGTTATTTATCTATTACTTATTGTTTTAAATTGACAAATAAAAATTGAATATATTTGTGGTATCCATTATGATGTTTCAGTATATGTATAGACATTGTGGAATGGCTAAATCAAGGTAATTAACACATCCATTACCTCACATACACATCACTTTTTAAAATAATGAGAACACTTAAAATCTACTCTTTTAACAGTTTTCAAGCAGACAGTACATTGTTATTAACTAGTCAACCTGACTACAATAGATCTCTTGAACTTATTCCTGTTGTCTAACTGAAATTTTTTATTATTTGACCAGCATCTCTTCAACACCTCCTCATCCCCAGGCCCTGGTAACTACCATTCTACTCTTTGCTTTAACGAGTTCAACTTTTAGATTCCACATATAGATGAGAACATGCAGTATTTGTCCTCTGTGTCTGGTTTATTCCACTCAACGAATATCCTCTAGGATTATACATATTGCTGCAAGTGACAGAATTTCCTTCTTTTTTAAGATTAAATAGTATTGCATTGTGAGTATATGCCACATTTTAAAAAGTCTATTCATCCACTGATAGACACTTGTGTTTTCACGTCTAGGCTATGGTGAATAATGTTGCAATGAACATGGGAGTGCAGCTATCTTTTACCCCATTTTTCTAGCAACAATTATAGTAGCAACAACAAAACTTAAAACATAATGAACATTTGCTTTTGTACTCTATTTAATTGGGGAGCATTATTTAAAAGGCATTGCCATCTAGGAAATCACGAATCTGATTTCCCTTCCTTTGGATATATATCCAGAAGTGGGATTGCTGATTTAATTTCAGATTAGTATTTCTATTTTTAATATTTTTGAGAAACCTCCATACTGTTTTCCATAATGGCTGTGCTAATTTACATTCCCACCAGCGGCATGCAAGGGTTTCCTTTTCTTCACATCCTCACCAACACCAGTTATTTTAATTGTGTGTTTGTTTGTAGTTGTGACTTGCAAAGCCCCTTACACGCAGGTGGCAGTCAATGAATAATAGATGGTTCCCCTGAGTGAGAGAATGGAGTGTGTTTGTGTGTGTGTGTGTTGTATTCCATATGGTACCTTTTTACTAATCCCCAATTACTCCATTGTACATACACTTTGTTTTACTTGGTTCTAATGATATAACACAAAAGAACTTATCCCATTTTCCTAGCAACAATAATAGCAGCAACAACAGGACACAAAAAATAATGAACATGTACTATTGTACTGTGCTTAATTGGGGAGCATTATTTTAAAACATTGCCATGTAGAGATCTCTATGTAAAGAACACAATTTGGAAACTGATGAATTTATTCTGACAACACCAATGCTGCCTTATCACCATGTTTCACTCTATTTTAATTTATACTAGTCCAATAACCAATAAAAGATGGTATTCCATAGAGTGTCCCCTTTGAAAATGAATTTTTACTAAATAAACTAAAATTAACAACTGATGACCATAAAGGTTTATGAGTGATAGGGATTTAAAAATGGATACCTATTGCTTTCATGAAAACAGTTTGATAATGATAAACTGAAAAATTTGAATACTTAAGCACAAGCATTTTATGTTCTGTCATTACTAATACATGGCCAGTACATGATAATACTTCATTCAGTTTTACTTTTTCTTTAGTTTCCATTAAGAACTTCTCATATTTCCTGTTCTCTAAAGCTTGCATGAGTGCTTTAATTTCTACAGCTGATTGGTAGAAATACAAATGCCTTTCTAGTAAATGTTAATGAGCACTCTGATGACAATGTTGCTGTTGGTATTTGAAACTGGCAGAATCAATATTCAGGGCCCTCTGGTAAAGAGGCAAGCATATCGGACTTGAAATTCCTCCAAGTGATTTCAACAACCCAGGACATTCCATTAAGAGGGCTTTCTTATCTAGGGGCAGTCCCATGACATAGACTCCAAGACATAAAGTGATAAACTTTAGTGAAGTTCATTATCTTTCAACTCTATTAAAAAGTAGCTGACTTAAAGCTAATCTTATCAATTATTTATCATTCTTTGCACACTGTGAGATTGCCTAATTCCCAAGCTCTCAAATATGATTGTAAAAATTGTTTGTTTTCCATCCAAATGCCTTCTTATAACAATCAATTTTATATAAAAAGAAATGGTGACTTAAGTGATTTTTAAAATGAAGTATTGAATCTCTTTTCCCACCATTTATGACCAAGAATCCTCAGTTAATGCTTAATAACTTTTATTGTCAAGACATCCTTTTTAATTTCTAACCTAACCTTCCCTTGTTGACATTTAAATCCATTTATTCTTGCTCTAGGAAGATTAAGAAAAGTTGGCCAGAGTTCTCTTCATAATAACCCTTCACTTACTTGATGACAATTACTGAATCACCCTTCATGGTAAATGTCTCCAACCTTCTTTGTGTTCCCTCATTTCCTCTCTTACTATTGCTCATATATGTTATTTTAGATGCAGTAATAGTATAAAAACGGGGTCGATTGAGTGCAAATATCTCTCTCTTATCACCCTCTTTACATTAAGAAGTTCTCACATTTCCAATTCTCTAAGCTTACGTGAATGCTTTAATTTCTACAGCTGATTGGAAGAAATACAAATGCCTTTCTTGTAAATGTTAATGAGCACTCTGATGACCATGTTGCTGTTGGTATCTGAAACTGGCAGAAACAATATTCAGGGTCACTGGGTTTAGTCTCCTCCTTTCCTCTTCTCTGGACATGGCTTCTTAGAAAGGTTGGCCCCAGTGGCTACACTCGAATTGTATGAGCACTTGGTCTCTTGGCTATAGCTGATAGACTCAAGGCTGCACAGGTCATTCAGGTCGGACCACTGTCACATGTGTTCAGGAAATTGACATTTGGGATTGAGATTCCAAGGCTGGGATTTTTGGAAGCTGAGTTGTGTTTGTGGCTACTTTTTAGGAGGTGCCCAATCTCTTCAGGTGAGGTCTCTGGAGTTGTCCTTGTTCCTGAGACTCCTGGTTGCTGATTTTTGGTTTTCTTTTCCTTCAAATTTTTCAGTTTCTAGTGAGAAATCTAATAATCCTTCCAATAAGTTCCTACTTGGGGCTTCAGAGAGCAAAAACTGATGTCTACTTCTTGAAGCCAAAAGTATTCTAACTCATGTTTTGATGACCCACCTGTCAAAAAAGAAAAATAAAAGTGCTTCCTGGGGTTCCCATGGAGTGATTACATGACCACACAAACACCTCACATTACGTGACCCTGTTATTCTGAGTTAAAAGGTGGGACTATCCACATCCCTTCATGTTATACAGACATCAGAGGTGGTACAGATAACAGTTTAGTGAAGTAACTTGTTTGTACATTGGTCTCCCATTTCTTGTGAGGTTTCTGAGGGAATGGAGAGGGGTTTATGAGCTTTTGATTTGTGGTATCCTTCACTGGGGCGAGGCTATGGTAGATTTCCAACACATTTATTAAATGAAACTTTTAACAAGTCAAATTAGCCCCTTGCTAGATCCATGTATTAGTCCATTCTCACGCTGCTATAAGGACATACCTGAGACTGGGTAATTTATAAAGGAAAGACGTTTAATTGACTCACAGTTCAGCATGGCTGGGGAGGCCTCAGGAAACTTGCAATCATGGCAGAAGGGGAGGCAAACATGTCCTTCTCACATGGCAGTAGGAATAGAAGTATAAGAGCTAAATGAAAGGGGAAGCCCATTATGAAACTGTCAGATCACGTGAGAACTTAACTCACTAGAGTTAAGTCACTAGAATAGCATGAGGGAAACTATCCCCATGGTTCAATTACCTCCCGTCAGGTCCCTCTCAGAACATGTGGGGAGTATGGGAACTACAACTCAAGATGAGATTTGGGTAGGGACACAGCCAAACCATATCAATCCATGTAGGTGATCTGGTCCTTTACAAAGAAAAGAGCATTTCAGGCACTTTGACTGCAATGTTATAACCAAAAGAAGAAATAACTTAGTGCATATACCATGAAAAATATTTAGGGTGGAGGTATGATACTATATTGCAAACCTATCATGAGAAATGAACTATGATGGATGCATTTTACGCATTATCACTACAGTAAGGAGGTTTGTTTGGGGAGGTTGAGATAGAACTTTTTAAAAAGTAATAACTTAAAATAATAAAAGCCTTCACGAGATAGCATTTGCACACATAAGTTGTAATTAAGTTGTGATCAGACCAGTAATAAATAATAAAAAGATATTGGAACATTCACTGCTTTGAAGGTTAGAAGGAAGTAGAAATAGAAAGCAAACCAGCTTCTGTTCCTGGGGGAGAAGAATGCAA